>NC_000015.10:48901874-49526874 GCF_000001405.40 Homo sapiens | reverse complement strand
CTTGATCTGTTCAGAATTTCTATTTCTTCCTGGTTCAATCATGGGAGGTTGTATATTCCACAAAATTTATCCATTTCTTCTAGGTTTTCTAGTTTGTACACATAGAGATGTTCAAAATAGTCTCTGATGATCCTTTGTATTTCTCTGATATCAGTGGTAAGTCAGTTTTACCATTTCTGACTGTGCTTATTTGAATCTTCTTTCTTTTTTGCTTGGCAAATCTACCTAATGGTCTATCAATCTTGTTTCTCCTTTCAAATAACCAACTTTTCATTTCATTAATGTTTTGTATCACTTTCTTAATCTCAATTACATTCACTTCTGCTCTTATCTTTGTTATTTATTTTCTTCTTGTAGCTTTGGGTTTAGTTTGTTCTTGTTTTTCTAGTTCCTTGGGGTAAATGTTAGGTTGTTAATTTGAGATCTCGATATTTTTGATGTTGGCATTTAACACTGTAAACTTTACTCTCAGCACAGATTTTACCATATCTTAGATGTTTTGGTATATTATGTGTCTGCTTCATTGATTTCAAAATTTTTTTATTGCTGCCCAAATTTCATTTTTTACCCAAAAGTCCTTCAGGAGCAAGTTGTTTCGTTTCCCTGTACTTGTGTAACTTTGAGAGTTCATTTTAGGATTGATTTTTAATTTTATTCCACTGTGGTCTGATAAGATACTTGATACAATTTCAGTTTTCGAAATTTATTGAGACTTGCTTTATTGCTAAGCATCTGGTCAGTTTTGGAGAATGTTCCATATGCTGATGAGAAAAATGTTTCTTTTGCAATTGTTGGGTAGAATCTTCTTTAAATGTCTATTAGGTTCGTTTGGTCTAGAGTCCAGTTTAAGTCCAGAGTTCCTTTCTTGATTTTCTACCTTGATGGTATCTAGGTCTGTCAGTGGGGTGTTGAAGTCCTCCACTATTACTGTATTGCTGTCCATCTCTTTTCTAAGGTTTATTATTCTTTGTTTTATGAATCTTTGTGCTCCATTGTTGGCTTCATATATATTTAAGATCGTTAAATCTTGTTGAATTGAACCCTTCAATATCATATGATATCCTTCTTTGTCTTTTTTTTTACCATTGTTGTTTTAAAGTCTGCTTTATTTGATGTAAGAGTACTACTCCTGTTCATTTTTGTGCTCTGTTTGTGATATATATATATATATATATATATATATATATATATATATATATATATATATATTTCTCCACCCTTTAACTTTGAGTCTCTAGGTATCTGTACACATTTGATGGGTCTGTTATAGGCAGGTCCTGTAGAACTGGTCTAATGGTGACAAATTACTTTAGTGTTTTATTTCTCCTTCATTTAGGAAGCTCGATTTTGCAGCATATAAAATGATTGGCTGGTTTATTAGTCTGTTTTCATGCTGCCAATAAAGACATATCCAAGATTGGGTAATTCATACAGGAAAAAGGTTTAATGTACTTAAGTTTAATGGACTTACAGTTCCATATGGCTGTGGAGGCCTCACAATCATGGCAGAAGGCAAGGAGGAACAAGTCATGTCTTACATGGATGGCAGCAGGCGAAGAGAGAACTTTGCAGGGAAACTCCCATTTTTAAAACCATCAGATCTCATGAGACTTATTCACTATCCCAAGAACATCAGGGAAAAACCTGCCCCCATGATTCAATTACCTCCCACTGGGTCCCTCCCATAACATGTGGGAATTCAAGATGAGATTTGGGTGGGGACACAGCCAAGCCATATCATTTTACCCCGATTCCCTCCCAAATCTCATGTCCTCACATTTCAAAACCAATAATGCCTTCCCAACAGTCCCTCAAAGTCTTAACTCATTTCAGCATTAACTCAAAAGTCCACAATCCAAAGTCTCATCTGAGACAAGGCAAGCCCCTTCTGCCTATGAGCCTGTGAAATCAAAAGCAAGTTAGTTACTTCCTAGATACAATTAGAGTACAGGCGTTGGGTAAATACAGCCATTCCAAATGGGAGAAATTGGCCAAAACAAAGGGGCCACGGACCCCATGCAAGTCTGAAATCTGGTGGGGGAGTCAAATCTCAAAGCTCCAAAATGATCTCCTTTGACTCCATGTCTCACATCCAGGTCACACTGATGCAAGAGGTGGACTTCCACAGGCTTGGGCAGTTCCATACCTGTGGCTTTGCAGGGTATATCCCTCCTCCAGGCTGCTTTCACCAGCTGGCGTTGAGTGTCTGTGGCTTTTCCAGGTGCACAGTGAAGGCTGTCAGTGGATCTACCATTCTGGGGACTGGAGAGCAGTGGCCATCTTCTCACAGATCCACTAGGCAGTGCCCCAATAGGGACTCTGTGGGGGCTCTGACCCCACATTTTCCTTCTGCACTGCCCTAGCAGAGATTCTCCATGAGGGTCCCTCCCGTGCAGCAAACTTCTGCCTGGGTATCGAGGCATTTCCATACATCCTATGAAATCTAGGCGGACGTTCCCAAACCTCAATTCTTGACTTCTGTGCACCTGCAGGCTCAACACCACATGGAGGCTGCCAAGGCTTGGGGCTTCCACCCCCTGAACAAACCACTCGAGCCCCTTTTAGCTATGACTGGAGTGGCTGGAACACAGGAAACCAAGTCCCTAGGCTGCACAGAGCAGGGAGCCCTGGGCCCAGCTGACAAAACCATCTTTCCCTTCTAGGCCTCCAAGCCTGTGATGGGAGGGGCTGCCATGAAGACCTCTGACATGCCCTGATGACATTTTCCCCATTCTGTTGGGGATTAACATTCAGCTCTTCATTACTTATGCAAATTTTGCAGCTGCCTTGAATTTCTCCTCAGAAAATGGGATTTTCGTTTCTGTCGCATAATCAGGCTGCAATTTTTTTTATCTTTTGTGCTCTGTTTCCCTTTAAAACTGAATGCTTTTAACAGCATCCAAGTCACATCTTGAATGCTTTGCTGCTTAGAAATTTCTTCTGCCAAATAACCTAAATCATCTCTCTCAAGTTCGAAGTTCCACAGATCTCTAGGGCAGGGCCTAAATGCCACCAGTCTCTTTGCTAAAATATAACAAGAGTCACCTTTGCTCCAGTTTCCAACAAGTTCTTCATCTCCATCTGAGACCACTTCAGACTGGATTTCATTGTCCATATCACTATTAGCATAAAAATGCTGATAGTGAAAGCCATTCAACAAATTTCTAGGAAGTTCCAAACTTCCTCACATCTTCCTGTCTTCTGGGCCCTCCAAATTGTTCCAACCTCTGCCTGTTACCCAGTTCCAAAGTCTCTTCCACATTTTTTGGTATCTTTTTAGCAGCACCCCACTATACCGGTACCAATTTACTGAATTAGTCTGCTTTTGTGCTGCTAATAAAGACATACACGAGACTGGGTAATTTATACAGGAAAAAGATTTAATGGACTTAGGGTTCCACATGGCTGGGGAGGCCTCACAATCGTGGTGGAAGGCAGGGAGAAGCAAGTCATTTCTTACATGGATGGCAGCAGGCAAAGAGAGAGCTTGTGCGGGGAAACTCCCATTTTTTAAATTATCAGATCTTGTGAGACTTATTCACCATCCCAAGAACAGCAGGGAAAAACCTACCATCATGATTCAATTACTTCCCACTGCAACCCTCCTGCAACATGTGGGCATTGAAGATGAGATTTGGGTGGGGACACAGCCAAACCATATCAGCTGGCTTTTTGTTTTCTTTAAGAAGACTAACCCTAGGCTCACTCTTCTAGCATCTCTTCTAGCTTCAAGGTTTCTGCTTAGAAGTCTGCTGTTAGTCTGATGAGATTTTCTTTATAGCTGATTTGCTACTTCTCTACATCTGCTCTTAAGATTTTTTCTTTCACATTGAAGAGAGTAAAAGAAAGAGAGTCTGAGTACTGTATGGAGAGTAGAGATGGAGAGTCTGATTACTGTATGCTTTAGTGAAGCTTGTTTTGTATAGAATCTCCCAGGTGTCCTTGAATTTCTTGTATTTGGATGTGTTCATCTCTAGCAAGATCAGGGAAATTTTCCTGAATTATTCCCTCAAATATGTTTTCAAATTCCTTTTTCTTCTTCTGCCTCAGAAATGTCTATAAGTCATAGGTTTGGTTGCTTTACGTAATCCCATATCTCTTAAAGACTTCTTTCATTTTAAAAAATTCTTTCTTTTTTTAATTTTTGTATGACTGAGTTAATTTGAAAGACTAGTTTTCAAGCTCTGAAATTTTTTTCTTCTACTTGGTCTAGTCTATTGTTAAAGCTTTAAACTGTATTTTGAAATTCTTTCAGAGAGTTTTTTATTTTTAGAAGTTCTGTTGGTTCCTTAAAATATATCGATTTCATCTTTCATATTCTGAATTTTTTATCTGTGTTGTTTTTCAACTTTGTCTTGGGTCTTATTGAGCTTCCTTACAATCCATATTTTGAATTCTTTATGTGTCATTTTAGAATTTTCATTTGGTTCATATCCATTGCTAGAGAAATGACTGTGATTCCTTTGGGGATGTCAAAACACTCTGTCTTATTTGCTTCCAGAGTTTTTGCACAGAATCCTTCTCAACTGAAGAAGCTATCACTTCTTATTTTTAAATTTGCTATCATTTAGATGGGACTTCTAAATTTTTTATTCTTTTCTCCTTTGTGTTTCTGACTGTAGTGTATGTTGTGTATGATCATTTTGGTTTGTTCCTGGGTGATCTCCAGGGGCTAAGACACTGTTACGGGTTCCTTGCTTATAGATAGCTTTTGGACATGATTTTCTCAAATGGCTCCTGTTGTAGCTGTGTATTGGGTGTATGAACTGACTCACTGTCTTCTGTGTGGCTGAGAGTGTGGATGTCTTAGGAAGCTTATCTCCTGCCCTAGCATGGTGTGCTTCAGCAGGTTATTTGGTGGTGCAGTTCAGTTCCCAGTACAGTAGGTGGTGCTTAAGACTGGAAGCCAGATCACCCTCCAGTATCTTGATAATGAGTGGAAATGCCGCCCTGATAGGGGTGGTGGAGGGAGTTCATGGTTGAATGTGCTGAGGTCTGGGGTGGAGAAATGGCGTGGGGGCTGCACCATCTCCTCATCTTTGGCAGGTAGAAATATAATTTGCTTTCCTATCATGCCCCTGTCATAGGGCTTGCAAGCTTCAGTTAAAATAGATTCTGTTCTTTATCTGGAGACCACGATGTGACTAGGTCCATGGAAAACACCCATCTGGTAGCTACCAAAATGGCCTGGGGAAGAAACTCTCTCCCCAGCTCCAAACAGCTCTGCAGCTGGTCTGCACTCTTTTGCAGGAAGGGGAGATAAGCCCTCCCTTTGTGCAAGCTCAGGTGGCAGCAGGCACACTTTCAGGGAGGTGTAACTGAACACAAATAGCATAGGAAAGGCTGTCTCCAAGTTTGTTTGCTTTAGTTCCCAGTGGGGAAAGCCTTGGCTATGTCCACAGCTGTAGACAAGGGGAGTAAGAGATGAACCCCCTCCATGTCCATTGTCAGCCACTAGTTGCTGCCCTTTTGCTAGGCAGAACAACATTGCCCCTTTCAGAGATCACCACACACCCATGTTTCCTTTGTTTCAAAGGGCACTTTAATGGGCTGCACTGCCCCTTTTCCTTGGGGCAGCCCATGCTAAGGGCTAGGTCTCCAGGAATCCCACAGCTCCCTAGCGTCTGGCTGGTCCCCTGTGATTGCCAAAGTCAGAGTGTGTTCCAGAGCATGTTTCCAGATGATCTGGTGATGCAACAACACAGGGCTAAGATTCCCTGGATGAGACAGTGTCCCATAACAAGTGTACAAGCAGTATGGCACCCACCACCTCAATTCAGGTTTGAGGGGAGCGTGAACACACATGCACAATCTGGCTGCCCTGTGCTGTACCCCCAGGAAGTTCCCATATCACTTCCAACAGCATTGCTTGTGCTCACAAGGGAAGAGGGACTCTGACAATTCAGTGGTCAGTAGTCTGTCTTGGGGTGAGGGGAGCAAAGAAATATTTCCACCTATCCTTTCACTGGGACTTCAAGTTCTCCAGGCATCAATCTCTACCAGACTCTTGCTGTCTTCCTTTCCTGTGGCCCAGCTTCTTCCTGGGGGTTTGATATGGTTTGGCTGTGTCCCCACGCAAATCTCATCTTGAACTGTAGCTTCCATGTGTCATGGAAGGGACTTGATGGGAGGTAATTGAATCATGGGGATGAGTTTTTCCCACGCTGTTCTCATGATAGTAAATAAGTCTCACAAGATCTGATGGTTTTATAAAGGGCAGCTCCGCCTGCACATGCTCTCTCTTGCCAGCCACCATGTAAGATGTGCCTTTGCTCTCCTTTGCTTTCCACCATGATTGTGAGGTCTCCCTGGCTATGTGAAACTGTGAGTTTAATTACACCTCCTTTTTCTTTATAATTTACCCAGTCTTAGGTATTTCTTCACAGCAGTATGATAACAGACTAATACAGTAAATTGGCACCAGGAGAGCAGGGTACTATTAAGATACGCAAAAATGTGGAAGCAACTTTGGAACAGGATAACAGGCAGAGAGGTTGAAACAGTTTGGAGGGCTCAGAAGAAAACATAAACATGTGGAAAAGTTTGGAACTTCCTGGAGACTTGGAGGGCTCAGAAGACAGGAAGATGTGGGAAAGTTTGGAACTTCCTAGAGATTTGTTGAATGGCTTTAACTGTCAGCATTTTGATGCTGATAGTGATATGGACAATAAAGTCCAGGATGAAGTGGTGTCAGACGGAGATGAGGAATTTATTGGAAACTGGAGCAAAAGTGTTCCTTGCTACTCTTTAGCAAAGAGACTAATGGCATTTTCCCCCTACCTTAGAGATCTGTGGAACTTTGAACTTGAGAGAGATGATTTAGAGTATCTAGCAGAAGAAATTTCTAAGCAGCAAAGCATTCAAGATGTGACTTGGGTGCTCTTAAAAGCATTCAGCTTTATGTATTCACAAATATATGGTTTGGAATTGGAATTTATGTTTAAAAGGGAAGCCAAGCATAAAAGTTCAGAAAATTTGCAGCCCAATAATGCGACGGAAAAGAAAAGCCCATTTTCTGAGGAGAAATTCAAACCAGCTGCAGAAATTTGCATAAGTAATGAGGAGCCAACTGTTAATTGCTAAGACAATGGGGAAAATATCTCCAGGGCATGTCAGAGGTCTTCACAGCAGCCCCTCTCATCACAAGCTGAGGCCTAGGAAGAAAAAGTGGTTTTGTGGGCTGGGTCCAGGGCCTTGCTGCTTTGTGCAGTCTTGGGACTTGGTGCCCTGTGTCCCAGCCATGGATGAAATGGAGCCAAAATACAATGTACAGATCAGGACATTGCTTCAGAGGGTGCAAGCCTCGGTGGCTTACACATGGTGTTGAGCCTGAGGGTGCACAGAAGTTAAGCATTGGGGTTTGGTACCTTCTGCCTAGAAATTAGAGGATGTATGGAAATGCCTGGATATCCAGGCAGAGGTGTGCTGCAGGGGTGGAACCCTCATGGAGAACCTCTGCAAGGGCAGTGTGAAAGGGAAATGTGGGGTGAGAGTCCCCACATAGAGTCCCCACGGGGGTACTGCCTAGTGGAGCTGTGAGAAGAGGGCCACTGTCCTCTAGACCCCAGAATTGTAGCTCCACTGACAGCTTGCACCATGTGCCTGTAAAAGCCACAGACACTCAATGCCAACCCATGAAAGCAGCCAAGAGGGAAGCTGTACCCTGCAAAGCCACAGGGGTGGAGCTGCCCAAGGCCATGGGAGCCCATCTCTTGCATCAGCATGATGTAGATGTGAGACATGGAGTCGTAGGAGATCATTTTGAAGCTTTAAGATTTGACTGCTCTGCTGGATTTCAGACTTGCATGGGGCCTGTAGCCCCTTCACTTTGGCCAACTTCTCCCATTTGGAACAGGTGTATTTACCAAATGCCTGTACCCGCATTTTATCTAGGAAGTAATTAAGTTGCTTTTGATATTACAAGCTCATAGTCAGAAGAGACTTGCTTTGTCTCAGATGAGATTTTGGACTGTAGACTTTTGAGTTAATGGTGGAATGAGTTGAGACTTTGGGGGACTGTTGCAAGGGCATGATTGTATTTTGAAATGTCAGGACATGAGTTTTGGGAGGGGCCAGGCATGGAATGATATGGTTTGGCTGTGTCCCCCACCCAAATCTCATCTTGAATTGTAGCACATAATCCCCATGTGTTATGGGAGGGACCCAGTGGAAAATAATTGAATCATGGGAGTGTTTTTTTTTCCATGCTGTTCTCATGATAGTGAATAAGTCTCCTGAGATCTGAAGGTTTTATAAAGGGCTGTTCCCCTGAACGTGATCATTCTTGCCTGCTGCCAGGTAAGACCTAGTTTTGCTCCTCCTTTGCCTTCTGCCATGATTGTGCGGCCTCCCCAGCCGTGTGAAACTGTGAGTCCATTAAACCTCTTTTTTCTTGATAAATTACCCAGTCTGGGGTATTTTCTTCATAGCAGTATGAAATTGAACTAATACAGTGTTCTCCCAACAGTTTTGAGCATAATTCCCTTAGCTTTTCACTCAGGTCATGACCATCAACCTGTAACTTTAATCTTTCTGAGGAGTACTGGCATTCAACCACCATAGGCAGCCATCTTAAAATCCTATAAAAACACAGACCTATATTTTTTAAGATAAAAGATAACCATGCTGGTGAGAGTGCAGGTTAATACAATAATTTTGGACAACTGCCAATATCTACTAAAGCTGAGCATATGCATACTTTTGTCACAGAATATGTATGACTTCCAGGTACATGCCCTATAGAAATGTGCACATTTCTGTACACGGAAAAAAGAGCAAAATGTTCATATCAGGCCTGTCTATAATCATCAAGACAGAAACTGTAAAAATGCCCATCAGTAATATGAAGTTTACGTAAATTGCAGAATATTCATACAATGAAATATTACCAGAAATAAGAGTGAACAAATTATATCTATATACAACAATATGGTTAAATCACACAAACTTAGTTAAACAAAAAGAAAAAGCCAGATACAAGTGAGTAGATGCTGTATGAGTCTATTTATATAAAGGTCAACATCTATAAAACTAATCTATTGTGTTAGTAGTGAGACTAATAGTTACCCTTGGAATGGGTAGTAACTAGAACAGAGGACTCCTAGGTGCTGGTTATGTGAGCACTATATATTAAATTTGTAAAAAATTAATTGAGCTATACATTTATGATTTGTTCATTTTTTGAATATTTATATGAATTTACAAAAAGTTAAGTTGAAAACAAAGGCAATAGTAGCTGCAGTAAAGCCTCTATGATTTATTTAATCATTAATATGTTTGTATAGATTTTTCTTACACTGCTTTCTCTTACAGTTTATATCCATCAAGAATCACATGTTTTCTGAGTCTAATTCTCATGAATGATTTTCTCAACTTACATTTGTGACTCAAATAGATTTTTATCTTTTATTTGTGACTATTTTGCACTGGCAAAAGCACTTGTTGAAAGAATTTTATAAAACATATTTTTATTTCTTTGTTGAGGAAATGTTTGTATTATAGATCTAAAATACTAGATTCAATGTTCTCTTTAATGTATCATATATTCTTCTTCAGGATGAAGTAATCACTTTCTTAGGCTGTTTACAGTATACTGAGTTCCATTAATTTCATTAACAACTGGCTTTAGTTTTGGTTCATTTTTTCACAACTAAAATTTTCATTGCCTAAGTGACTTATACACAATAAGAGAAAAAAAGGATCACAAGAGGCTGTATTAGTTTTCTATTGCTGCTTTAACAAGTTGCCATTTAGTGATTTATAACAACACAAATGTATATCTTACAGTTCTGGAAGTTAGAAGTCCAACTGGAGTAAAATCAAGATATTGACAGAGATGTGTTCCTTTAGAGGCTTTTTGGGAGAATCTGTTTCTTTGTAGCTTCTAAAAGCTCTCTGCATTTGCCTTATAGCCCTTTTCCATTTTCAGAGTCATAAGTGTCTGATCTCATATCACATCACTTTGACACTGACTGCTTTGCCTTTCTCTTCCACATTTAAGGATTCTTGTGAATTCAATGAGCCTGCCTGAACAATATAATCACCCTATTTTATGGTCAGCCAATTAGCAAACTTAATTCTGTCTTCTCCCTTAAGTCCCCTTCACCATATAACAAGACATATTCATAGTTTTGGGGGATTAGAACATGGGTGATTTTGAAGACTGCCTCTGCCCACCACAGAGACACATTAAGGTTTTGTATAACTGGCTAGACTATGTCACAACCTTTATGACTGAATTCCACATCCCAGCCTTACAAAAAGTAAAATTAAAACCTGTGCCATTACTTATGGCTTCTGCCTAGGATTTAGATAGCTAAAAATATATTGCTCCCTCCCTTCTACCAAAAATCACTGAACTATCTGCAATTTCAAAACCTTTCCTGAACCCATCAGAAGTTGTAGGCACCAATCCAAAATCTATTTTTAAAAAGTAGCCACCAAGCAGAGAGGGGATGCAAGCCTTGTTTACCTGGAGGAGATGCAGTACTTTGCCATAAAATCAAGTAATAACAATTTAGCAGAAATTTTTAGTGAATTGCTAAAAGCTGAGCATAGGTTAGTGTGCGGATAAAAGAGAAGTTGCCCTACATTTATGTTTTACACCATGGACCTCATAAGAAAGCTTAGGGATAGTGTGACAATCCTGAGAATGTCTGGGAGAATGGAAGAGCAGTCACTGAAGGAAAGGGATAAAGCCCCTACTCTATGTAAAAAATAACAATAAAAAAATTTTTTTAAGTCTTGGCATGGGGACAGCAAACCCTATTGTCCTTAAAGAACTGGTGAAGACCTGATTTACCTACAAGAAAGAAGCAGAGAAAAAACCCTCTACTTGTGAGGCCAGGACTACATACCAGATCCAAAATATTAGAGGTGTGCTACAGCTGGAGCAACTCTGGATCATTGAGAAGACCCCATTCCAAGACACAGGAACATAGCCCATCACTGAGCTGATTCAGGGCAACGGAGGATATCCCATTGCCACCCATCTAACAAACATCAACTAACAAATATCAGCAGTTTATTTCTGAGAGAGGGGAAAGTAGTGTATAAAAATACTGTTTTTGAGAAGAAGGCACAAAGAGAAGATCTAAAGTTGATAGACAAACAGACAAACACAACAAAACACTTCTGGAATAATAGTTCCCATCCTAAGAGGAATTTGAAGCATATGCAGTACTAAAAGTAATAATAGCAACAAGAAAACATAAACACAGTTCATTCTAGACTAGATTTGGTCAGTTTCTCACACTAAATTTGAGCAAAAGAAGCAGCCCATTTTCAGGCGTTAAAACTACTTACCTCATCTTTACTACACTGCATAATATATTTGGTCTTCAACAAAAATTATAAGGTATGCAAAAAAGCCATAGAAAAAGAAAACACTGTCAAGCGAAAAAGCAATCAACAGAATCAGTTTCAGGTAAGGCTCATAGATTGGAATATCAGACAGGAAATTTGAAATAACCATAATTAATATGTGAAAGGCTTTAGTGGAAAAGGTACGCAACATGCATACTTAGATGTGTAATTTCAGCAGAGACATTGAAAACTCTAAGAGGATCAAATGAGAAACACATGAACAGAGATGAAGAATGTCATTGACAAACTTATCACATAAACTTGTCACACCCAAGGAAAGAATCCATTAACTTGAACATAGATCAGAGAAATTACCCACACTGAAACACAGAGAGAAAAAAGAGTGAAAAATACAGAACAGAGCATCCAAGACCTGTAAGACAACCTCAAACTGTCAGGCATATATGTAATTGGAATCCCTAAAGGAGAAAAGAGAGAATATATTATAAAAGAAATATTTGAGAAGGTAATGGCTGAGATCTTCCTAAATGGAAAAGAGTGGTCTTTTCAAAAATTTGTCCTGGAGCTCGTGGCTATTCATAAGTTGAAAAATAAACTTTGATTCAAATCTTCTAACCTATGCAAAAATTAACTGAAATGGATTATAGCCCTAAGTGTAAAACTTAAAACTATAAAACTTTTGGAAGAAAGCATGAAAGAAATTTTTGTGACAATAGGTTAGGCACAATTTCTTAGCTAAGACATCAAAAGCATAGTGCATAAAAGAAAAATCTTGACAAATTGGATTTAATCAAAATTAAGAACTTCTGTTACTCAGAAGGCACTGTTAATAGAAATGAAAAGAAAATTCACAGCCTGGAAGAAAACACTGGCGTATCATATTTATAATAAAAGATTGGTATTGAGACATATGAAGAGCTGAAAATTCACTGAAAAGAAATCAAACATCTCAATTTAAAAATGGGTGAAATATTTAAATGGAGTAGGAAGAGAGGAAGTCGTATCTGTTGCAGATAACATGACCCTATATTTAGAAAACCACATAGTCTCAGCCCCAAAACTCCTTAAGCTGATAAGTAACTTCAGCAAAGTCTTAGAATACAAAATCAATATACAAACATCACAAGCATTCCTATACATTAACAATAGACAAGCAAAGAGCCAAATCATGAATAAACTCCCATTCACAACTGCTACAAAGAGAATAAAATACCTAGGAATACAGCTAACAAGGGACATGAAAGACCTCTTCAAGGAGAGCTGCAAACCACTGCTCATGGAAATAAGAGAGGACACAAACAAATGGAAAAACATTCTATCCTCATGGATAGGAAAAATCAATATCGTGAAAATGGCCATACTGCCCAAAGTAATTTATAAATGTAATTCTATTTCCATCAAACTACCATTGACATTCTTCACAGAATTAGCAAAAACTACTTTAAAATTCAGATGGAACCAAAAAAAGAGCCCACATAGCCAAGGCCTTCCTAAGCAAAAAGAACAAAGCTGGAGGCATCACACTACCTGACTTCAAACTATCCTACAAGGTTACAGTAACCAAAACAGCAAAGTACTGGTACCAAAACAGACATATAGACCAGTGGAACAGAATAGAGACCTCAGAAATAAGACCACACATCTACAACTATCTGATCTTTGGCAAACCTGACAAAAACAAGCGATGGGGAAAGGATTCCCTATTTAATAAGGTGCTGGGGAAACTGGCTAGCCATATGCAGAAAACTAAAACTGGACCCCTTCCTTATACCTTATATAAAAATATAACTCAAGATGGATTAAAGACTTAAACATAAAACCAAAAACCGTAAAAACCCTAGAAGAAAACCTAGGTAATACCATTCAGGACATAGGCATGGGCAAAGATTTAATGATGAAATTGCCAAAAGCAATTGCAACAAAAGCTGAAATTGACAAATGGGATCTAATTAAACTAAAGAACTTCTGCACAGCAAGAGATCATCAGAGCAAACAGGCAACCTACAGAACGGGAGAAAATTTTTGCAAGCTACCTATCTGACAAAGGTTTAATATCCAGAATGTACAAGGAACTTAAACAAATTTACAAGAAAAAAACAACCCCATCAAAAAGTGGGCAGAGGATATGAAGAGACACTTCTCAAAAGAAGATATTTATGTGGCCAACAAATGTATCAAAAAAAGCTCAACATCACTGATCATTAGAGAAATGCAAATCAAAGCCACAGTAAGATACCATCTCACACCAGTCAGAATGGTGGTTATTAGAAAGTCAAGAAACAACAGATGTTGGTGAGGCTGTGGAGAAATAGGAACACTTTTACATTGTTGGTGGGAATGGAAATTAGTTCAACCATTGTGGAAGGCAGTGTGGCTATTCCTCAAGGATCTAGAATCAGAAATACCATTTGATCCAGCAATTCCATTGCTAGATATATACCCAAAGGAATATAAATCATTCTATTATAAAGATACATGCACATGTATGTTTATTGCAGCACTATTCACAATATCAAAGACATGAAACCAACCCAAATGTCCATCAATGATAGACCGGATAAAGAAAATTTTGTGTTACATATACACCATGGAATACTATGCAGCCACGAAAAAGAATCAGATCATGCCCTCTGCAGGGACATGGATGAAGCTAGAAGCCATCATCCTCAGCAAACTAACACAGGAATAGAAAACCAAGCAACTCATGTTCTCACTCATAAGTGGGAGTTGAACAATGAGAACACGTGGACACAGGGAGGAGAAAAACACACACCAGGGCCTGTCGAGTGGGGAGAGGGTGAGGTGAGAGAAGGCAGAGTATCAGGACAAATAGCTAATGCATGCAGGGCTTAAAACCTAGGTGACAGGTTCATAGGTGCAGCAAACCACCATGGCACATGTATACCTATGTAACAAACCTGCACATTCTGCACATGTATCCCAGAATGTAAAGTTAAATAAATAAATAATTAAAAAAATAAATATTTGAATAGGCACCTTATCGAAGAATTCGTATGAATCTAAGAACATCATCTCAATTATTGGCATAGCCATAATAATTCTGGAAGATTGTGGGTAATGATAAGGGACAAAAAATAATTCAGAAAGAAATGTACAACTCTTAGTAATTAATAGAAGAAGCGAGCAAAAAAATGAAACCTAGGACAGGTATAAACGATTTAAATAACATGATTAACAAACATGAAGTAATGTATACATATAGAACACTACAATTGAAAAATATACATTACTTTCAAACACAAAATATTTATAAAAATTCTTTTTATATTCAGCCAAAAATCAAATACTTCCAGCTTTCAAGAGATTTAAATCATATGGAATCATTCATTGAATGCAATGCATTAGAAACTATGATCAAAAAATAGGAAGTCTTTATGTAAGTTGAAAATTAAAAATATGTGCCTACGTGTGTAACTATGTAACAAACCTGCATGTTCTGCACATGTACCCCAGAACTGAGAGTATAATAATAATAAAAAGAAATATGTGCCTAATAACATGCTCATCTATCTGAGCCCCCACCCAGTTCTGTTCCCTTGCTGGAGAGGCATTGTGATCACTGGGTACGTACCCAAAGAAATATAAATCATTCTGTTACAAAGACATGTACATGTGTGTTCATTGCAGTACTGTTAACTATAGCAAAGACATAGAATCAACCCAAATGCCCATCAGTAATAGGCTGGATAAAGGATATGCGGTACATATACACCATGGAATGCTATGCAACCACAGAAAGGAACGAGATAATGTCCTTTGCAAGGATATGGATGCATCTGGAAGCTGTTTTCCTGAACTAACCCAGGAACAGAAAACCAAACACTGCATGTTCTCACTTATAAGTGGGAGCTGAACGATAAGAACACAAGGACATATGCAGGGGAACAACACACACTAGGGCCTATTGGGGATGCAGAGGGAGGGAGAGCATCAGGAAGAATAGCTAATGGTTGCTGGGCTTAGTACCTAGGTGATGGGGATCTGTGCAGCAAATCATCATAGTACACGTTTATCTATATAACAAACCTGCACATCCACACATGTTCCCTGGAACTTAAAAGTTAATGAAAAAATAAAATAAGAAATATGTGCCTACTAACTCAATCTTCAAAGAAGATATCATAATGGAAATTAGAGAAATGGAAACTAGTTTTGAACAAGTTGACAAGAATAAATACTATGTCTCAAAATATATAAGATGATAGCTAAGGTTCTTGGAAGGTAATTTATGGCCTTTAATGTGTATTTTCAAAAAAGAATAAAGACTGAAGACCACAGTGATCTGTTTAAGCATCCATCTCAAATGGGAAGAAACTAACCCTTCAGAAGCCTTTTTGTTTTTGACATCTCAATTCTCTATATTATATTCAAAAAGAGAAAACAGAGAGAAAGCAAAGAAATAATCAAAGAATTACTTCAAAAAGTTTTCCATGCTTGAAAAACTTGAGTTTCTAGTTTGAAAGAGGTTATCTAGTGCTTAGGACAATGGATAAAAATTGCTGTATGCCACAGTAAATTGTGAGTCCTCAGAACCCAGAGAACAAAAAGAAAATGCTAAAAAAAAAAAACTTCCAGAGAACAGAAAGATTAAGAAACAGAATTGTATCATCCCTCTTAACAGCAGCTTTGAAAGATGGAAGAGAATGGAACAATGTCTTACAAATTCTAAGGGAAAATTATTTATAACCTAGGACCCTAGACCCAACCAATTTGTCAAGTAAGTGTAAAGATGAACTGAAGGCATTGTTAACTTATATACATCTTTTCTCATCAAGTTATTGGAGAAAAAAAACCACCAAAATAAGGCGTAAATTAATGAAGAGGTTAAGATGAGAGTCAAGAAATGGAGGCTTTAACACATGAGACATGTAAATTGAATCTCCAAAATACTGGTGAAGGGAGCTCCCTAAATGATAACTGCACAGGCCTAATGAAAAAATTTGTTCAGATTCGAGCACATTGGCAGGCTTTGGGAGAGATGTCTCCAAGAATATTAAACTGAAAGCATCTCTAATGCATCTGAATGTATTCAAAGGCAATTTAGACAATAGTGGGGGGAGCAGTTTGGAGCTAAGTTAATTATAAGTACATAGAACATAAGAAAACAAAAACATCCAACAATTATTAACTTCAGATAAAAAAATTTTCTTAAGAAAATAAGTATAGCAGATTCATTTTTAAAGTCTCAATTGTCCACATTATTCTCTATATTCAAAAAGAGAAAACTGGTTCAGCTGTCAACAAGATTTTACATAGTTACAATAATGTAAATGCTGATATTCACACAATGAAAATTATAACAGTTGATATTATGTAAAGAATAGAAAGTTAGCTTGTATGTGGTGATAATGGGATAGGATGGTGAAAGATCGTTAAATCTTTATCTTCCCTAGTTGGACGTCAATAGAATGCCTAAAATTAATACATCAAAATGTAACAATATAGCCCTTTTTTGTGTGTGCTATGGTTATGGGTCCCAGATAAAGATAGTTGTTTCTGGGAAGCAAGATATGGTCTTGGGGATGTGTGAGGAACTATGGGACTTTGGAAATTAAACAAATAGTTTCACATATAATTTCACTCTTTAAATTGTATGTCTGTATAAATTTTATAAAATGAAAAATGAAAATTAGAATATATGTAAGTTACCAAATAATTGCAAAGACATTTTAGGTTTTTAGCTCCTTTATTTTATGGGCCATTTGTTTCTAAATCCTGTAGGATAACAATTTCCTAGGAAATACTTGAATAGATCCTACTAGAGTTTAGTTTTTTAAAACTGGCAATGTGAAAAGATAAATTTCGAGTGTTGTGGCTCTATATTAATGTCATTCTTTGGAACAATTCATGTTTTGTGACCAATTTGAATTAAAACTTGTAAATAATGTTGGAATGTAGTCAGATATCAACCAGTGGCTAATTTGCAAAAAAAAAAAAAAAAAGTAACAGTGAAAGTAACTTATATTAAGTGCTTACTAGGGATCAGGCACCATGTTAAATAATTTCACGTCTGCCTTGATGGCAGACAGGGACTAGATTGAAATGACTTTTGCGCCCCTTGTGTCAAGCACATAGTTTGGTACATAGTAATCCCTCTCTCTCTTTATATATCAGGACCAAGTAGGGTTTATGCAATACTGGACAGTATTAACCATGTATTTTATTTTCTATATTCTGATACTTTGACATCTGGGACCTTGATGACCCTAGAAGGACTGCACTTCCTAGGGTTAGTTAATTCCTAGAGGCAACTTGCCCATGAGCATGTTTTTTAAATGCTTTTTGATTTTTAAACAAACCAACCAATTCAGAGGTCACACACAACCATTTCCTTTATTTGGCTGTTACACTCTGGGTCACTATCCACCTGCCCAAATCATCCCAGGACTAGGTACCAGATAGGGGTAGCTCCTATGCACTAAAGCCTACTGAAATTATTTAAACTAGTCAATCATAGGCCTTCTTGCCTTGCCTCTTCCTTCCTAAGGAAAGCACAATAAAGACTCTCCCCCACAGTTCTCCCCTCTTTCTCTGCCTCCTGACTGGCCCCAGGGCTTGCCCATGTGGCCCCCTGTGGCATGACATCCCCCTACTCTTGGGAACTGTGAGTAATAAACCATCTTTATAAACGCAATCTGCTGATCTGTTGGCCTTACTATACTTCAATTTTTCTATTAATGCACAATATTTTAAAACATAGGCAATCTATCTAGAAGCACTCAAGTGAATCAAACTGAAGTCTGCTAAATAAGTGATAACTGTATCTAAAAACATTTAGAAAATTACAATTTGATGGCTCAGTCTAGTGAATAACCCTCATTGAACACTCACCGCTGAGAAAATATTGGCTACATTTATGAGCATGTTATAGTCATAATTATTGTTAACATATAATATTAATAATAATATTAGTTCATATTTGTGTCATACTTTCCCATTTACCAACACTGTAACATATATTTCAAAATAATTTATGTTATTCTCATTTTTATTGCTGAGGATACAGATGTTTAGAGTGGTTAGATGACTTATCTAATCCTACGCAGCTTAAAAGGAACAAAAAAGGAACTTTTTTGTTGTGAGGATGAAATGTATAATTATCATAAAAATGCTTTGACAAATTAAAAGGTATTTTCAAAATCCAAATTTATTTGGCTAAATATGTATTTTATATTAACAGGTTTAAAACCTCAAAAAGGCTTTTGGATCCACTGGAAACTGAAAGAACTCTCCACAACCACCATTCATGGTAGCAAAAAAGCACCTGCAAAATCAGTAAAGGAAAGAATTGCAGACAGTCAAGAACATATATCAACTAGTAAGTAAAGTTTCTGTATACTGCCAAATGGAATAGGTAGCAAAAATCAATTAATTTATTTATTAGGCAGAATTTTCTAATGATTTATGTTTTTGGTGAGGGCCTTAAAATAACATTTGATTTATAGATTGATGTTATAGTGGTACACACTTAAGTCCTTTTTCCATTTGCCTGTTACAAAATAATGATTTTTTAAAATGTTTATCCTTTTTGTCTTTATGTATACTACATATATTCTCACTTTTACTTGTATTGCTAACTGGTTAATATGTATTGTCTCTATAGATAAATTTACATTTTTTATTTTGTTCATTTAAATTATGTTTTCTTTAGGGTTTCAGTTTTGTGGTGTGTTTGTGAAGACTTAACTAAGATTATAAAAATACCTACCTGTATTTTTCTAGTATTTTTAAATTTCCATATAAATTTAACTCTTTGTTATAAACAGCATAGTTGTATTCCAATATGATGGGTTTTTTTTTTCCAAATGATCCGTTTATTAAATAGTCCACTTAGAGCCTACTTGAAATACCAATTCATTTACATTTTAATATTCTTTTCTGTTCCTTTGAGCCACGTCCAAATTCTTGTGCCAGGACCAAAGTCCTCAGTTACTCTACATTAATAAGCTTTGTAAGGCGAGTTTATTTCTCTCCTGTTTATGCTATTTCTTTAATACCAAACATAAGTCTAATGCTCAGGTCTCGTGTCTGA
This sequence comes from Homo sapiens, assembly GCF_000001405.40. Taxonomy (NCBI): domain Eukaryota; kingdom Metazoa; phylum Chordata; class Mammalia; order Primates; family Hominidae; genus Homo; species Homo sapiens. The sequence continues at coordinate 49,507,496 of NC_000015.10, read as the reverse complement.
CTGGTTAAATCAGAATCTAGGCTTAGTAATGTTTAAAGTTCCTCAGTGCCTCAGATGATTTCATGTGCAGGCAATGTTACAAACCACTAATGCAGAGGGAAATACCTTTCTAACCTATACCTTGATATAGGCCAAGGAAGAGGAGGAATTAACCTACCCAGCCTACTCTTTGGGAAGTTATTCTTTAGTTAATCTGATTCTAGAATTATTTAATTAGTTAATTATTCTTCTTCAGATCTGAGAATTTTGAATTTAGAGCATCACTATTTTAACTGTGGTTTTCTATATTCTTATCGCAGTATATATCATCCAATATGATTTCTATCTTTTATTAGTTACAGGAAATTTTCTTGTTTGCTGTCATCCTCAGTGTTTTACCAAAACTTCGTATATATTGTTATGGGGGGTGGGGGGCTATTTCTAGGGATTTCTGATAGAAAGAGTAATAGTCTACTATCTTGAGCCAATTTTGTTTATCTGTTTTGACTTCTCACCCTCACATATGAATAACTAAATTGAGAGTATTTTGTGAACTTTCCATTTTCTTTTTAAGTAACAGAAAAGTGGTAAGAATAGCATTAACAACTCCCATATATCCTTTACCTACCAATTATTTATATTTTGCTTGTTCTTTAAATCATTCTCTTTCTTCTTTTTTCACATAAGCAATTAAAGATTAAATTTCCCTAAGCACTGCTTTAAGTGTGTTGTATTTAGATATGTTGTATTTTATCACTTAATTAAAAATTTTCTAACATTTACTGTAATTCCTACTTTGACCCATTAGTAGGTCAAAGTAGGGTTATTTAGAAAAGTATTGTTTAATTTCCAAATGTTTGGGACCTTTCTAGATATCTTAAAATTACTGATGTCTAATTAAAAAAAAACTACTGTGGTCTGAGGGCATACTCTGTATGATCTTTTGCAACGTGTTGAGACTTGTTTTATGGTTCAGAATGTGGTCTGTCTTGGTGAACATTCCATGTACACTTGAGAAGAATGTATATCTGCAGTTAAAAAAAATCTCAATTAGATCAAGGTGGCTAATAGTATTATTCAGATCTTCTGTATCAAGTCAGCTAACTGTAGCCTGTGGATTAAATCTGGTGTGTAGCATGTTTTTATACATTCTATGAACTTAGAATGGTTTTTGCATTTTTAAGGGTTGTAAAAAACAAAAACGTAAAACAAAATAAAGAATATGTGACAGAGACTACATTGGCCTGAAAATCCTACAATACTGACTTGCTTTTTATAGAAAAATTTTGCTCACCCTAGTTCTATATCTTTATTGATATTTTATTTAGTTCTATTAATTACTCAGAGGGGATATTAAAATATAATTTTAGAATTATCTATTTCTCCCTTTAATGTTATTGATTTTTGCTGTATCCATTTTTAAATTATTGAGCAAATATACTTTTATTAGGTTTTTCCTTTAACCATTATAAAATGTTCCTTTGTAGCTGTGATAATTCTCTTTTTTTGAGTTCATTTTGTTTAATCTTAATATAGACACTTCAGTTTTCCTATGCTTATGGTTCACATCGTATCTTTTCTCATCATTTTACATATAACTAGTTCATATTCTTATATACTTTTTGTAAACAATCTGTAGTTGAGTCTTGTTTTTTTATTCAGGATGACAATCTCTTCACTTTAATTTGAAGTGTTACTTCACTTACATTTAATGTAATTATTGATATGATTAATCTTATTTCTACTAGTTTCTATTTGTTTTGAGATTTATCCCATCTGTTCTTTGTTTTCCCTGTCTTCTTTTGGTTAATTGAATATTTTTGTCATTCTATTTTAATTCCTCTATTGGCTATTTACCTATACCACTTTTGTATTTTTTGAGGCTGCTTTAATGCTTGCAAAATGCATTCTTAAATTATCAAAATACTATCTAAAGTTAATATTGTCCTACTTAACTTAAAATGTAGGACCTTGGAGCAGTATAGTTACATATACACCCCCGTGTCTTTTTTGCTATTGTCAAATATATCTACATAAATAATAGCCTCACATTATATAGTGTCATGACTTTTGTTTCAAATAATTACATGTTTTTTCAGCTTTTTGAGATCTAATTGGTGTACAATAAATTGCATATATTTAAAGTGTAAAATTTGATGAGTTTTGACGTATGTATAAATCTGTAAAACCATTACAACTCGAGGTAAAAAAACATCTATCTCTCTCAAAAGTTCCTTATGCTTTTTTTGTAATTCCTTCTTGCCACCAACCCACAGGCAATCATTTATGTAATTTTTGTCACTATAGGTTAGAATGCAATTTTCTAGAAGTTTACATAAATGAAATTATATAGAGTGCATGCTGTTTTTCAACTAACATTTTTTATTCCACATAATTATTCTGAGATTCATTCATGTTGTTACATGTATTAATAATCTCTTCCTTTGTATTGCTGAATAGTAGTCCTCCATAGTAGGAATATAATATGATTTGTTTATCCATTCATCTTTTGGTGGCTATTTGTATTGTTCTCAGTATTTGGCTATTATAAATACAGCTGCTATGAACATTTATATACAAGTATTTGTTCGGATATAGGATTTTATTTCTCTTTGATAAACATCTAGTAGTGGGATGACAGAGCAGCATGGTTATGTAACGTATTAGGTCATTCTTGCATTGCTATAAATAAATATCTGAACCTGGGTAATTTAGGAAAAAAGAGGCTCAATTGGCTCATGGTTCTGCAGGCTTTACAGAAAGCATGGTGTTGGTATCTGCTCAGCTTCTAGGAAGGCCTCAGGAAGTTTACAGTCATGGCAGAAAGCAAAGGGGGAGCAGGCACATCACATGGTGAAAGAAGCAGCAAGTGAGAGAAAGTGGAAGGGAGGTGCCACACACTTTTTTTTTTTAAACTTTAACATGCACATGAATGACCTTTATTTTATTAAAAGTTTCTGTTCAGTGGGTCTAGGGTGGGACCTGGGATTTTGCATTTCTAGCAGGCTTCAGGGAACGCGAGTGGTGCTAGTTCCACACACTTTGAGTAACAAAGTTATGAACAATATATATCTGATCTTTTCTTTTTTTTTATTATACTTTAAGTTTTAGGGTACATGTGCACAACGTGCAGGTTTGTTACATATGTATACATGTGCCATGTTGGTGTGCTGCACCCATTAACTCGTCATTTACATTGGGTATGTCTCCTAATGCTATCCCTCCCCCCTCCCCCCACCCCACAACAGGCCCCGGGGTGTGATGTTCCCCTTCCTGTGTCCAAGTGTTCTCATTGTTCAATTCCCACCTATGAGTGAGAACATGCAGTGTTTGGTTTTTTGTCCTTGCGATAGTTTGCTGAGAATGATGGTTTCCGTCTTCATCCATGTCCCTACAAAGGACATGAACTGATCATTTTTTATGGCTGCATAGTATTCCATGGTGTATATGTGCCACATTTTCTTAATCCAGTCTATCATTGTTGGACATTTGGCTTGGCTCCAAGTCTTTGCTATTGTGAATAGTGCCGCAATAAACATACGTGTGCATGTGTCTTTATAGCAGCATGATTTATAATCCTTTGGGTATATACCCAGTAATGGGATGGCTGGGTCAAATGGTATTTCCAGTTCTAGGTCCCTGAGGAATCGCCACACTGACTTCCACAATGGTTGAACTAGTTTACAGTCCCACCAACAGTGTAAACGTGTTTCTATTTCTCCATATCCTCTCTAGCACCTGTTGTTTCCTGACTTTTTAATGATCACCATTCTAACTGGTGTGAGATGGTATCTCATTGTGGTTTTGATTTGCATTTCTCTGGTGGCCAGTGATGATGAGCATTTTTTCATGTGTCTTTTGGCTGCATAAATGTCTTCTTTTGCGAAGTGTCTGTTCATATCCTTTGCCCACTTTTTGATGGGGTTGTTTGTTTTTTTCTTGTAAATTTGTTTGAGTTCTTTGTAGAGTCTGGATATTAGCCCTTTGTCAGATGAGTAGATTGCAGAAATTTTCTCCCATTCTGTAGGTTGCCTGTTCACTGTGATGGTAGTTTCTTTGGCTATGCAGAAGCTCTTTAGTTTAATTAGATCTCAATTGTCAATTCTGGCTTTTGTTGCCATTGCTTTTGGTGTTTTAGACATGAAGTCCTTGCCCATGCCTATGTCCTGAATGATATTGCCTAGGTTTTCTTCTAGGGTTTTTATAGTTTTAGGTCTAACGTTTAAGTCTTTAATCCATCTTGAATTAATTTTTTTATAAGGTGTAAGGAAGGGATCCAGTTTCAGCTTTCTACATATGGCTAGCCAGTTTTCCCAGCACCATTTATTAAACAGGGAATCCTTCCCCCATTTCTTGTTTTTGTCAGGTTTGTCAAAGATCAGATAGTTATAGATGTGTGGCATTATTTCTGAGGGCTCTGTTCTGTTCCATTGATCTATATCTCTGTTTTGGTACCAGGACCATGCTGTTTTGGTTACTGTAGCCTTGTAGTATAGTTTGAAGTCAGGTAACGTGATGCCTCCAGCTTTGTTCTTTTGGCTTAGGATTGACTTGGCAATGCGGGGTGCCACACACTTTTAAACAACCAGATTTTGTGTTAACTCAGAGTGAGAGCTTACTTATCACCAAGGGGATGTCCCAAGTCATTCATGAGGGCTCTGCCTTCATGATCCAACCACTTCCCACCAGACCCCACCTCCAACACTGGGGATTACATTTCAACATGAGATTTGTACAGGGACAAATATCCAAACTATATCATTTCACCACTGACCCCTCCCAAATCTTGTCCTTCTCACATTGCAAAATACAATCATGCCTTCCCAACAGTCCCCGAAAATCTTAACTCATTCCAGCATTAACTCAGAGGTCCAAAGTCTCATCTAAAACAAGGCAAGTCTCTTCCGCCTATGAGCCTGTAAGGTCAAAAACAAGTTACTTACTTCCAAAATACGATGGGAGTATAGGCATTGGGTAAACATTGCCATTCCAAAAGGGAGAAATCGGCCAAAAGAAAAGAACTGAAGGCCCAATGCAAGTTCAAACCTGGCAGAGCAGTCATTAAATCTTAAAGCTCCAAAATAACCTCCTTTGACTTTATGTCCCACATCTAGGGCACACTGGTGCAAAGGATGGGCACCAAAGGCCTTGGGCAGCTTCACCCCTGTGGCTTTGTGGGGTTCTGCCTCCACAGCTGCTCTCACAGGTTATTGAGTGTCTGTGGCTTTTTCAGATTCAGGGTGCAAGCTGCCAGTAGATCTACCGTTCTCGGGTCTGGAGGGCAGTGGCCCCCTTCTCACAGTTCGACTAGGCAGTGCCCCAGTGGGTACTCTGTGTGGGGGCTCTTATCCTACATTTTCCCTCTTTACTGCCGTAATAAAAGTTATCTATGAGGGCTCTGCCCCTGCAGCAGGCTTCTGCTTGGGCAACCAGGCTTTTTCATACATCCTCAAATCTAAGCAGAGGCTGCAAAATGATCTTCACTCTTGCATTCTGTGCACCTACAGGCTTAACACCATGAGGAAGCTGCCAAGTTTTATAGCTTGCATTCTCCAAAGTGGCAGCTCAAGCTGTACCTGGACCTTTTAAAGCCCCAGCTAGAACTGAAGCAGCTGGGATGCACAGAGCAGTGGCCCAAGACTGTGCAGGACAGCAGGTCCCTGGGCCTGACCCATAAAACCATTTAGTCTTCCTAGGCCTCAGGGCCTGTGACTAGAGGACCTGTGTCTTAGATTTCTGGGATGCCTTCAAGGCCTTTTTCCCATTGTCTTGGTTATTAGCACTTGGCTCCCTTTTGTTATGCAAATTTCTCTAGCAAGTCATTGCTACAAAGCCTACTTGAATTATTCTTCCAAAAGAGCCTTTTCTTTCTCTGCCACATGGCTAGGCTGCCAATTTTCTAACCTTTTACGTTATGCTTCCTGTTTAAATATAAGTTCCACATTTATCATTTCTTTGCTCCTGCATCTGAGTGTCGTCTGTTGCAAGCAGCCAGGGTTACATCTTGAATACCCTGTTGCCTAGAAATTTCTTCCACCAGATACCCTAAATTATCACTCTGAAGTTCAAGCTTTCACAGATCCCTAGGGCAGGGAAACAATGCAGCCAAGTTCTTTGCTAAGGCACAACACAGATGACCTTTGCTCCAGTTCCCAATAAGTTTGTTATTTCCATCTGAGACCTCATCAGCCTGGGCTTCACTGCCCATATCAGTATCAGCATTTTGACCACAACCATTTAACTAGTTTCCAAGAAGTTCTGAACTTTCCCTCATCTTCCTGTCTTCTTCTGAGCCTTCCACACTCTTCCAGCCTCTGCCCATTATGCAATTCCAAATCTGCTTCTGCATTTTCAGGTATCTTTATAGCAATGCCCTACTCCTGGTACCAACTTTCTGTATTAGTTCATGCTTGTGTTGCTATAAAAGAATACCCGTGACCAGGTAATTTACAAGAAAAAGAGGTTTAATTGGCTCATGGTTCTGGATGCTCTACAGGAAGCACGGTGCTGGCATCTGCTCAGCTTCTAGAGAGGCCTTAGGAAGCTTACAATCATGGCAGAAGGTGAAGGGAGAGCAGGCATGTCACATGGCAAAAGCAGGATCAAGCAAGAGGGGGGCAGAGGTGCCACACAATTTTAAACAAGCAGACCTCATATGAACTCAGAGCAAGAGCTCACTTACCACCAAGGGAATGGCCCCAGCCATTCTTGAGGGATCTGCCCCCATGATCCAGCCACCTCCCACCAGGCCCCACATCCAACATTGGGGATTACATTTCAACATGAGATTTGGTTGGGGGTAGATATCCAAACTATATCACGTATGTATAACATTTTAAGAAATTGTCAATCTCTTATCCGAAATTTTACATTTCTACCAGTATACAAGTTATATTTACTTCCTTACTAACACTTGTTATGGTCTTTTTAATTTTAGCTATTCTCGTGAGTTATATACTGGTATTTAGCTAGGTTTTATTTTAATTTCTCTGATGATCAATCATGATGAGCTTCTTTTCATGTGCTTATTTGCCATCCATGTATCTTAAAGCTCCAAAATAACCTCCTTTGACTTTATGTCCCACATCTAGGGCACACTGGTGCAAAGGATGGGCACCAAAGGCCTTGGGCAGCTTCACCCCTGTGGCTTTGTGGGGTTCTGCCCCCACAGCTGCTCTCACAGGTTATTGAGTGCCTGCTGAAGTGTCTGTTCAAATATCTTGGCCATTTTTATTTGAGTTGTTTGTCTTCTTATTGAGTTATAAGAGGTCTTTATATATTTTATGCTTATTTATTTAGTTAGTTCGTTTTTAAAGACAGGATCTTGTTCTGTCACCCAGGCTGGAATACAGTGCCATGATCATAATTCACTGCAGCCTAGAAAAAAGTTATTCATGTATTTAGAAACAGGTCCTTTTTCAGATACATATTTTACAAATATTTTCTCCCAGTATGTTGCTTGCCCTTTCATTTCTTAATAACATCTTTTAAAAAACAAAAGTTTATAATTAGAAGAAACCCATTTATCAATTTTTTAATATAGTTTGTGCTTTTTGCATTCTATTTAATAATATTTGTGAACCCAATTTCACATGGAAATTTTATAGTATGTAGCTTTATAGTTCAGAGTTGTAGCTCTTACTTTTAGGTCTCTAATTCATTTTGAGTAATTTTTCTTAATTATATGTATAAACATTAAGAATCACTTCTTTGCATATTGCTTTAGCACCATTTGTTGAAAAGATTATCCTCTCCTCATCGAATTATCTTGGAAATCAATTGACCATACATATTGGTTTATGTCTGTTCTCTGTATTCTGTTCCACTGATGCCAATAACCAGCTACCTTTAAAACTGTAGTTTTATAATGTATCTTGAAGTTAGGTACTATAAGTCCTCCAAGTTTGCGCTTCTTTTACACAATTATTTTGGTTATTCTAGATTCTTGTCATTTCCATATAAATTTGAAAAACTGCTAGTCAGTTTCTAAAATATATACTCGGGCATCTTTATTTTAAATACATTGTATTGATCAATTTGGGGAGAATTGGTATCTTAACAAAGTGAGTTTGTCAGTTCACAAACATAGAATATGCCTATATTTATATAATACTTCTTTAATTTTTCTCAGCAATGTTTTCTAGTTTTTACTATACAGACACATCTTTTTCCAATTATACATGGCATTTTAAATTTTCAATTTTGATTATTCATGCTGCTATATAGGAAAAAACTTTTTATTTTGCATTTTTGTTGGGTGCATGTATATTTAGGACAGTTAAGTCTTTTTGTTGTATTGAATACTTTATCATTATGTAATGCCCTTCTTTTTTTTTTTTTTTTTTTTTTTTTGAGACGGAGTCTCGCTCTGTCGCCCAGGCTGGAGTGCAGTGGCGGGATCTCGGCTCACTGCAAGCTCCGCCTCCCGGGTTCACGCCATTCTCCTGCCTCAGCCTCCCAAGTAGCTGGGACTACAGGCGCCCGCCACTACGCCCGGCTAATTTTTTGTATTTTTAGTAGAGACGGGGTTTCACCGTTTTAGCCGGGATGGTCTCGATCTCCTGACCTCGTGATCCGCCCGCCTCGGCCTCCCAAAGTGCTGGGATTACAGGCGTGAGCCACCGCGCCCGGCCTGTAATGCCCTTCTTTGTCCTTTTTGATTATTGTTGTTTTAAAGTCTGTTTTGTCTGATATAAGAATAGCAACCCTTGCTCTTTTTGTTTTCCATTTGGCTGACAGATCCTTTTCCATCCCTTTATTTTGAGTCTATGGGTGTCATTTCACATGAGATGGGTCTCTTGAAGATAGCAGACTATTGGGTCTTGATTCTTTTTTCAACTTGGCACTCTGTGCCTTTTAAAAAGCTTGAAAGTGTATTATATATTTTATTTATCTCTAAATATTTGAAATACGCTTTTTATATCTGACGCTAAAACGTGACAAGATATTTTTGTTTCTGGATGAGATGGTCTAAGCTGTGGGAGCAAGGGCCAAGTTATAGTGGCTGTTTCTTTTAATTCATTGCTCAAATTTTAATTTAATAGTTCATGTTCAACCTGGGAAAATCTTCAGTTTGAAATATGTACTTGATAAAGTGTGTTAACTTAAGAGAGCTAAGGCTCTATTAACTGCCTTACTCTCATAAATGAGTAATCCTTTTATGTGACAGGTGACTTTTATTATCATCTTCATTTTTATAAGTGACAAAACCACAATATAAGTTGATTAAGTAATTTTCCTAAAGCCACATAACTGATCAGTGCTAGACTATAAATTGAAATTCAAGAAATTTTGGCCACAGAGTCTGAACTCATAACCACTTCACGTACTGCCTATCAGTCATTTGATTTTACAGGCTTATAATTAAATTAAGGCTTAAAATTATCATTGTAGAATAAGTATTGTAACTTATGAGAGTTACCATAGCCTTAATACTTCATTTATGGCAAATGTGAATGAGTTTTTAGGTCTTTTCCTGGATTAAATTTTAATAGATGAGGGTGAATGAGGAAAGATGCTAGTAGAAAGGCCAGAAAGGTAGCAGAAGACTGGACAAAAATTTACTTGTTTTCCAGTTTCGTGTACGAATTTCTCTAGAAATAGCAAGCAATGGTTAGGGGACTTGGAAAATTCACACTTTGGGGCCAAAGTGGTGCAGAGGCACAATGGCAACAATGGGCCAGAATTTCTAAACCTCTAAAAGAAACACAGCCTCCATTGAGAATTACATGTCTACCACACACCGCTGTTTTTGATGGTGGAATTAAAAGAGAAGTTGTTGTAACATTTCAAAGAGGTAAAGATCACTAAAGAGGTATTTTTTCTATAATCTTCTGCTTAGATTGTGACTACTAGGAAATCTACTTAAGAAAGAAGTTTGTTCAAATTTATGAGTTTCTTTTTTGAACTTTGAGCATCTCATATTTCTCCAGAGCTTTAATCTACTTTTAAAACTATCTTCTGTGTTTTTATATCAGTTAGTGGTCAGTGAGTGCCTCCCCCAACTCATTGATTTTGTCCTTGATGGCAGAGCAGGGTATGGATTGACGGTGAGAAACTGAAACATTCCTATCCTATAGGAAATCATTGCAAAGGGGCTTGGCTCATGGTATCTGAGAGCTTCCATATCCTGCTTGTTGCTTTACAGTTTCTGTGTACCTTACCCCCAGTCTGGACACAGTCATCATTGTGGAGAATTCTCTGAACATAAGATTCAGATCATGTATTTACTGGTGCCATAAGTATGCTTTTGTTTGGAGGCTTTCCTATACTATAGTCCCTAATGTTTCATCTGCTCTAATGTATTCAACTTGCACATAAAGAACTTGAATGTCTTTGAGCAGGTCATACAACCCCTCTGAGCTTTATTTTTACAACTGAAAAATGAGGTGAGTAGAATATTTCTATATTCCCCTTTTCCAGCATTTTGTTCTTTAAAGACTTCTATCCATAGGTGCTGAATAATCTTCCAAAGTGATTGCTGACTGTTCAGGTGTAATTAGTAATAGAGACTGGTGGTTTAGGATTCATGATTTGAGAACTCCTCTTTCTCTATAGCTGTGTGTGTGTGTGTGTGTGTGTGTGTGACTTTGTGTATACTAAAACCTTATTCTGTGTGCTGGAGGAAGGCTAAGGCAGATAAAGAGCAGAACTAGGGTAAAACATTAGTATATGTACATATGCATGCATATACATATATATGACTTAAAAGAAATATTCTGTATTCCATATATACTGCTGTCTTAGGATTGCTTCTTCTAATCTAAAACATATTTAAAACATAATTTTTTTCGACATTTGAGATGCTTATTGTAATGTGGAGTTAACTTTTTTCCAGAATTTTACAAAGAGGACTTTCTGTTTTGTTTTTAATGAAATAAACACACAGTGGATAGTTAAAATTTGCCTTCCAAACAAAATGTCATGATATCTCCCTTTTTAGGACTGGAATGTAAGCAGTTATAGAATTTCAGTATCTGGAATGACTCATGATTTATAAGCCAGCTCCTCTTAAGCAGTGTATTGTTAGATTATTTACAAGACTAAAATTTTAATGTTAATTTCTTTATTGTGGTACAATACCATTTAAGCTTTTGAACTCAAATAAAGATCATTTTTAAAAACTATTTTTATACCTCTCCCCCAATTTCTAAATTCAGTTTTTTCTCTTTGTTGGATTTTAAAGCTAAAACAATAACAAGTCTCATTCTTTTTATAAACTGTAGCTTAAACCGCAAGCAATAAGAAAAATCCTTATATTTAACTATCATGTACTTTTATGTACCTAGTACACATTACTGTACTTGGCACTGTAAGGAGATAAAAAATAAAAAGAAACACAGTAGTTACTCATACACAAGTACTAGGTGATATTTAGCAAATGACATGTTACAGAAATATTTAAAGTAATAGCCAGATGCTTTAGGATTCCATATGTTATAAAGAGCTACTTGGATTTTATTATTTATTTATTTATTTTATTTATTTTATTTTTCAAGACAGAGTCTCGCTCTGTCACCCAGGCTGAAGTGCAGTGGTGGGATCTTGGCTCACTGCAACCTCTGCCTCCCGGGTTCAAGCAGTTCTTCTGCCTCAGTCTCCCAAGTAGCTGGGACTACAGGCATGCACCACGACACTCAGCTAATTTTTGTATTTTTAGTAGAGACAGGGATTCTCCATGTGGGCCAGACTGGTCTCAAACTCCTGACCTCAAGTGATTTGCCCACCTTTGCCTCCCAAAGTGCTGGGATTAAAGCACGAGCCACCATGCCCGGCCCGGATTTTAGTTTGCACCTCTAATTTTGCTACCTCTTCACTATTAGCAATGCTCAGGGATAATAAAAAAGAAACCATTAGAAGTAGGATATAAAATAGCACTTTGAGAACTAAGCCAGTAAAATTTCCACATTATGCTTTTCATTATACATCATTAAAAGAAAACCAAGAAATTTGCACAGCTAAGGAGTGAGGAAACCCCAGAAATATGCTATTAATATGGTCAGACATACAAACTCCCAAAGTGGTAGCAATTTGTTAAGTCATATTGTTGTTAGTTGTATTTTATACTGTGTAGAGAAAGACTATATGAACAGAAGCAGAGTGAATAACATAAGGCACAGAGTAGCCCAAAGAACCGGAAATTTGGTAGAAATTTAACGGAACTATTCAGATTATTATGAGTTAGATTTCATCATTATTTGGAGAATATGTATATTTCAAACCTGTTTTCTCTCCTTTTGCTTTGATGCCATGCTCACCAAGCAATTTCAAGTTATTTAACTTCCAAGATAATTTTCCATGTCTACCATAAGATCGCCTGCAAATACCTCCCCCAGATATATTGGTCTGTTGGTTGGTAGCATTAGTCAGAGGGGCTGGGTTTAATTTTGAAACAGCAGGTTTCCATTATATTATGAAATGAATTATTAGCATATTATACTAAATGACATTAAAATGCTGTGTTATGGAGAAGTGAATGATAAGACTTTGAATACCTGAGAGATTTAGTCATCAGTTTGCATAAAACAATGTGATATATTTCTATTCATTTGCAACAATGACATTTGTATCATGCTTAGGTATTAGAATGACTCTTTGCAGTGAGGTGTGCTTATTATTCTGTCACTGAATTGGAATTGGTTTGTCCATTAGTTTAATAAATATTTGCTGAGTGCAATGAACATTTACTGAGTCCTTATATTTCCTGAGTATTAAATATATTTACTGAGTGCTTAACAGCTGCTCTTAAAGGAGCTTCGGATACATAAGGGAACAAAACAGTATCCTTTTCCTTATGGAACTTATGGGCTAGTGAGGAGAGACAGACAATAACCAACAAGTGTGATTAAATAAGTTACATAGAATGTGTAGCAGGCATACATATACCTACCATACACCTCTAGACTGGTATGAATACTGTGTGAGGGAAAAAAAAGAGCCTCCAACTGAGAGGATTGCAGGGGAAGCAGTATCCTAAGAGGACAGCTAAGTTTTCATTAGAGTAAATCAGTGCAATGTATAAATCTAGCAAAATGTTAGGAAAAGTTTTCACTAATAAAGTCCGTCTTGTAACATGGACTTCCAGGACAATACTGGACCTTGTTAAACACAGAATGAAGTCAACCAGAAAGTTTGCAACAAAAACAAAACTGAAATTGCAGTTCTTGACAATATACGTTTCTTTGTTCAACTGAATTTTTTGAATTTATTGCTGACTCTATGTTTAGGGTGTGTGTGTGTGTGTGTGTGTGTGTGTGTGTGTTTGTGTGTCTCCCACTAAGGCAATAGAGTTGATACTGGTTTGGCAGTTGTTTAATATATGCATATTTATATTTAAGACTCAAGCATTAAAATTACTGTTAGGGTCAAAGCACAATGGTAACTTATACATGTGCTCTACAACTGACATGCTAAAGACTTAGGAAGTTTTTTTCTTGACAGTCTGTCAGCTATCACTTATGGTTCTTAGTGGTTCCAAAGGCTCATTTGTTCCAAATCTGATCCTCATAAAATTGATTATATATCTATAGGTATGTAATTGTTTTAAATTTTGAAGCATGGATTTTATTAACACTATTACAGTGCCTGACACTGTACTATTGACTACACACATACATACACACACACACATATATATATATATATACACATACATACATACACAGACCCCTTTATATATTTGTGTAACTGAAATAGATGTGGACATATATAACATAAGTGTGTGTGTATTTGTGTTGCTTAAGTAGATGAGTGTAGGTGGATGGATAGATAGACACACAGGTATGCCTAGTTGCTTAAGTAGATAAGTGTAGATGGATGGATAGATAGACATACAGGTATGCCTATCCATCCTCTATTGAGATAGAGATAAAAATTCTCTAAATGCTAGATTAATGGCATAGATTGACATGCAGTGGGAATTTATAGAAGAGAAAAATCATCGTAAGGCAGGACCAAGTCTGGTAATCATTAAAGAGGAGAATCTTGATTTTGTTCTTGATGGCAGAGCAGGGTATGGATTGATAGTGAGAAGTTGAGACATTCTGGATGATAGAGACAATATAGACAAATCCCAGAGACACAAGGAAGTATGGTGCGTGTACAAAATGACATGAGAACAATGGTCTAAGGATACTATGAAGTTTGTGAACAGTGAGGAGATTGGACCAGATGGATGGAACCAATTTGTTGATGGTTTTGATTTCTAGTTTAAAGAATTTTACCCAAATTCAGTGAGCCCTAGAGAGACAACATGGGTTCTACAATTGGTAATTGACATAGTTTAAATGACATTTTAGGAATATTAGGTAACTAAACAGGAATTGAGACGAGGACTTGGAACAGAAAAACAAATAGGATGCTATTGCTAAACTTTAGGTACAATTTAATGAGGTCATGAAAGTAGTGAGGAAGAGATGAGACTGAGGGACATTAGGTAAGAAGAGTTGAGCAATCTTGGTGATTACTGGATAAAGGAACAGATTCAAGAAGAAGATTCAGGACACAGTCACCACTAAAATATGGTAACAATGACTACATTATTATGAAATTATGGAGTTTCAGTAAGTTTAGTTAATTGAATGAGATGAGCAATGTGGGTGCCAGGTTTGATCATTTATGTAGAAGACCATGCTATTTAATACATCAATGCTGCACCAACATCCCACTCTTCCAGCTCCATAAAAACTGAATGTGAAGATAATTTTTTAAACCACATTTGCTATTGTTATTCTGATTATAAAGATCATATATATTAATGTAGAAAATTTGAAAATGAAGTATTTAGAAGACAATAAAATATCACCTGTGATTTAACCTTAATAACATTAAGGCATGGTAAATATTTATCTTCTGAAAGGGAATAAAAATTCCAATATTATTTTTGAAACAGTGAATGGAGATAATTAGGAAGATTTATTAGCAAGAAAGTAACATTTTTCTTTTTTCATTATAGAGCAATATCATAAAAGTTGGACAGATGAATAGCTAGTTGAGTGACATGTACAATAAATGAGAAATATGAAAAATTAATAATTAACGCTGTAAACTATAGAAACTTAAAATTGAATTGAGATAAGCACTGCCACCTAGCAAAACAATAACAGACAGGAATAAAGAAAAGGGAGAAAAGCTGAAAAATGTTACATGATTCATTCTAAGAAGGCCTATGAGCGTGAACTGCTGAACACACTAAGCTTTCAAGGATAAGGGATGAAGTACTTCAAAAGCAAAAAGTTTTGATCTCTTGCTTTTCCTGATGGATTCTATTTAAATTGTATACAGGACTAGCATCACTATCAATGCTATCAAATATCTTGTGCTTTCAAACCTGTGACTGACAGAATTTTTTAAAAGTATAGATGTGTTTTTACCTCACATAGTGATTGCTGCATTTGTTAAATAAGTTATTTTTAAAAACAGATTCTAAAGGACTTGCCAATATATAACACAGACCTTTGTATGGCAATAGATAAGATTATGTAGGCATGATGACAAGACTGGAAAGATCTTTGTATATAAAATTTATTATATATTTTATCAATAGATTATTAATATGGATCAGTTAGTAAGCAAGTATTAATAGTATTAAGTACTTTTTGACGTTCTATTTCCTTACCAGATTACATGGGGAATTTTAAAAAGGCAATAGTTACTTTTACTTTTATCACACTCAACATATATTTATCATACAGTGCTTGATACAAACATGGTAGAATTGTCAATATATGCTTGTTTAACTGAAGTAGATGAATACACATATACATAAACATTGCATATATATATGTGTGTGTGTGTGCATATGTGTGTGTGTGTGTGCAATCAATTACTATATTAGAGTGCAATAGGATTCAGAGAAGGAAAAAAATTGTTATAAGGCAGGGGCAAGTTTGGGAATAGCTCATTAAACTTGAGCTTTGTCCTTAAGAGCAGAGCAGGGTATGGATTGATTGACAGTAGGAAGTAGAGATATTCTAAGCAGTGGGGACAGTATAGACAAAACTCAGAGGCAGAATCAATTTGCAACTTGTGTAAATCATGATAAATACAATGGACTAAAGAAACTACTAGGTGTATATTGAACAGTGAGAAGATTGGACAGTCGAGTTAGAGCCAATTGTTTGACAGCTTTGGGTGCTAGTTTAAGAGATTTAAACTAAACCCAACAGGCAAAAAAGAGCCAATATGGGTCTTCAATTGGTGACTGAAATAGTCAAAGTAGTATTATAGGAAGATTAAAGAATTAGGCAGTATATGAGATGGGAAGGAATTTGAAACAAGAAAGATTAAGGAGCTATTGCTAAATTCTAGGCATGAAGTAATAAAGCTGTAGGAGGATGAAGAAAGAGATGAATCTGAATGGATGTTGAGAAAGAAGTTAGCTGAGTGTTGGTGATTTACCATATTCACAGAGTCAAAGGGAAGGAGAGACAAGAATAAGAGCTGACTAAATTTTGAGTATAAAAGTGAGAATATTTACTTCCGGCACTGCTGATTAGAATATATTCTGGAAAAAACTTTCAGAAAATCAGTTTTTCAATTTTATTTCCTGTAATCGTCCTAAGAAAATCAGAAATATAAAGAAACATATATAAATTGTTCATATTTATCTTCATAAAATAATTGAAATAACCAAAAATAATCAACAATCGGAGATATATAATAAAGAAGTGATAGTAAAGTAGAAGCCCTCTCATCTAGCCTGGTTGTATCTATTAATTGGTTGATTAATGGAAAAATTTCAGTCAAGTGGAGAATCATTAAGGTGATATGTACATGCCCTAAATATATTTACTTCAAACATAAAAAGGTACATTCGTCATTTTTCGATGTAGAGCTATGCCCTTTCCTCTGAGTATGATTCTAATAATGATTATACCCATTAAATATTGTCTATAGTATCCAGTATCCATTTCTTTAAAATGAACTAAGAATTCAGTGACATCTGCCAAACAACTTAAGTGCATAATTTCTCTAGATTTTTATTACTTTTTCTTGTTGTTTTGCCCACCTAATTAAGCAGCAAAGTTTTTAATTACTCACCTTCTTCCATTGCCACTCCTTAGCCACTATAAGGACAGGCTCCTATTCTGAAGAATATGGAAAACAATTGCAATTTTAAACAGAGGATGCATGATCTGAAATATATTTTAACAGAATCACTTTGGCTGCTCTGTTTGAGAATGGACTGTGGTGGGGGAGGGAGAACTTTTGTGCACTTTGTATTCCATAATCATTCTGATGCAAAAACAATTGTAACTCTCTTTCTAGTGTCTACATTTCCTGTGAGCCCCAGTTGTGAATAGCAGAAATATGGAGGCATCTAGGAAAACCTAGGGGCAGGAGGGGCTGGGAGGGAATAAGACCTTTCAAGGTGTTTAAAGAAGGGACAAAGATGAAGAAGCAGGCATAGTTTCTGAAGAGGTTTTTTGGTTTTTGTTGTTGTTTTCATTTACCTAATTAGTTCTCAACTGCAGAGGCACATTAGAATCTTCTGGGGAATTTTTAAAATACCACTGCATGGGCCACCTGTCATATACACTGATGTAATTGGCCTGCGTTGGGGCCTAGGTGTCTCTCTCTCTCTCTCTCTGTCTCTCTCTCTGTCTCTCTCTCTCTCTCTCTCTCTCTCTCTCTATATATATATATATATATATATAAAATATATATATATATATAAAATATATATATATATATAAAATATATATATATATATAAAATATATATATATATCTCCTGTTCTGTATATATCTATATATCTATAGATATATATAGAACAGGGGATACCAGTGTGTACCTACCATTGAAATCAATTGTTTTCAAGTCTTTTTAGGTCTTATTCTCAGATGGTCTTGGGTAAGTGGTGGCTGATTGCCTTCAGCATCTAGAACAAAACACTCTATGGCCTAGAGGAATTCCAGCTGGCATCTATGATCTTATTCTCTTGAGGTAGGGCAGCTAAAGGGAGGATTATCTTCATGTTGAGTCTGATGGCAGGGTAATTTGCTTCATGTGGAGGCAAAGGGATATTGTTAGTTTTGCAGCTACATTGGGAGTTCTAAGTAGCCACATCTCAGGCTAAGAGGAAGTCCAGATTGGTTCAAACCTTTTGTTAATTATCCTTTGTAGGAATGGACCACGCAGTATCCCTCAAGGAAGAATCAAGAATGTTTCCACAGAGAATATACATATTTCATCTCTTTCTCTGATGAATGGATGCCCACTGAAAGCCATGAATTACTCTTATTAGACCCTGTAGAATCCCAGTTTATGGCAGTGACATTAAAAACACCTAGTTTATGACTTGGATCAGGCAGCCTGTAAAATGGCTTCCAGTGATCCCTGCTTTCTGGTATGTATGCCCTTGTATAATACCCTCCTCATGAGTGTAGGCAGAGGTAACATCGCTTTTGAAACTAGGCTATATATATTAAAATAAAAAAACAAACCTGTGGCTTCCATTTTGGGTACTTCATCTCACACTTTCTGATTTCTTGCTCCGTGGGAAACAGACTGTAATGTTGTAAGCAGTGCTATGGAGAGGTCCATGTGGTTAGGAAGTGATAGGTCCTGATAACAGCCAGTGAGGATCTAAGGTGGATCCCTTTCTGAGTTGAATATTGAGATAGATGACTACAGCCCTGGTCTACACCTTGATTGCAGCCTCATGAGGAATTCTGACCAAAAACACTGTGCTGAACCATGCCCAGGCTCCTGAGCCACATAAACTATGAGAAAACAAATATTTGTTTCAAGCCATTAAGTTTTAATTTGTTACACAGCAATAGATAACTAACACATGGAAGGATTCATCAAGAGAAGGGTTTTTCATAAGTGAAATGTTATTTTCATCTCACATTTCAATTATTAGAATATAAATGAAAGAAAATAAATTTTGATAGGCTCTCATAAATTCAATGATAAGAACTTGGAAAATGCAACCACATGATAACCAGGAAGTAAAAGGAAAACATAAGAGGCATCTTCCCAGATGAGAGTAAATATCTGGTTCCTTGAGAAGTGTAGTTTGAGAATGGAGAAATCAGATGTTATTGGAAAGAGGCTAGGACTGTATTATTTCTTGCTTCCTGTCAAGTTTTTCAACTCAAGAGAAAGTAAATTTTCCTGACAAACCATTCAAAATTAAAGGATAGGTGGGAGTATATGTGTCCCTGAAGGAACAAGTGACCTTCATTGAAAGCAGCAGCTTGGTTGAATAAATACTGTACAGAAGTGGAATAAAGAGTAGCTGACAACAATGCTGAAATAGTTACACATGAAGTTTTAATGAGCTATTTCATATTAAGATACATATTGAGAATTCAAACCAGAGAGACCAGTTAATAGATATTTTCCCAACTCTGTTTTAGGGTGATCATAGAAATGATACCCACAAGTTAGTCATAGTGGCCTGCATCCATTTCGATGTATCAGTGATGTATTCTGATTGGCCAGTAATCACCCATACTGACTGTTAAATATTTTTGTTATCACTCCTATGCGTGGTGAATTTGAGTTCTGGTTTTCTTTAGCCTTGTGTTATTTATGTGTAAAGTTGGATTATGGGAGGCAAATAATCTTTTGTGTCTCATTCACGCTCAAGTAAATGGCAGTGGAGTAGGGATGTAAACCAAACTGCATGATAAGCCCTGCAAGTCATTCTGATGTATCAATTTTGCTTACTGGTGTTTAATTGCAGACATTGTCATATTAACGCAACCACAAATATATTATGGAGTAAGATGCAAAAATCACATGAGTCTTAAGAGAAAAGAAATGTTCCGTCTGTGGTGGGCCCCCTTTGCATTATTCTCTAACTTCTTATTTTACACCTCTACTATTAGAGAAATTTCAGTAGAAAATCGTAAGGGGCACTGTTTTAGAGTTTTTCTTGTTATAGGATTGCTTTTACTACAGCTAGGTCCCCTCGCACATCTTTATGTTCTTTGGCAGTCTAGAGAACCAGAAGAGCAAACTCTATGAGATAGAAACCCTAAGAATTTACCTCCAGCATCCCTTCTCTTCTGTCATTAAATTGAATTTGTAGCCAACTCAAAGGCTGACAATTTATACTATGGTTTTTATTTTTTATATTATAATTTATATTATGGCTTATGTCAAAATGTTTTGTTCACTGCTTTGAAAGTATCTTTTGTTTACTTTTGTTATCATTTCATGTTTTAATTTTTTCTTTTCTAATTGTTAGAAACTCATGTATTTAATTTTATCTTTCAAAGAACATTTTTAAAAGGCTTACTCTGCTTATATGTATATTTTGCACAAAGCTTTCCATTCATAAACAAAAGGTGAATAGGAATCAGAATTGAAAACTACATAATTTCTTTTCTCCTTTTGAGTCAAATCATCACAGTATAGATTAGTCATTGTGTATGAAGTGCATTGCCAAGACATAGTCACATTTGTGTACAAATGTAAAGGCTATATCTCAACAGAAATAAAAAACAAAAACATGCCAAAGACCATTAGCTAATAATACTAATAATCGAAGAGTAGAAAGCATGTGCTAACTGATCTAGACTCTTGTGACAGCTGTATATCTACCCAGCTGCGTGACCTTAGGTGTATCAAAATCTCAATTTCCTAGACTACAAATGAGTAAGAGGGATGGAGGCCCCTTACAGTTTTAATATTCTAGAATTCTAAAGGTGTGTAACTAGAGCAAATTTTATTTTCTAAAATTTGCATAATAAATTTAAAAATAGGAGAAAAACAAATAATTAAAGTACATATTTCTAGAAGTCTTTTTTAGGTGACTTATACTACCAGGAATGGATTTACCACTAAATGTTGGTTTTGCCTAATTCAGCATTGCTATGTAATTTGATGGAAGTATAACTCCATAGACAAAGAGCATTTGGTCCTAACATAGCTTGTATTTTATATGTATATACACTATTTCTATTTAAATTTCTGTATAGTCATGTTTTACCCTTTTAAAATGAAGATTAGTTTTAGTGTGTATTTTCTTTTGTCTATAAACATTCAGTGAATTCACACTGAAAACTGATTATGAACAGATAGTCTGCTAGGCACTAAGGAAACACATATGAAAAACTAAGTCCTCCTCTGCCCTCAATATGCTCACAAGACTACAGTTACTGAAGCCTGACCTCAAAACCTAGCTAGCAAAGTCCTTGAATCAGGTGATAGTTCAGAATACCATTCATGCTCTCTCCCAAGAGTATATCTGAGGAAGGGCAGTTCTTTCTAGTTTTCTACATCCTGGTCGTATAGGTCAACCACAGGAAAATTAAATGAATCTATTGTTTTTGTTGACCTAGCCTTTTCATATAACTCTCATCTATAAATGTATTACCAAATACTATTTATGTAAAGGGACTTGAATGACAAATATTTTGAAATTAAAACCACAGTGGTTAGCATACCTTTTAAATTAGATAAATATTGACCTCCCATTGGTGAACATATAAAGTGCTACCAAGATCTGCCAATGAAAGACTTTTGAAGTGGAAATTCATCCTTGTAATAATCCTGTTATCTGTAGGCTGACCTCAAGCCTTCATGACATTCAGGGCCCCTTATTCTTAACTGCATCTTCTATTTTGGGCATTGTGCTCTTGCCATCTAACAGGAAAACAACTTTCAGTGCTGCCACCTTTTGAACAGCAGAGATTTCTAGAGATTAGAAAATTACTAAATTTAAATATACATAGTTTTAAAATATGATATTTTCTACCCATGCATTCAAATATATTCTAACTTTAAAATCCTGTAAATACTTATATTTGTAATGATTTTACTTATATGATCCAATTAATTGGCAAGAATATGTGGTGAAAGATTTTTTACATATTTGTATTGTTCTGTGTGAGACATCTATTGTAAGCATTGCTTCAGGCTCTTATTTTTGTCTGCCTTCCAGGATTTGCTGGCCCAAGTGCTGTGTGCTAGACTTAGTGTCAGTCAGAAAAGGGAGGGAAACTTGCCGTTGAGCCAGACAGTTTTGTTATTCCTTTAAAATTAAAAGCATATGAAACAGATACAGCTTATTAAGGTTTTTTTTTTATAAATAACATAAACTTAAATAACAAAACAATAAAGTTCAAAAACAACTTAAAATAGAGTTTAATGCTGTAACCATAGGAAAAAAGCATGATTATTTGTGGGAAGAACATTATTAAAAGCCATATTCCCAAATATGAATTATACAAAGATAGATTATGTTACTTGAAAAAAACTTAAAGATTTCTCAATTTTACTTTGAGGATTTATAAAATGTTATTTTGTGGCAAGTAAGATGAAGTACAGTATTATCATCAATCACTGTTGCTATCTTATATACAAGATTTTTGGAAACATCCTTTTAGCAATACCCTTTCCACTTGAGCAGCATTAGAAATTTTGTTCTTATTTATAGGTATAAGCATGTTCTAATCCTGTACTTTTGTTAAATTATCTATTTTATTGACTTTCATAATAGTTTTTTTGAGAATTTTTTTTCTGATTAGAGTTTAAGTAGATTATAATTTTTCACTAGAAAGCATTTAAAATGCTGCTCATTTTCCATAGTTAGTGTGGCTTGATTATCTGACAAATCCTGCCAGAAGCCTGTAGGTCTGATATACCTTATATAACAACATCTGTATTATTATTATTATAGCAGCCATTTTATAAGCAGATAGGAATATTTAAATAATCATTATCAGATAATCAAATCTAACATACTCTTAAGGGTAAATTAATTTAAGAAAAAAATTACTGTTACTAACATCATGATTGTACAACCAGTTTTACAATTTTTTACAACCTTTAGTTACTAAATCTGATTTTTGTGTATACTTTTCAAATCTTTCTTTAATGCAGTGTCTTAAAACAAACATAAATGCACAAGTCCAGCTTGATCAGTTTTTCAGTAGTTTTCCAGCCTTTCTTGATTACTAAAAAATAAAAGGAAAGAAAATTTTGAGAAGAAAGAAAACAGTCCACTTAAAGAAATCTCCCTGCTGGAACTGGTTCTTTATATACCATATGCAATTAAGTTATTGCCATAGGAAGAAAGTGGGCTGTTTTTTGTTCTTTCTTCGTTTTTTTTCCTCTTACAGGAATCCCCTTTTGATTTAAGGCAACAAACATTTCCCCTCCGTTGTGTGTCCATTTAGCTGATGCATATGTGTTGTAATGGTTTTCCAGAATTAGTTCTTTGAAGTTACAATCTTCATTGCATTCTTTCTGTTAAAACAAACAAACAAACAGACATTATCCAAATGATTTTTAGAGAGGCTCAATTAAACGAAGAGTAAGCAGGTAATATTTGGTAGAATTGAAACATACACAACTTTTTTTAACCCTCAGATTGAGCAGGCCTAATGTGGTTTATTAGCTATACTTATGTAGTATATTTGCATAAAAAGGTATCTTAAATTTGAAATAAAAACACCACATAATACACAGCTAGTTATGAAATATGTGTAGCTTTTTGGAAGTTCATGTCAACTATTCTTTAAATTAGGACCTATTTCCCCCTAAGTAACAGGCCTCATATTACTTATTCCCACATCACTCATTCTTTAACCACTGGAAATTTGGTATAATTAGCAGAACCTCTGCCTCCCTCAGGTGAGAGACTTGTTTCACAACTTTATTTACTTCTACATTGTCTTCAATGGTAATGGAAGATAAAAGGTTAATTTGTTTGTTCATCCATGCAACCATTTGTTCATTCAATTAAACCTGTATCATTATGCCTAGCTGTGGGAATACAAAGGAAAGCCAATTATATTTTATTATGGTGGGATGAACTGTTACATATTTTGCATTGTAGTGAAGTGGGGACAATGTGAATAATTACATTTCAATGCCCATGATTGTGAGATTGATGTTGATGAATGAACTAAACATTTCAAGATTTTTTCCCAAGAATTTTCATGTCAGCAATGTGCAAATTGGGTGAACTTTAACAAAAAGAGCTTTAATACTGGCAAATGGAAATTTTGGATTTTAAATATCTAAAATGCACATGGAATTTTAGAGCTGGAAGGATCCTTAGAGGTCAGTTAATTCAACTCATTTTACAGATGAAGAAACCAAAATCCAAAGAACAAGCCATTTGTCCAAAGTCACACAGAAAACATTTTTTCTTAACGTTTGAGTATAAAGTGTTTTAATAAAATCATTAAATTATACAGTTGGAGATAAATTAATTCCATTTTTACTTTTCAGAAAGGTGAGATATTTTGACAAAAATGAGTTTTAAAAATTAAGCCTAAGCTATCAATTATCAATACCTTTGCATAGAGTTTTCCTTCCTTGTTCATTGCAAGATAGAATTCACTTTCCACCCCTTTGATTGCCACAATTCCAACTGCCACTGTCCTGATTTCCATGATATCTGCAAGGAATCACAGAAAGACATGTCAAATATTCGTTCAGTTTTGCAAATGATCCACGAATGGCCATTTGTTCTTATTTCTGTTTTAATCGGAAGTTTTTAAAATTTTTAATGTGATTATTTACTCAGCCCAAGACCCCTGACCCACAACAGATACACACAAACACCAAGATAGTCATTATATAAGGGAAGTGCAAACCGATGGTTTTTTATTTTGTAGAAAATGTGTCTGTATCAAATAAATAGTTACATATTTGAGTTCAGCTTTTTATTCTCTAGAATTAAATTTCTAATTTACTATAATAATAATAGCTAATGTTTATTGAACTCATACCACATGCCAAGGATTATTGCATTGCTCTTATGTATTAACTCATTTACTCATAACCACAGATTGAGACAGGTAGTCTTGTTATCCCAGTTTTACAGATCAGGAAACTGAAGCACAGAGAAACTAAGAAATTTGCCCAAATTCTTATACCTGATAAGTAGCAGAACTGGAATTTGAACCCAGACATTCTGGCTCTTAATCATTATATAATTACTTTTCTATTTGGATAAACTTTATCTTAAAAATTATTGCCAACAGAATAGCTCTTGAATATACTGAAAGTGAAGAAAATTCTAATTAAAGCAAGTGTAAATGATGGTAAACAGAGCCTACTGCCTTAAAAAAAAGATTGTTTTAAACTGATAGTATTTTGATACATTAAAAGACCATTTAAAACAAAATTATGAATCCTGTTTATATAATACTTCATAACTTTATACCTTTGTAATTAACTTTTAAATCTTTGTTGAAATAGTATTTACAAAATGTGTTTACACAAGAATGGTAACTTACTATTTTCCTTTATTATATATATCTTCCTTAAATCCTGTGTTTTAATGACACACTAAATAAAGTAAAATCTCAAGATATTTATTAAAATGATGTAATAATTAAAATTTTAATGTACTTTTATGCAATTTGCTATTAATTACATTTTCTACATGAAGGTACAGTCCTGAGACATTCTTTTACCTATGTCTAACACAGTGCAAAGAAAAGTCAAAGTGTCAATTATCTGTGTGATTGGGCCTTCAAAAACTATTTTCTAAAATATTGACTTAAAGAAAAAACTAATTGTTTTGCCCCATACCTTCACTTCATTCTCTTATTTATTTTTTTTACTTCATTTTTGCTACCTGGATAATAAAATTTCTATTCATGTCATTGGGATTTAATGTAGCCCAGCTAATATTTGTCATTTGCCTCACATATATGTTGCATATAGAAGCCCTTTTCCCAATATACTATACTTAACACTAGTCAGAGCTCGTCCAGTTGAGAGTTTCACAGCTACTCATCTAGAAATTGGGTTTTATTAAGAAAATGCAAATGAATGGATATTAATCTTTTATATATTTATTAAGCATTATCACAATGCATACAACCCTACTGTGGTTTTAGGACACAAATTAAGAAAAACAGCCCTGGTTTCTGACACCAGAAGTTAAAACCTAATAGAAACAGCAAACACGTCCATATATTTTGCAGAATTTTGAAGAACACAGGCCTGAATAGGCTAGAGAAAATTTTAATAATTGCTTACAAGCACATGAAGGATTATGATGTTGATGCATTCATGTAACGTTCAACACATCTTCACTGAGAGCCAATTCTATGCTAGGCTTAATTCACAGACAAGCCTTGCCCTTTTAGAGCACTCTATTTGGTAACTACAACTTCATTGCAGTAAAGGAAGCACAAAGGGAAATAACATGCAGAAGAATACTATTAGGTTAAATTTGTACTAATAAAATGAAAAATACTGAAGAAATTCATTGATTCAACATATTTGCAATACCTCCAAAATGGAATAAATGTATCAGTTAGGTTGGTGCAAAAGTAATTGTGGCTTTTGCCATTACTTTTATGACAAAAACTGTAATTACCTTTGCACCAACCTAATATTTAAAAGACATATGGAATAGTTGGTTTCTAAAGATCTTAGCATTGTAAAATATCATTAAGAAGTCAATATTTTCTTTTCCTTCAAGTCTCTTTACTCCTGCCATTCCTCCCTTTATTTAATATATTTTCTTTTAGATAAAAAGAGAATGCTGATGCACAAGTTTAGAGTGTCTTTCATGATCAGTTATTAGGGACTGGAATCTGTAATGTTTGCTGGCTTTTCTTTTACAGAACAATTGTAAAACATAAATGTTGACTGATAGAGTTATTATTAATTATGATAGGCAGACATCTTCCCTTTTTGGTCCAGTCATGACAATAAGTTCATATTGCCCCTCTCCCAAAACATTTTCCTCTATCCCCTGCCTGTCTATTGCCCACTGTTTCTTTACTGCACTTTACAAAGGGGATGGCTGGATGTGGTAGCTCACACCTGTAATCCCAGCACTTTGGGAGGCCGAGTCAGGCGGAACACTTGAGGTCAGGAATTCAATACTAACCTGGCCAACATGGCGAAACCCCGTTTCTACTAAAAATACAAAAAATTATCCGGGTGTGGTGGCGGGTGCCTGTAATCCCAGCTACTCAGGAGGCTGAAGCAGGAGAATTGCATGAACCCAGAAGGCGGAGGCTGCAGTGAGCCAAAATGGCGCCACTGCCCTCTAGCCTAGGCAACAGAGTGAGACTCCGTCTCACCAAAAAAAAAAAAAAAAAAAAAATTAGTTGGGCATGGTGGTGCATTCCTATAATTCTAGCTACTTGAGAGGCTGAGGCAGGGGAATCACTTGAACTTGGGAGGCAGAGGTTGCAATGAGCCGAGGTCACACCACAGCACTCCAGTGTGGGTGGAGTGAGGCTCTGTCTCAAAATAATAGATAAATAAATAAATAAAAATAAGGTGATGAACATTTTTAATCTTATCCCTCCACATATTAGGGTTAAGGATACCAAAAATTCTTTGTAAAGATTCTACGTTTAACTGAGATGAGAATAGACTTATATTCTTAATTGCTTGACATATTTAAAAAATACCATTAACACTGGGAAATCAACATATCTAAAAGACAATTGCTTGGGAAGAGCATTAAGCAGTGTTGGCAGAATCAGTAGCTTATCAACCCTATTTTCTAGTCTATTTTGTTCCATGTCCTACAACCCTCTTTTATTCAAGAAAAGCTCAAGAATAAAGAAATTAACATTATCACTCTTTTGTTCACTTGCAGTGTGGGGAGTGATGTTCCTTTCAATATGCACAAATATTTATAGAAGTGTTAACTATGGGCGGAGCGCAGTGGCTCACGCCTGTAATCCCAGCACTTTGGGAGGCCAACGCGGGTGGATCACCTGAGGTCAGGAGTTCAAGACCAGCCTGGCAAATATGGTGAAACCCCATCTCTACTAAAAATACAAAAATTAGCCAGGCATGATGGTGGGTGTCTGTAATCCCAGTTACTCGGTAGTCTGAGTCAGGAGAATCATTTGAACCTGGGAGGCGGAGGTTGCAGTGAGCCGAGATTTCACCATTGCACTCCAGCCTGGACAACAAGAGCTAGACTCCATTTCACAAAAAAAAAAAAAAAAAAAAAAAAAAAAACAGAGGTATTAACTATGAAATCCTACCCTCCAAATCAGAAGCCACGAAGTTGCTCAGAAAACATAATAGAAAAATATGTAATATGCAGATATTAAGTTAGTTACCAATATAAGTTAATTATACTTGGTCTTTTTGTCTACAGTGTATCCGTTGCCTCACATAAAACAAATAGAAGAGGCTGTCTTTCTTTGTGGATTTCCATTTGTGCTTAAGAGAAGTTTGTTCACATTAAGTAGTACCCAGTAAATTTATTTCCAAAGATTTAAAGCATATTACATAGATGCATCAAATTGTTGACATAATGTCCATGATAGCATAATGGTAGAGTTCAAAAATATAAATAAAAGAGAGAGAGAATCAGCTCATGCAATAGAACATGAAAAACCAGGCAATATGTCAAGCACATTGACCATTTAGCCTTGTCAGCAATATTGTCAATAATAGCACAAATTTATTATTTAGGATGTCACCCTTACACACTAGAGACTATGCCCTAAATAGCTTCCCTATTTTTTATCCTCTGGTTCAATAATTCATGAATTTATCTAAACCTTTTTGTCTGTTTATTATTTAAACCTGTATCACACTTGGAATGAAAAATGGGAAACTTTGATCTAAATTGCAATTACTTTTTAAAAAAATTCTCTAAAATCTTTCATAATTTTAGGTGTCCCTCTAATCTTGTATTTCAGAAATTGATACTAATTCTTTTTTTAATTACCAATAGCTTTGTGATTTTAAAGTGCTTTAACTTTCCTATTTGAAAAATTACTTTTTAGTGTCTCACTACACAGAATCCATGCCCACCAATCTCAGCATCATTAATATTTCTTTTTCCTGAAACATTTAAAGCTTTATATTTAAAGTTTTGAAGGGGTATATATTAATATGGCTGTGCTAGCATGATAACTAAATATTATTTTCAAGTTGGAAAAAAAGTGGAGGCAGTGGTTTGATGGTTAGCCAATCAGAACATTTAATCTTGTCCTTGATCAAATATACCCTCTTTGGCATGTTAAAACTAAGAACTAGTATCAACAAAGAAAAAAACATTTAAATTTAAATACATTTTATGATTTTCTGTCAAGCCTGGATTGTTGAGTGGGAAATCTTAACTATTATATATTTTTATTATGTTTAAGGCTATAGATTCCATTCATTTTACATCACTAAAATACACCGACATATACATATATGCAAAAAATATATCAATATATCCAACATATACAAAAAACACTGAAAACACAACAATAAGAAAAAAAAAACCTAGTTAAAAAGTGGGCAAAATCTGGACACCTCACTAAAGATACACAAAGGGCAAATAAGCATATGAAAAGATGCTCAATATCATAGATCATTAAAGAATTGCAACATGGATGCAGCCGGAGGCCATTATCCTAAGCAAATTAACACATGAACAGAAAACTAAATACTGCATGTTTTCCCTTATAAGTGGGAGCTAAACACTGGGTACTTAGGGACATAAAGATGGCAACAACTGACACTGGGGACTACTGGCGGGGAGTAGATGAGGGAAGGGTTGAAAAACCATTAGGTACTACGCTCAGTACCTGGGTGATGGGAGCAATCATACCTCAAACCTCAGTATCACACAATATACCCAGGTAACAGACCTGCACATGTACCCCCTGAATCTAAAATAAAAGTTGAAATTATTTAAAAAGGAATTGCAAATTAAAACAACAATGAGATACCTCTGTACAACTATTAGCGTGACTAAACTCCAAAAAACTAACAGTGCTGTATGCTGGCAAGGATGCAAAGCAACCAAAACTCTTTCATTACTAGTGGGAATGCAAAATGGTGCAGTCACATGGGAAGACAGTTTGGCAGTTTCTTAAAAACTAAACATACTCTTACTATATAATCCAGCAGTCATGCCCCCAGGTTTTTGCCCAATTGAATTGAAAACTATGTCCACACAAAAACCTGAACATGACTATTTATAGAAGCTTTATTCGTATCATCAAAAACCAGACGCAACCCACATATCCAATAGGTAAATGGATAAACAAACTATGGTACACGTATACACTGGAATATTATTTAGCAATAAAAAGGTATTGAGCTGTGAAGCCACAAAAAGACAAGGGGAACCTTAAGTACATATTGCTAAGTGAAAGAAACCAGTCTGAAAAAGCCACATACTGTATGATTCCAGCCATATGACATTCTGGCAAAGGCAAAACTTTAGAGACAGTAGTATCAGTGGTGGCAAGGGCCTTGAGGAGAGCAGAAAAAGGATGAAAAGCTGAATCACAGGGGATTTTTAAATCAGTGAAACTATTCTGCGTAATACTGTAATAGTGGATACATGATATACATTTGTCAGAACTCATAGAACTATACAAAGCAAAACGTGGACCTTAGTATAAACTGATGGCATAAATAAATATTGGCTCATCTGTTGTAATAAATGTGCCACATTAGTGCAAGATATTTATAATGGAGGAACTGTGGGGGGAAATGGAGATTGTTTATGGGAACTCTATTATCTGCTCAATTTTTTTTTTTTTTTCGAGACAGAGTCTCGCTTTGTCGCCCAGGCTGGAGTGCAGTGGCGGGATCTCCGCTCACTGCAAGCTCCGCCTCCCAGGTTTGCACCATTTCCCTGCCTCAGCCTCCCGAGTAGCTGGGACTACAGGCACCCGCCACCACGCCCGGCTAATTTTTTTGTATTTTTAGTAGAGACGAGGTTTCACCGTGTTAGCCAGGATGGTCTCAATCTCCTGACCTTGTGATCTGCCCACCTCAGCCTCCCAAAGTGCTGGGATTACAGGCGTGAGCCACCACGCCTGGCCTATCTGCTCAATTTTTTTTGTAAATCTAAAAGTGTTCTAAAATACAAAGTCTACTAATTTTTAAATGCAGCTGACTTTAATAATATAATATCATTGAGTGTAGAGAAACTATTTGTACCGACATTTTACATTATTTATTTATGTCCAAAATATATAGAACATATGTGATTTATTAATTACTATTAAAAATGTCTTTGGTAATGGATTAAGATCTTCTTACCCAATGGATAACTTCTTTTTGTGAAATATGGACAGTAAAGAGGAGTAAGGTCATAATAAAAACACACTTTGGAAATTGTAGGATACAAATACTGGATATACAGACCACTGTTTCACTTGTTAAGTGTACAGTATCTCTCAGGTGTTTGGGAATGGAAAACAAGAGCCAGTAATATTTTAGAAACTTGATCTGATTACTTTAATTATGATATCCTATCTGGATATTAATAAATATATACAAAAATTCAGTTAGTATTTTCTTTTTCCACAGAAAAAATAAAATAAGTGATACCTGGCAGTATATGCCAAATGCAAAAAAAAAAAAACCAAAAACAAAAAAACAAAACAGCAAAATAAATAGGAATTCAGAAGAAAGAAGTGGTCAAGTGGTCAACGGAGGATTTGAGGAATAGATAGAGCTTGAATTAGATCTTGATGGATGAATAGAGTTGACATAGGTAGAAAAGATGGAAACATGCTAATTGAGAGATAAAAGTACTATGTGCAAGGCCATGGAAGCAAAGATTCAAAAGTCATGTTCAGAAGATTGAAACTAGAGCTGTATGTCTGGAATAGGAAGTGTAACAAAATAGTGAGAGGGTGGAAAAAGAGTTAGGGCCAAATTGTCAAGGGTCTTGAACCTCCCAGGATCAAGCAATTCTTGTTCCTCAGCCTCCCTTGTAGCTGCAATTACAGGCATGCGCCACCACGACCGCCTAATTTTTGTAATTTTAGTAGAGACCCGGTTTTGCCATGTTGGCCAGGCTGGTCTCAAACTCCTGACCTCAGGTGATTCACCTGCCTCAGCCTCCCAAAGGGTTGGGATTACAAGTATAAGCCACCGTGCCCGCCCCAGCTGTAAATTTTCTGCAAATTGTGTACATTCTTGGGAATTGTTACAAAGTAAAAAAAATATCAAATTGTTTTTAGATGTTATGAAAAAATTAATAAATTTAATAAATAATAAAGTTAGCATAATATTTTATTTGTTAAATATCTGCTAATCTGTATATTTTATTTTCAAATTTTACTGTCACTATCTTAATATTAAAGTTTAAATACATTTGCAAGCCTTTGAAATTTTCACAGGCTCCCATCTCTGTGCCTATAGGTCAAATGAATAAAATGTCCCTGCCCTTAACTCTGAAATCTTTTCAAAGGACTACCCTGGTTCCTTTTCACTAGCACCAACTTTCTTGAACACGTAGCCAGAATCTGCTCATTTTTCTTCAATTTAACTTTTGCATCCTAACTTCTAATCTCTTTATTGGCGTTCTCTCTTCAAACTCATGAATAAACTCCTAATTGCCAAATCCAAGAGTTCTTTCAGTAACACTTTATTTTATGCACTGTTTGGCTCACTTCACACTCCTTGTTCTATTCCTAATTCTCATGTTTCACTAATCATACACTACCGGAGTGCAGGGTGAAAAAATTAATCAAACTGATCAATTTTTGTGTAACCAATTCTATAGATCTTTTGTGATAATTTATTATATTGTATCTATGCTTAAAAGTATGTTTTCCATACCATTGTCTGAAATATAGTTTATTCTATCTTTTATAGTTTGAATTTTAAATATAAATTCAAATTATCTTAAATTCATCTGGAATTAATTCTGGGGTATGGTGTGAGATGATACTCTAAACCAACAGTCAGGGGACGGGAGCCGGGGGGAGGTTCAGGATGAAACTGTTCCACTTCAAATCGTCAGGCATTAGTGAGATTTTCGTACGGAGCACGCAACCTAGATCCCTGGCATATGCAGTTCACAATAGGGTTCACGCTCCTATGAGATTCTAATGCCACAGCTAATCTGACAGGAGGTGGAATGCTTGCTCACCCGCAGCTCATCTCCTGCTCTGCCGCCTAGTTCCTAACAGGCCATGGACCAGTACCGGTCCCCAGCCCAGGGGTTGGGGGCTCCTGCCGAAAACTGATATTTTATTCCTTGAAATAGCTATCTAGTATTTTCAACATTATTTATTAAACATTCTATTCCTTTTTTTACTGATGCCTCTCTTTTACCTTTTATTGACTGTTTTGTCCCATTGATTTACCTGTCTGTCAGCTATATAATCTCATTAATTTATTGTAGGTTACCAGTTTTCAGGTGGTTCATTACATTTACAAGTAGCTCTGATTGTGTTACCAATTATACGTGAATATATCCTCTGAAGCTATGCAGAATAAATCAATACCATTTCCACATAACAGCCCTTGAAAGAGGTGAAGACATTGATCATGCTTCCCATTATCCTTAGTTTCTTTGGCCCTTTCTCATACGGTATGAATTCCAGACTCTTTACCAGCTACATTATTTACTAAAAATAAGTATCTCAGCAAGAACTGGGCTGATATAGATAGCCTAAGACAGAATAGTGTTCATTATTTTCCTTGATATAGACCATAAATGTATTTTACAGTAATACAATCTCACCATCTCCTTAAAAATATTTTAAATCCTGTCATTATTTTAGAGTTTGAATATAATAAAAAGTTCGCCTATCAAAAATACATTTTGTTTTAGGTTAGTATATTTTTCAAGGTTATATTATAAAGTTTGTTTAAATATGTATTATATATAAAGGCAAATGTCAACTGTTCCCCTGCAACAAATGATGAATGTTCCTCATTTTCTTTACATTAATTATGTTTTTAAAAACCTCATGATTTTTGAAAAAATACATTTTAAAATGACCTCATACAGCATGTGTAGAATTAAAAGTGAGTTAAATAAATATATGTTGAAATATAAATGTTATAACATCAAAGATGACAAAATCTAGTTTTGGAATCTAATCATTAAAATTCTTTCTATGCTTTAAAAAAATTAGCTCACTTATTTTTACAATTTCTTTGGTTTCCAAATGTTGAAATAAGAGAAATAGTTTTATTCTTCTATTTGTAAATAGTGCTCCATAAATAAAATATTGCTGGGGTAGAGAGTCATTATACCCCTCCAAAACGTGAGACCAACTCCAATATGATTGTCACAATATTTTCTGTAACATACAAGTTATTTAACAAGTATTTACTGAGTGTTTATTGCCAGACCCATTCTTGGCACTAGGACTGTAGTGATCTGAAGAAAATTATCTAAAAGTTAACTGTAAATTGTCAAATATACATCAATTTAAAAAATAAAAGCGAATTTTGGAGTTATTTTATGCTTCTAATAACTTATATTTAACTCAATGTTCTTTATACTTTCTCTTGTTAACCAATGGTTTGTTAAGGTTATAAATTTAGCAGCATATGACAATGAATGAACTTATTTATATAATAGTGAACATCATCATGACTTCATTAAATGACAAAAGGATGAGTTAACTAAACTGTGAGTAAATCTGTCTCATCTTTCTAAATTCCTGGCATTCATATTTGATATGTTTGTGGAGGCACTCAAACCATTCTTTTCTAAATTGAAAAAATACAAAAATGTTTTTAAAAAATATTCAGTTGAAAAAAGATTACAGTATGCCTTTAGTTAAATTAATCCCCCAAGTACCTTTGGAAACATGAGTGGTCCACATACAATTGCTTAAGAAATGGTGAGTTTTAATTCAGCCACTTTAATTCTGTTTATAATTTGGCATGGAATAAATCACAAATAACTGATACATGAGTATATTAAAATGTATGGTACCCAAAAAATTAGATACTCCTTTCTCTTATTTGTCATTAGCAAATTTGGGAAATGTCTTCATCTGTAATGTCATGTAACTTTTCCATCTACTATTTATCATTACATCTGTGCTTTTTTTCTACCCATTTGAAGTTACACGTTTTGATTCTAGCCCTTTTCTTATGAGGCATAATAAGCTTTCTATTCTCTTCTTGTCATATCTTTGCCCCTTAAGTCTTCAAGCTTATGACAGTATAATGTCATTCATTGTGATGTTCATTCCTTCAATCATATGTACGCATTTTTCTCCCCAACTTTCTGAGCAAAGACTTTTAATTGTTCCCAACTTTTATTCTCTCCTTTTTCCATAGCAATAGAATTTTTAGCTGACTGCACAAAATAAACTTTCCATTTCCCAGTCTTTTTTGCAGCTTAATGTGGCCATGTGACCAAGTTTTAGCTGATGCGATTTAACTGAAGTGTCCTATGGCAACTTCCAAAAGTCTTCCATAAAAGGTACCCAGCAGAAGCCCTTTATGCTCACTTTTAATCACTTTATTCCACCTTCCTGCTGGAATTTGGATTCTACCTTGGGTTATGAGAACAAAGAGATTATGGAACGGTGAGCTAAATGGACTTGGAAACTTCCAGATGTTTTTGTGGAGCAGAGTTGTCACTCCTCCAGATGTTTATTGCATGGAGAAATAAACAATTTTTTAAGCCAAACTGAATCTTAACTAATGCACCCCAATTTCACTTTACTTCAAATGCGTTCTTCATAAAATGTACATAAAACTCCAGGAGCCTATTTTTTCAGTTATTCTAAGCTAACAGCCAGAAAGACAAGTCTTATTTTCAACACTGTTGTTAATGGCCAGGTGTTTACTTTCACAGCTTTTTTTTTTTTTTCACTTCTAAAGTCATGAGATAAAACTAGAAGAAAAAATGAAAACAACACCTGTGCTGTCATGTCTTTCACTTTCTTATCCAGAACTTCACTGTCACGAGGGATTCCAAGTTTCTTCCGGTGCTGTCATTTATTCCTGCATGTGTCAGCATTTAGTTAGCTTGATACGTCTTTTCTGGCTGCCCTTTAGATCTTGATACACGTGTCAGGAAGACCACAGCTCCCCACTCAGCAAACTGTCAAACCTGTGTTCAGCTGCTTCCTAGCCAAGAAATTACCTAATGTCAGCTAGCTTTTCTGGATGCTCATTATTGTTACATAAAGCATGAGATGCTGTTGTCACTCTCAAAAAGACCAGATTCGCCATTCTTGATTAGAAAATCATAACTTTCCATTTTTGAATAAAACAAGTCATTGATTACTTAACTATGTTCAGTACTCTACATATCTGTCATCTTTCTTCTGTATATAAATTCATTACATTTGCCATATTATTATTATTATTATTATTATTATTATTATTATTATTATTATTATTTTGAGATAGAGTCTCACTCTGTAGCTCAGGCTATAGTGCAGTGGCGCCATCTAGGTGCACTACAACCTCCGCCTCTCAGGTTCAAGCAATTCTCCTCCTTCAGCCTCCTGAGTAGCTGTAATTACAGGTTGTGCCACCACACCAGCTAATTTTTGTATTTTTAGTAGAGGAGGGGTTTTGCCATGTTAGCCAGGCTAGTCTCGAACTCCTGACCTAGGTGATCCACCCACCTCGGCCTCCCAAAGTGCTGGGATTACAGGCACGAGTCACTGTATCCGGCCTCACATTTGCCATATTCTTAATGATGGTTTGGATTCCCTAGCCTCTTTAGAATTTTTCTTCTTGGCTTCCTTTCTGAATTAGTTTTTCTACTCCCTTTAAAAGTACTTATCTTTTCTAATAAGCTGTAGCATAGAAAAGAGTATCAACAAGACTTTTCACTTTCACATCTACTCAAGAAAAACAGTTTATATTATACATGAATTGGTAACCATCTCAGGCACAAGATGTGGAACAAACACAACAAATATGTTCCAGGTGGGCTGCAGTAGTTCCCTTGGTGTCCTTACATCCTGGAATTTCTCCCAGCAAGCTGTTTGAGTTCTTGGATGTATTTCTTTTCATTCTTTCTAGATGACACCCTTGTCACTGCATTTCTACTTCATTGATCTTCTAGAAAGTGATACATAATACTGGAATGTACCACCTTAATGTCAAACTTCAGCAAATATGATAGATCACAAATACTCATTTATACTTAACAGCAATGATCCAAATTATTTCTATCACATTTACACATTCCTCTTGCTATGCCCATTTTTTCAACTTCCAGGCCCAATGGATGTTGAGGCTAAAGCAAAAGAAGTTAGAGAAGTCAAATATCATTTCAAACACAGGTCATTTTGAGAATTAAGGTATCATAAAAGTTAAGGGGATGCTATTTTTACTAGGTGGGAGTGATAATGTGTTGGAGTTTTTATGAAGATATTAAGTTTGAAGTGATAGTGGTTTTGTATATACTTGTCCTAAATTTGGCATAAGAAAATCACTTTGTGATCTAGATCCACAGTGAAATTGTAGCTGTACTAGATATGTAGGATCAACAGAATTGCTTATTGGTAATAAAAAAGAAATTTGCTCAGCACCAAAAAATTTCATATCTGACTTTTTAAAATATAGTGATAATGATAGTGTTTTAATTTTAAAAATATTTAATATGTACTCAGTGTTCCCAGTGTTAAAGAATTATAAGGTGCCACTTAAAGTATTCTCACATGTGGTTTTTCTATCCCTGTCTTCCTCTTTAATTTACAATCTACAGTAACATTTTAGAATTCCATCATTTTCCACGCTTTGATCATAATACCGTGGTCTTCAAAAGATGGAGCAACATTAGAATGTCCCATTTTGATTATGGTTGTATGCAGGGCTTAAATTTTACCAGAGAATTAAGAAATATGTTAAAGCATAGCTACCATTTCTATTTAATGCCATCCTCTAATGAAAAGATGGAATCATTAAACTCTTAATTGTACTGTGAAGGTGAGAATTCTTTGGTTTGATGTGGATTTACATTTTCTCCATTCTCTTTATCACCATTTCTCATTTTGAGTTTGCTTATCATTATGACTTCTTAGAGTCGTAAAAAATTGAAAGATAATGACAATATGTTTCAGCCAGTAGCTTCTCAATCTCATTACTGCTATTATCAATCACTTTTAAAGGCATAACTTAGTTGTAACCAGTGTCTTGATAATGAAGATTATTTCATTCTCTGACAACTGCTAATTAGTTCTTGCAAATGAAGTTCCTTGGCTACTTTTTGTCTGCCTTATAGTAAAATCAAGGAATTTAAGTAAATACTTTATTGAATTATTTCAATTCAATACTTTATTGAAGCAACACCTAATAATTTAATTCATAAGCCACTGTTTTGGCCTTGACTACAGAAATAAATTTTTCTTGTTCTGACTCTAAGAAAGGGAGTAAAAATTGTGCCATGAAAAGCCAAGTGATTTGTTGGTCTGAGATTTCAGAATGAAGTAAAGATAGTGCTTATAAATCACATATAATGTATTAAAATTAAATATAATTGTAATGCTCCATATCCTTCAAGTAGAAATAGAATTAAATTTAATTTAATTTTAAGAGTATCCCTGGAATAAACAGCAGTTTTCTGTATAGACAGTATTCGATAAGTGGTATAATTATCTCTAACCAAGAAATGTTTCTCTAAAAGAAAATATGTTTGAAAACAGAGTAATATAATTTTATATCAACTGTTATAGACAAATGTCTTATAAGAAAATAAATGACTCAAGTACCATTTTACATTTATTTCATTCAGTCTTACATTTATTTTACAGATGTTTTATGAGTCATTTATTTTCTTGTAAACAACTTGTATAAGTTACCTCCATCATGAACCAAGTCAAAATCATGTAAGATATATACATATACATAAAACATGTAGCTGTATTTTTTTAAGGTGTCAACCTGAAACATAAGCAAATGACCTTTAGTAATGTATGCATGTTATTCAAAATTGACTTTTTCAAAAGTGACAGTGAAATAGAAAAAGCCCAAATTATGAGCACTGAAGTTGAAATAAACTTGTTCCATCAGTTAAGCAGAGTGACTGCTTAACACGGAAGACAAACCTCTTTTGTCAGTGCTAGTATTGGGATAGGACCATTAACTGGATATGCTGTGCACATGTTGGCTTTGCTGCCTGGAGGGAATGATTCAATGTTTGAGTTAGGAAAGAATTGAGTTCACTTTCTCCACATTTCTTTATTGACTTTCACTTTGAAGGGGCAACACAAAGGACTCTGTGGAGGTAGTGACCTCCAGCAGGCTGGATACAGAACCTGCTTCCAGGTTTTTCTCTTTTCCCATGAACCCTGAAGTCCACTATTGTAAAAAAACACAATGATACATATGGTTGATAATACTAATCTTGTCGTTGGATCACTTTACCCTAAGAAAGCATGCCCTGTAGCTGTTAAATAACAGATTTAAGTCAGAACCTTGGAATACACTAAAAGAAATTAGAAAACTAATTGAAGCCTGCAAGAAAGAAACACAAGTAGATAAATTATTACTGAAACCCAGAAAGTATAATTCCCCTCAAATTAGCATGAAATTCAAAATAGTTCCACATGATTGCATAATTGCTGGTATCAAGTATAACTGAAATGTCCTGCAACAAGAGAACTGATTCCACATCATCCTCATTATTAGGGAATAAATCAAACATACTTCTTATTAATCCCATATATATTTTATAATGATGTCAAAAACCATTTAAATGACATGTCTGGTTAACCAAAAATAATTATGTCATTCATTCAGGGATTTATTAAGAAAATAAAACATTAGAAAATCTTTAGAAAGTACATCAGCATGTGGTACAATTATAGCAATACTTTCTTTTGAAAGAATTTAAGTTGCAGCAGCTTGTTTCAGCAGCGTTAGAACTATATCAGAATTTGAAGCAAACTATTCGGTTGTGCAATATACAGTGTGATATTTATCCAGTAGCATATTACTGAAGAATGTCATGGGAACATCATTGAACTGTATTGCACAGACTTATATTTCTATACCAATTTACTGATCGTTTTCCTTATCATTTATGGCCTCTCAGGAATGCAAGGGACCCACCTTTCTCCTTTGGGCCAGAGAAGATATATTCCCTGAATCAGACAGGAGGAAATACTCTTTGTTTACTCTCTAATCACTAAAGATTCTAAACTTTTATACAGAAAGAATTATTTGTCTGACAATGTAGACTATTTACATCTGCTAAATACAACACTGTGTTTTTTTAAAAATGGCTCCAAAATTATCAGAATAGGTGTGGATATTATAGTCCCAGAACATGTGAGAAAGTATCAGATTTTTATATGAAATGGAAATAGTTGAAGCAATCTCTTCCCACCATCTAGAAAATCTCTTCCATTTTCTGGATTTTCCTAAAGTCTAAAATATCTTCAGCAGGAAACCAGATTTTCATTACATAGGATGAGAGGTAAGTTTCAAAATACAAATGTACCAGGGAGGAGTTAACACCTATGCATAAATTTATACTGTGTATAAGTGACTATACCTTCTCTGAGAGCAGAATTTGATGGGGCTAGAAGAAAGTGATCACAAGGGCACTAAGAGTGAAATTGAAGGGGGAAAATGGTCAGAAAAAGAAGTTATAGAAACTTTCATTAACGTTTTGTTCATAGCTACCTCTAGGAGTCACAAAGCATGTTATGCTACACTTTATCTAATTCAGAGACAGCAGCTTAGATGATAAACTACACATCCACTTTCTCCCTTTATTTTAAATACTAATATACTCCGTGAAACTTACCATCCAGTAGATATATAATGTAATCTTTCTTCCCTCCCTCTTTAACTTGTGTCTAAATGTTCTGCTACCCAGGCATAAGATAATTCTAAACATTTTGGTTTCAAATCATGCTGGTCATCAGCATGGAAAAATTAAAGCACGATTTAAAGTCATTTTGGTCATTGGCTTTCTTAGCACTTTTAAAGCATATGCTCTTTGCTAGCAGTCTAAACAAGGAATTCTTATGTGGAGTAGTTAATA
Source organism: Homo sapiens (assembly GCF_000001405.40). Lineage (NCBI taxonomy): Eukaryota > Metazoa > Chordata > Mammalia > Primates > Hominidae > Homo > Homo sapiens. Next base: position 49,466,878 of record NC_000015.10, on the reverse strand, counting down.
TTTTTTCACAGAAATGAAAGTGAAAGGAAAAAGAGGCAGAAATAAAAACATCTGAGTTTACTTAAAAAGATAATTAAAAAATTTAAAAAGGGTTAAAGACCCCCAAGCTCTTACCAGAAACAATTATGTTTCCTCTCTATATTACCAATGTATATCCAGCCGTTCTCTTCTGTTTCCATTGCCATCACATTAGTCCAGGCCTTCATTTTCTTGTGCCTCAACTATTATTATAGTTTCTTAGCTAGACCTTTGCCTCCAGCCCTTCTGACTTTAACCCTTTATGTATTCATAAGATATATGTTATAAAGGTTACTCTTCTGCTTCAAAAGTTTCAGTGGTATACTCTATTAAAAACAAAAGCAAACAAAAACCTCTTTTATTTACTATCCAAAGCTCTCCAAAATCTGACTCCAGCCTACATAATTTTCTCCCATTTTTCTTCTACAACTTAGAAGATCCTTTGACTTCAAACAGATTTACTAATTGTCTTCCTCTCCCATGCAAAATGTCAGTCTCTACCTGCTCTGCCTACCAGTTCCTGGAATTACATAGAATGCTCTACTCAAGTACTTCCCAAATATTGCCTCATGGACTGATTGCATGGAATCACAAGATGAACTCTAAAAGATTTTCAGGTTTCCAGTTCCCGTTCCTCAGAAAGTCTGATCCAACAGGTCTGAGGTGAAGCTTGATAATTAGTATTTTAACAGCTTCCACCTACCTGAGTACCCAAATTGAAATTCCAGTTTCTCCATAGTGATTAGTAGTTTCCTAATCTGTTGTCATCTATTTTACTTTAAGAACATACTGCTGTACTATTAATTAGCACCCACCTCTATTGTTCTCTTGTTATTTATAAATTTTGCCTGTTTTTAAATCTAGGTTGTAGACTATTTGAAGAGACTATCTTATGCTTCAGCTAACCCCCAGTACTTGGTACAGGGATTTGTATTTGACACACCCTCAATAAATGACAAAAACACCATATTAAGTAGTGTGTCAAATTATAAGTTGGCATATGATTGTTATTATTCCAAGATTAAAGAATTAACAAGTTTTCTAATCATACTAAATGTCGAAAAACTAAGGTTAGATTGAATAACAAAAGTATTTGCTAAATTTCCTTCTAATTTTCATTACATTTTGGAGTTTAATTAAATAAGCACAAAATTCCTTGGTTAATTTAAATAATACTTTATCTCAGATTGTATTTTATGATGCCAACTCAAAAAAGTTGAGAGAACCCCAAATATCTCTGGTTTTTCAATCAATTATAGGTCTCTCTTTTTTGGTTTTGGCTAAATCTCTCTTGAATCTATTTATATTTTCAACATGCAACACTCATATTATGGGTAACAACTTACATATGTTTTCTATGTACTCTGTAAGATAGCATATCTATTTATCTATCTTGCTCCTAACACATTAACACTTTAAGAAGTAGGCCGGGCATGGTGGCTCACGCCTGTAATCCCAGCACTTTGGGAGGCCGAGGTGGGCAGATCACTTGAGCTCAGGAGTTCGAGCAGCCTGGCCAACATGGTGAAACCCATCTCTACCAAAAAAAAAAAAAAGAAAAAGAAAAGCCAGACATGGTGGCAGGTGCCTGTAATCCCACCTACTTGGGAGGCTGAGGCAGGAGAATCGCTTTAACCTAGGAGGCAGAGGTTGCAGTGAGTTGAGATCGTGTTACTGCACTCTAGCCTGAGCAACAGTGCGAGACTCCATCTCAAAAAATAAAATAAAAATAAAATTAAGAAGGACATTCTACTTCTAATATTTCATGAGTTATCCAAGCCTCTGTTCTTATCCATATTATGATTTTATATACATTGAATACAGTCCATTATAGTTTCTTAACTAGACATTTATAACATTATAGTTTCTTAATTAGAAACTAGTTAAGGTGTTTATTATCACCTTAATAAACATTTATTATTCTAGATGATAGCCAAAATGTTTTTTAGGTATGTCATGTATGTCTTACGTTATTCATTTATTCATTCTAATTGCAGGATGCTTCCATTGTACTGTATAGTTTTTATTAACGCTAAGCAAGGAGAATGGCATCTGTCTTCCAGATGTAGATGCACCACACTGTTTACACGGAGATACTATGTGTTCTGTTTTGTGTCTTACATTCTTCCTGATAGTGTCCATTACTTTATTGGTCATTTGGGACCACTGCACATTAAGATAACATTTTTATGGGAACATCTGAAATGATTTATTGGTGTCATTTTTGCAAGAAAATCATTATTCAGTGACTTTTATCTTGTATAATTTAAATTTTATTACAAAATTCAATACATTAAAAGTCATCTGCCAGTTTTTTGCCTACCTATATATAAATGTTCTGTCTTCCAGCATTTTATCATCATTAGCTTAGTTCATGAATTTAGAGATGTTAGCCCAACCTACAAACTTAGAATTTTCACTACACGTACATACTTTTAGATCATTTATAAAAATGTCAACTAAGTTGGATCATTTTAGAGGAATCTCACTGTTAACACATTTTTATTTAAAATATTAATTCAAACTAATTCCTTTTCTGTTTCTCTTTTAAGAACCAGTGATTCTCAACATGATAGACTAGAGGTGGGGGCAGAAATTGTTGGGCAAAAAATATCCTTCGGGAAATAAAGTGTCAGAATCACCGCTTTTTAAATCTACACATACTCTGTGGAGATTCTGATTACCTACCCTCCCTACACCCTCGTTTAGAAAATCCATCCCCTGCCTAACCCATCCTTCATGAGGCTTATCACAGTAGTTAGCCAATGAAACTAATAGAATTATTGTCCATACAGCAGGTGTTTGGGGATGGAAAAAAAAATCACAACTTATTCAAAGCCAGGTTTTAAAAAGTGTCTCACCTCCGCCAATGAAAAAGATCAGCTTTATCCTAGGATAAAAATAGTAACTCTAAAGCAAACAAACAAAAAACAAACAAAAACCTTGTTTGTTGAGCCACATCAAATCAGTTTGAAGTAGTCTAAAAAACGATATTTCTGTGCTTATAAGAGCGTTAGCAAATACTTACAATTTTCCCCTTACAGAAGCTGCCTTGCCTTTCCTCAGAATCTATTCCATAAACATTATAAGTACTTTGTAGCAGCATAGTAGTGAAACAGAAAATCAGACAGAAGGAACTGTGTGAGAAAGGCACAGAAGCATAAAACACTGTGGCATTTGGGGGTTAACTTGGTGTGCTTGCAACTTATACACAGCGAACTTCCAGGAAAAGAAATAAGAAATATAGGCAGGGCTAGACCATTAAGAACTTATGCAGCTAGTTGAGTTTGGATATTTTTTTTTTTTTTTTGAGACGGAATCTCACTGTGTCGCCTAGGCTGGAGTGCAGTGGCACAATCTCAGCTCACTGAAACCTCTGCCTTCCGGGTTCCAGTGATTCTCCTGCGGCCTCCCAAGTAGCTGGGATTACAGGCGCCCATCACCACACCCAGGTAATTTTTGTATTTTTAGTAGAAGTGGGGTTTCACTATGTTGGCCAGGCTGGTCTTGAACCCCTGATTTCAGGTGATCCACCCACCTCAGCCTCCCAGAGTGCTGGGATTACAGGTGTGAGCCACTGTGCCTGGCCGAATTTGAATTTTTATTCTGTAGAGGATGGTAAGCCACTGAAAAGTTTAGAAAAATACTTCTAGCAGCAGTGTGGGAGATAAATTGGCAAGAGGCAAGACCAGTGAAGAGATTGTAGTACTGATCTAAGCAGGAGCTGATGGAGGCCTACTCCAGGGCAAGAATCGTCAGGATTGGGAGAGAGTGAACTTGTTTCTTCAAACAGGTTATATTTCCATAAATGGTTCATATAGATCCTGAATCTATTTTGAGTGATTTAAGACACAAACTCTTTAAAGACCTCAAAGTATTGTTGATATTTAGAGAATCCAATAATGCTATATTTATCATGACACAGTTCCATTCTGCCAAAATTGAATGTATAAAGTGCCTTAGGACCTAGAGAATAAAATGTATTTATTTATTTTGAATGTAATATCGTTTATAATTTATCAATAATCTTTCAGAATACAGTCATCCTTTCTATACATGCCAAAGTCTTCACTAGTCTAAGCTGCTTTCATAATCTGATATATCATATCTTATCTTTCAAAGTTGTATTTTAACTTAATTGGAAGTAAAATAAATTGAATGAGAGAAAGAGGAAGGAAGAGCAGTCATAGAATCTGTGAGCAACAGTGAGTTAGCTTTCCTCTTCTTGGTAAGAGTTACTGTAGCCTACCCTTACCTCCCTACTCTATACTTTCCAGTTCTGTGCCAACGAAAGTGGATCATGCACAATGAATGAAAGATACAAAGTTAAAATAGAATCAGTAGAGACTTTTTAACAAATTATGTTAGAAATTATATTTGCCCATGCTGGAAAAGAGAATTATGAGACTGGACTAAAAATACTTCTGGACTAAGGCCAGCTCTCTAGTGAGTACAAGGGGAAAAAGCATTGTGATTAAGAAATATCATCCGAAAATTTCTAAATTTAGTAAATATATGTTAGGAGCTTACTATTTATCTTGCAAAATACATGTTTAGAAATTATTTTCTACAAGATATTTTAAATAATGAGACCACTTTCAGTGTACTCATATATGATTAAAGTACAAAAAAGCAATAATCAATCTTTTTTTCATCCCAGATCCTCCTAAGTCATCCCAGATCCTCACACATTTCTCCTTTCACCATGCTCTCATACTGCCTTTAAATACAATTTTTTTTTTGAGATGGAGTCTCACTCTGTCACCCAGGCTGGAGTACAGTGGCACGATCTCAGCTCACTGCAACCGCCACCTGCCAGGTTCAAGCAATTTCTGACTAATTTTTGTATTTTTAGTAGAGATGGGATTTTGCCATGTTGGCCAGGCTGGTCTCGAACTCCTTACCTCAAGTAATCTGCCTGCTTCGGCCTCCCAAAGTGCTAGGATTACAGAGCCACTGCCCCTGGGCAATAATCAGTCTTAAAGCTATGTGTATTAGATAAATGAGGTTACCCTAGTAACCATATGTAGATAGAGAGCTTGCAGTTGTTTAATTTGAAATTAAATCAGTACCATAATTAGCATAAGAAAATTCAACTTGAATTTCACATGGTATCTCTTTAAGTTTTAATGGAGTATAAAAATTTTTCCTCAAAAAAATAAGGATTGCTCTTATTCTTTTTGATGCTTTGAGAATGTACATATTGTACCTGCACTATCTGAATACATAGTGTACAACTTATTCTAGCCAGTATTTGCAGGGATTAACTTCATATGCCTAAATTAAACAGAAGTACGTGGCTCTTTCAAAGAGATAGACAAGACATCTAGCAGTAAGTAGGAGAAGTATAGAGCATGAAATATGCAGTTTCTCAGATTAGCTAAAGTCTGCATTGAAAAATAGACATGATGTCAGATAAGCCACTCCTCTTTTTATAGTTTGGATGATGGCCAAGGAATATGTATTTAATGTTTTTCAAATCTGCATAAAATGAAGCAGAGTTATTGACTGTATACCTACTCAGTATCTAACATTGTGCATGGATTTTTACAGGGAATACAAAAAATAAATTGTTAGCTCTCTATCTTTGAGGAACTAATTGCCTTTTGAGATAATGAGACCTGCAATTAGCCCAAATGACAAGGAAGACTCTAAGTGGCAAAGTAGTAAGGAAGAGAAAAGATCTGTCACTAGTCTAGTCGAGGAGGACTTCAACAGATAGGAAGAAGAAGTTCATCAGGATGGAAGAGATATTTAAGTCAGGGAGAAACATACTAGAAGGAAATAGACTAAGAAAAATGGCAGAGGTGGGATGAAGGGTAGTATTTTCAGGGGAAGGCTGGCCCCACAAGATGAATATCACTCATTCTTTATGGTCTACATGGATGCCAGCTATCAACACTGAGCTTTGACATAGTGGAATTTGGCTTGGACAGTATTCCTTTAAGAAAGAAAAATTAAAAACAAACCAAATGCATTCTGAAAAAGACAAAACAAAACATAATCAAACAAACAATGTTCTTCTTTGATATCTGCCTCACACACAAAGCTTTGCCCTCTAATATGTCTCTGCTAAGGACAGAAAATCATATTGCCAAAACAAAGAAGCTGCACAGTTTTTATAAGTGCCAGAGGGGTTTTAGATTGTTTAATTATTATATACATGACTGGTATCAAGAGTCCTATTTTTTTCAGACTATAATGAATACAATGTGTGTGGGTTAAAATATTTGTTTTCTGACTTGGCTGTTGCTAGAACATTTTTGGGATTGGCCAGTACTCCCACCTCGAATATTTGGTAATGATCGCCTGAACTGTGAAGAAATGTCAAAATATAAGTAGTAAAAACATAGTCCTTCAAAAAGAATCCTGGTACCACAGATTTAGAATTTGAGCTAATTTGAGCACATGCATTCAGACTTTGCAGTGGAATCAGAGATCATATATGGACACCCACTACACAACTAAAACACTTAAGTAAATTATATGTCATTCCACTAAAATCAAACTTCACCTTCCATAAGCATGGCTATATGTTTGTCTCAACATATTGTTATCTGTGGGTGGATCAGTACTTATGTACTATGTAAGTAATTGTGCAGCTTACCTACTTCTAGGGGCACTGAGTTTTTTGGACTTTTTTTTTAAGGCTTCAGAAGTAACTTTGGCAGGTACTAGGAAAAATAGTATCACTTTTCTTCCTCTCTTGGGGCTTGCCTCTTCCATGATACCTGATGCTCTGGCTTGACATTCCTTGCACAGGTTGTCACAGTGCTAACAAAAACATAAAGTTTGTTGTTGGTAGAGACAAACTAGGCAGTGGTGAGGTGTGGTGTCAAGGGAAGAAAGTGATAGCTGTGGAAATTTCGTCTACAGACAGTGTGTGGGTGGATAAAAATATTTAAGAACAGACTCTCCAGAAGAAAAGAAATGTCTCTAATGTGTGGCATTTGCCCATTTACATTGTGTAAATACCTCCACCATGGCCAGTTTTATGCCCATGTCAAGATACCAACATGGTATTGGGAAGAGATGAATGTGGAGTTGGAAAGAGATGCACACAGGAGCCGGGATGAGCCATCTCCAGCACACCACCAGCTACAAGTCTCAAGCACAGCTTATGTCATGAACTATAGCCTGGTTTTGGCCCCTGAAAATGTGTACAGTCATTTTTGAAAGCATAAAATAATAGTGTAGAGAACTATAGAAATACTAGTTTTAATTATTCCTCAAACTCTATAAATTTACATAAAAGCAATATTTGCAAAATATTGAAGAGATAAAACAAGAGGACTTTAAAATAATTAAGATAAAGATAGAGGATGGGAAAAGAAAAGCACTTAACACAATGCTGAAATGCAGGTTCATTTAAAAAATCTCTTTTCACTCTTATATCTCAAAAAAAAGAAAAGAAAGAAAACAGCACTGCAAAAATGTACAACACATGGACTAGGAGGTTCAGAAAATTCATGGAATAAACATACTAATTACAGGTGTTCTGATTCTAAGAGAGTTTTTGAATTTGTTGTAGGCATCACATGGTGTGCTGCTCCCCTAGAAAGCACCTAATGCAGAGAACCTATTGGGAGCCTACTCCTCCATGTTTGAAAGTAGTCAAATGTACAAATCTCTCCTCCTCTGGCCAGGACAGCTGACATCTGCACATCAATTACAATGTGGTGTGAGAAACATACACGCACACTCTTTCTCCTGGACAAAGATTCAAAGCATTTTGAAACTTTCTGGGAAACTCAGAAGATATTCAGTAATGTTTGTATTTATATCACTAGAGAAGGAAGATATATTAGTTGAGTATTAGTTATATGACAGTAGATTTTGTGTGTTTTTTAATAGAAATGAAGGACAATCAAACGAATTGCTTTATTGTTCTGGATAGCAGATCAATATTTTTATAAGCAGTGGTCATTTTTATCAACTAGTCTCGTAAAAAATAATTACTAAATAGAGTAGTAGATGTTGGTCAGTCTAGAAAAAATAGACAAAATACTGGTGCAGGGGGGAAATACTTTGAATTCATCTGCAAGACTTATTTTTTGTTTATAAATTGAATTTATAGAATAAATTTCTAAAAGACAGGATTTTAGGAACTTCAGAAATATCCACAACTGTAACTAATCCTATTGCTTTTAGGAAACATTATTATGAAGTTGATTTTGAGTTTTGTTTTCTGAAGTATTAGATTCCCATTTGTATGAAAGTCAGAAAATATGGGAACATAAAGTTCCCTCTGATTTCTATAAAGACAAGAGCTTGGCAATGGTAAAAAGCAATTTTTAGTCATCCTGTTCTTAAAGAGTTTCTTCTAGTGAGTATTATCTTAAAATGCAAAAGTGTGTTGAATCTTAAATTGGTAAAGAGGGAACAGGAAAATCTTGGATGAAAAATAATCCAAATAAAACCAAAACCTTTAAATGAGAATTAATTAGAAACACAAGTTAACTATGCTGGACGTGCATGTTTATGAGTTTAAGTGACCTTTAAAGATGACTCAAAGCCAAGTAATAGCTTATTTGTGGATTATGACTATTTAAATGTACTATTTGGCACGTGGGGGGGTTCTTTTTCTCCAGAGTATATTAATTCAGTATAAATGAATAAATATACATTCAAAATCTATTGTCATTGGTACTTGAGGACCACTTCAAAATTCCTGCTCTAAGATCCTACTCATATCAATAATTTATGTTAGTGATTATAAATACCTTCACTTGTCCATCTTATCAAGCTGAAGCCCTACCTCAGCACCTTTCACTAAGTTTTCAGAGAATTTTTACATGTTTTATGTCATTTGATCTCCCCAACAACAATCTTGCTATAAAGTGAATATTGTGCTTTTGGGGAAAAAATATTATCAATCAAGAAAGTGATGCCTAACGAAAGATAAATAACATCAGTAAAGGCTTAATTTTTCTAACATTAATTAAATGTTTAACTTGTGCTAAAATTAGCACAAAAATGATTAGATTCATTTAATTGTTTTTTATATCATTATGAACGCTTTCCAAAAGTATACCATTTAACTGATGACTATAAAAATTCCTATTCTCTAATATAATGTATTAATCAATTCTTTTAATTTTAAATATACTAAATAAAGCCTCAAAACTTGTCATCTATTTTCTAAATACTGAAGTAATAGACATTGGAAATCTATTGTCACTGGGACCTGGGACCACTTCAAAGATTCTGCTCTAAGATCATACTCATTTTATAGACTCATTTTTCAAGTCTGTACTCAAGTTTTCTTTCCTCTTGAGAAATGGAAGTAGAAAAGTTTCTGTTCTCTAAGGAATTTGATAATGTAGTTACTTATAAAATGTTATAGATTTTTAAGAAAAAGTGACTCAAGTATTTATATTTTACTGAAAAGTTCAGTCCTCTTGATTTTCCTGTTTTAGTTAATGGCATCATAATTTTCCAAACCATTCAGCTTTGAAATTTGAATGCTTTTTAAAAAAGTTATCTCTCATAACCCATATCTAATTACCACTTTCTATGGATTCCACCTACAGGGTAGTTTACACGCTGATTTGATTTTTTTCCATTTCTATTACTAACACCGTTGTTACCGCATTTGGAATATTATAGTATTAAACGAACTCTTCTCTCTTTGCCTACTTTCTCCTGATTCCAATGAATCCAATAAACTGCTTCCTGCTTTCCCAAAGAAAAAACACTGTTAAAAGTTTTAGTAGTTCTCTACTGTTCATGAAATGAAACCCAAACGTCTTGCTGTAAATTATGGAGTCTTCCTATTTTGACAGGCATGGTGGTGTAGTAGTAAAAATGATACTGGCTTTGAGACATGGCTTTAAATCTAGATTCATCCACTCACTAGCTCTGTGATTTTGAGCAAAGTGACTAACTTTTTCAATTCTAAGTTCCCTTCTCTATAATATGAAGGTATCTTTTTAAAAATTAAATTGGATTGAATTGTAATGCACTTAACACAGTAAAAACAGTTGCCTGTCTTTTTCTGGTCTTATTTTTCATCAACAAAGTTGGACTGCCACTGATTCTCACAACTCTGTATCTTTTGTTTATTTGTGACTTCCCATCACCTGTCAATACCCTGTTCATCTTTCAAAGTGAGACTCAAGTTCCTTCCCTGATCCTTTCCCCTTTTTTCTTTTCAGAAATTCACAAAATAAAGTATCTCTGACTCTTTTTAGAAAGAACACTTATCCTGCCTTATTTTGTAGTTACTATGTTAGTTATCTCTCCTTCTCAAACATTTATTCCTTGAGAAGAGAAAGGCAAAGGAAAAAAAGTAATTCTTGAATAGTCTTATTTTTATATATATCCAGTTGAATGCTTGCATATAGTAGAAATGCTGAATTTATTGAATAAATGGAAATATAATGGTTGAGAAATTTTACTTCAAGTATGTTACCCACATAGCATTACATTTTACATTAACCTTCCTTAACCCTGTCAAGAAATTTTAATTGGCAGAAATGACTTGTCATATAAGACACTGTCCAGCTGCTTTCCCTTTCCATTATTTCTTTCAACTTCTAAATAGAACTCTGCACTTTGTACTTCTTTCACAAAGCATTCTATTATGATCATCAAACACATTTTGGGAACTGGGGTAATAATTCAAGTCTCAGAGGGAAATAGGGTAAAAAATGAAATTCTAAAGAATTAATTCTGAAATATAGCATATCTGGAAAAAAACTGAAAAAAATCTCAATCAAATGTGTTTAACAAAATTATAATACAGAGTCTAGACTTACTTTTAACATTTTAGAATGTCTTATAAGTTAGTGAATGGCAGAAGTGGCACCAATATGCGGTCACATTAAAGCATGTAACAGCATGTTGAGCTAGTTCTTATTTATGTCAATAGAAAGCTCTTCTAGAGTGTTTCTGATACTCCCCTAAACAACATAGTTCCCATTCTGTAGTAATTTCCAACACATTTGGAGCTCTAGAGTGAAAAATTAAGAGGAGCATATTTCTGGGTACAAAAAGAAAAAAAAGAAAAAAGCCATGGTTCAATAATACCCAATAGTGATAAGATAAGCTACTTGAGACAAACTGAAAAATTTCTTCTATTGACCATACCCAAAGTGGAGCACGTTTTGTTTTCTCCACTTTAAGCAAGAAAATAGCATACATTTGATGTTTAAAACACCAAAATCACTTATTTAAGTGCTGCCATTTAAAAATATGTCTGTTTAGAAATATAGGACATTAGATTAAAAATTGTTAAAAATATTTCTTTAAAGACTTTTATCTAAATCCAAAAACTTTTTTATAACTGACGATGGACCTACCCAGAAATTCAGTAAAGAGTATTTGTCTTATCTTTTTCAGAGTAGTGCAATTGAGCACCCGTATGGTATCATGCCCATTATTTTTAACATTGCCTTACTACAATTTTATTACTTAAGAAAACATACAATTTGTTTGAAAAATGCTGGGGTTTTATGCATTTTTCTGCACACAGTATTCATCATGAAGTAGATATTCTTAAAATGAAAGCTGTGTATAAATACAGATTGACCTTGATTTTCATGCTAGATGAATTCATAACAAATATAAGCGCTATACATTAGGGATACCATGGCCGCTTTGTTAACACTGTGTATTCACCACCTAGCAGAATGCCTGACACACAGGTGAACAGGAATATCACCAGACTTGAGGTGCCTGTCACATTGCATGCATACAAATCACCTGAGACGCCAATTAACAGCAGAGATTTTGACTCAATAGGTGAGGGTTGAGGCCTAGAGAATATGCTTTAAAACAAGTAAAGTAGGTGATCCTAATACAGGTGATCCCCCAACTACACTTTAAATCATACTGCTGTTTAGGGGCAAGGTACCTGTTTTCCATCCCACCTCACTAAAATCCCTGGAATTGGCTAATGGAACATGGTGAGACTGAAGGCCTGCAGAGAGTGCTTTAAGAATATATTATGGCTGGGTCCAGTGGCTCACACCTGTAATCCCAGCACTTTGGGAGGCCGAGGCGAGCGGATCACGAGGTCAGGAGATCGAGACCATCCTGGCTAACACAGTGAAACCCTGTGTCTACTAAAAATACAAAAATTTAGTGGGGCATGGTGGCACGCGCCTATAATCCCAGCTACTTGAGAGGCTGAGGCAGGAGAATCGCTTGAATTCGGGAGGCAGAGGTTGCAGTGAGCTGAGATCGCTCCACTGCACTCCAGCCTGTGTGACAGAGCGAGACTTCGTCTCAAAAAAATAATATAAAAAATAAAATAAATAAAGAGTATAATTATGGGGAATATCTAGATCTTGGAGACCTCTTCTAGTCTTAAAGTACAGATAAGTTAAGTGGAACCAATGTTTTCTCATTAGTAGGGAGTTCCACAGCAGAACTGAATTTACTTGAGGATATGCTGATAGGTAAATATTTTCTATAAACAGAGCAGGCACTCAATAAATATTGGCTCTTATTATTACCAGGATTTTTACCTAGGATGATATTAGTGTTTTTTCCTTTACTTTATAAATGATGTGTTTCTGGAATTAAACTGGAAAGGGGGAAAAGAGAAGAAAATGCACAAGAGAGACCTAACAAGTGCCCTGCCCCCTATGAAACTTCTGGAAATCCATGGTATATTTCAGGGATTCCAGTGCAATTTATTTAGTCTGTATTTCTGATGATAAAATGCTAACTATATAACCTTCAATAAATCATTCACTCTGTATTTCTTTTATAAAAGTATGCCCCATCTATGTTGTACATTAATTAGAGGTAAAGCAGAGTTTCAAACCTACGCCTGTCTGACACATCTTTTCTATTACACCACACTGCCTCCCCAGCCATATAAACTTCCTAGGAGATTTGAGGATTCAGTTTAAGAGAATATTAAAATGTTCTATCACATTTCAAGTGATAGAATAGTAGGACTTGGTGATTAAAAATGGGAGCTAGAAGAGATGGAGGAATGCAAGGCTTCCACTTTGGTCAACTGAGTAATATCAGAACTCTTATGTAAAATGTATAAGGTAAGAGCAGGATTGAGGGGGAAGATCCTGAATTCAATTGGGAACGTGCTGAAATTGAATTTCCTGGAGGTCATCAGGAGAGCTATCTAGTGACCATTAGATACATGTAACAAGAGCTCAAGAAAAGGAAGAGACATGAAATTTCAGATTTCAGATTAAACAGCACGTGGGTCATAATTGAAGTCATGAGTCTAGATACAATTACCTCGGAATGTATGAGCAGAAAAATATGGTTGTCATGAGCAGAGTAACACATGGTCCCTGACGGTTACATGGTCTACACTGAACTGTCCTGCATAAGAGCCATGTGCCACATGTGGCTACTGAACCCTTGCAATGTGAATAGTTGGAATTAAGGTGTGTTGTAAAGGAAAAACATGCATTGGATTTTGAAGGACCTGTACAAAAAGAAAGAATGTAAAATATCTCATTAATATTTTTATACTGGGCCAGGCACGGTGGCGCATGCCTGTAATCTCAACACTTTGGGAGGCGGAGGTGAGCAAATGGCTTGAGCTCAGGCATTTGAGACCAGCCTGGGTAACATGGTGAAATCCCATCTTAAAATAAAAAATAATAATAATGAAAATATGTATATATTTTTATACTGATTATGTGTTGAAATGACGTATTAGATTAAACAGAACATATTCAAATTTTAAAAAAAGAAAAATACAGTTGTTATTACAGAGAATATAAAATGGGAACCAAACATGCTACTACCACTTTTTGTTGACCTCAATGCAATATTTTAGGATGATTACCTAAGATTATTTATAAAAATTACATTTCCACAGTGGTAAGAGAAAGGAGAAAAGTGATTATTATATTAGCAGTACAATTTTTAACTAGAGTAATTTTGTGAATTTGGGCCCTATGGAAGGAAAACCTTTTAAAGTGATAAAAATTTAAAGTGATAAATTCCTGACTTTGAAATATGTAAAATATTCAAAGAAATTTAGTTTTATCATCTTTTTGTTTATACCATAGTAAGCAAGGCATATAACAGCTAACGTTTGCTGAGTGCTTATATTATCCTGCACCCTGTGCTGTGATTCACATATACAGTATTCATTATTTTAATAATCTTGTAAGCACATAGATTAGATACTATCTCAGTCACCCAATAAAGAAACCAAGATTCAGAGAGACTGACTCATTTGCCCAGAAATAATAGGATTTCTCTCAAATCTCAGATTTGAACCCAAACTAAGGTATCTTCATTATATTTCCTAAAGACTGCATCCAAAAGAGCTTTCTTTAGTTGCTTAAGTTAAATAAACAATAATAACTTGTAACTGCATTAAAAAATCTGCATAGATCTTTTTATGAAGAACCAGAAAATAACATCCAGTTTCTCTGGCAGCTTTTTACTTATTAATTTGTTTACCAAACATTTTTTCCCATAGCAAGTATAGAAATAGATGTTAACAAGGGTTCATTTTAATTTTCACAAATATGAAATAGTAAGGTAACTGGCATTTAAAATTCTGGTTGGGGCCGGGTGCAGTGGCTCACACCTGTAATCCCAGAACAGTGGGAAGCCAAGGCAGGCAGATAACTTGAGGTCAGGAGTTCGAGACCATCCTGGCCAACACAGTGAAACCCCAGTCCAGTAATATTTGTACTAAAAATACAAAAATTAGCTGGGCATGGTAGCATGCACCTGTAGTGCCAGATACTCAGGAAGCTGAGGCAGGAGAATTGCTTGAACCTAGAAGGCAGAGGCTGCAGTGAGCCAAGACCATGCCATTGCACTCCAGCCTGGGCAACAGAGCAAGACTCTATCTCAAAAAAAAAAAATCTGGTTGGTATTGAATCAAATTTTGAATCTATGTCAAGTAGTGATATAAGATATCATATTGAGAGAAAGTTTCTCAAATAGCATTTTTTCACTAGTTATTAAACACAGTCTCTCAAATTCTGAGAGCATCCTGGATCCTGGACTTACTGGAAGAACCGCATGTAAAATAATTCCTAAGAGATTACAAAGTGGGTCTTAGTTTTTTCCTCCTAGGTAAAAGATTTACTTGACCGCTCTTGATTGCTATATAAGTATTACTTTTAAAACTTACTTAACAAGTGATTCTAAATAAAATTTAGGAGTATTAATCCCCAATAAAGGCTTCAAATTTAGAAGACATGTTTCATGATTTGAGACGTACATAAAAATTAGAGTTCAGTTTGGCTTGTGCTGTGTTTCACTTCATGTTTACTGAAATTATCAAGGTCAATGAATGTGTAGTCAGTACATTTAAAGGTGAATTGAAGAGGAATTCTAAGAAGATTTAGAAAAAAATATAAATACTAAAATTTTAGTAAAGTTGAGATTTCAGAATTTAATCTCATTGTTGATGTTATAATCTATATATACATATAGATTTAAGCAAACATATATACATATATGTCTGTCAGCAATGCATAGACTTCTCTGTAATTTTGAATGTTGCTTAAAAATATATACTATTCAACACTTTACAGAAGAAAAAATACTTTATCATTATGATACTAATTTTGTGCCTAATAAAACTTTTTTAGTTTTTATAATTTCTTCTCTCACAAAACCTTAGCCTCTATGATATGCAATATATGTAGTTGTCACACTTTCTGTAGAAATTGGCAAGCTCTAATTGGTTAAAATTTTAAATGACCGTATTATTTATTTTATATGTAAGTATCCATATTCTTAGTTAATATTTTGGAAACAAATACATATAAACCCTAAAGGAAATTGGTTTTTGATATACTTTTTCTAGGTCATGGGATTATATCTGACTTAAAATTTTGATTGAATTAAACTGTCATTTAAAAAAAAACCAGTTTTTAGACATATATTTCCCCACTCACACACATACAGATGGCACTGACCAGGGAAATATATTTTTGGGGGAAGGAGCATTCAAAGGAGTTGATTAGCTGTAGCTATACTAACTATATCTCTAGTTTAGTTTTTTTCCCAAATAGGTTCAGCCCACATGTGGAAAAGAATAACTGGGCAGCTTCAGACAAAAAACCTAAGCTATCCAATTGCCTGTAACAGATTTTACAGTAAAACAGATGAGGTTTATTTTTAAATGAACTATCATAACAAACGCAGTGTTATTAGTTTTGTTAAACTGGATTTAAAGATCAAGAATGTAATTGAAAACCTGTGATGTGGGAATCAAGAGGCATAAGGAAGTTTTTGTTCTCTGAAATGTCTTTCTTATCCAGACTCTTGCTGGCTGCAGCCCTTGAATTGTACCACTGGAAACTAGTTGCTCTACATTAAGCATCATATTTTCAGGGGCACATAACTAAAGAGTAAATATTTCTGAGAAAGTTTACACATTGAGCTATTAACCATTAATAATGTCAGTTTATAAAATGGCTCTCTAATGGTGTAGCTGGCTAAGAGGAGGGGCTTAAAAAATGGCATTCAGGATGGTTTTGAAGGGTCAGTATAAGGGAAAAAAAATATCTTTAGCAACATAATCAGTGACATAGGCCAGAGAAATGAACTCTAGACAGTCAGGAACACAATAAAAATTCCAAGATTTGGAAGAAAGAGTTATCTTGTATTGACAGGAAACTGCTAAAAGATGATGAGGAGGGAAATGAACACACTTCATCAGTTGTTCAATTGTTATTCTTCTGTCACTTGAGTCTTGATATAGAAACTAAATTCACTCTTCTGCCATTCTAATTCCATTATTGCAAATTTCTTTATAGTGAATTTCCCTGTAAGAAGGCATGTTTATTCCACAACTCCGTTTTAATTTGTTTCTTCTCAGTCTTATGGATTTATACAACTTTGGCACATGCATTGCTGATCCATTCCTTACGGGCTCATGCAACCACATTTGTATGAATGGCGCATCACAGTCTAGTTTGTGATTGAGCATGACATTTTCTTTGCATATGTCTGTGGAGTGTTCCCTCCATACATTTCTAAAAACCTGTTTTCCAACTCAGAAATTTTAACATTAGAATTCACAGGATGACAGTATCTCTAAAGTTAAGTAATCTTTATGGATATCTGATCTCGTTTACATGTATCTTTATAATTGACTATGATATTGGGATGAAGCTAACAAAATTTAAGAAAGAGAAAAGCAAGGCACTGTAAATACAAAAAGCAATTGCACAAGTATAGAAGCGAAAGAGACCTAACTTGGCAGCAATTCATCTGAAAGGGACCTGGACAAGCTTAAGATGAGCCGACAGTATGGCATATTTGCCTTAAACTATATTAATGGGAAGGCAACCTTGGCTGCCTTAATAGAAGTATAAGGTTGCCAAGGAGGCAGTAATCTTGCTGATTCTGGCCCCACCCTGTGCAATTTGGAGCATTGCATTCTGGGTATCCTATTTTAGGTGGTATTCTTAGAGGACTGGTGGGTGGTGAAAATCTGAGAAATCATGTTTAAGTGTAATGGTTGAGTGAATTTACATTGCTTAGCCTAGAGAAGATAAGATTAAATAGAAATATAACTGTCTTTATATACTAAAATCACTGTCCTATAGAGGACAATTTGTAGGTATAGAAGTAAAAAACA
Source organism: Homo sapiens (assembly GCF_000001405.40). Lineage (NCBI taxonomy): Eukaryota > Metazoa > Chordata > Mammalia > Primates > Hominidae > Homo > Homo sapiens. The sequence continues at coordinate 49,449,312 of NC_000015.10, read as the reverse complement.
TTTACTGATTTGTGGTCTTATTTTAGATTGATTTCATGATTGCTTTATTCCATATAAAAATAACTAGCAATAAATACTAGGAGCCCAATATGAGCCTATGCAGGTGGAAATTAGGTAACAAGAAAAACTTAGACTTAGTAATGCAGTCTGAGATAGTGCTAGAGTGAGCAGTTCTCTACAGACTGAAGGTATCATTCAAGTCTCTGTTTGAATTCCTATCTGTAAGCCAGACCAGCATTTGAAATAGCCAAAAATTACTTATCAAGGGGATGAGTGCAGACAGAAAAGAATGTTATTTCTCCTATGAAAGTGTTTTTTTTAGTGGCATATCCATATTATTCATATGCAAAAAAAAGAGCATGAGGAAAGGGGCTTAAACTGAAGCAGGAGTAATTTCCCTAGATATGAGAAAGTATCCAGTTGTTAGGGTAATATAATATTGGAATCGACTGCTAAAGAAAATTGTAGAGGGTTCATTCTTGGAGAGCTTCAAGAAAAGTTTTGCCAGTTATCTGTCTTGGGTTGCTTAGACTACTGGGTATTTGGGGGAGCCTTCCTTATCTTATCAGAGTGTGACTGAGAGGAAATTGACAGCCACATGTATTAAAAGCAACATAGTTTATTATATATATATATATGTACATATGTGGATGTTCATCAAAAAATAGTATATGCTCATCAAAGAATATTTGGAAATCACTGAAAAAAAGTGAAGAGAATAACCAGAAATATAACTATTGTAATCTAGTATATTTATTTTTAATCATTTTTCTGTGAATTTTGATTAACTTATGTTAGGAGTTTTTTAAAACAATAAATATACTCTTTTAAAATTGCTTTTTAAATTTAAGCACAAGGAATTTACCCAGTCACTTTAATGAACAATTAATATACACATCAGTTCTATATTGTGGTTAGTTAAAGCAAAGAAATGGAGAAAAGGAATTAAAAGAGTTAAATGGAAAGAAAGGAGAGAAGGGAAGAGAAAAAAGAATAAGGAAAAGAAAAGAGGGAGAAAAGGTAACAGGAAAGAAGACAAATTTGGAAGGAGATGTAGAAAAAACAGAAGAGTTGGGGGGACAACAATAGTGAAATGTTAGGGAGAAGGTTGAAAAGAAAGTTCTAGTAATTTATGATAGATATCCTGAGATAACCCTCATTCATCTGGCCCTCAAATATGTTATGTAAATAGGAGCATAATATGTTGCTTCATATTTCTGTCTTTTGAAGTTCTGATAAGTTTGTTATTTACTGATTATAAATCTGTATATGCTCTCGGACATTAAAATAATTTCAAACTCTCAAATCAAAAGATATCTGGAGCAGCTTTTGAATGATGAAGTTCTTCTCTGGTTGCAGAAGTAAAAGCTAGATCTTTAAAGGACACGAGCCTGAGGATTCTACCTCTACCTTATATTAATTGGCATGAAAAACAAAAGTCAAACCTATTGTTTATTCAATTCATTCTCGTTCTGTGAATCTTGGATTTTATGTTTTCATGTTTTCTCCATCATGTTGGTGACCAGTTAGTTGAATTAGTTTGGAGCAAGCAGTAATGAGGACAAAGTCATTCCACATAAAAATTTTCTCAAGTATTAACAATTATCCATGAATTGATTGCATGTTTTACCCAAATCATCTTCTTCAGTAATGAAGGAGATAGCTTTGAAATCTATCAATTTGCATAAATTTACCAGAAAATTCACCCCAAGCAAATACACCACTGATGGTGAACATGTATTTTAAACCTGACAAACAATACATCAACGCATATGCTACCAAGACTTAGTAATTAAATCACATTAAGATTGAGAATCTCTTATTCTAGCATGATTTCTATACTAGCTGCCATATTTGACTCTTGTAATGCACATCTGGGTATCTAGAAACATATGTTCCAAATCTGACTCTATCACTAACTAGCTCTGTGATCTTTGCTTACTTCTTCTTAACCTCACAGAAGCTCAAAATGTATTTACCTCTAAGTAAAGTTCAAAGTGATAAGAGAGTATTTTGCCAGCCATGTTACAGAGTTTCTTAGTTAATATTCTCAAGCTCTTACAAGTATCAAAAGAAATAACAATATAGTGCAAGATTATTTACAATGGGCCTGGTGGATTATATAATAACACTTTGTCCACCTAAATTATTATTACAAGAAATACTTTTTGAAAGCCTTATATCAGTGTAGGAAACCACAGGCTTGCATATTTGACCTTTAACATGATTTTATTCAGTGTTTAGGGTAATGTTAGTAGAATCACAGTCCATTTATTCAGGATGAGTTCCCGCACCCCCAAATTCCAGTGAGTGTTCTGGTTATACCTGTCAAAATCTCTAGAAACTTCAGAACTTCTGGAGTATTTCTCTGCCTTTTATCTCTCCTGATTTCTTGATATATCTGTGTATTGCTTTTCCTTCTCTTTAGTGAGCACTCCTTCCTCACTTCTCCCCCTGCTTGTATCTTTCTCCATTTACTTCCTAACATCCTTCCTTTAATTCTGTCTCTCCCATTTATCCTTGTTTTGTGCTATCTTCTCTTTTTATAATATGAAGTTAAAATATGTTTTGAAGCATTTTATCTGTTCACTAGGTCTGTGTTACCACTTTCTTTGCATCATATTCTCCAGCTAGACAGGACAGAGATCCCCATTCCTCACTGTTGTCCTAATGCATCTGCACCTTTTTTTCACATTTTGTTCTCTTCTTTAAAAAAGCTCTTTACCCTCTATGAAATCCTCCAACCAATCCTTCCTTCAAGCAAATGCACCTTTACCAGGAAATTTTCCTTTCCCAGTTCTTTACCTCCTTAGGTGCACCCAGAAATATTCTCTTTCAGTCTCCTTATCACTCCTTTGTTCATATGAAACTTACTAGCAACTATCGTAACTTACCAAATTATTTCCTATGGCAGTACATTAAGGGTAAAAGTCACATTGTTTATCTTTGTATCCATTATTACACAATGTCACCTGTACATCGAAGGTGCTCTATGAGTACTGAATTGAACTGCACTAATTTAAATCTTAATGAACTAGATCTAATTGCCCTTTGATTCCATGTAACATTCAGTTAAGATTTTCTAAGATGAGTGGCTCTTAACTTAAAAAGAAAAAAGTGTTCCCATATTTATCAGTGAGTGAAGCCTTCCTCAATGAAAATTGTTGTCAGCCTACTCCCAATTATAATACACTAATTACTTCATCTTTACTTAAAAGGTAGTGAATTATTTAATAAAACATTGTTATTTAGAAATACACCATAGTTTTAATGTACAAGAAAACTAACATTGTAAATATGTCTATTCCAGTAAGGAAAAAATTCATGAATTTATATAAAATTATAATGTAGATGGGGAAGTCTGATACTTGGGCATTTTTAACAAGAAGTTATTAATGATAGTATAGATATGTTTGTCTAGTAAACTTTCTATCTAATTTCAAATGATCATACTAAATTTTAGTTTGAAATTATCTGATAATTGGAATCTGGTGATAAGAGAGTTTCAAATACACTCTTTTACTATTATTTCTTGGCTAACATGAGCAGGACTTTAAACAGATACCTGCAGTTTTTAAAAACTGGACAGCTATTATCATCTGAACTTGATGGATCATATACTTTTCTATATTTTATTTTTTTCTTTCAATTGACATAATAATTGTACATATTTATGGTGTACACAGTGATGTTTTCATATATACAGTGTATAGTGATCAGAGCAGGGTAATTAGTATGTCCGTGATCTAGACATTTATCTGAACCAAACTAGGAGAAAATTAACAAAATATAAAACAGCTTAAGCAAAAGGTCTGTTTGTTTTAGATAAAAATGTTCTAAAGAAAAAACAATAGAAAACTTACATTTCAAGTGGGAAAAATGTCTAGAGAGGAAAATTTAGCATGATAAAAATAAGTTTGCCACAGGAACAGAAAACCAAATACTGCATGTTTTCACTTATAAGTAAGAGCTAAACATTGAATACTCATGGACTTAAAAATGGCAACAATACAAACTGGGAACTACTAGCAGGAGGTAGAGATGTAGGCAAGGGTTGAAAACTTAACTATTGGGTACTATGCTCAGTACCTGGGTAATGGGATCATACATACCCCAAACTTTAGCATCACACAATATACCCAAGTAACAAACCTACACATGTACTCCCTGAATCTAAAATAAAAGTTGAAAAAACACCAACCATTTTAAATTATGAAATTTTAGTCTGGAAAGAAAAGGATTATTGAGGATATGTCTGAAATCTATATAATAATTAGGACTTTAACCAAATGAATATGAATTCATATATGAATATATGAATATGAATCAGAATGAATATGAATACATGAATATTTGTTCTAAAGTATTTTATTTAAGTTTACACACAAAGCTTCTAATTACCAGTATTCTGAGATGTGATAAAAACAAAAAAAGAGAGGCTAAACTTTATGCATTAGGTTGTAAATTTATTTTTTTAGCTCAAAGTATATCACAAAAACATTGATTCAAGATGGCTTAAATTGATTCTTGAATGATAGATTCATGCAGAGTATTTAAAAAGCTGGAGATATTTGCAATTTATTTCTAGCCTTTGAGACAGACCCCGGAACATATGCACAAAGGGTCCTTGGTCTGCAGTCAGCAGCAGAATATTAGGCTAAGAAGGTTCCTGATTCAACTTAGATCTGCTTCATTAGGCTTCATTAGATACCAAGTTATTTCAGCTTGAGATAAACCTTATGTTCTCTCACACACATAACGTTTTAACTGAATGTAATTAGACCCACGTACTACAATCTATTGATGTTTTGAAGCAGATAATTTCAATGTTATTTCTTTGTCTACTTACTTTTTATCCTAAAAAAGTTTTTAAAGGCAAATATGTGATCATCTATATTCTTTTTTACTTTTTCATACTATAAAACATAATCTGTTACTGTTTAAACCAACTTTGGTTCCGTGCATTTTCAAATCTTTTCATAGTAGCATGTTTTACTGAAATGTTAAAATGTTAAAAAGAAGAAACACTGGGCTAAATAGCTGGATTGTGGCCTTCCATTCTCCGTTTTTTCATTGTCTTGAGAGCAATCATAAATCCTTATGAGGGAGAATGGATACTATAATGAAAAATTAAATAGTACATATGGTTCTCATTGATGAGTTTTCTGCTATCCCAGCAATGCCACTGCCTACCCCAGCATTGCTTCCAACACTGCCGTAAGATCCTTATAAGAAAGGTGACCTTGCATCCTTGTTTGCCCAGCACAATGTTAGTTTACACCTGCTATTCTGATGTGTTTATTTACAGCACAATCTTTTACTCTCAAAAGTGTTCCAGTTTGGATGATAGATTATATGTAGAAGCATGATGTAAATGTTTAACAACTGACTCTCAGGGAAAAAAAGTGTACATATATATGCACACATAGTTCATTACAAATTCTACTGATATAAAGGAAGCATAGCACACAAGCATATAAATAATAAAATATAATACTCACAAAATGCTTTCACTATTTCTGTTTTTCTCTGAAGCCAAACCATGGTTGTAATAGAGGAACAACTATAGTTCTGACAATAATATTTGTTGATGTTTTCATTTATGTTAATAAGTAAGAAGAAGGTAAATGAATGAAGATGTATATTGGAACTTCACTCACTTCTCAATGATATGAGTGACTTCTTTGCTGAATTAGATCATAGTTTTTAGAGATACTAGAAAACTATTTTCTCATTTTTGTTCTATTCACAATGAAACAGTTATAGACACTAAACCTTAAGTTTAATCTACATTATTAACATTTTTGTATCATTCGCTTAAATGTAGACCATCAACAAAATAGTGAATCAAGCCCTGATTTGTAGCATTGGCCAATTTATGTGGTGTAGGTGCTCTTATCATAGTTGGGTCCAAGCCACCAACAAAACATCACTGAACAGAGTTGGGAAGAAATATACAGACGCATACCATTATCTAGTATTTCCATCATATAAATACATTAGAAATAACCTCAAAAACATATATAATAGTAAAGAAATTCAGTAGTAAAGAGTTTTGAGTATTTATTACTTTTCTTTTAATGTAATTTATTTCATTCTAAGTTTATGTAATTAAATGTTTAATAATGGCTGTATTTAATAAGTTAACAAAATTTTTGAAAATTTAACAATTGGCTCTCATGGACCAGTACAAGGAGCTTCAGCAGACCACCAAATATGGTCACCCTACTTATAACTAATCCCATATATTCAAACATTCATTGGCTACATATTTTCAAACACTTAATATGTGCCAGGAATTGTGCTAGTTTTGTGAGATGCAATACAGCAGAGTTCGAGATAGAAACTATTTCTGCCTTCACATGATTTCCAACAGCCTTTGACTCTCCCACTTCCAGTCTCTTTTTCCTAATCAACCTAATCATTAGTGGTGTGAGCAGCACATATTTGGTGAATTGTAGTGACTTAGTAGGTATATAGGTGTCGTGTGGAAGCACAAACGGAATTAAAAAGAAGAAAAGCCAGTGGTTGGGTATTTGAAGTGTCTAGTGTAAATAGTAACAAATTAGAACTGAGCTTTTTCTGTCAAATGTTTAAATAACCATGCTAGTAGATTTCCTTTACCTGCAGCTTTATAATGGCAGGCAACAATAAAAGACACTGCATTCATGTAATTAGTGAGTAACTACTCTATGCAAAGCACTATTCTAATGCTGAGATGGGAGTGAGGGATAAGGAAAGGGGAGAGAGTGACAAGGGAATTGGAAAAGAGGTAATATAATAGATGGAAAGACCTATAATACTTCCAACTCCTGGTTCTAAAGTCTAGGAGAATACAGTAATCTAAGGAGAAAATCATAACAGTAATGCCTTATGTTTGTATACTGTTTTACAGTTCTCACATTTTACTCTCACAAGGTACTCAGCAGTGTGCAGGGGTGGACTGAAATGGCCAAGGGGAGCTTCGTGGAGAGTTGAGACTTAATCTGGGCCCTGAAGAATGGGTAGATACTGAGAAGAAAAATTCTAGTCAATATTGTCATGCAGAGTGAAAAAGTATGGATGTTTATAGTCTAGGAAAAATAGTGAATAGATTGGCTGGCTAGAATAGAATCTTTCCATTAGCAAACAGTAGAAAATAAGGTAAAAGAAAAAAAAGAGCCAAATGATAGAGTTTCTTAATGAAGAGCTGAGAGAAGCCTTACAATACCTTTATTCACTGAAGTTTTTATTGCTTCTTACTTAATTCAATTACTTGAACACATTATTTCCTAATGTGCTGGACACTATAATGGATCTTTTGATAAAAAGATGAAAAAGAAAAGTTCCCCGCCCTCAAGGAGCTCTAGCCAGACAGACATATACAAATAATTATAATACTTGAGCACTACACAAAATGATAAAAATAAATGCATAAGTACAATGAGAAGGTTGCTCCCTCCTCCTACTGACCACTGAGAAACACTGTATGCAATTAGTCATGTGACTGATAGGAATTCAATGAGATAATACATTTTCTTTAAAAACTTTACACAATACTGCTATTAAGAATAATAATTATGAAAATGTGTAATAAAGAATAAGAATTATGAATAAAATAAAATAGTATTATAATCATTATCATTGTTATTTGAGAGGCTGAACATATGAAATGATGTGGAGCCCCTGAGAAGTACTGCTGTGGTGAATCAGAAGAAAATTATACCATGTCATGAAATGCACTCTCCTTTTCTCTCTATATATGGAAATCCTAACTAATCTTTGTGTCCCACTTTGTCTGTAATGCTTCCTGGTCTACTTTCCTGGTCTACTTCAGTCCTCTGGAGCTCCTGTTGGAACTGTGGCCAATACCATATGATTTAGCATTTAATGTCTCTCTAATTTTATTTTTATTTTACTTCATCTTGTGTTGATATTAGTTTTATTTCTAAAATTGGATTCTTAGGGGCTGAATCCAAGACATATGTTATGCTTTCTAATCATTGTATCCCCTAATGAGCCTATAACACTGCAGACTTAAATTGATGCTAAATAAGTATGAATTGAGTGTTTAATTTGAAAATCTAAGTTGTGGGCACCCAGGCAACATTGGCAGTATTGTTTGGTGAGGCCTCTGACCTCCTTCTGCAGTCTCTTCCACTTCTGTATTCTCTTCTCCTTTTAAGGTAATCTCATGTTCTCTGTGTTCTACCCAATCAAATCCCACATTCAGGAAATTATCTTATTTACTCATTCATTTTAAAGTTGTAAGCTATTCATAAGTATTTAAGTGTTATGTTTTGGTGGTAATTTACACTTTGAAAGATAAAACATTAAGCCAAAAAGAATGAATCTCTAAGCAGTAAGCAGGTTGAGTTTTCTTGTTACAGTTTTTTCCATCTAAACCAACTTATAACCAGTATCATCTTGATAGAAAACTTAAAATGTTAAAATATTAGAATGTTTAATAATACCTCAGTAATCAACTTCAGAATGTTATATAACAAAACAACTCAATGGGTGGAAAGAGCATTGGCTTTTCATTTCTGTAGAGCCCTGAGTTCAGGTCCTGACTCTGTTGTTTACTAGAACCAAACCAGTCTCTGACTGTCAAACTGAGCCTCATTTTCCTCATTTATAAAATGGAATTAGATGAGAGAAATCATGTAAAGCACCAAGCACTGTGCCTGACAAATAGTTAATACCCAATAAAGAGAAGTTTTTATTCTCCCATCTGTTTAATAAATATTAATGCATTAATTTGGTTAATTTTATTTTAGCTGTATGACTGTACAACAATATGTTCATTTTAGATAATTTTATGTAAATAGGACATTAAGTAGTTTCAATTTCAGTTTCAATTAAGTATTTGGTTTTATATTATAGATGGCCAACTATAATCAATTTGCTGATCTCTTTTTCCTATATATATAAACATTGGCTTTTCACTATAAATACTTTGGAGCAATATTCTACCCCTCTATGATGACTCTTTTACTTATAAGAAATATATCAACTTTTTGACATTTGGTGGGAGAACAAAAGGGGAAATGATCCAAATTGTAAGAGTGTATAAACAGAAGGAAATCAGCTAAGCTTTTGGTGTTACAAACCACAGTAATAATGCATATTGTTTACACAGTGGGTTTAACTAAAAGTATGCTGAACTAAAAACCAGAAGACTTCAATTCCAGTCCAAACCACCACTGCCACTAATTCGTGATGTCATTTTGAAAAGTTATCTTTTCGTGACTCAGTTCCCTCATCAAATAAAATAAGCATAATAGACTAGATCAGTGCTTCTTAAACTTTTATTGGAAACACAGATACTTTTGATAATGTGATAAACGCTTTGAATCCTGTCCCCAATATTTGTGCATATTTTTTCCTTTCCAGTTTCCCTGAGGGCTATCTGCAAACTTCATGTCAAAATCTCTGGACTCTATGATCTCATGGCTTCCTTCCAGACCTGTAATTCCAGAGTGGAGTTGTCTTTGTTTCATACAACCATTAGTGTGATTTTAAGCAAGCAAATCATCCAGTTTCTTTCTCAATGCTACGAAGTGGGGTATTAACACATGGTATAAGGTTTCCTCCCTCTGTCTGCAGTAAGAGAAGAGAGCCACGTTCCTCCTGAGGAGACCCTAACCCAGATTAGCAGTTCCAATAAGGAAAGCTATCTACTTCTCAGGCTTGTTCAGAAACAAGCTTATTCCACAAACTTATTGCTCTGTTTCTCTTCTATTGTTGCTTTAACTTAATTTTATGTGTACTTAGAATTTCAACTTGACTAAAAATTCTTCAGATGCAAAAACCATGCATGGTAGTTAGTCCGTGGTTTGGCCCCAATGATCCCTAACACTTAGTATTCACTATTCACACCCTTGGGTAGTTCCCTCCCCCCACGTTTTACTATTTTACTAGGGTTAGTCTGTGTGACCAATAAAATAAGGCAGAAATGATGGTACGTCACACTGCAATTTCCATCTTAAAGATTCTCTCTCTCTCTGCCTCCCTTTCTCTCTCTCTTTCTCCCTCCCTCTCTCTCTCTCTCTCCTACCCCTCTCATTGCTCAGTCTGAAGGAGGCCAGTTGCCATGTTATAAGGACACTCAGGAAGCCTGTCGAGAGGCCCACATAGCAAAGAGGAAGTTGCCGGCCAACAGCCTGATAGAAACAGAGGCCTGCCAACAACAATGTGAGAATGCTTTATATAGATCCTTCAGCCCCAGTCAAGACATAAGAAGACTTCAGCCCTAGCTGACAGTTTGATTGCAACCTCGTAAGAGTCCCTAAGACCAACCCACTCAGCTAAGCTACTCCCAAATTCCTGACCCTCTGAAACTGCAAGATAATAAATACTGTTTTAAGCTGGTAAATTTTAGGTAACTTGTTATGCAACAATAGATAACTAATTTTCTCTCTCTCTCTTTTTCTCTCTCTTTTTTCTCCCTCTCTCTTATCTTTCCTTCTCTCACCTTACCACCCACTCTCTCTCTCAGTTGCTTAGCACTATTGGTAACATTTAACAACTGTAATCTATTCAAGAAATCTGGCCTACCTCTCTTCAATTTATATTTATAAAACAAATACAAAAACAAAAACTGAGGCCTAGGAGAGTCAACTATTTGCCCAAGGTCATTCAGTTAATTATTGGAAGAAAAAGGATTAACACCCAGGTTCCATAATATATGATACAGTATTATTTCCTTGTCCTCGTGCTCCCTCTCACTTTCTTATCAACTCAATCTACTCCTATGCTATATATAATGTGTATTAATATTTATACAAAATAATGCTATTGGTGTGATAAGCTAAGACTGATAACTCTTTGGTGAATTTTCTAGCCTACTTTTCTCCCTTTTCTCTTCTGCAATTGACAATCTGGTCCATTTATAAATCCCTGTATCAAAGACTGGGTGGAACAAAGCAATGGATATTCATTGTCACGAGTTAATTTCATTGCTTTGTGGGTAGTTCTGGTAAGAGGATTTGGTAAGAAAGGTTAAATTTTTAACAAAGTAATATTTGAGTTATTAATTGATATTAACTATCCAGGTCATTTTTGTGAATAATGTAAATGACTGTTTTTGATTAGTTAGTGCTTCTACTATTCTTCAATGGCTCCTTATAGCCTATGGGTAAAGCTTCATATTCCCTAAAACAACTTTCCAAGATATGAGACTTCCCTGCAGTCTTATCTCTTCCTACTTCCTATCTTGAACTTGGTACTCCTGAAACACTAATTCCCATACAAACCTACTGACACACAACTCAGCTTTTTCTTCATGTACTATTTTCCAGGAAGAGATACCCTTTCTTCTGACTCCCTTCCCCATTTCCTACCCTCTTCTCTAGCCTGATTCACTCCCACCTGCTCTTTGAGATGTGGTTAAAATATGTTTTTTGAGAGTATTGCCCTTTCTCTCCCAGGTTCTGTTAGCTGGCCTCCACTAGAGTCCTCTAACTCCCTGAACATACCTTTTTCACAGTACTTACTATATTCTACTGAAATTGACTCTTTGGTGTTGGTATCCACACATAGGCTGAATTTTTTCAATGGTGGGTGCTTGCATTGTGTATCTGTGCATACACAGTACATAATACGTAATATATGCTCAGTAAATATTGCAATAAATAGTATTCTAATTGCTGGAAAGAGCCACTGCAACTTTCAGAATACAAACCTTCTAAGATATTCTTAAGACACTGAAAGAACCTAAAGTTAATCAGGTCACAAATAATGCATGTCTGGTTTTCAGAAAAATATTGAGAAACAGAGATATGATTTACCCAGAATCACACCCCAAAAAAATCCTTAAAATAGAATTCCAGATATACTATCTTTGGATTAATTCATCATTTTTATTCCCTTTCTTTTGCCTCTTACTTTTTGTGGAGCGCAGTCCTAAAAGGATTAAAAATAAACTAAGGACATGGACAAAAGAAAGAACCTATTTGCCAGTAAACTGTTTCTTTTTCACCATCCTTCAGACATGCTTGTTAAAACAAACTCTCTGCTGTTTCTTTTATTTGTTTTTGTGTTGCTTTGTATTTGGATTTAGTGGCTTTAGGGAAGGAAATTATCTTTAGGCATTCCTAAATATGACTAAGTTATCTGAGATTATCTGAAATTAAACTGTATATATACAATTTAATATATAATATATGTAGTGTCTGGATAATTATTATTATGCATTCTATAACAATTTTCCAGACCCTAAAGAACAGAAGTATAAATAGTTTTAATAAATGTCAGGAATGTGTTTAAAATACAACCAAGTTAAATTTTGTAGCATCTTAGCAATGTGTAAGCAAAATAAACTGAAGGTTGCTACGCCTTCTCAGGGGAAGACAGATGGATATATTTTGTACAAGGAAACTTGGAGTAAGTTTTTATTTAATAAGCTGAAGATAATGCCAAGTATTCATTAGGTCATATTACAGAGAAGAAAACTTCAGTTATTTGTATTTCTTCAGATGCAAATTATCCCACTGCTTGATACAAAGTAATATGCGATGTTTTAATAACACCAGTGACAGTATAGTGATACATGTGATGATACTAAAGCTGTGCTTTGGAGTTAAACCTACTTGCATTCACATCCCAACTTTGACAGTTACTAGCTATGTAACCTAGAGCAAGTTACTTAATTCTGTGAGCCAAATCTCCCCCATCTGCAAATGAGCATAAGTCTGCCCACCTAATAAGAGCCCTGTGAAGATTAAATTAAATAATGTATATAAAGTGTTTAACACAGTGCCAGGCACACAGAAACCACTCACACATTTAATTTTTGTTGTAGTAGTCATTTTTGTTATCTTAATACTAATGGCCCATGTTTTCATTGAGGGAAAAAATTTACTTAAGAATGTCTCATTTTTCCTCTACACAGTCTTTTAGTAACCAGCTTGTGTTGATAAAAGGAAAGCTGGAAGGTTTAAAGCAAGATTCTATATATGAACTTCTTGCTCCTTAATATACAATGATGTTAATCACACAATGGACTCATCAGACCTACTATGCAATATCTAATCTTTGTAAGTTAACTGACTACTCAAATATTTTCAGAAAACAATCAACATTGTATGCAAAGGTTTTTGATAGGATCATCTGAAACACTGGCTAATTTTGAACACCAATCTTTCTTCACTAAAATGAACAACATCTAAATAGGAAGTAAAACAGGCCCATGTATAATTTTAAAACAGTTAGAATTTATATACCAGCAAACTTATTAAGCTGGCCAGTTTCCTGAGGGTCTTTTTTTTCTTCCGTGAAATGAAGTAACTGTGTAATTGCAAGCTTACAGCATGGAGATATTTTGAGAATTAATCAGAATGGAATAAAGTACTCTGTACCAATTTCAATATTGGCATATGTATTTTTAAAGAATTAACATTAATTATATACTTACATTTATTCACTCAATAAAAATGTTCCCAGTTGTACATTGTAAGATTTTGCAGACTAAATTAAAAGATTTATGGCAACAGTAACAGATTTACTTCTATACAGTGCAGTGATTTTAGTGGTAATATTAATTTGAATATCTAATAAACTACTAAATAGTACTTCAAAACATCATAAATTTTAAATTACAACATAGCAACTATGATATAGATTTATGCTCATCTTCTTTGGGGTATCTATTATTATTCAATATCTGGCCATCTTCCAGCCAGTTAAGAGAAAATTTGAAGACCAAATTTGGCCAGAATCTTTTCAAAGCTGAAAGCACTTCTGTGTGCCTGTTAAACATCCAACATTATTTTATAACACATTATTTATACAAGAAGGGAGGTGAGCCTAATTTTGCAAAAACAAAGACATATCAGTAGTTTTATGAAAGTAGCATACTTCATGAATTAGAGGGCATAAAACTATGCACAGCTGCTTGACTACTGAGTGTCTTGATTACATAGTTGAAACAGGTGATCCAGTGCTCATGGTAGTAAAAGTATGTCTTATCTTAAAGAATGTGGTAGATAACCTTCATAATTTTGTCCTTACATGCCAAACATATGACTCAAAATTATTTTTCTCACATTTTAGAAACTGTTAGGGAAAAAACTCCATAAAGATTACTTCGATTTTACAGTGATTATTTGTCAACAGCTGACATAGGTAAGTTACACTTATGGTCAAAGATTGAAAAGGCATTAAAAAGTAAAAAATATTTCATTCATTTTTTTCACACTTATGCCTTTTCCCCATGTACCCCCCTCTCACTTCATACACAACAATTTTAATGTATACTATTTTGTATGTGTTCGAAATGAACATTACTGTTTTGTATGAATGTATTTTTATTGTTGTAAAATACACACAACATACTGTTTATCATAAAAAAGTGAAAAATATGCAGTTATTCAGAAAAAATATATTATTCCAATTGAATTATGCCTTTAAAATTTCCCTTTAAAGGAAAAACATTGTATGAACTTTGAGAAATTGGTTCTCTTTTTTATTAATTAATTATTAATTAGTTTTTTATTAATTATTGATGTTTTCCCTTGCCAGATTGAGCATACACAGTGAACAAATTCACAGTCTATGTTTTTAGATTTAATTTAAGTTGCTGGTAGTTATGTTTTTAATAAACATAGCAATCATTCGAAGCATGCAAATTAATAAAGAGTAAATGTTCTTATATTTTTAATAGAAAAAAAACCTTTACCTTGGTGAGTTTAGCATTGATACTTGGAAAGATGTTAAATCACTTTTCATTTCCCAATCTTGCAGTACTGTTACTACCAAACATCTACAAAAAGCATTTCCTCTGAGGATAATACATCTGTCCTCTATCTTTTGTCCTTTCATCCTTCAGGCTATTTCCTCTCAGAAAAGATTTCCATGCCCTTCTCCTTGTGTTGGGTTTGACAACCTGCGATGTGCCCTAAACTTACTCACTCTGACTTGGAGTTCTCCCTTGACTCCCAACTGTTAATTCTGTAAAAGCATGGACTGTATATTTGCTTACTATTGCATTCTTAGTCTAGCAAAAGGAGGTATAAATAACTTGGTTGAATTAATTAAAAAAAAAAGTCATTAACCTTTAAAATTTTGCATATCTTCATTATTCATGCAAACAAAGGCGGAAACTATGTAACACCTACAAGTGACCTTCCTATGAGAGCTGCCTCAATATGAACCAGATAAACTAGGCCTATGGTCAGAAGTACAGTTAGAGACCCCGTAAGATACCAAAAGACTCCTGAAGATCAGGCTACTGGCACTAAAACGAATTGAGAGTGGATTCACCAACTTTCTTGACTTCTCCCCAGTTCTCTCTTCCTATGCATATGCCCTCTCCTCCCTTCAGTGCTGATCACCAACTCCAGGATCAATATTAGTAGGCAGACCCCTGCCCCAAAATTATCAGTCCACTGCTTGTTTTCTAGTATAGCTCATTTAATTATTAAAGACTTTTTCTCTTTTTGTCTCTAATGCAGATATTCCTTAAACCAATATCAACTATGAATTACTGTTTTTTTCTGTTTATAGTTTTTGGCATGCATGGATTAGCTGGCAGTCAGGTGGGAACAAAAATGGGTGTCATGGAGGGCCACAGCTCCTCTAGAATTGGTCTTCACTATGCCCTGCCAATCAACCTTCCAGTGTCACCAGTGGTAACTGTGTCTGCTTATATAGTTGGCCTCTACAATAAACCAAATTTTCCACCAGTTCCTTGAAATCACCTAGAAAGACATTAAATCAAATTGGTTCTGGAGGCCATTTTTTTTTAGTGATAGAGAATGAGAGGGAAGTGAGGTGTATTTCTCTTTTATTTCAGCAAGGCTTTTAATTCTTGCCCACTTTAAATTTTCATGATAATTTAGTAATCTATTTCTTATTTACATCTAATTTTAAATGTGTAATAAATTAAAGGATAAATATATTGAGTGATCACTAATCTTTCTCCCCTCTTTTACCCTTTCACCTCTTACACTGGGCTAAGTGCTGCTGCTTCTACCACTGGAAGATTAAAAAAAATAAAAAGTAAGATATGGTACTTATTTTCTCAGAACTGACATTCTAGTGACAGTGCCAAATGCAAACAGAAAGAATCATAAGACAAGGCAGATGTGCTGTACACAGGTAGAAAAGCAATTGGGGCACAGAAAGAGAATAAGACCATTACTGGCTCTGTATTGAAAATCTCAAATAATTGATTTCTTTGAAGAATGTGGAGATTAATTCATTAAATTTGTAGTCCTTTCATCAGATTATGTTAAATTTCTAAATAATTTTTAGCCAGTAAATGAAACATTTCTTTATTGAAATAATTGAAATAGCAACAAATTTTGCTCCAACTACTTTTTCGAAAAGTAAAAATTTATTGTTTTAGATATATACAGTAAGAATTTTTCAATCATATTAGGATCCTAAAGCATTTTTAGGTTATAGCATAGGAAATGTTTTTGGTTAGTTTATCGGTGGCCCAAATAATAGCTGTTGGGCATCATTTCTTGTTACAGGAGGGTGGTCCTATAAATCTGCTCAGAACTCAGAAAGAATTTTAAATTAGGCTTAAATCCCACTGCAAATCCCTGGATTTCTGTCCAGTATTCATGCACAAAATATTACTCTAATAGTCCGAAATCATATATAATCTTCTGACTTTGGCATACATGCTTAGTTGGTCATTATTAAAATGTTGGTTCAGGTCAATTGTATAGTTTTTTTATTTGATTCAAACAATTTAGTGGCAACTTCGTTTAGTTCTTGACAACACCAAAGATAGATCCTTAGACAATAGCTCTCAAGTTGAAATTTAATAAAATTTAAATATTCCACCCAAACCAGGGACTAAGAATGGAGGTGAGGGAGAGGAGGAGTGTTATGTTGTCAAATAAGTTTAAGAAATCATGTATACTCTTTTCCTAGAGTTTTAAAAATTCTCATTAGTATAGTATAGACTCAGAGAAATTCTGCTGAAAGAAAATTGTTCAATTTTATTTAACCTAATATTTCTCAGCAGGTTAGTTAGAGAAGCTGTGCTACAGGAAACAGCCTTAATATCTCAGGGGGCACTAGTGTTATAAAGAAACACAGTTTGGAAATATTACCTTAAGAAAATTCTGCAAGCTGAGTTCATTCTGAATTTGGTCTCAAACTATTTTCTTAGCATTACTTACAGTTACATCTAAAGTTCAAGTAGCCAGATAAAATGGGAAATATTACAATAGAATATAACAAATGTGATATTTGAGGATATTGAAACATGTCTTATTTCTCTTACATTAATCTTAAAAATAAATTCAGTTTCAGAATAATTCTGATAAATAAGCAAAGATTATTACAGTTTTCGGCACAAAATCAACCAAGAGATTCAAACCTATTTGAGTAATACCTGTAATAATTTATTATCATTTCAACCCCTCTGTATTATTATCTGAAATTGTTATTTCAATTTCTAGTTAAATCCAACCCCCAGCATTTTAGTGGTTTTGTTTCTTCCTTCTACTATCTTGTCATTCCATTGTCTCATTCTTTAAGTGCATCAAGAAAGTTAGTGGGGCTATATTTTATGAGAAACTTTGCTTCATTTTAAGTTTACAGAAGATTTAAAATCCAATAATTTTTATGTAAAGTCTTTTTCCTTTTCTCTTTTGCTCTTTTTCCTCCTGTTCACAAAGATATTTTCTTCCTCTTTATTTTTAGATGGACACTAGCTAATGACTCTATCAAGTACTCATGACCACTCCAGTAGAAGAGATTACTTTCTTCTGGAGGGAAGTTAAGCAACTGGAGAATCTCTAGAGCCAATTCTCCCCAGTATACATCAAATTTTTTTCCTCTGAGAATGATGTTGCCTGCCTAAAGACAAGGTTTACTTGGGCATGGGTACTGGATAATTCTCCTCTCTCACTCCCCATCTTAATCACTTTGTCTTTACATATTACTACACAAACCCTTTCATACACATAGTTAAGGAACTTTAATGACATTTTTGTTAGTGAATTTGACACGACTTCTCTACTAAAGATATGTCCAGATATAATCTCAAATGCAGATAAAAAACTTGGTCCAAAAGCGGTTAAACATTCAGGGACTCTTTAACACAATTTTCCAAATCATGTGGAAGGCAGAGGATTTTCATTTACAACCTATTTGAGGGGTAAAAATGTTAGATGTTGTTTAGTAAAGGAGTTTATATTAAAGTCTATTTCATTGAACAAGAGTCATTTTTCTCCATATTACTTAAGTATACATAATTTTATTGTGAGATATATAAAATTTAAAAATGGAAAAGTATTGTATTCCAATAGTGATGTTAGAGAAGTTATTGTGCTACCAAAAATTGTGTGATACAAAGGAAGAAAGCTATGATCCTTAGAAAATAAAAAAAGCTTTGCCCTAATGTTGTGCATCATTCCAGTCTTAAAAAGAGAACAGTCCTCTAGCTTTATGTCTTTTCTCTGATCTGGATAGACCCTTGCTATGGTTTGAATGTCCTCTCCAAAACTCATGTTGAAATTTAATTGCCATTGTGATGGTATTAAGAGATGGGACCATTGAGAGGTGATTAGGCCATGAAGGCTTCAACCTCCTGAATAGATTAATGTCATTTTCTCAGAAGTGAGTTATGAAGAGAATGGGTTGTTAGAAAAAATGATTTCAGCCCTGTCTGTCTCATACTCTCTTACTCTCATACATTCTTGCCCTTCTACCTTCCACCATGGAATGACACAGCAAGCAGGCCCTTGCTAGATGCCATTACCTTGATATTGGACTTCCCAGCCTCCAGAACTGTGAAGAATAAATTTCTTTTCTTTATAAATTATCCAATCTGCAGTATTCTCTTATATCAACACAAAGCAGACTAAGCCAACCCTCTAGAATTGTGGTTCTCTCCCCCTGGGTTTCCTAGGCTAGAGGTTGTCTCCTTAAACCTC
This sequence comes from Homo sapiens, assembly GCF_000001405.40. Classification (NCBI taxonomy): domain Eukaryota; kingdom Metazoa; phylum Chordata; class Mammalia; order Primates; family Hominidae; genus Homo; species Homo sapiens. The sequence goes on along the minus strand of NC_000015.10, from coordinate 49,430,431 downwards.
TGCCTTTGAACTTGGTTGTGTGGCCATGAGAGGTGAGATCCTAATCTGGGAGCATCTGAGTTCATAGTCATAAGGTGGCTCATTTAAGTGCAGAATAAGCAGACATTGAGGCCTGTACTTCAAGTACCCTACTGCAACACCACTTTAAAGTGTCAGAAGAGATGCAGACCTGCCTGTCATTGTGAGGCTGTGGTACAGAACCTATTCTTCCCTGCAGCTAACTCATTCACCAAAGCAGTCTTCTTAACATAGTAGCTACAGAGCTATCATCACGTACATTTCCAGGCCAGTTCACCAAATGTTGGAGCCACTAAGATTTGTCAGAGAGGTCAGATGAGCCCAGAAGAACCCTCTTGGTGCATAATTCAGAGATTTATGCCTAATCAAGCCTATTTCAAAATCCTCTAGGGTTCAAGTTAACTTTGAATCCCTCTACAGGGTCTGAAACATTCCCAAGACCCCTGAGGTGGTCCAGGCTGAATTAGAATTCTTGTTCTCCATAAGCAGTGGTTTGCAACCTTAGCTGCACTTTAGAATCATTGGAGAACTTTAACAAATACTAATGCCTGGTCCTTCCCACCTTTGTGAGATTCTGACTTAATTCCCCAGTAATCTAATGTGATCCCCTTAGTCCAGTGGTTCTCATCCCTGGCAGCATGTCAGAATTATCTGGGGAAGCTTTTAAAATTCCTGATGCCCAGACTGTACCTCAGATCAATTTAATGAAAAATTTTTTGTGGGTGGAAACTGGCATCAGTATTTTTTTAAAGTTCCCCAGCTGATTGTAATATTTAGACAAGGTTGAGAGATAGAAAAATGTAGAAAGGCAACCCTTTCAATATATCTAAGAGCTGACTTCTTCCATTCTCTGTAATTCACTTGGGCCTCTGAATGCTCTAGAACTGTAGGTTAAAGAGTTATTGTACAGCTGAGTCATAAGGGTCAGTCTAGATGAGGATTTACAAAAGAGAAAAGAGATGATAAGAGATGCACTCGTGGCAATGAATGAACTTATTAGCACTTCATAAGTGCCAGGCACATGTGATAGCCAAAAAGAAAAGATTATAAAATTAAAAACTAATCAAAGAATGGCTAATATTTTCAAATCTGCTCCCCAGCAGTTTATCCATTCTTCATAATTTAAAGCCCTAACAAGTTACTTAAGGGAATGCGGGTCACCAGTTCTACAAGATTCTACCTTGTCTATAATTGCTAGGATTTTGGTTCGACTGCGTAGATATGTTACTTATTATCTATTTTTTTAAAGGCAGGGGTTGTCCTTACATTGCTATTTTTGATTCTGATAATGTGAATTATTGTTCTTTTAGATAACTTGCTAAGAACTGTTTAGAATATAAGCAAATTTACCATCTCCATATTCAGAGGCAATATGTGTATTTGCTAGCTTCTAACACATTATTGTTAAGTAGGAGCCTATCCAAAGAATTGTTGACAAATGAGTCGCTGAAGGTTTTGTAGCCAAAGTCAAATTCAGCAACGCTGTGTTTATTTGCCTTTTGCCAATTGTTAGGCCATATCCCATCACAGTCTAACAGTCCAAAAGAGAATATTGCCAAATCATTGGCCAGTTTTCAGAATGGCTAACCCTTTTCTTGCTATGGAACTAACAGTGCTTCATTATAATCAAGTGAGGCAATTTATGACAAGAAATTCTTAAAAGGAGTAGATGATATTGACTATTATTGGGAAGAGCACAACTTTTTAGTAATTGGATACCAAAAGCATGAAAATTATCCTGAGGGATTGGATTCTGTCTTCCACATCTGTCTCTCAAGGCGGTCACTGAGTGCCCAGTGCACTGCTGCTTTCTCTCACTCGGCACCTCAATACTCAGCTTAAAGAGCAGTGTTATTTCTGTCAGGTGCAGAATGATAGCCTCTGTCTGCTGTTGGACTGCCTGGTGCAGCAGTAATCTAAATTCACCCTCTGATCTTGTCCCCATGGGGAGAGTTCTGACAACAAAAGTGGAAGTATCGACCATTCATTTCACCCTTTTATGATGTTCTCAATGCTCTTCTTCTTCTGCAGAGAAAATGAATATTTACTTCATTTTGAATGTGTACTTTGGAGGGACATTTTATGCTTTTAGTATTCTTATTATTAGTTAAGGTTAGATACTAGTTTCATCACCTGGAAACCCACTGTTAGGCTAAATGTGAAGCCACCAGAGAGATAAGTAAAGGGGAGAGACTTTCTGCCTCCTGGGTAACAGTAGTACACAATCCTTATGACCAGTTCTCTAGTAGCAGCTTCTGTCCCCTCAAGAGTCAGAAATGTGGTCCAGTATCTCTTGGCCTCTCATGAATTCCCCCATCTTCATAGTTCTTATTTATATGTCTACTAATACAAGTCTTATTTCCGTTGGGTTCCTTGATGCACTCTTTCTGTAATATATTCATTCTAATCTAAACTTAAAATATTTTACAAAACAACACAGTAATTAAGGTAAGACTAAAGTAAGTGACAACCTCACAATCCAGGATAGCTTAAGTAATTTTTTAAAATTCCCTAAAGTTATGAGACATGAGCAGTCACATCCACTTGCCCACCACTCCCTTTTCTTTCTCCATGCCCTCCAACCATCTACCCGAGCCCAAAACATTGTGGAAGCAGAATTATACATCTAGATATTTTACTTCTCCTGCTAGCTCCAATCCATATTTACTAGTATCTTAAAAAACCACATTCCTGTGTGGAAGCATTGCTTCTGCTGGTGAAGTGAGTAGTCCTCTGAAGCCTATTGACATTCTCAGGTCAGTCATTCAAAAAAAAGTCATGAGAAAAGATTGGGGACTTTCTTTTGGTAACCAGAAGAATAATTATATTTTGCATAGCTGGCATATTACTTTTCATGTAAAATTTTATCTTCCAAGACACTAAAATCTATACTAACTTAAAAGACCTCCAAAGAAAGGTGATTGACATGACAACCTGTTGAAAAAATTTAAGGCATCAAAACATTGAAAATGAAATTCTGAGTTTGATTCTGATCTTTAATCAGAATCCTGCTGCATTTCATTCTAGTAGACAATCCAATTACCTTTTTCTCTCATTTTAATGAAAATAGGAAGGAAACATTCTTTCATTCATTTATTTGTCCATTCATTCAATTAATGATTGAGGAATGTAAACAATCTTCAAATGTCATAATTTCAAGTTTCCATTCTTGTTATTTTAAACAAATTCTGAGCATTTTTTGAACCTAGATTTCCTAATATAGCAGCTTCAACTTCACATGTGTCAATTAGCACAATTGGACATTCACTCTTAAAATTATTATAGTAAGGCTACCCTTCAAATAATAGGAAATGGCTATCAGAATTTTCTTCTAACATGTTATTCTCCATATATTCTTCATTGTAGCATTTCCCTCTGTACCTAAGGACTTCCTATAGAAAAAAAAGAGTGGCTTATCCTCTTTTTAACTTTGGAGAAATCTTACTGACTCCTTCTCCAATAAGATAGCCACATAACCTTACGACAGTTTTAGGGTTTACTTAAAGGATTCTGATGAAAGTTTCCCTTTCCAGGATAATTAACGATATCAAGAAAGTATACCATATATACAGCCTATTAAAAAGTTTATAGAAGTAAAAATTATTTACATGATGTGTATCTTGTCTTTTTAGTACACTGGTATTGTGACATTCTAATTTATAACAATATAGGGCGACTTCCTTTTTTTTTCTTTTGTGCTATAGAATTGGTGTTAGAGGAGATGGTTTACAAAATTGGCTTTAGGGTTACTCAAAGTTAGCACTAAATTGTATTTCAAACTATAAAATAATTTTAGCATTTTATGCATGTGTACTACCTGAGTTTCATTGTTTCAAGAAATTTTAACACAAACAAAATAAAATTTACATATGCAAATGTATTCCAGTTGAAGATATTGTTGATCCTAAATAATTATGCATACTATTCATTTTCACTGGATTTTACATCTACTTTTTTGCTTTTTCATTACTTGGTAAAAGGATTCAAAAGGAGTAGTCAGCATGTAGAATTCCACAGTTAAGGTTTGGTAACCTTATTGCTATAATTTGAAATTAGTTCTGACAGCTTATCCTATTACTTTCATCTCATTCGTTGTGTGAGATAATTATACAATGGGTATTTAGGTTTCTTTATATTTATGAAATATATTCTGCGGTTTAAAATAGAATAGACTATAAGAACTGGAAAGTATCATGGAAATCATCTGTACCTATCCCACATTTTATAGATGAAAAATTGAGGGTCAGAAAAACAAAGAAATTGTCCCCAGATCATTCGTAGACAGGGAGTTGCCCCATGTGTCATAATTTTTACCTAGGCTCTGTCGTCTCCACCAGGTTTTATTATCCATGATATTATTATTGATATATATTATCCATGATAATATATAATATTGTTATTATATCCATGATATTATCCATGATAAATCTGAGCAACTTTTAAATAAATTAATTATAAGCCAAATTCTGTTGCTTATATAGAAGTAGATATCAAAAAAATTTTCTCCAAATAGTCATTTCCTTAGATAAACTTTAGTATAATAAGAATGATCTTCTAGAACTAACATGATACCTTTATTAATCTCAGTAATAATAATAAATAATAATAATAAAACCATAACTGTCCAGTCATTAAAATGGCCTTAACATTCTATATCAATTATGGTTAAAAAGAAGGTCTTCTCATTTTCATATTGGAAACATAATTCTCTGAAATTCCCATTGATTGGTTGATTAGTTCAGAACCCTAAAAGTCATTCAGTAAACAGGCAACAAAAGTTTGAGTAATTGCTGCAAGCCTGGCACTGTGATTTGCACATGTTTACACCAGTCTCCCCATGCATTCTTTTTCAAATGACTTTAAAACAATTAATATGAAATTATATATTAATAACAATGTTTTCTGAGTGCTAGTAATGTAAACAAAATTTATTTTTACTAAGTATTTTAAATCCTTAATGTACATGTTGAGGTGTGTATCTTATTCCATTACATTTAATACTATTGAAGTTGGTTATTCATCATAACCATTAAATGCAAAACACAACCCTGATATTTTAACATAAGAAGAATAACTGATTCTTGGGAAAAATGTAAGGCTTTAAATTGAAAAACATGGAATTACCATCTCTTCCAGCCCACTTTTTTCCCCTCACCTTTACATTTTTCTTAAGATAGCACAGAACTTTTATGACATAAAAGATTTAGTTAAGGAAAACGTTAGGAGAGATCTGTTTTTCTGCCTAAGTTGATAAGTCATCAACTTAATACAAGCTCATTATGACTCAAATGAATAAGGATACCACAGATTCCCTTCTATTTTATCATTATACACAATTGCAAAGGAATGCATATCTTAGCACAGATTAAGTATTTTAATTTACATCATGAAAATATTATTTCAAAGAAAATCAAATTAATAAAAATAATTTCCCTACTCTTTAAACTAGTGATAAATAGCTTTTAGTGATAATTTATGAAGTTCTAAATTAGATATCTTAATGAGTTTTGCTTAGACAATATTAAGTCACATTTTGGTGTGAATAATATTATTTACATTTTGCTTAACTTATGAGCATTTTCAGGACAAGGAGTATATATTTTCAAATTGGCTTGGATTATCAGGTCCAACTATAATGTAAGTAGATTTGCCCTGTTAAAAGAGATATTTTTAGGGGCATAGTTCAACATAGTTCAATTTAGAGAAATTAGGTGACATTTTATTTAATTTTTTTTCCAAGAAGCAAAAGGAAGATGAGAAAACATATCACCTGAAAATTGATCCATTAACAGATTGCTAAGGTTCATGAGCAGTACTTAAAATTACTTACTGTAATTATTCTTCATCTCTTGGGTCCCTTTTACTTTGCCTCTTTTATCGATCCTCAGGTACCACTGTGTTCGACAGAAGAGTCTTCTCACTCTTATATCCCCTCCTTCCATGTAATCATAACTTCTTGTGTGTCGCTCAGGGCTGGAACAGTTCACATTTGTAGCCATTTGCTCTGGAGTCATGTCATTGCAAGCTAAAGATATAGTACCCACTAGACAGATAATGTGAAAGCATGATCTGTAGAGCAAAGTTGGCAGGATCCATGTCAGTATCCATTTGTGCATTATAGTGTAGTGCTCCGGGTGTTCATGAATAACATAATGAAAATGAATCTTGAGTTGATTGTTACTCCTAGGTCATTGACCTCTTCCTATCTGTGAATTGTAGATTGATTTAAGAAAGAGTAGTTGCTCTTTCCAAATTGTTAGCCTTATCCTTTTAGTTCCTGATAACAACACAGGATTCCTCCTTAAATAACTCTGTTGATAAATCCTCATAAAAACAGTTCGTAGTAAGTTCAGTTGCTGTGACGCTGTTTGCTATTTGACTTCTGTTTGCAATGAGAGATTAAGAATAGGGAGGGGAGGAGAGAGGAAGATAAAAAATTGTATGTGTAAATTTTAGTGGGTAAGTAGTAGCATTAGAATACAGTATAGGTTATTCTTTGAAGATACATTTAAAACAGCCTTCACAGAGGATGTCAAAATCTTTACCACTTTATGTGTAGATTTATAAAATTTATGCATGAGTAGAGACAAAACAGAATATGACTGTACCATTCATTCCAATTGCTATTTTGTGAGAACCATACTGCACTCAGAACTATTGATTTAAATTAAGTTTTTACAATTACTGCTAACAAAGTGTAACTGCTTTCTCCCTAGACTTCTTTATTATATGCTTTTACATTTGTGGTTAATCAATTATTTTCTCCTGAACTGCCCAGGTTTTTTAAGTTAAATGTCAGGATTGCTCTGGAGAACTTCAACCTTATCTTTATGTTCTACAGCATAATTACTATAGTTACATGGCTCAAAAATCTTGTAACTTTACTTTCCTGCTCAGTACTAAAATCAGAAAAAGAGATAAACTTTTAGAAAACATTCAGCATTGTTTTAAAAGACAAATAACAGTAACTTACTTGTTTTGTTGCTAACAGCTGGATATATAAGAATTCCATGTCTGTTGTCTGCCTGGTGCAACTTGAGCCTTTCTACTGTAGCTACAAACTATTTCTCAGCTGAAAAGTTCTCCAGCAGAATCATAATTGTTTCCATAAATCAACAGGCAGAAGGATTTTCTCTCTGTGTGTGAGCGCGTGTGTGCTTGTGTGTGTGTGTGAGCCTTTTATTCAGGGCTTTTCGATAAATACCTTTGCTGACCTCATTGGAAGCAATTAAAACTTAGCCAGTGAGCTGTTAGTTGAATACAACAGCGAGAATAAAAGGAGGCTTGTATAGTATTCAATGGTCATGAGAGGGAGCTATGAACATGTTTTATGCTTAAATCTACAAGTGGGTACCTACTTTGTAGAAACAGATCTCTGGTTCTGAAGCAGTTAGAAGGGGAAAGGGAATTTTTTAAACCTTCTTTGCAATATAGCAGTTGTATTATACTTGGAAAATTATTCATTTGAACATATATATAGGGTTTTTTAATACTTAGAAAATCTTTTCCATAGCTTTATGATACATGCATTTCTTCAATTACTTCTTTGTGCTCAGAATGTTAGAACAAAACTGGTATGTGTTAACTAACATATGAGTGCCTTAAAGCACTGTGTAGATAAGTTGAATATTATCACATCATACAGAGACAATTCATTGAATATGAATATAAGTACAATTTTTATGTATTATATTCCTAGGCTGAAAGTGAGAAGATCTAGATTCTTATTTGTGTTGGACCACTAATGACCAGTATGACTTCGGGCAAGTTACCTGCTGTTCCAGAGTCTCAGCTGCTACATTTGTAAAATTGGTGTATTGGTCTAATGCCTCTATGGTGCTTTACAATTCTGTGATCTGTGACTTATACTCACTACTAATATAAGGAACAGGGCACCTACTTTTAAAAGCTGTTATTCTTTAAAAAGGAGGAAATGGTTTCACATTGATTATCAGTGTTTGATTTTTGCCTCAATAAGAATATTGGAACAATAAATGTTAATTTAGAGATGGAATTATAATATGTATTGCTAAGGTAAATAAGTGAAAGCTATTTTACTTTCCAGCATGAGTTCTCTCCTTTACTTCCTGTTCTGTTATACATGAAGTAGTGCTCAAGTGTTGTATTAGATTCTTGGTGTAGAATAATTGTGTTGTCTATCTAAATCAGTATTAAGAAAGTATATTAAAATTATCTTTTTCATGTTATATACTCCTCAAAACACACACGCGTGCACGCGCGCGCGCGCGCACACACACACACACACACTCTCTCTCTCTCTCTCTCTCTCTCTATGTGAAATGCACTACTTTACCACCAGGTGGTGCATGTAGACCAAATAGGAAAAGGAAATTAAATCTACTCAACTGGATTATAGTTTATGTGATTTCTCTTTGTATCTGTCCCTTTAGGGAACAGAATGAAGAGCACAGAATAGTTCAGATGTACCCAGTTACTCTTCATATGCCAAATGTTGAATGTTCCACATTTATTAAAGCAGAGGGGGACAGACTCTTTGATCATTGCATCTGTTGAAAGCTAGAAAGCTGAAAACATCCTATCATGTATTCTCTAAAAGGAGGAAGAGAAGGAGGAAAGAAAATATAATGTTATTGTGTTCTGAATCACACTCCGCTAGTTTGGGAGGTAACAATAATGAGCAGGCTCAGAATTCCTAGGACTTAGATATTGCTTCTAAAGAAATAAAAGTTATCAATAGTAAGTTTACAGTGTAAAGATATTCAAGAGCTACTAAATCCATTTGTTCCATACTGAACCTACAGTTTTTAAACCAAGAAATCAGTAAGTGAGAAGTCCACATTTGCTAACTAAGTGCTAAATACTTAAATGAAAGAAATGGATAGTTTGTTAGCAAAGAGTGCTTAGTGCCTCCTTAATATCTGCTACATAGGATTAACTGTAAAATGGGAAACAAAAGAATAAAATTGTGATCTATGAAAGTGCATTAGATGCTATTACACTCTGTAATTTGGAAATATGATCCAAGTAATATTAATGAACAGATTAATATCAACAAGGGAACTGTATCAATGGTTTAAATTCTTTGATTATCATTTTTATTGGAGAATTATTAATTCAGGATGGGCCCACAATTCATTAGGACCACAGCTATAATGGAGAACCAAACTTAGATTTCACTGTGCCCTTATTATGCTTATGCTTCTAAATGAATTCTCCAGGAACTAAGAATAACTTTAGGCAACTGTAGATGGGGTAACCCTCTGGATGTTTTAAGTTATACATTGGCAACCGTTTGTTGCTCTTGTTTTAATAGACCTATAGTGATAGATTAAGCACAGGAATACTTTGAACTATTGTCTTTTTTTTGTTATTTGTAGATTGAATTTTCTTTTTTAACACACCATTGCTGGCTTCAAAGAATTAACTGGCCCAGCATGGTGGCTCACGCCTGTAATCCCAGCACTTTGGGAGGCCGAGGCGGATGGATCACAAAGTCAGGAGATCGAGACCATCCTGGCTAACACAGTGAAACCCCGTCTCTACTAAAAATACAAAAAAATTAGCCGGGCATGGTAGCGGGCGCCTGTAGTCCCAGCTACTCGGGAGGCTGAGGCAGGAAAATGGTGTGAACCTGGGAAGCAGAGCTTGCAGTGAGCAGAGATCGCACAACTGCACTCCAGCCTAGGTGACAAAGCGAGACTCCATCTGAAAAAGAAAAACAAAACTTTGCCTCGTTCATAATCATGTATAATATAATCAGTAGAAGGGAACATAATTAAATATTTTCATTACTTTTCATTCTTACATCTTATTCTGTTCCATATCCTGTCAGTTTTCATTCTTCCCCAAAACATAGATAATTCTTTTTATTAGTTTCTTGTGTATCTTTTCAGAGTTTCGCTATGCTTGTACAGGCAAACTGGATACATATGTTTGTGTGTATATGTATATACACATACATATTATTTTTTACTTTTACCCTTTTTATACAAAAGGTAGCACGTCATATGCATTTTTTTGTATTTTTTTTTAACAGAAAAATCTTCCTATCTCATTATTTAGGAAGCTTCTCACATTTTTGTTTTTGTTATAGCTACAGGGTATTCCACCGAATGGGTATATCACAGTGTATTTGAGCAGCCTCCTATTGAGGAACATTTAATTTTCTTCAGTACTTTTCTATTACCAAAGAAATGCTGTAATGAATAAAGACAAAATATGTCATTTTATACTACGAAAATAAATCTATAGGATCAATTTCCAGAAGTAGACTGCCTGGGACAAAAGGTATTAAAAAAAAGATATTGCCAACTTATCCTCCACAGAGGTTGTGCTAGTTTTATAATCCCACCAGCAGTAGGTAAGAGTACTCATTTATTTCAAAAAATTTATTGTGAAAACATTTGGAGTTTTATTAGTCTGACAAGTGAAAATGCCATTAAATTGTAGTTATCCTTTGCATTTCTCTTCTTATGAGAGAAGGTAACCATCATGGACAAGTGCTACAAAGAAAAGATACATAGTGCCATGAGTATCTATAATAAGTGGCAATATGTAAGCTTTCCCTGCAAGAATTCCACTAAAGCTGCAACTTTACAGCATGAATGGGAGTTAACCAGGTGAAGAGGTACTATACAAAAATAAAAAATAAAAAAATAATAATAATAAAAAAACCTGTCCTTTTCACAGTGAAACACAGGTTTGGTCCCAGTAGAGAGAATGAGAAGGGACTGTGGTGCATGAAGAGGTTGGAGAGGCAGGCAGGATCTCCATGTGTTTTATTAAGGCATATGATCTGTATTCCAGGAGCAATAGGAAGCCATTATAATATGGTAAGCAGAAGAGTGACATGATCAGAATTTTACTCTGCCTCTGTTCTGGTCAAAACTTAATTCCTATTGGCAGAATGGGCTTATGAAATATTAAACTGTGTTCATTTATCCCATTTTTTTCTGTTCTTCATATTTTCAAAAAGATATTGGAAAGGAAAGGTTGAGGGAAAAAAGTCATAAATGCTTCCTGACTAGGGTAAAACATGAATCCCTTTCAAAAGGTCATGCCAAGCGCACTGAAAATAAAGGAAGCACTAGAGTGCATTTGAGAAGCAGCCCAGGGAAGCTATCACAGAGTCCCATGGACCTGGGAGCATAGAGAAAATTTATGGCCCCCATATTTGGGGAGCCATGCTTGTATATTTATCTGTACACAGCACCACCGCACATAGCAGAGGCAGCAATACTCCAGAGAATCAGGGCTGCCTCATGTGTCTGAACAAATAGGTCCATAAGGACCCCTCATAAACATTCCCATATTTTAAAATAATTCTGGAAGTAGGAGGGAGTTCAGAACTGTAGAAACTGTGTGAACAGAGTGAATGAATACCCCAGAAGAGGAATCAGGGTAGACGAATGACTCAACACCCAGATGCCTTAGCTTTGGCCATACATAAAACTCTTGAAATCTATCCCATCTTGAAACAGAAGAGGGAAACCCTAGAATAACTGAAGTTAAGTTTTTTACCAAACTGGAAGAGCAGAATTCTCAAAATTAAAGCTAGGTTGATTTATATTTATAAATATAAATTTATATGTTATTCTTTGCATATCTGAAATTGTGGTCCAACACATATTTCTTTTTTTTTCTTTTTTTGATCTTTTAGGTTCAGGGGTACATGTGCAGATTTGTTATACAGGTAAACTCATGTCACAAGGGTTCAGTGTACAGATTATCACCGAAGCACTAAGCATAGTACCTGATAGTTATATTTTCTCTTCCCTCCCTCCACCCTCAAGTGGACCCCAGTATCTGTTGTTCTCTGTTTGTGTCCATTTGTTCTCACTACTTAGCTCTATTTATAAGTGGGAGAATATGATATTTGATTTGCTGTTCCTGTGTTAGTTTGCTAAGGATAATGGCCTCCAGCTCCATCCACGTTCCTGCAAAGGACATGATGGCTGCAAAGTATTCCATAGTCTATATGTACCACATTTTCTTTATCCAGTCTACCATTGAGGGCATTTAGATTGATTCCATATCTTTGCTATTGTGAATAGTGCTGCAATGAACATACACATGCATGTGTCTTTATGGTAGAATGATTTATATTCCTTTGGGTACATACCCAGTAATAGGATTGCTGGGTCAAATGGCAATTGTGTCTTTAGTTCTTTGAGGAATTGCCACACTTCTTTCCATAATGGTTGAACTAATTTACACTCCTATCAGCAGTGTGTAAGTGTTCCCTTTTCTCTGCAAGCTTGCCAGCGTTTATTTTTTGACTTTTTAGTAATAGCCATTCTGACTGATCTGAGATAGTATCTCACTGTGTTTTTTATTTGCATTTCTCTAATGATTAGCAGTATTGAGCATTCTTTCATATGTTTTTTAGACACATGTATGTCTTTTCAAAATTGTTCATGTCCTTTGCCCACTTTTTAATGGGGCTGTTTGGTTTTGCTTATAAATTTGTTTAAGCTCCTTATAGATGTTGGATGTTAAATCTTTGTCAGATGCATTGTTTGCAAAAATTTTCTCCTGTTCTGTAGGTTGTCTGTTTACTTTGTTGATAATTTCCTTTGCTGTGCAGGAGCTCTTTAGCTTAATTAGATCCCATTTGTCAATTTTTGCTTTTGTTGCAATTGCTTTTGGCATGTTTGTCATGAAATCTTTGCTAGTTCCTATGTCCAGAATGGTATTTACTAGGTTATCTTCCAGGGTTTTTATAGTTTTAAGTTTTACATTTAAGTCTTTAATCCATCTTTAGTTTATTTTTGTACGTGGTGCAAGGAAGGGGTCCAGCTTCAGTCTGCTTCATATGACTAGCCAGTTATCCCAGCACCGTTTATTGAATAGGGAGTTATTTCTTCATTGCTTGTTTTTGTGAGATTTGTCAACGATCAGATAGTTGTGGGTGTGCAGCCTTATTTCTGGGCTCATTCTGTTCCATTGGTCTATGTGTCTCTTTCTGTACCAGTACCATACTGTTTTAGTACTGTAGCCTTATAGTATAGTTTGAAGTCGGGTAGCATGATGCCTCCAGCTTTGTCATTATTTTTTTAAGAGAGTCACCCAGACTGAAGCGCAGTGGCATAATCATGGCTTACTGCAGCCTCAAGTTTCTGGGCTCAGGTGATCCTCCCGCCTCCTGAGTAGCTGGGACTACAGGCATGCATCACCATACCAGGCTATTTTTTTGTATTTTTTGCAAAGACAGGATTTTTCCTTGTTGCCCAGGCTGGTCTCAAACTCCTGGCCTCAAGCAGTCTGCCTACCTGGGCTTCCCAACATGCTGGGATTGCAGGTGTGAGCAACTGCACCCAACCAGCTATGTTCTTTTGGCCTAGGATTGCCTTGGATCTTCAGGCTCTTTTATGGTTCCATATGAATTTTAAACTAGTTTTCTTTAGTTCTGTGAAGAATGTCATTGGTAGTTTGATAGGAATAGCATTGAATGTATAAATTGCTTTAGGCAGTGTGGCCATTTTAATGATCTTGATTCTTCCTATCCATGAACATGGAATCTTTTTCCATGCATTTGTGTCATCTCTGATTTCTTTGAGCAATGTTTTATAATTTTCATTTTGGAGATCTTTCACCTCCCTGGTTAGCTGTATTCCTAGGTATTTGTGTGTTTGTGTGTGTGTGTGTGTGTGTGTGTGTCTATGTGTGTGTGGCAATTGTGGATGGGATTGTGTTCCTGATTTGGCTTTCAGCTTGACTGTTGGTGTATAAGAATGCTAGTGATTTTTGTACATTGATGTTGTGTCCTGAAACTTTGCTAAAGTTATTTATCAATTCAAAGAGCTTTTGGACAGAGACTATGCGATTTTCTACATAGAAAATCATGTCATCTGCAAACAGGGTAGTTTGACTTCTTCTCTTCCTATTTGGATGCCTTTTATTTCTTTCTCTTGCCTGATAGTTCTGACTCGGACTTCAAATACGATGCTGAATAGAAGTGGTGAGAGAGGGCATCTTTGTCCAAGACATATTTCTACTACATTCTCAGAGATGTCCTTACACTATGAATTTATCTTCCTCTTTTCTTCTGTCCACCCCATTCCATAAATCAGCTTGAACCCTGGGTCATGCCATATAACCAATCTTACTTATTTCCTTGATTCATCCATCTAACAAATATTTATCAAATAGATACTCGGTGCCAGATGTTGTTCTGGCCTTTTGGAGATACAATGGTGAATATTCTGGAAGTGACCTCTGCCCTAACAGAGCATGCATTCCAGTGAGAGAACAAACATAAACAAGTAGATTGGTGGGGGGTGGGGGGTGGGGTGGATCTTGGTGTGTTCCAAGAACTGAATGAAGGCTAATATGAATGAAAAATGGAAAAAGTAGTGAGAGGTGAATGAACCTGAAGAGGTAGGCAGGGACCAGATCATAATGAACTTTGTAGGTCATGGTAATAGGAGATTGAGTTTATTCTAAGTATTAATATAAAAGGAGGCTGTAGTATGGACACGTCAACCCAAACTTGATGGGCCTGGTCAAAGACAGTAGTTTAAACTCTGGCATAAAATCCCAAAAGTAATTGAGCAAGCCTGAGGTCCCTATAAATCCTCAATTATGTAAACTTGTGCTTACCCTTGGCATAATGCCCTAACATTTTAAAACTAACTGTATATAAGATACAAAGTATGAGTCATATGTTCAAAATTGTGGTGTGCTGGTGACTCAAATATATAAATATCTCAGTTTACAAAAGTTACTTGACTCTTGTATCTCTGAGTCTATAAAAATTTATGCTTTAATTTTATATTTGTAAGAAGTTATCTGAAATGCTAATCTAAATTTAAAGTTCTTAAAATTATATTATGAATTTACTGAATTGTGATACAACTTTAGACCTAGAGCAAAATCTCTAGTTGGAGCTACTAGTTTGGGTTTTTTTTTCCACTTGTACATTTCTATATAATGAAAGCATATTATGTAATTCATTCTAGATTGTCTTGATTCCCCTTAAGTTACTGCTTAACTTTAGGAAACAATCAATTTCCTTGAGTAAGTGCTTTACATTGGTACCTAGTTTTGACAGCTTCATGCCATTCTAAATGTTGAAAAATGTTCTCACAGAGAGAATTTTGCTTCATCCCTAGAAGGACATCATGACAAACACAAAGACCTTGTGCAATTGAGGTTATTACATTGTTAGCTCTAAATTGTCATTATTTGGTTCTACATGAATTGTCTATGTAGCAAGGCAGCAAAATGAGGGGTAAAACTAGCAATAGCAATTTTTCTTTTAAAAATGTTTCCTGGATATCAATGTGTTAGTAGCAAAACTGGCTTAATTTTCAATTCATTAGCTTTCAAAGCATGTTCAAAAGTGAGAAAAAGAGGCAGAGTAAAAGTAATTATGATAGTAAAGAAGAAAAAGAAAGTTAGGGAGTCCACCACCTTAATTATAGAGCTACATCCATGAAAAGCCAAGTATTCAGTAAAAATTTGTATTTGTGTAAAACTGGTGGCTATCGCAATAACTTATGCATGAGAAAGGAGGTTTATACTTCTGCTTAAGCTCCTCTTCAAGCTAAACGTTATTTCTATCCTCAGCTACAACTTATATTTTTCCCTCGATAGTTTTTAATATTAATTCAAACATAGTGAGTCCTCCTTATTCCTCTAATTAATTCCAAAAAATGTCAATTCTACCACAACTTCTTCTACACCTGTTTCTTCCTATCAATTATCACTTTCACATCCTAGATCAAGTTATTGTTATAGTTCACATTAATTCTATTCCTAATCCACCTCTTTGTATCTTCTCTCCCCAATCTCCAATCCATTTTAAATGTTGTTATGAGATTAATCTTTCTAAAATATAATTGCAACCATGTTATTTCTCTGCCCCAAAGTCATCAGTAACATCCCCATTTTTCCTAAATAAAACTCTACTTTTCTTTTTCCAATATGCAGACTACTGTTTCCAATGCCCTCTATGATCCTCAACATCCCCCAAACACTAGGCTCTCTCACTTGGTTTGGGGTGTAGGGAGATTTCCCCCCTCCCTCCCCCCACACACTTCACCTCTTGGTAGAGAAGTGGACTAACAGAGAAGAAATCCCCCTTACAAATTCTCTCCCTCTCTACCTTCTCTCCCTATCTCCCCATCTCTTTCTCTTATATATTCAGTCTGCATGAGGAACCCAAGAGTTGTGTAACCAATTATCAGATATTTCCTTTGAAATTTTACATATTGAGTTTTTAATGATGCAATAAAGTCCTTGGTCCTAGTTAACTGATAACTCAGCTAATTACTTTAAATCAACACTTACTCTGTATTCGAATAGTGTGCATTATGACATACTGTTCAATAAGATAAGCAAGGTCCCTGACTTAGAGCTTAAATTATTGGAGGAGGGGGTGGATAATAGATATTAAAAATAACTCTGATGGCTATTTCAGGAGGAAATAAATAGGTTACTATGGTATCATTTAACACAGAAAGGAGAAGGATGTTTCAAATCTCATTACAAAATGTCTTTCTGTAGAATTGCTATTTAAGCTCAGATCTGATACATGAGAAGAAATCAGAAGTGGAGGTAGAGCATTCTAGATAAAGGTAACAAGAGCAAAAGTTCTGAGGTGAAAATGAGCTTGTTGTGTTCTAGAAACCAAAAGATAGTATAACTGGAGTATACTGAACAAAGGGAAAGTTGGGCAACACGAGACCAATGTACATAAGGCGTTGATACTAACATTAAAGACTTTGGATTTGATCCTAAGTATAATAGATTGTAATTAGCAAGTATAATGGGTATAATCATTCTGAAAACTTTTTGGAGAATGTTTGGGAGATGGCAAAAGTTGAAATAAGGAGACTGGTTAGGAGGCCATAATTGAAATACAGGTCAGAGATTATATCTTAGACTAATTATGGTAAGGGAGATGGAAAGGAGTAGTTAGATGTATGTTGGAGACTGTTATTAGTCTGTTCTTATGCTGCTGATAAAGTCATACCCGAGACTGGGCAATTTACAAAAGAAAGACGTTTAATCGACCCACAGTTCCACATGGTTGGGGAGGCCTCACAATCATGGTGGAAGACAAGGAGGAGCATGTCAGGTCTTACACAGATGGTAGCAGGTAAAGAGAGAGAATGAGAGAGAAGCAAAAGCTGAAACCCCTTACAAAACCATCAGATCTCGTAAGACTTATTCACTACCATGAGAACAGTATGGAGGCAACTGCCCCCATGATTCACTTATCTCCCACCAGGTCCCTCCCACAACATGTGGGAATTATGGGAGTACAATTCAAGATGAGATTTGGGTGAGGACACAGAGCCAAACCATATCAGAGACAAAGCCTTATTCAATGTAAGAGACAAAGAGGAGTCAAGGTTAAATTCCAGATGTCCAATATTTGTAACTGGATAAATGGTGATGTCATTTGCTGAGCTAAGGGAGACTGGGAGAAGACCAGGATTAGAGGGGAAAATCAGACAACTGGAAAGTTTGGCTGAGAGAAATGCTATCACCCAAGGGCCAATTCATTCTGGATCAGAGAGATCTGGACCTTTTTACTCCTTTGAATGAGAACCAAGAAGCATCTTGAAATTCAATTTCCACACAAGTGTGGAAATAGAAACAAAATCTCTTTTTAAGGATATCTGGTGCAAAAGGAAAGTTTTTCTTGTGCAGTATTGACTATGCATTTTAATGAAAATAATAAGGGCCATCCTCCCTCATTTTTCTAATTAAGGATGTCTCTGACAACCAGCATATCATAGGCCCCAGTAATATAATACATGATATCGGAAGTCAAACTATATCATGGGACGTTATTGTGAAAACCTAAAACTGATTTATTCTTTGATTTCAGCTATAAATGGGTTTCAAAGTTGCCAAAAAACAAGTCAATGTACTTCGTGTTCAAATCAATTCTTGTGACACTGAGAAAAAAAAAATTTTAAGAATAACAGTGTTGATATTTTGAAAAAAATTAATCCTTAGTACCCTCTCTGGTTATTTTACCTGAAAGAAAATTGCTTTCATATTCCTGAAAGCTATACTTCTTTCCATAGAAGGATGTTAGCAGAGAAACATAGTAGTAGAGTTGCTCATATCAGATTATAACACCACCCTGTATTGCACAACAAAAAGAATATGTTAAAACTAAAATATTGTCTAATGCCAAGAAAAAATGGCTAATTTGGCAAAAATTATATTAATCATTTTATAGTGCCCAGAAGAACAACAAAATAAGACTGATTTTTTTCTAATATAATTTTTTGGCTACACATGATTATAGCTTTCATTTCTTAGCCTAAGTAGTTTGGAAGTTGGAAACATTGTAGCATGAGCTTAGAAAGCTGCTGAATAAGTAGAAATACAAAATTATAGCATGTTTTAGACGAAATATTGCTTCTTAATGCCAAGTACTGTATGTGTAATAAATCAAACTGTCACCTGGTTTAATTGAATCAATAAAAGAATATGGAAATAGCTTATTAGGTTATCTGCAAATGAGGATGTAAAAGTACTGAAAGATGTTTGAAAATTGCTTTCTCTCTAAAATATTTAAAATTCCCCATAACAATTGATATATCCTATTATTTGTGCACAATTTTGGAAATGTCTGCGAAGCAAAAAAGACAAGTTTGAATTCAAAGCCCAATTTGAATGGTAACAAATTCTGAATTGAGAGATTCCAAATATAAGAACTTCCGCCATATTTCAAATTATGCTAAGAATACATGGTTTATTAGGATAATATTTATTATTTTTGCCTTGAATAAATAAAATTAAAGGGGATAATTCTAGTTCTTAGTACAACCAAAGGATTAAGTAAAAGTCTATTTCAAAACTGGTAATGAAATGTTTTATATGTACTCATCCTTTACCTTGATTGCCTTCTTTATGCCTTCCATTCCATTTTATACCACTCAGCATGTCGACATATTGTGACAATAAATATACTTTATTTCCAGTGTCATCAAATATGAAACCAGAATGCAAACTCAGAAGTATCAAAAATATCATTGTTCATTTTCTCTCTCAAAAAGGTGGACAAGAAAGAATGAAATATATAAAATTTTTGGATTATTTTAGCATACCTAGAATATATTTTGATTTAAAAGGGGACTTTTTTTCTTTCAACAATGTTCCTCATCTCGTTAGTACTTAATTTATCCCTTTTAGAATGAGAAATCATCTTTTTTTCTGTTTTTCACTTCCTTGGTTTACAGATAAAATTATATTATGCTATTACCCTGGTGATACCAAATATTTACAAAGATTTGGGGATTTTTTGGGGGGTTCTATTTTCAATTCTGCAACTGTTTTTTATCCTATCCAACCTCCTTCCCTTTCTCTGCATTTTTATTTTCCACTTTTTTATATTTTTTTCCTAGCTCCCTCTCTCATTTGCTTACTTTCACTCCCTCTCTCCCTGCCCACCCCCCCCACACACAGATACACACACACACATACACACACACACACACACACTCTCAAATGCTTTTTCTGTCATTCCCATGCTTCAGGTTTCTAGAAAACTCATTAGGTCATTCTTATATTAATTTTCTACTTGTTTATCATTTTTTCAATCTAGTCTTGAAAAACACATCTGGTTTCCATTCTAATCAGTATTCCTCTGAGAGTAGCATCATGTTATAGAAGTCAAAGAATTCTCAAATAATAACCCATAATGGTTCAACTTCTGGTAATTTAAACTTTTATCCAGTAACTTTAAAAGAGCTATTCATGTAGTCTAACTTGGCAGCCTTTTTTTTAAGATAAAAGTTTATGGAGGTGGGGTTTGTGTGGGTAATCATTTAAAGAAACAATATTTGGAAACCTTTTTCAAAATGACAAATTTTTTAAACTAAACATGGAAAATGATTCGCTATTTTCAATAGCTATTCATTTCTGAGAGTTCACAATTGAAATGACACAACTTATGTGCTGTGTAAATGAGGTGATAGTGAAGACTATGTACTGAAAAAAGAAGACAAAAACATTAGAACTACTAAAAAAGAGCAAATAGATGTTAAGTGAGAAATTATTGAAAACTACTTACAAAACATAAAGCTATGTGCATTATGAGAGGATATAGTATTCAGAGGCAGCATGAAACAACGTGGCCTATGGGGAGCTGTCAGGGTTCAAACGATTTGCAATCAGACATTCTGCATTTGAAATATTGTTCTTAATAATTGTGTGACATAGGCAAGTTATTTAACTTCTCTGAGTCCATCACATGTTACAAGAATAATAGAGGACAAATTTCCACTTGAAGAAGCCTAAAGGGCTGGAGAGTGGATGCAAAAAATAAATAGGGTGCTTTAGAAGATCCGAAGTGAGAGTACAGTTGTGAAAGAAGATAATTAGATAATTCTAGTGCCAGCATTATAGGTGAGATTGAGCAGAAACCTCATGTGGGAAGGTGAGCCTGAAAAGAAATGAGAACAAGGGAAATACTAGAGCCTGAATGATCCTAATAAACAGTAAAAGCAGAGATGAATACAGTAGAAAACAGAAAGAGACTAATCTTCTGGCATATATCTCTATTTTATATATTAAAGCCTTACATAACACTTACTGCATGCCAGGCAGTTTTCTAAGCATTTTATAAAGTTAAATAATGCAGTCATATTAAGTTGGCATTATTTTTATCCTCATTTTGCAAGTGATGAAACTAGTCTTAGGTATAGTTTGCCAGAACAGGGAAAGAAGTGGAATAAAATTTGAGGTGACTTCAGTTCTCCAGCAAACATTGCTAGAAAGTTAAACGAGAGATAGTTTTGTCCAGGAAGAAAATAGTAATAACAATAATAATTACAACAACAGCATTTATTGAGCCTTTATTAAGTGCCAGCCACTGTTTCAAGTTTCTATATATCTCTCTTTTGGCATATATATATATTCCTATTTATATATACATATATATAACTATATATATATAGAAAGAGAGAGAGAAGGAACAGTAATAAAAGAGTACAAGTACTCCTTTATCCTCATTTTCCAGATGAAGAAACAAGGCACAAGAGAATTTAAGTAACTTTCACAAGTTAATAAAGTTTGAAATAAATTGGAATATTGATACAGAAGGGCTAATCTGAAGCCTGAGCCTTTAGCCACTATTACTTTCAACATACGGTTTATTTTCATAAAGGGGGTGGGGAGGGTGTCCCTAGCATGCTTCACTTTTTCAAGTGTGCCGCATCTTAAAGTGGAATATGCTTGTTGACATGGTCAGTTCACATGTAAAGAACCCAAATAAGAAGCCCTCCAATACTGAAGTGAAACTTGCTAAGAAAGAAAGCATACTCATCTCCAGAGGACTCTCATGCCAGCCATCCATAATACTAAACTCAATCTTTAATCATACATATGAACCAAAGATGACAAACATTTGCAGAAAAGAAGAAAGATCAAAGTGAAGGCACCAAGAAAACTGATCCTTCATAAAGGCAATCCAAGAAATATAAAATATGTATTTCAAATTCTTACTAGAATTTATATACTCATTCATTTTTAAAATATTCACTATACACCTCCTACTATGTATCAGACTCTGAATTGTGGTAGTAAATGCCATGGTGATATAACCCCACCCCTCCACCCCCAGAAAAAACCACCACAACAACACATGTTACTTGCTCCCATGGAGCTTATTTGAAATTATATTGCATTATTTTAAAAGCATAATCTGACAGAAAATGAAGCAGAAAAAAACAGGATTAGGTATCAAGACTATGATAGCAGAACAAATAATTTGGCAGAATGGTTAAGTAATAGACTGAATATGGCTAAAAAACAAATAAATGATTTGTAATGTCCAGCATTCAAAATTAGAACAAAAAACAGAGAGGCAGAAAATAGAGAAATGTTAAAGGATATGGAAGATCAATTTAGATAGTTTATCTTCACTTCAAAACGAATTCCAGGAAGAAAATATGAAGGAAAAGCGAGAGAGCAATGAACACTTTACAAAATTGAATAAGAACTCAAGTGATCAATTGAAATGACCCACCAATGGCTAAGCATAATGAGTGAAGACCCATGTCATGGTGAAACCTCTGAACTCAAACAATAAGTAGAAAATATTGAAAGTTTCTAAAAATAAAATTTGCACAAGTTGCTTACAAAGGAACTAGAATCAGATTGGCATCAGATTATATCATTAGGCAGCACTTGATGCTAGAAGAAAGTACAGAATACCTACAAAGATTTGAGCAAAATGATATTAAGCTAAAATATATACCAGTTAAAATATTATTCAGATGCAAGTATAAATAAAAACGTTTTCTTGCAAATAAGAACTTCAAATGTTTCCCAACTTTAGACCCTCCCTGAAATAATTACTGTGGCAAAATAAAAAATGTTTCCAAGAGGAAATGTGGGATACAAAACAAAAAGGATGAAATACTACTCAACAATAAAAATAAACTATTTACTGGTATGTAGAACATGTGCATGAATCTCAAATGCATTATGCTAAGTGAAAGAAGCCAGACCCAAAAGGCTACATGCTGTATGGTTCCATTTTATGTTCTAGAAAGGCAAAAACTATAGGTACAGAAACAGATTGCCAGCGGATGTGGAGTGGGGATGAGAGATTGACAACAACCGGGCATGAAAGGATTACTTGGGTGATGGAACAGTTCTATATCTTGATTGTGGGGGTAGTTACACAATCATGTACTTTTGGCAGAACTCACAAAACTAAAGGTGAAAATTACAGCATATAAATGATACCTCATATATAAATACATATTATATATATATTAGTACTATATATAATTAATATAATAATAATATAATATATATATTAAATACATATATATTAGTACGAATGAGGGACAAAACAGCGGAGAGTAAAGAAACTAGTTAAATATATATTTGAATCTCAGTGTTAAAATTTTAAAAATAGGGGAGAGGGCAAGATGGCAGACTAGACAAAGCCAGGTGGAACAGCTGCCACCGAGGGACTGAGATGACTGGTGTATTCCTAACAGATCTTCAGAGGGAAGGCACCAAGTGTGGTCACAGGGAAAACACAGAAGCTGGGCTGAAGTGGGAAAAAGCCAGGAACCCTGCCCTGGGCTATGGTGCACCAGGACTTATTCCTGGTTCCCAGCGACTCAAGGAGAATGGGCCAGTTGAACTGGCAAGGAGCAACCGGCTCTCACCATGGGCCTTAGTGCAGGAGGAGACTCCTAAACCACCACAGACACTCAAGTTGACAGGGAGAGCTGCTTAGAAAAGTGGTAGGGACAGCAAGCCAGCTGATGTGGAGCCCAGAGGGTTTGGCATGAGAGCATGTGTAGCAGAACACGGCCAGGGACAGCCATCCTCCTAGGCTTGGCTTGCTCCCATAGGAGACATTAGCCCCAGGAGAACTGTCGGACCTGAACTCTGCAGGTCAGTCTTGCCCATCAGACGGGGCCAGTCCAACCTGAGCACTTCTTGGTCTGCTGGCTTCTCCTGGGCCTCCAGCCTTGCCACATCTGCTTGCAGGGCATCCTCGGGTGTTCTGGGGTCCTGCCTCATAACTCCTGCACTGGTGGATCATGCTTGACTGGTGGAGAGCGCCAGTGGGGCAGTCCCCATGGCCAGCCCGGCTGCTCTGCCTGCTCCCTCTCCACACTGTGTCTTCCCTCAGGCCCACAGCAAACCCCAAACATGTACCGGCACACATGCGTATGGGTGGGTTTTGCTTTCCTTGCCCTGCCAGTGTGTGTGTGTGTGCACGTCTCTGTGTATGCACCCTGCCCTGCCACTGCTGGGTCAGAAGTGCACTCCGCTCCCCCACGGCACTCCCCACCACTAACCATCATTGCAGTTGGAGCCTTGGCCGGCACTTAGCCAGCTAGCCAGCCCCACCCCGGCCAGCACCCCACCCTCCCGCCAAAGCTGCTGCTGTGGGAGTGAAGCTAAGCATGGAGAACAGCAGACCCTCCCCCACCCTGAGTGATCACGCCTGCCTGCAGTGCATAAATCACACATAGTCCTGTGCCCTCCAGCGCCCCAACACCGTGCCAACACTATCAACAGTGCAACCGCCTGCAGTCACCAGCAGGGATGCCCCCCAACCCATCAGTCCTGGAGCCATATTGCCTCTGCCACTGTGATGAATGCCCATATGAAAACAGGAACCCTGGCATCCAGTAGCACCCTGCTTCAGCCAACGAGTGTGCACCCCACCACATTTCTATTGCTGCTGCTGCTGCTGCTGGCATGTGTGAACAAAAATGGATCCTGCTGTCACTGCGCTATGAAAAGCTTTGACCGACACCACCCATCAGAATGCAGTGACCAGTGGTCTGGGAGCAACTCAGCTCCCCCAGGACAGTGGATTTCTAACCTTGCGGAGCCAGAGAACAAAGTCAGGGCCCAATACAAGTCCCTCAGAGTTAGAGCTCGCAGTCCAGGAGTTGGGAGCTGAGCGTTGGCCCCCTGGAATCTTCCAGAAATGAAGCCAGTTGGTTAAATCTACCTTATACCACAATCAAACCTTCCGGGTCATCACATAGGATAAAAGAAATAACCATTCAAAGGTCAGCACTTCAAAGACTGAAGGAACATAAGCCCACAAAAATGAGAAAGAACCAGCTCAAGAACCCTGACAACTCAAAAAGCCAGAGTGCCTTCTTTGCTCCAAATGACTGCATCACTTCTCCAGCAAGGGTTCTGAACCAGGCTGAGATGGCTGAAATGACAGAAATAGAATTCAGAATATGGATAGAAATGAAGATCATTGAGATGCAGGAGTACATTGAAACCCAATCTAAGGAAGCTAAAATAAAATGATGTAAAAGCTGACAGACAGAATAGCCACTATAGAAAGGAACATAATCAACCTGATAGAGCTGAAAAACATGCTACAATAATTTTACAATGTGATCACAAGTGTTAATAACAGAATAGACCACATTGAAGAAAGCATCTCAGAGCTTGAAGACTGGCTTTCTGAAATAAGACAGTTGGACAAGAATAGAGAAAAAAGAATAAAAAGCAACAAACAAAATCTCTGAGAAATATGGGATTATTTAAAGAAACCAACTCTATGACTCATTGGTGTCCCCAAAAGAGATGGGGTGAGTACAAGCAAGTTGGAAAACATATTTCAGGATATCATTCATAAGAACTTCCTCTACTTAGCTAAAGAGGTCAACATTCAAATTTGGGAAGGCAGAGAACCCCAGTAAGATATTTCACACAAGAAGATCATCCCAAGACACATAATCATCAGATTCTCTAAGGTTGAAATGAAAGAAAAAATGTTAAAGGCAGCTAGAGAGAAAGATCAGGTCACCTACAAAGGGAAGCCCATAAGACTAACAGAGGGCTTCTCAGCAGAAACCCTACAAGCCAGAAGAGATTGGGGGCCAATATTCAACATTATTAAAGAAAGTGAATTCCAACCCAGAATTTCATTTCTCATCAAACTAGCTCCATAAGTGAGGGAGAAATAATATCCTTTTCAGACAAGCAAATGCTGTGGGAATTAGTTACCACCAGAACTGCCTTACAAGAGCTCCTGAAGGAAGCACTAAATATGGACGGGAAAAACCATTGCCAGCCACTACAAAAACACACAGATCAGTGACACTATAAAACAACCACATAAACAAGCGCCCATACGAACCAGCTAACATCATGATGACAGGATCAAATCTACACACAATAATACTAACCATGAATGTAAATGGGATAAATACCCCAATTAGAAGACATAGAGTGGCAAGCTGGATAAAGAACCAAGACCCATTGGTATACTGTCTTCAAGAGATGCATCTCACATGCAATGACACCCATAGTCTTAAAGTAAAGGGATGGAGAAAAAACTACCAGGAAAATGGAAAAGTGAAAAAAAAAGGAGTTGCAATCCTAATGTCAGACAAAACAAACTTTAAACCAACAAACATAAAAAAAAGACAAGGAAGGGTGTTACATAATGATAAAGGGTTCAATTCAGTAAGAAGACCTAACTATCCTAAATATATATGCACCCAACACAGGAGTACCCAGATTCATAAAGCAACTTCTTAGAGACCTTCAAAGAGACTTAGACTCTCATACAGTAATAGTGGGGGACTTTAACACCCCACTGACAGTATTAATACAGATCATTGAGGCAGAAAATTAACAAAGATACTCAAGAACTGAACTCAGCACTGGATCAAATGGACCTGATAGATATTTACAGAACTCTCCACCCAAAACAAGAGAATACACATTCTTTTCATTGCCACATGGTATATACTCTAAAATTGATCATATAATTGAACACAGAACATTCCTCAGCAAATGCAGAACTCAAATCATAACAACCAGTCTCTTGGACCACACACAGCACAATACAGTTAGAAATCAAGAATAAGAAATGCATTCAAAATCATACAATTACATGGAAATTGAATAACCTGCTCCCAAATAACTTTTGGGTAAATAATGAAATTAAGGAAGAAATTAAGAAGTTCTTTGAAATTAATGAGAACAAAGATGCAACATACCAGAATCTCTGGGACACAGCTACGGCAGTGTTAAGAGGGAAATGTATAGGACTAAATGCCCACATAAAACAGATAAAAAGATCTCAAGTTAACAACCTAACATCACAACTAAAAGAACTAGAGAACCAAGAGAAAACCAACCCCAAAGCTAGCAGAAAACAAGAAATAACCAAAATCAGAGCTAAACTGAAGGAGATTAAGACACGAAAAAACATTCAAAAGATCAGTGAATCTAGCAGTTTTTTTTTGAAAAAAATTAATAAACTAGATAGACTGCTAGCTAGACCAATAAAGAAAAGAGAGAAGATCCAAACAAACACAATCACAAAAGACAAAGGGGATATTACCCCTAGCTCACAGAAATACAAACAACCATCAGAGAATACTATAAACACCTCTGTGCACATAAACTAGAAAATCTAGAAGGAATGGATAAATTCCTGGACACATACACACTCCCAAGACTGAACCAGGAAGAAATTGAATCCCTGAATAGATCAATAACATGTTCTGAAATTAAGGCGATAATAAATAGCCTACCAACCAATAAAAATGCAGGACCAGATTCATAGCTGAATTCTACCAAAAGGTACAAAGAAAAGCTGGACCATTTCTACTGAAACTATTCCAAAAAATTGCAAAGGAGGGACCCCTCCCTAGCTCATTCTGTGAGGCCAGCATCATCCTGATACCAAGACCTGGTAGAGATACAACTTCAGGCCAATACCCTTGATGAACATAGATGCAAAAATCCTCAACCAAATACTGGCAAACTAAATCGAGCAGCACATCCAAAAGCTTATCCACCATGATCAAGTTGGTTTCATCCCTGGGATGCAAGGTTGGTTCAACATACACAAATCAGTAAATGTGATTCGTCACATAAACAGAACTAAAGACAAAAACCACATGATTATCTCAATAGATGCAGAAAAAAGGCCTTCAATAAAATTCAACATGCTTTCAAGTTAAAAACTCTCAATAAACTAGGTATTGAAGGAACATACCTCGAAATAAGAGCCATATATGACAGACCCACAGCCAATATCATACTGAATGGACAAAAGCTGGAAGCATTCCTATTGAAAATCGGCACAACACAAGGATATCCACTCTCACCACTCCTATTCAACATAGCATTGGAAGCTCTGGCCAGGGCAATCAGGCAAGAGAAAGAAAGAGTATTCGAATAGGAAGAGAGGAAGTCAAATTATCTTTCTGTGCAGATGACATGATCCTATATCTAGAAAACCCCATTGTCTCAGTCCAAAAGCTTCTTAAGCTGATAAACAACTTCAGCAAAGTCCCAGGATACAAAATCAATGTGCAAAAATTGCTATCATTCCTATATACAAACAATAGGTATAGAGAACCAAATCATGAATTGTGAATGAATTCCCACTCACAATTGCTACAATAAAAATAAAATGCCTAGGAATTACAGCTAACAAGGGAAGTGAAGGACCTTTTCAGTAAGAACTACAAAAGACTGCTTAAAGAAATTGGAGGACACAAACAAATGGAAAAACCTTCCATGCTCATGGATAGACAGAATCAATATTGTGAAAATGGCCATGTGGCCCAAAGTAATTTATAGATTCAATGACATTGACATTCTTCACAGAATTAGGAAAAACTTTTCCTAACAATTTATATGGAATCCAAAAAGAGCCCAAATAGCCCTTTCTCTGCAAAAACAAAGAAGAGCCATATACACATCATCTCTGTGTCTTTCTATCATGCCCTTTGCTTGTCTTGCAGTATTTTATTGTACACCAAGCTTGTATACAAAAGAACTATAGAGTCTGAAGATGATGTTACTTGTCACCAGAGGTGGTTCTTCCTTTTCTCATTTAGGAAGAGGGACTGAGACTATGATTTAATCAGTGGTTGAGCTAGATCAGAGCTGGAATGCAGTTTTGGTAAGATTTTTTTTTTCTTCTTTTTATTATACTTTAAGTTTTAGGGTACATGTGCACATTGTGCAGGTTAGTTACATATGTATACATGTGCCATGCTGGTGCGCTGCACCCACTAACTCGTCATCTAGCATTAGGTATATCTCCCGATGCTATCCCTCCCCCCTCCCCCCACCCCACAACAGTCCCCAGAGTGTGATATTCCCCTTCCTGTGTCCATGTGATCTCATTGTTGAATTCCCACCTATGAGTGAGAATATGCGGTGTTTGGTTTTTTGTTCTTGCGATAGTTTACTGAGAATGATGATTTCCAATTTCATCCATGTCCCTACAAAGGACATGAACTCATCATTTTTTATGGCTGCATAGTATTCCATGGTGTATATGTGCCACATTTTCTTAATCCAGTCTATCATTGTTGGACATTTGGCTTGGTTCCAAGTCTTTGCTATTGTGAATAATGCCGCAATAAACATACATGTGCATGTGTCTTTATAGCAGCATGATTTATAGTCCTTTGGGTATATACCCAGTAATGGGATGGCTGGGTCAAATGGTACTTCCAGTTCTAGATCCCTGAGGAATCGCCACACTGACTTCCACAAGGGTTGAACTAGTTTACAGTCCCACCAACAGTGTAAAAGTGTTCCTATTTCTCCACATCCTCTCCAGCACCTGTTGTTTCCTGACTTTTTAATGATTGCCATTCTAACTGGTGTGAAATGGTATCACATTGTGGTTTTGATTTGCATTTCTCTGATGGCCAGTGATGATGAGCATTTTTTCATGTGTTTTTTGGCTGCATAAATGTCTTCTTTTGAGAAGTGTCTGTTCATGTCCTTCGCCCACTTTTTGATGGGGTTGTTTGTTCTTTTCTTGTAAATTTGTTTGAGTTCATTGTAGATTCTGGATATTAGCCCTTTGTCAGATGAGTAGTTTGCGAAAATTTTCTCCCATTCTGTAGGTTGCCTGTTCACTCTGATGGTAGTTTCTTTTGCTGTGCAGAAGCTCTTTAGTTTAATTAGATCCCATTTGTCAATTTTGTCTTTTGTTGACATTGCTTTTGGTGTTTAGACATGAAGTCCTTGCCCATGCCTATGTCCTGAATGGTAATGCCTAGGTTTTCTTCTAGGGTTTTTATGGTTTTAGGTCTAACGTTTAAGTCTTTAATCCATCTTGAATTGATTTTTGTATAAGGTGTAAGGAAGGGATCAAGTTTCAGCTTTCTGCATATGGCTAGCCAGTTTTCCCAGCACCATTTATTAAATAGGGAATCCTTTCCCCATTCCTTGTTTTTCTCAGGTTTGTCAAAGATCAGATGGTTGTAGATATGTGGCATTATTTCTGAGGGCTCTGTTCTGTTCCATTGATCTATATCTCTGTTTTGGTACCAGTACCATGCTGTTTTGGTTACTGTAGCCTTGTAGTATACTTTGAAGTCAGGTAGTGTGATGCCTCCAGCTTTGTTCTTTTGGCTTAGGATTGACTTGGCAATGCGGGCTCTTTTTTGGTTCCATATGAACTTTAAAGTAGTTTTTTCCAATTCTGTGACGAAAGTCATTGGTAGCTTGATGGGGATGGCATTGAATCTGTAAATTACCTTGGGCAGTATGGCCATTTTCACGATATTGATTCTTCCTACCCATGAGCATGGAATGTTCTTCCATTTGTTTGTATCCTCTTTTATTTCCTTGAGCAGTGGTTTGTAGTTCTCCTTGAAGAGATCCTTCACATCCCTTGTAAGTTGGATTCCTAGGTATTTTATTCTCTTTGAAGCAATTGTGAATGGGAGTTCACTCATGATTTGGCTCTCTGTTTGTCTGTTGTTGGTGTATAAGAATGCTTGTGATTTTTGTACATTGATTTTGTATCCTGAGACTTTGCTGAAGTTGCTTATCAGCTTAAGGAGATTTTGGGCTGAGACAATGGGGTTTTCTAGATATACAATCATGTCGTCTGCAAACAGGGACAATTTGACTTCCTCTTTTCCTAATTGAATACCCTTTATTTCCTTCTCCTGCCTAATTGCCCTGGCCAGAACTTCCAACACTATGTTGAATAGGAGTGGTGAGAGAGGGCATCCCTGTCTTGTGCCACTTTTCAAAGGGAATGCTTCCAGTTTTTGCCCATTCAGTATGATATTGGCTGTGGGTTTGTCATAGATAGCTCTTATTATTTTGAAATACGTCCCATCAATACCTAATTTATTGAGAGTTTTTAGCATGAAGGGTTGTTGAATTTTGTCAAAGGCTTTTTCTGCATCTATTGAGATAATCATGCGGTTTTTGTCTTTGGCTCTGTTTATATGCTGGATTACATTTATTGATTTGTGTATATTGAACCAGCCTTGCATCCCAGGGATGAAGCCCACTTGATCATGGTGGATAAGCTTTTTGATGGGCTGCTGGATTTGTTTTGCCAGTATTTTATTGAGGATTTTTGCATCAATGTTCATCAAGGATATTGGTCTAAAATTCTCTTTTTTTGTTGTGTCTCTGCCTGGCTTTGGTATCAGAATGATGCTGGCCTCATAAAATGAGTTAGGGAGGATTCCCTCTTTTTCTATTGATTGGAATATTTTCAGAAGGAATGGTACCAGTTCCTCCTTGTACCTCTGGTAGAATTCGGCTGTGAATCCATCTGGTCCTGGACTCTTTTTGGTTGGTAAGCTATTGATTATTGCTACAATTTCAGATCCTGTTATTGGTCTATTCAGAGATTCAACTTCTTCCTGGTTTAGTCTTGGGAGAGTGTATGTGTTGAGGAATTTATCCATTTCTTCTAGATTTTCTAGTTTATTTGCATAGAGGTGTTTGTAGTATTCTCTGATGGTAGTTTGTATTTCTGTGGGATCGGTGGTGATATCCCCTTTATCATTTTTTATTGCGTCTACTTGATTCTTCTCTCTTTTTTTCTTTATTAGTCTTGCTAGCGGTCTATCAATTTTGTTGATCCTTTCAAAAAACCAGCTCCTGGATTCACTAATTTTTTGAAGGGTTTTTTGTGTCTCTATTTCCTTCAGTTCTGCTCTGATTTTAGTTATTTCTTGCCTTCTGCTAGCTTTTGAATGTGTTTGCTCTTGCTTTTCTAGTTCTTTTAATTGTGATGTTAGGGTGTCAATTTTGGATCTTTCCTGCCTTCTCTTGTGGGCATTTAGTGCTATAAATTTCCGTCTACACACTGCTTTGAATGCGTCCCAGAGATTCTGGTATGTTGTGTCTTTGTTCTCGTTGGTTTCAAAGAACATCTTTATTTCTGCCTTCATTTCGTTATGTACCCAGTAGTCATTCAGGAGCAGGTTGTTCAGTTTCCATGTAGTTGAGCGGTTTTGAGTGAGATTCTTAATCCTGAGTTCTAGTTTGATTGCACTGTGGTCTGAGAGATAGTTTGTTATAATTTCTGTTCTTTTACATTTGCTGAGGAGAGCTTTACTTCCAAGTATGTGGTCAATTTTGGAATAGGTGTGGTGTGGTGCTGAAAAAAATGTATATTCTGTTGATTTGGGGTGGAGAGTTCTGTAGATATCTATTAGGTCTGCTTGGTGCAGAGCTGAGTTCAATTCCTGGGTATCCTTGTTGACTTTCTGTCTCGTTGATCTGTCTAATGTTGACAGTGGGGTGTTAAAGTCTCCCATTATTAATGTGTGGGAGTCTAAGTCTCTTTGTAGGTCACTCAGGACTTGCTTTATGAATCTTGGTGCTCCTGTATTGGGTGCATATATATTTAGGATAGTTAGCTCTTCTTGTTGAATTGATCCCTTTACCATTATGTAATGGCCTTCTTTGTCTCTCTTGATCTTTGTTGGTTTAAAGTCTGTTGTATCAGAGACTGGGATTGCAACCCCTGCCTTTTTTTGTTTTCCATTGGCTTGGTAG
Organism: Homo sapiens; assembly: GCF_000001405.40. Taxonomy (NCBI): domain Eukaryota; kingdom Metazoa; phylum Chordata; class Mammalia; order Primates; family Hominidae; genus Homo; species Homo sapiens. Next base: position 49,398,154 of record NC_000015.10, on the reverse strand, counting down.
ATCTTCCTCCAACCTTTTATTTTGAGCCTATGTGTGTCTCTGCATGTGAGATGGGTTTCCTGAATACAGCACACTGTTGGGTCTTGACTCTTTATCCAATTTGCCAGTCTGTGTCTTTTAATTGGAGCATTTAGTCCATTTACATTTAAAGTTAATGTTGTTATGTGTGAATTTGATCCTGTCATTATGATGTTAGCTGGTTATTTTGCTGGTTAGTTGATGCAGTTTCTTCCTAGTCTTGATGGTCTTTACATTTTGGCATGGTTTTGCAGCTGCTGGTACCGGTGGTTCCTTTCCGTGTTTAGCACTTCCTTCAGAAGCTCTTTTAGGGCAGGCCTGGTGGTGACAAAATGTCTCAGCATTTGCTTGTCTGTAAAGTATTTTATTTCTCCTTCACTTATGAAGCTTAGTTTGGCTGGATATGAAATTCTGGGTTGAAAATTCTTTTCTTTAAAATTTTGAATATTGGCCCCCACTCTCTTCTGGCTTGTAGGGTTTCTGCCAAGAGATCCGCTGTTAGTCTGATGGACTTCCCTTTGAGGGTGACCCGACCTTTCTCTCTAGCTGCCCTTAACATTTTTTCCTTCATTTCAACTTTGGTGAATCTGACAATTATGTGTCTTGGAGTTGCTCTTCTCGAGGAGTATCTTTGTGGTGTTCTCTGTATTTCCTGAATCTGAACGTTGGCCTGCCTTGCTAGATTGGGGAAGTTCTCCTGGATAATATCCTGCAGAGTGTTTTCCAACTTGGTTCCATTCTCCCCATCACTTTCAGGTACACCAGTCAGACGTAGATTTGGTCTTTTCACATAGCCCCCATATTTCTTGGAGGCTTTGCTCATTTCCTTTTATTCTTTTTTCTCTAAACTTCCCTTCTTGCTTCATTTCATTCATTTCATCTTCCATGGCTGATACCCTTTCTTCTAGTTGATCGCGTCGGCTCCTGAGGCTTCTGCATTCTTCACGTTGTTCTCAAGCCTTGGTGTTCAGCTCCATCAGCTCCTTTAAGCACTTCTCTGTATTCGTTATTCTAATTATACATTCTTCTAAATTTTTTTCAAGGTTTTCAACTTCTTTGCCTTTGGTTTGAATGTCCTCCCGTAGCTCAGAGTAATTTGATCATCTGAAGCCTTCTTCTCTCAGCTCGTCAAAATCATTCTCCATCCAGCTTTGTTCTGTTGCTGGTGGGGAACTGCGTTCCTTTGAAGGAGGAGAGGCGCTCTGCTTTTTAGAGTTTCCAGTTTTTCTGTTCTGTTTTTTCCCCATCTTTGTGGTTTTATCTACTTTTGGTCTTTGATAATGGTGATGTACAGATGGGTTTTTGGTGTGGATGTCCTTTCTGTTTGTTAGTTTTCCTTCTAACAGACAGGACCCTCAGCCGCAGGTCTGTTGGAGTACCCTGCCGTGTGAGGTGTCAGTGTGCCCCTGCTGGGGGGTGCCTCCCAGTTAGGCTGCTCGGGGGTCAGGGGTCAGGGACCCACTTGAGGAGGCAGTCTGCCCGTTCTCAGATCTCCAGCTGGGTGCTGGGAGAACCACTGCTCTCTTCAAAGCTGTCAGACAGGGACATTTAAGTCTGCAGAGGTTACTGTTGTCTTTTTGTTTGTCTGTGCCCTGCCCCCAGAGGTGGAGCCTACAGAGGCAGGCAGGCCTCCTTGAGCTGTGGTGGGCTCCACCCAGTTCGAGCTTCCCGGCTGCTTTGTTTACCTAATCAAGCCTGGGCAATGGCGGGCGCCCCTCCCCCAGCCTCGCTGCCGCCTTGCAGTTTGATCTCAGACTGCTGTGCTAGCAATCAGCGAGACTCCGTGGGCGTAGGACCCTCCGAGCCAGGTGTGGGATATAATCTCGTGGTGCGCCGCTTTTTAAGCCCGTCAGAAAAGCACAGTATTCAGGTGGGAGTGACACGATTTTCCAGGTGCCGTCCGTCACCCCTTTCTTTGACTCGGAAAGGGAACTCCCTGACCCCTTGCGCTTCCCAAGTGAGGCAATGCCTCGCCCTGCTTCGGCTCGCACACGGTGAGCACACCCACTGACCTGCGCCCACTGTCTGGCACTCCCTAGTGAGATGAACCTGGTACCTCAGATGGAAATGCAGAAATCACCATCTTCTGCGTCGCTCACGCTGGGAGCTGTAGACCGGAGCTGTTCCTATTTGGCCATCTTGGCTCCTCGCCCCCAGTTTTGGTAAGATTAACCCACATTTTGTTCTCCTCTGTTCTTTGGACATGGCATTCATGGGCCTTAAATTAAGAACCTGGAAGTTTCTGAATCCTCAGCCATGAAAATTTAGAGAGATTCAATTCTATCCTTTGAATGTGTTGAGTTTAACTCTTTAAACTTCGATACCACACATCTTCAAAATTTAATATATGTCTTGATGAGAAGACCAACCAGGTATTTGCAAGACTGCCTCGTAGTCGCTGTAAGAACTGTAAAAGACATCATAGAGACTTCAGAAGTTTCTGACCCAGCCCTGCCTCAGCCTTTCAAAACACCACATAACTCAGCAAATATCCTGTGGTAAAAATTAGCTGCCATGTATGTGATGCTGCTTTAAATTTTTATAACTGCCTGCATAATTGTCCAAAGTTCTGATGGTTCATCTCTTCCATAGTAATGTACTTCTGCCTATGCTAACCCTGATTCTCAGCAGTACTCAGAATCCGTAGATGCTTTCAAGGGATGAAAATAACTGAGAGTGACAGCTCACATAGGACTCTTCCCTCTAGAATTTTAGCCTCTCCCTTGCCCGTTGTTTCCAGTGTCCTTAAAATAGCATTTTTGTAATATCTCTACTTTTTTCTCATTATTGAAGTGGAAACATTGCCTACAAGAACTACTATATCTTACTGAGAAGCAAAAGTGATTTTTTTAAACCATCTTTATTCTTCTTACAAAAAAAACCTTAAAACCCCCTAGAAAAGTTGAAAACAAAGCAATAGAAAAAGAAAATACCATGTAACTATTTACCAAAAGAAAGCTAACATGGTAATATTCATATAGAATAAATTAAAATTTAAGGAAGAAGACATTGGTAAGTATTAATATGTGTGTACCAAAAATATTGGCTAGAAATATATAAAGCAAAAATGTTCAGACTCTCATGGATTAACTGACAAATCCGTAACAACAATATAATATTTTAATCCTCCTCTCTTAAATAACAGTAGTTAACTCTGACAAAGAATTGTTAAAGAATATTTATTAGGAGAACATTTGTAAGTTTGGCATGCGTGTGTGTGTTTGTGTGTGTGTATTAGACACTGCATTCAACAGTCAAGACTATACATTCTTTTCAAGTGAAGGTACAAATGGAACAATTACAAACATTTTCCACATACTGTCATAAATGAAATCTCAGCAATATATAGACTTTATTACCTTCCTACTGCTCCTAACTCACTGAAGTCCTTTCTTCCTTACCTAAATTAAACATGGCTAATCATTATAGTTATTTATTTGCACTCACCTTCAACTCTTTTGCAATTCTTCCTTTTCAGTTCACTGAAAAAGCCGCAAACCTAATTAAAGATAATTCTCCACACCTGAATTTGTGCAGCTAACTGTATACAGAAATTATACAACCATGCCGAATAGTCTCATTTTAAATTCATAATTATATAACTCAAATCGGCCTTAATTCTGTCAGACAATCCTACTGCATTCCCTATTACTTTATTTCTCCCATGCACCTAGACAACTACTTCCACCTTTATTTCTCTTCAACTCTCCAGCACTACCTCCCCATCTTCAATCTCAGATGGTGACTTTGTTTTCTACTTCAATTAGAAATTTAAAGCAATGAGAACCTCCACAAATTCCCACCACCACATCTACCCAATTACCAGCACTATGTACCATATTCTCTGCTTTCCCTTTTTTGCTCCTACCTAAGGTCAGCTTTTCCTAGCATTTCACAAATATATCTTCATTTACTCCTCCAATTATCCTATGAACTGGTGTTGATGGTATCATTTTACAGCTGGGGGGAAAGCTTCAAAGTCAAATCATTAGAGAAGGACTGTTCTAGCTCTGTGTTCTCTATCCCCTTGTTACTCAAAGGTGATTCCACAGATCAGTATCATCACCAATACCTGTGATGTTATTGGGCCCCAGACCTAATTAATCCAAAAAAGGGATGCATTTTAAAAAGATTCTCAAGTGTTTCTTATGCTGTTTGACATTTAAAGAACACTCCTGTATACCAGTCTGTCCTTCCCCATGCACATTCCACTATAGTATAGTGGCACCAATTATTTAAAAAATAAAATTGGTTCTTAGATTATGTTTTACTAGAACTCAGTCCTTCTCCAAGGTACTAATTCAAGCCCTCCATAAATTCTGTTTGTTTCTTGCAAATGAAGTTTCTGATGGTGTTCCTTCTTTTGGTGTGATTGATTTGATTAAGTTTGGATTCAGTTAGTCGCAGTAGTCAGGGTAGGAGCTTGGTGGTAGCCAGATCAAAGAATTTGGAATGACCAGCCTTGTAAGAGCCAATCCTTATTGTATTCATTCATTTTAACTGTTAATTTCTCATTCACTGAGAAAGGACTTGGTTTAATTAACAACAGAACAAAATTTTGCAGATTTGATCTTGGTATATGGACTTATTTTAAGGCATATTGTTAGTGGTGAAGATTGGGAACCCACCTGTGGAAAAAATTTGAGAGCCTATAATTTATTTTTTAAAATAATGGAATTAAATTTTAGTTTTTTGTTCAGTGCAGAAGTCTGACTTACAGTAAACATTCCGATGGAAATATTTTAGTGAAAGGGTAGGGAACTGACACTACGTCATTAAGACTTCTGCTAGCATTTTTCCCATTAGAGCACAATGGCTCCAAACAAAGAGGAAATGATATGGGTGAACCACAGCACCCTCCATTTACACTAAGAGGAAAACACATTGAACTCTCATGAAAGTTTTCTCTCTTTCACATTTGAGCCCTCTCCCCACATTTTGAAAGAAACCTGCATTTCAAATAAAGTGTACATACACTGACCTCACTCACCAAAACATAAATTTTGTTATCACTTTGATTGCATTATTTCAAGGTTTTAAATGTTTAAATTAAAAATACTCCACTTTATACTTCTACAGTAACAGGTAACTATGTACTCCTTTGCTCCTCTTTTCTTCATGATTTTCATAGTGGTAGGATTGGTCCATTCCTGTTGCTATTACAAAAAACTACACTCAGTTAACAAAAAGTTTCAAGCAAGCCCTTGGCAAACATTTCAAAATTCTCTCTTCCAATTCAAAATCTTCCAATAGACTATCATGTTACCTTTCTCCATTACAAATAATCTGTGGGGAAATTAAGTCTATGACCATTTGAAATAATTAGGCTCATTAAGAGCTTATGACTTAAGGGGTAAAGCCACATCACTCATGTCATTCATTAAGCAACTATAATATTTAAATGAACTTATAATTACCCACCAGTTATTTCAATCATCCTCAAAGATTTGAGTTCAACGCATTATTTCTTGACAGATGCATTTTTAAAAGCTTCTTACACTTGGATAACCACTCCATCTTAATGTCCTTTGCTCTTTGTCTTCTTCACGTTCTTAAAGTAAGGACACTCAGGGTGGTCTGTTCATTGTCTTGCCTTGTTACTCAACCTCACTTTTATATACACTCCACTGCCTGAATTCATTTTCCATGTTTGAACCCATGCAAATCTAATCAGTTTTTAAGTAAGACTTCACTGACTACCTCATTGCACAGTCTCTTTTGCATCCTCATCGCACAGACATCTTTTGCAGGTCCTTCCCCATGCACATTCCACTGTAGTATAGTGGCACCAATTATTTAAAAAATAAAATTGATTCTTAGATTATGTTTTACTAGAACTCAATCCTTCTCCAAGGTACTAATTCAAGCCCTCCATAAATTCTGTTAGTTTCTTGCAAATGAAGTTTCTGATGGTGTTCAGTTCACAGTCTCTTTTGCATCCTAGAAGTTTCATTTCTGATGCAATATATTTGCCCCTTTATCTCATATTAAATTTATAATAGATGTTGAATTTTTCCACAAGTATGACCTGTAATATGTTTTATCATCTCATTTGGTCATAATTGACTGTTAAAGGCTGTATTCTTTACTTGTCTTGAAACTTGCAGTGTTTTTCTCGTTGTCTACTGTTACTAAACCACATGTGGGTCTGCTTGCCTGGCACAGTAAAGCCAAATACCCACACCAACGTTTGCAGTAAGAGTAAGGAGGGCATTTATTTGCAGGGTGCCAAGCAAGGAGAATTGGGCAGCTAATCCTTAAGAGCTGGCCTCCCCAATGGCCTATAAGCAAGGGCTCTTAAAAGCAGAGACACCTCTTTTTAGGAAAGCAGAAGTTACAGTCAAAATTGTAAATCAATACTTGGAGGTTATATTAATACATTGGTTTGGCCCAAAATGGCAGGCTATCTTGAAGTGGGGGCTCACAGGTCATAGGTGGATTCAGAGATTCTTTGATTTGCAATTGCTTAAGGAAGTCAAGGCTTTGTTTAAAAACTTGGGGTCATCAGAAGGGAATGTTGAGGTTTGACCTGTGGGCATTACTCTCTCCAGGCCCGTCAGGAAAAAATTTAGAACAAAGAAGAGCAATCAGATTTCATATTCCCTTTATCTGAAGTCTGTGTGACTGTGGTTGGCCTTTTCCATCTGATGGGGGTCTGGGTTTCTGAAAAACAACTCAGGGACATGTGTCATCTTTAGTTTCTATAGGGAACCAAACATCTTGTCCTTCTTGCTTATTGAGTTGCTGATTTACTTCTCGAGGCTAGCTATATGCCTGGAATTTCTCTTGAAGGGACTCAAGCCTTTTCCCTTATTTTCATGCTTGAGGTGTCCCAGCAGGCCCCTAAGAGGGGTCTCTGTTCTGTCTTACTACAAGAGATATTTCTTAAAGAAATGTGTGAATAAATGAATAAATGGCAAATAGCTGATTTAGGCTGGAGAAATATTTGTGGTTTTTTTCCTGCTTAATAGAGGTAGATTAATTTGATCTATCTCCTCATGTCTTAATTCATATAATCTAAAATAAAGGACATAATTTGAATATAAATTAAATTTTTTGAAACTCCTCACTTTTACAAATGAAAAAGTTGAGACCCAATTGGAAAGTGAGTTGCCGGAAACTACATATGTAGTCTGAAAAATTTAAACTAGAACTAGTCCTGAATCTTCATCCCATGGTCTTCCTAAGGACAGTTCTTTCCAATGGAGATACCAGGTTAATAGCAGTGTCTCGGTTGTTAGGCTGTTTCAAGGAAGGGATAACTGAAAGGTATGGCAAAGCACATAGGTCAGTTCATACTGGTTGTCACATGTTTAAAGTTTTTGTTAGTATTAAAAGAATGGACAGTATATTTGTATATGTATTTAATTATGTATATGCCCATTTTTTCACATAAGGTTTATTTTACATAGCTGTACATAAACATGTTGAATACAACAGCATAAAATAACATTTTAAATAAGCAGATAAGGAAAAGAGGATTCAAAAAGTGAGATAGGAGGGAGGATAAAAGCCTGAAATGAGGTTAGAATGTGAAATTCTGTTGAAAAACCTTTTACTTTTGCTAGACTTGGCCCATGAATTAGATTGGCTCTGAGCATTCTGTCTGTCAAGGCAGAGTAAATGACAATGCCACTTTGGATAATTGGGAAGTATCCAAAAACAAAACAATGTGCACATCAAGTACACCTATTCCTTATACTAAGAACAAATAGTATTTTTTTCTTGTGGATCCCTATATCAAACAGGATAGACAGAATTATGCTATAGTGACAAACATTAGTAAAATCTTAGTGGCTTATGCTGACAAAGGCTTATTTTTCACTCACACTGTGTGTCCATTGCATATAAGATGGGGTCTCTATCTACCACAGTAACTCATACATACAAGCCAAAGGAGACTTCATCTCATTTATAATCAGTGCAGCAGGTGGAAGAGAATTGGGTGGCCCGTATAGTGGTTCTTAAAGCTTCCACTCGGAAAAGACACATTTCATTTGAGCTCAAATTTCTTCATTTCATTTCCCAGAGCAAGCCCCGTGTTCATACTTATCTTCAATGAACTTAAAGACAGTTTGCAGTCCAACCTTGTGCCTTGGAAGGATGAAAAGGTGAATATTTCTGAACAGCCCAACTGATTACCACACTCTCCATAGAGAAGCACTGCGTAAAGTAATGAGTTATGTTGACATAGAAAATACGGCCAGAACTGAGTCTATGACATTGCACGATGTTGACCAAGGGCATAAAGACAAGGCAAAAGCTGGTAAAAATGGTTCTACCAGTGGCTAGGAAAAATCAGTTCTGATACATAGCTCTTTATTGGTCTACCTTAATTCAGGAATTGTTTCAGCTTTCCTAAAGAAAGGGATAAAAGTTACTCCTAAATATATATTCTCTCAACAAAGCTTTTATATGTATGAACTAATAGTGAGTTTGCATTTATATCCCTTAAGAAATAATATTAATAACAATACTTTTTTCTTCTTTTTAAAAATTCAATAGCTTTTGAGGTACAATGGTTTTTTTTTTACATGGATGGATGAATTACATAGTGCTGAATTCTGAGATTTTAGTGCACCCATCACCCAAGTAGCATACATTTTACCTAATGTGTAGTTTTGTATCTCTAGCCCTCCTCTCACCCTCCCGGCTCTGAGTCTCTAAAATCTATTATATCACTCTGTATGCCTTTGCATACTGGTAGCTTAGCTCCCACTTAAAAGTGAGAACATATGGTTTTCAGTTTTCCACTCCTGTGTTACTTCACTTAGAATAATGGCCTCCAGCTCCATCTAAGTTGCTGCAAAAGAGGTAATTTCCTTTGAATGGCTGAGTAGTCCATGGTGTGTATGTGCCACATTTTCTTTATCCCATCATTAGTTGATGGGTACTTAGGTTGGTTCTACATCTTTGCAATTGTGAATTGTGCTGCTATAAACATACATGGGCAAGTGTCTTTTTCATATAATGACTTCTTTCTTTGGGTAGATACCCCACAGTGGGATTGCTGGATCAAATGGTAGTTCTATATTTAATTCCTCAAGGGACCTTCATTACAGTTTTCCATAGAGGTTGTACTAATTTACATTCCCACCAATAGTGAATAAGTGTTCCCTTTTTCCCACATCCATGCCAACCTCTATTGTTTTTTGACTTTTTATTAATAATGGCCATTCTTTCAGAATTCATTGTGATATCTCATTGTGGTTTTAATTTGCACTTCCCTGGTGATTACTGATGTTGAGGACTTTTTCATATATTTATTGACCATTTGTATATCTTCTTTTAAGAAATGTCTATTCATGTCCTTTGCCCACTTTTTAATGGAATTATTTGTATTTTTTCTTGGTAATTTGTTTGAGTTCCTTGTACATTCTGGATACTAGTCCTTTTTCGGATGTGTAGTTTGCAAATATTTTCTCCCATTCTGTGGGTTTTCTGTTTACTCTGTCAATTATTTCTTTTGTTGTGCAGAAGGTTTTTAGTTTAATTAGGTCTCATTTGTTTATTTTTGTTTTTGTTATATTTGCTTTTGGGATCTTTGTTATAAATTCTTTGCCTAGGTCAGTGTCTAGAAGAGTTTTTCCAACGTTGTCTTCTAGAATTTGTATAGTTTCAGGTCCTATATTTGACTCATTGATTCATCTTGAGTTGATTTTTGTATAAGGTGAGAGATAGGAATCCAGTTTCATTCTTCAATGTGTGGCTTGGCAGTTTTCCTAGCACCATTTAATGTAATAAATGATATCAATTCCCTAACTTATATTTTTGTGTACTTTATTGAAGGTCAGTTGGCTGTAAGTATTTGGCTTGATTTCTGGGTTCTCTATTCTGTTCCTTTGGTCTAGGTGCCCACTTTTGTATCAGTATCATGCTGTTTTAGTAACTGCAGGCTTATAGTATAATTTGAAGTCCGGTAATGTGATGCCTCCAAATTTGTTCTTTTTGCGTAGGATTTCTATGGCTATTTGGGCTCTTTTTTGGTTCCATATGAATTTTAGGATTGTTCTTTCTAATTTTGTGAAAAACAATGTTGGTATTTTCATGGGAATTGTATTAAATCTGTAGATTCCTTTGGGCAGTATGATCATTTGCACAATATTGATTCTTCCAATCCATGAGCATGAAATGTGTTTTCATTTGTTTCTGTCATCTATAATTTCTTTCAGCAGTGTCTTGTAGTCCTCCTTGTAGAGATCTTTCACCTCCATAGTTAAATATATTCGTAGGTATTTTATTTATTTTTTCCTTTTTGCAGCTCTTATAAAAGAGATCACGTTCTTGATCTGATTCTCAGCTTGATGCTATACATCAACAATGATATTGTTGTACATTGACTTTGAAACCTGAGACTTTACTGAATTCGTTTATTAAATCTAAGAGTCTTTTGGAGGAGTACTTAGGATGTTCTAGGTACACAGTCATATCATCTGCAAACAGTGATAGTTGGACTTCCTCTTTTCCAGTTTCAATGTCCCTTATTTCTTTCTCTTGCCTGATTGGTCTGGATAGCACTTGCAGAACTATGTTGAACAGGAGTGGTGAAAGTGATCATCTTTGTCTTGTTTCTGTTCTCAGGGGAAATGCTTACAACTTTTCCCCATTCAGTAAGATGTTGGCTATGGGTTTGTCATATATGGATTTTATTATTTTGATATAGGTGCCTTCTATGCCTGGTTCTTATAAAGGGATGCTGTAGTTTATCAAATGCTTTTTCTGCATCTATTGGGATAATAATATAGTTTTTGTTTTTAATTCTGTTTATGTGATGTATTACACTTACTGACTTGCGTATATTAAACCATCCCAGCATCCCTGGGATGAAACCCACTTGACCATGATGAATTACCTTTTTGATATCCTGTGGGATTTGTTTAGCTAGTATTTTGGGGGGGATTTTTGAATCTATGTTCATAAGGAAAATTGATCGGTAGTTTTCTTTTTTTGTTGTGTCTTTTCCTGGATTTGGTATCAGAATGATACTAGCTTCATAGAATGATTTAGGGAGGATTCCTTCCTTCTCAATCTTTTGGAATAGTTTCAGTAGGATTAGTACCAATTCTTTGAATGTCTGATAGAATTCAGGTGTGAATCCATCTGGTCCTGGGCTTTTATTTTGTTGACAATTTTTAAATTACTGATTCAATCTCACTGCTTCTTATTAGTCTTTTCAAGGTTTCTATTCCTGATTTAATCTAGGAGGATTGTATGTTTCCAGGAATTCATCCATTTCCTCTAGGTTTTCTAGTTTGTGCACATAAAGGTGTTCATAATAGTCTTGAATGATTGTTTCTGTAATTCTGTGGTGTTGGTTGTAATGTCTCCAGTTTCATTTCTAATTGAGCTTATTTGGATCTTCCCTCTTCTTGGTTAATCTAGCTAATGGTCTATCAGTTTTGTTTATTTTTTTCAAAGAACCAGCTTTTTGTTTCATTGATCTTTTGTATTGTTTTGTTTGTTTGAATTTTATTTAGTTCTGCTCTGATCTGTGTTATTTCTTTTCTTCTAGCTTCAGGTTTAGTCTGTTCTCGTTTCTCTAGTTCCTTGAGGTGTGACATTAGGTCATCAATTTGGGCACTTTCAGACTTCTTGATGTAGGCATTTAGCACTATAAACTTTCCTCTAAGCACTGCTTTTGCTGTATTCCAGAGGTTTTGATAACTTGGGTCATTATCATCATTCAATTCAAATAATTTTTAAATTTCCATCTTGATTTCATTGTTAACCCAGATATCAGTCAGAAGCAGCTTATTTAATTTCCATGTATTTGTATAGTTTTGAGGGTTCCTTTTGGAGTTGATTTCTAGCTTTATTCCACTGTGGCCTGAGAAGATACTTGATATAATTTTGATTTTTTTTTTTAATTTATTGAGATTTGTTTTATGGCCTATTATATGGTCTGTCTTGGAGAATGTTCCACGTGCTCATGAGAAGAATGTGTATTCTGGAAATCTTGGGTAGCATGATCTGTAAATATCTTTAAGTTCATTTGTTCTAGCATGTCATTTAAGTCCACTGTTCCTCTGTTGACTTTCTGTGTTGAAGATCTGCTAGTGCTGTCAGTGGCACACTGAAGTCTCCCACTATTATTGTTTTGCTGTCAATCTCATTTCTTAGGTCTAATAGTGATTGTTTTATAAATGTAGATGCTTCAGTGTTTGGTACATATAAATTTAGGATTGTAATCTCTTCTTGTTGAATTGATCCTTTTATCAATATAATAGGGACTGTCTTTCTTTTTTTAGTGTTGTTGCTTTGAAGTCTGTTTTGTCTGATAAAAGAATAGCTACTCCTGCTCACTTTTGGTTTCCATTTGCATGGAATACCTTTTTACACACTTTTACCTTGAGTTTATTTGAATCTTTCCATGTTAGGTGAGTCTCTTGAAGTAGATATTTCTATTGTGATTTTTTTATCCATTCTGCCATTCTGTATCTTTTAAGTGGAGTATTTAGGCCTTTTACAGTCAACATTAATATTGAGATGTAAGGTGCTGTTCTCTTCATCATGTTATTACCTAGTTTTTTTTTTTTTCATTGTGTTACTGTTTTATAGACCCAGTGAGTTTTAAGCTTTCAAGAGGTTCTATTTTGGTGCGTATTGGGCTTTTGTTTTAAGGCTTAGAACCCCTTTTATTAATAACAATATTGATTACCATTTATACAACCTTTACAATATGCCAGACACTGTGTTTTTGCATATATATTCTCATTTTATCCACTTACCAAGTTTATAAGGTAATTATTATAATCTCCAAATTATGTTTGAGGAAACAGGCTTAAAGGAATTAATTTGCCTAAGGTCACTTAATCAACAAATGGCAAAGCTGGCATTTAAATTTGTGTCCGTCTGACTCCAAAGCCTATGTGCTTAACTAATATACTACTCTGCATCAGAAATGCAGGTTAAGGTTACATGAATGTACTTTAAACAATTGGTCAAGATGGAGTTAGATCCACTCTCCTAATAAATAGGAGAGGAGAAAACCTGCCCTGATAAGAAACCTTGCCAAACCTTTCTCCAAACCTCCAAAACCCTTGAGTGACATTGTCTTAGGAGATACCTTCAGAGAAGACTCAAATGCTATTAGAGCACGTTTTACAGGAAGAGCAAGGTCCTGAAATTCTCTGCCATTGGTGGGCCATTCACTTTGAATATAATTGAAATGTTTTTCATGGAAAAAAACTGGAGCCATGGTCTGAAAAACAGAATAGTATGTATTGAATCATACATATAAAATATTGTTCCAATAAATGTCCCAATCAATTAAAAATCTTGTCAAAGTAATTATAAAGAACATATAAAACACAGCAAGAAAATAAGATAAGGAGAAATATTTAAGGGAATTATTAATACTTTAGTACATATTGTTGTCATTTTAAATCTTGGATCTATAATCTTAACTATTACTAGTCACAGCAGAACAGTTTATAAGGCATTTTTGTGCCACAGCTTATTTATACTTTGAGTAGCAGAATGAAAACAATGCCAATCTGGTATAATATGACTGTTTAATTCTGTTGGTAGGAAAGTCACACACACAAGAATGTTTTCCAATTCCTTGAAATTCCCAAGTGATCAACAACTAAGAGGATCGCTGTGTTCCTGTGGCACTTCCCTATTGTTTTTATGCTATAGAGCTATTATGTTGCATTGCAGCTACCTAAGAATACATCTGAGACTCGTCCCCACCCCATCCCCACAGACAGTGAGCCCTGTCTTCATCCTTGTATTCCAGGCATTGAGCATAATTAACACTCAGTAGGCACTTTTGTAATGAATGAATATGGATAGAATGAGTGATAATATATAGCAGTTTTTGCTACTAGTGCTCAAAGAGTAAAATACCCTTGAGAAATTGAGGAGTTCATACAAGTTTCTTAGTCAAAGTTTTTTTGGTTGTAACACAAATCGGCTTGAACTGTGTAATGGATGTTAAAATGAGGCTGTTTCTGTTCTAGTTTCTTCTGAATTCTTAAAGGCTGATGACATTAATAGGTACATCCTAAAGAGAAGTCCTACCTTGCAGGATATTAACCCACCTTGAACCTATAAAACATGGCAAAGAGGAATGTTGAGGAATCAAGAGAATTCCTTAGGAGGACAGAAGTAACTTTGGAATACTTTTTCCCTCAGTCCCAGTGAGGAACACATTGGGATGTTAAAACAAGAAACAGAAGCTGCTGGCTCCTCATTCAAAGCCAGGTGTCTCCTGTATTTGGGGGGAGAATGACAAATGGTAGAGAAAACTATGGCCCATCATTAGCACGTGAGATTATGAGTCTCAACAACCTGGCACATTATCTTTTTCTTTGTTTGTCTTTAAATAGCATATCAGCATTTCTTTGATTGCTTTAGTTTCTGGTGAAATTAAAAAATTATTTGCCAATCGTATTCCTTTTTTATAACTTACTTCTTATGTCCGTCATCTGTTATCTACTGAGGTTTTTGTTTCATCTGTCATTCTGTTAGAAATATTTTTTGCCAGTTTTCATTTTGTGGGACTGTACTTTTTGCCTAGCAGGACTTTTGAATTTTTACATAATAAAATATAGGCATACCTCAGAGATATTGCAGGCTTTGTGTAAGACCATTGCAATAAAACAAATATTGCAACAAAGTGAGTCATACAAATGTTTTGGTTTCCCAGTGTATATAAAAGTTATGTTTATACTATATTGTAGTCTCTTAAGGGTATAATAGCATTTTGTCTAATAAAAAGTGCATACCTTAATTTAAAAATAGTTTACTGCTAAAAAATGCTGACACAGAGACAGGAAGTGAACACAGGTGTTGGAAAAATGGCAACAACAGACTTGCTCTACACAGAGTTCCGTGAACATTCCATTTGTAAAAAAGCAATATCTGTGAAGTACAATAAAGTGCAGTTAAACAAGATATGCCTGTATATTAATGTTTTACTGTGTAATCTCATCTTTTGTAGACTTCTCCACCACCTATACATATATTTTTTCTAGTTTATATATTGTTCTGCTTTTTTTAATCCAGATTTAATTTTCCAATCCATCAACTGTTTATTCTTTGTTAGGGAGCTAAGATTACACAAGAATGGAACACCTCAAAATGTTTATGCACGACAGCACAAAGTAGGAAAAAAAGACAAGGAGATTGAAGTAAATGTTAAATGAACCGATTTACATTTCTACCACAATGAGAACTTAAACCTTGCTTCTGAGTTTAATGGCTTTTTAAAATTGTACTCAGCATCTACCTATGATTGTTGCTTTTTAAAAGGTTGTGAATTTCATTCTCATTATGGTAAAGATATTCTCAAAACCTTTATCAGCTACCCATAGAGTCTTTTCTTTATAAGGCCTCCATAAAAAAGGAGAGCTCCATCTTACCCTAGTAACAAGAATAGCTAGCTGGGAATCTTCACAGTGATTGTTCTTTTTTATCTCATAGACACTGTGAAGAGTGTAATGAATAAGATGTCCTTGTTTATTAAGTTAGCTGTTAAAAACAATATGCATTTTGAGAATGATTCCTGGCCCATTTTGTTGCCACTTCTGCTTTTCTCTGTCCTTTCATTACACTTAAATTGCATGCTACTTTTGCAGTATTTAGGTACCTTTGTAAGTGGACAAGTCATTTCTACATGAATATGGGGAGAATAAGAAAAAAAGGGAAAGAAATTTCATTTCAATATGTGGTGTGGTAGAGATCAAATTTACTTTTTCCTAAACAGTTAACATTTGCCTTATTTCTTTTTATTCAATGATTCATCTTTTCTTAATGATTAGGAACGTCACATTTGCTAAATAGTAAACGCATTAATATTTGCTTGAAACTATAAATTATGTTACTCTTCCCTAATGATTGCAATACCTAATTTTATGTCCACACCATATTATTTCAATCATTATTGTTTTATACATTTTAATATCTGACAGTATAATTCTTCTATCATGACTTTTTTCACTACTTCCTGCATATTGTACCTATACTAAAATTTTTAATTTGCACTTTAGAATAAGTTTGCCCTGTTCCCCTCCCCACCAAACAATCATATATAGATTGTTTAGAATTGTATTTAATATTTATAATTTATTTGGGGGAGAACTTATACCTTCATAATTTTTATTCTATACATTTAGAAATATCATGTGTATCTTTAGTTTGTAATGTTCTGCATCTAGGTCCTAAACATTTCTTAAATAATTTCTTCCTACATATTTCACATATTTTAAAATTAGGCATGAGATTTTAAAATATTTTATTGTCTAACTGGTCAACTGCTGACATTTATAACAGTGATAAATTTTTATGTATTTGTAATTTGCAACTAAACTCTCCTACTTAACAATGCTTATTAAAATGATTATCTTGTGTTTGCTTGGAAGACCATAATATCACGTGTAAAAACAAAAAACAATTAGTGTTGTCTTCCTCATTCTAATATTTACACCTCTTATTTATTTTTATTGGCTTACTGCATTGGTTAGGATTTACAGAGCAGTGTTAAATAACAGTTGTGATGGTGGGAATATCTACTAAAATTTCAGCTACTGGCAAATACAAAGTACCTTATAAATATCACTGAAGCAAGTAAAGAGTTAATATTTTACATAACAAAAAATAATTTTTACATGAGAAGAAATATAAAGGTAGCTATTACTTCTCATGGATGTCACCAAGGAACCATGTTTCTTATGTCCTCCTGCTTCAGCATCCTTAGCATGTTACTTTTATATTGTCACAAGATAATTGCTGTATCTCCTGGCATTCCAGCCACACAGGACAAAAGAGAAAGGACACCAGGCATATAGTAAGCCTTTTCTTTATCAGGTTTTGCCTTTTTATTTAGGAAATAAAACCTTCCCCAGGGGTGATATGATTTGGATATGTGTGCCCTCCAAATCTAATGTTGAGATATAATCCCCAGTGTTGGAGATGGGCCTAGAGGGAGATACTTGGACCAGGAGGCGGGGGCAGATCCTTCATGAATGGCTTACCACCATCCCTGTGGTGATGAGTGAGCTGTTGCTCTGAGTTCCTGTGAGATCAGTTGATCAGTTGTTTAAAAATGCATGACACCTCCCCTCCCCCTTGCTCTTGCTTCGTTTCTCACCAGATGACACATGGGCTCCTCCTTTGCCTTTTACCACGATTGTAATCTCCCTGAGGCGTGCACCAGAAGCAGATGCTGGCACTATGTTTCTTGTACATCCCGCAGAACCATAATCCAATTAAACCTATTTTCTTTATTAGTTACCCAGCCTCAGGTGTTTCTTTACAGCAATGCAAGAATGGACTAACACAAGGGGCTTCTGCCGACATTTCATTGACCACAGCTGTGTCACAAGGGGCCAATTAAATCAAATCAAATCCAATTCAGAGGAGTTAAGTAGCTCAAGTGTTTAGCTTGAGTAGAAAAAAATAAAGGGCAGAAAAAAAATAAAGTAGAAAAAAAAGTAAAGGACTTTGAAGTGGATGTTAAATGAGCCAATTTACATAACTACCATAGAAAGAATCCAAACTTTGTCCCTGATTTTAATGGCATGCATCAAATTATTCTGCATTTAAGTAATATTTTGAATTTTTATTTCAAGATGATTTCTTTAGCATGTTAGAGACATAACCTTCTTTTATGGGTTTACTTAGTGTTTCATTTGGAATGAATATTACATTTTATTAAATATATTTTTTTTTAATCAACGCAAAACTCCTGCTTGAGAAAAGCAGAGGGAAAGGTAAAGAGGACTTTGTCTTCACCTTAGGTACCAGCAAAGCCATGGCAGGGCAGAGCACCACGTGGGCTCTTGGGGTCCCCAGTTCCAGGATTTGACTCTTGGACAGCATTTCTGGACCTGCCCTTGGACAGAGGGGAGCACGCCGCCCTGAAGGGTGAGGCCCAGGCCAGGCAGCATTCACCACAAACTGACTGAAGAGCTTGTGGGCCTTAAGGGAACTTAGGTAGTAGTCTGGCAGTACTCCCCATGGCCTGGGGTGTCAGTGGCTATGGGGTGAGGCGCCTCTGCCTTTGGAAAGGGGAAGAAAGAGAGGTCCTGTGGTTTGAGTGCCAGCTCAGCTGTAATACAATAGAATACCAGTTAGACTTCTAAGGTTTTTGACACTAGTTCCTGACTCCTGGATGGCACCTCTGGACCCACCCAGGGCCTGGGGTACCTCAACACCCTGAAGGGTAGGAAATAGGCCAGGATGGCTTTGCCACCAGCTGATTGTAAAGCCCTGGGGCCTTGAGCAAACATAGGCAGTAGCCAGGGAGTGGTTACAGCCGGCCTTGAGCAAGACCCAGTGCTGTGCCGGCTTCAGGTCTGACCCAGTACAATCATAGTGGTGGTGGCCACAGTGGTACATGTGTCACTCCAGCTCCAGCTTCAGGTGGCTCAGAATGGAGAAAGAAACCCTGTTTGGGAGAAAGTAAGGGGTGAGAAAAGAGTCTCTACCTTGTAATCCAGAGGATTCTGCTGGATTATGTCTAAAATCATCCAAATACAAATAAATAAAATTAGAAATGAAAAAGGAAGCAATACAACTGATACCACAGAAACTGAAAGGATCATCAGTGGCTACTGTGAGCAAATATATGGCAATACATTGGAAAATCAAATTTCTAGACACATACAACCTACCAAGATTGAACCATAAATAAATCCAAAACCTCAACAGATGAATAACAAATATTGAGATCAAAGTCCTAACAAAAAGTCTCCTGGTAAAGAAAAGCCCAGGATCTCATAGCTGAATTCTAGCAAACATTTAAAGAACTAACACCAATCCTACTCAAAATCAAAAACTAGAGAAGGAGGGAATACTTCCAAATTTACTCTACAAGGCCAGTATTACCCTGATACCAAAACCAGATAAAGACACATCAAAAAAAGAAAACTACAGACCAATATCTCTGATTAATATTGATGTGAAAACCCTGAAGAAAACACTAGCAAACAATACATTAGAAATTAAACAATACATTAGAAAGATTATTCATCAGATCCAAGTGGGATTTATTCCAGGGATGCAGGGATGGTTCAACATATGCAAATCGATCAATGTAATACATCATATCAACAAAATGAAAGATAAAAATGATATGATCCTTTCAATTGATGCTGAAAAAGCATTTGATAAAGTTTAACATCCCTTCAAGATAAAAACCCTCAAAAAACTGGGAATAGCAGGAACATACCTCAACATAATAAAAGCCATATACAACAGACCCACATCTAGTATTATATTGAGTGAGGAAAAACTAAAAGCTCTAAGATCTAGAGCATGACATTGATGCCCACTTTCACCTCTGTTATTCAACATAGTACTGGAAGTCCTAGCTAGAGCAATCAGACAAGAGAAAGAAATAAAGGGCATCCAAATTGGAAAGGAAGAAGTCAAATGATTGTTATCTGCAGATGAGTTTATCTTATATTTGGAAAAACCTAAAGACTCCACAAGAAAGCTATTAGAACTGATAAATTCAGTAAAGCTTCAGGATACAAAATCAACAAACAAAAATCAGTAGCACATCTATATGCCAACGGTGAACAATCTGAATAAGAAATCTTAAAAGTAACCCATTTACAATAGTCACACATAAAATTAAATACCTAGGAATTATCAAAGAAGTGAAGGAACTCTATAATGAAAACTATAAAACACTGATGAAATACATTGAAGAGGACATCAAAAAATAGAAATATTGGAAAAATATTCAATGTTCACAGATTGGAATAATCAATATTGTTAACATGTTCATACTAACCAAAGCAATCTACAGATTCAATGCTATCCCTATCAAAATACCAATGATATTCTTTACAGAAATAGAAAAAAAAAATCCTAAAAGAACACCAAGAAAAACCAAAGCTATCCTAAGCAAAAAGAGCAAAACTAGAGGAACCAAAACAGCATGGTACTGGCATAAAAACAGACACACAGACCAATGGAACAGAATATAGAACCCAGAAACAAACCCACACACCTACAGTGAACTCATTTTTAACAAAAGTGCCAAGAACATACATTAGGGAAAAGACAGTCTCTTCAACAAGTGATGCTGAGAAAACTAGATCTCCATATTCAGAAGACTGAAACTACACCGCTATCTCTTGTCATAGACAAAATGAAATCAAAATGAAATAAAGACTTACATCTGAAACTTCAAACTACAAAACTACTGCAAGAAAACATCAGGGAAACTCTCCAGGACATTGGTCTAAGTGACATTTTTTTGAGCAACACCCCACAAACACAGACAATCAAAGGCAACATTGACAGATGTGATCACATCAAGTTAAAAAGCTTCTGTACAGCAGAGGATACAATCAACAAAGTGAAGAGACAACCCACAGAATGGCAGAAAATATTTGCAAACTACTTATCTGACAAGGGATTAATAACCAGGGTATATAAGGAGCTCAAGTAACTCTATGGGAAAAGAATTGAATAATCTAGTCAACAAATGAGCAAAAGGCTTGAATAGACATTTCTCAAAAGAAGACGTACAAATGGCAAACAGGCATATGAAAAAGTGCTCAACATTATTGATCATCAGAGAAATGCAAATCAAAACTGCGAGATACCATCTCACCCCACTTGAAATGGTTTATTTCCAAAAGACAGGCAATAATAGGCAAGGATATGGAGAAAAGGGAACCCTCATACACTGTTTGTGGAAATGTAAATTAGTACAGCCACTATGGAAAACAGTTTGGAGTTTCCTCAAAAAACTAAAAATTGAGCTACCATATAATCTAGTAATCTCACTGCTGGATATGTACCCCCAAAAGAAAGGAAATCAGTATATCAAAGAAATATCTGTACTCCTGTATGTTGCAGCACTGTTCACAATAGCTAAGATTTGGAAGCAACCTAAATGTCCATCAATAGATGAAAGAATAAGAAAATGTGTACATATACACAATGGAGTACTATTCAGCCATAAAAAGAGTAAGGTCCAGGCATTTGCAACAACATGGAAGAAACTGGAGTGAAATAAGCCAGGCACAGAAAGACAAACATTGCATGTTCTCAATTATTTATGGGATCTAAAAATTAAAACAATTGAACTCATGGACATAGAGACTAGAAGGATGGTTACCAGAGGCTGGAAGGGTAGTGGCAGGCTGGGGAAGAAGTTGGGATGATTAATGGAGACAATAAAAAAAAGTAGCTAGAAAAAATGAATAAGACCTAGTATTTGATAGCACAACAGGGTGACTATAGTCAATAATAACTTAATTGTACATTTTTAATAGAAAAGAAAACCACCCCATTTACAATACCATGAAAACAAATAAGATACTTAGGAATAGATTAGCAAAAGTGGATAAGATAAGGCTTATCCACTGAAAATTACAAACCAGTATTGAAAGAAAGTATAGAAGACCTAAATGAATGAAAAAACCTCCCATGCTAATGTATTGGAATATTTAATATTGTTAATACAATACTCCCCAAAATGGTCTACAAATGCAACACAATGCCTATTAAATTCTAGCTACCTGTTTTGAGAATGGTATAGAAATTCATATGGAAATGCAAGGGAACAAGAATAACCAAATCACTGTTGAGAAAGGAAGAACAAGGTTGGAAGACTCACAATTCCTGATCTCAAAACTTGCTACAAAGCCACATTAATCAAGACAATGTGGTACTGGCATAAGGGTAAACATATAGGTAAATGAAATAGACTGGAGAGTCCAGTAATAAATCTCACATTCATGGGTCATTGATTTTCTAGAAGAATGTTGAGACCATTCAATGTAAAAAGAATGATTTTTTCAGCACTGCTGTGACAACTGGGGTATTCACCTACAAAAGAATAAAGTTGGACTTGTACCTCACACAATATACAAAATTTAACTCAAAATGGATTATATACTTAAATATAATAGCTAAAAATATAAAAATCTCAGAGAAAACAGGAGTAACTCTTCGTGACCTTGATTTAGGAATGAGTCTTAGATATGACACCAAAAAAGCAACAAAATTAAAAATAAATAAATTGAACTTCATTTATCTCTCTTTTCACACAAAGTATTGCAAATTTTCCTGGCCTTCTCTTTTATGGGACATTTTTAGATATGGAACTGTGGAAACATGGTTTCAATGAGGAACACATATCAATAATAAGTTCACACAATCACTAATACAAAGGAGGAACACATCAATAATAAGTTCAAACAATCACTAATACAAAGATGGTTAAGAATTTTTATGACAGTACCAGTCAAGACTGTCAAGGTTTGGTTATAAAATAAAGATAGTCTCAATTCCTTCTAATTTTATTATTCTCAATAAGCATAGTTTGTACTCCACATACAATTAAATTAGTCTCAATTTTATATCATCCTAAAAGTTCTTGTGTAGATAAATTTACATATCATGGGAAAAGTAATTTATCAGACGGTATGCTCTAAGTTTTGCCTGTGAACCCATTTAGTGGTGGATTTTTAAAAAATGTTTTTCATTCTATAGGAAAGATTTTTAAATGGGTCAATAAGTTTCTTCACCAGCACCTTTGATCAAATCTTAAGCTTAAAAGCTACTCTTTTATAAAACATATGTAATGTTTGGCTCCACAGAGCCTTAAATACATCAGTTTCTTATTCAGATACTTGTCACTTTGGTTCTTATAAAAAAAAATAGAAATGCTTTAAAAATAATAACTTGTGTCTTGCATCTATAACTTGCCTGAGCAATGATTTGGTCCTTAGAGATACAAATATAATTCATAGTAAGAAATAATGGATAAAAGTAACTCCCAAAAATGCCAAAATAAAGTAATAATAAGATGGCACTTTCCTTGGGAACCAAGTGTGATATGAATCACTAATTTATTATAACATAAAAAATTTTCATGTTTTTGGATATACTAAATTTGGTGCAGAGTTAGTGAAACCTAACGATGCTAGCGATCTACATAAGTATACACTTCATAGTTAACAAAGTATATGTATAAACACTTGGACTGTATAATCTCTCTGTGAAGTTATTTATAATTATGTATATTATGTTAACATTACTTGGAGAAGCAATTCTAATTTAGAGCATTGAGAAGGTCCTTAATCTTTCAGTTTGCCAATTTGAACCATGAATTTCACACAGAGAGGTGGGAGGATGGATCTGTAAGTAGGTATGTAGAGAGATATAACTCATTTGAGATTTAATATATATACAAACCAATGACTGGGCCTGCAGATGATCAGATTGAAAGGACTTGGAAGTATGCATATAAAGATCTGAAACAGTCAGAGAAGCATGATCAGAAAATACACACAATAAGACATTAAGAATATACTCATGAGGCCGGGCATGGTGGCTCACGCCTGTAATCCTACCACTTTGGGAAGCCAAGGTAGGAGGATCTTTTGAGGTCAGGAGTTCGAGACCAGCCTGACCAACATGGTCAAACCCAGTCTCTACTAAAAATAGTAAAAATCAGCTGGCCATGGTGGTGAACACCTGTAATCTCAATACTCAGGAGGCTGAGGCAGGAGAATCGCTTGAACCTGGGAGGCGGAGCCTAGATGGCACCACTGCACTCCAGCCTGGGCAACAGAGCGAGACTCAGTCTCAAAAACTCATGAATATGCAATAGTTTATTTGAAATACTCATCATTTTCCTATATTATTGGACAAAATTGCATTCACATTTTATTTTTTATTTGCTAAGATCACATACATTTTGCCTAATGGATACCTATATTTTCTCTATTTCTCCTGGCATTTCTTTTCTACCCCTCTCTCCAAGGTACATTCCAACTCTTGAGCTTCTAAAATTATTATTACTGTGCTATTTTGGTGCATTCTATAGTTCTTATTTATGAGGCTTATTGGATTCCTTCCTAGACTTCATTGGAACAACTAAAAATCTCGGGAATTCTGACCATTTACAGGATTTAAAAGTCGACTGTAAAATTATATCAGGCTTGGGTCTCAGGTATTCTCTTTGTAAATGACTCTGAAAGATCTGATCTTGAAGTAATCTAGCCTCAAAAATTCTTGCTTTGATACCAACTATCTTTATAAAGTAGAGCTTTTATCTGGTGTGGTTGGTTAATGGAAAAACCAGTTACCCAAATCAGGAATCATGGAAAATGATACTTGTATCTTTTAGCATTTTAACTTAAAACAAGTTAAATATTACATCATTTGTCTGTCTTTTAATGCAGGTATGAGGCCTTTTCTTGAATTAACTTGCATTTCAATACAAGATTAAAAGTCTCTTTCTGAGAGTAGTTCTGATTTTAATTACATATATTCTAAAGTGTATCTATCAGCAATACTTTTTCTGTTTGTATAGTTTAGTCAATTATTGTATTAATATTTGTGACCTACACTTGACCTTTCTTTAATTTTTCCAACATATAGGAGTTATTTGCATTTCAGGAAGACTGTTAGAATAAAAACTGTAAAAGTGGATAGCAATAACCATACTTACTTACATGTCTCCCTTTTAGAGGGGATAACATCTCTAAAATAAATAGGGGATAATTATGGAAATGAAATTTTCCCAATGAAAGTGGAGGAAGACTGGAACATTTTTTCACTAGTGAAATTTCTGGAGACTTAGTAAGAACAGTTAAGACATTTTATTATAGTTTTATCAGATAGAGTCATTTTTGGATTTTCAGGTAATATTCCCAAGCTTTCAGAGATGCTGAGAACAGAAGAAGCACTAAAACTATAATTTGGGGGAATATTAACATTTTTCCCTAAAACTAATCAATGGGTTAGAGGAAAAAAAGCTAATAAATATAGGCATTTTAATGTTATTGATTAGTCATCATATGTAGATGAGTTTCTTTGCAATTTTTATTTGACTGTTTTTCTCCTTAAATTGTTTTGCTTTACTATTTTGCCATTGCCTTACTCCCAGCTTAGACACCTTGCCTCATATTAATGTATACTACTATCTGTTAAGTAGCAATTCCACAATTAAGCTCAGGTGATTTGAAAAGTAAACTTTTTATTGTGTGTACAGTGAACATGGAGAGGTTCTTTTATTTTTTTAATGATACTGGTTCATAGAAGACTAGAAATTAAGTAATATCATATATATTAAGTATTATATGTGTATTTAAGAATTTTCAAAATTGAGCAAATTTTGAAGAAAAAAATATGGTTTATTACTTTTCTTGCCCATTCTAATTCTAAATCTAATATTCTTTCTACTCAAAATGTTTAAATGTAAGTTCCTTGCTAACCAATTCTTTAATCCCTGGTGGACATAAATGCTTACCTGCCTTTAGTATTTCAAGCTAATGCCTAATATTTCCTAATGTCTAATGTCAAAAATCAACCCAAGTAACTTTCTTTAACTCTTAAAAGGTTTGTCATCAACATTACAATCACTAGATCTGATTAGTCTACCTGGTAACTGATAATCAGTGCCAGAGTCTAGAACAAACCTCTCAGATCACCTTTTTTCTCAGATGTTAAGATACACTTAATACCTAGCTTCTGCTTTTAGGCTGATTGACATACCTGATTAAATCACATGGCTCTCTTTTCCTTTAAGAAGTGGCACGAATCCCTCTGTACCCTCATGCATATTCATGCCAGTTGAAAGGAAAGGTCACCAAGTCTCCTCTTATCTGGGTGTATTGTCAGAATATGGAAAAACAGGACTCTGACAGGCAGAGGCCCAGGTTGCTTATTGCATTTAATTAGAGGGTCATTGCTTTGGACTTAGAAGCAAAAGACCCAATTTATGTCCTCTCCTTCTACTACTTAGTAAATAGTAGCTTAAACAAGTCATAGAACTTGCACTTTAGTCTTCTCAACTGTAAATTATGGAAAATGTTTCTTAGCTCACTGAATGGTTTGCGAGGATGACATAATGTAAATAAATGAATTTTATTTCATTTATTTATAAGTGAATTTTATTTCATTTATTTATAAGTGAATTTTATTTCATTTATTTATAAGTGAATTTTATTTCATTTATTTATAAGTGAATTTTATTTCATTTATTTATAAATGAATTTTATTTCATTTATTTATAAATGAATTTTATTTCATTTATTTATAAATGAATTTTATTTCATTTATTTATAAATGAATTTTATTTCATTGATTTATAAGTGAATTTTATTTCATTGATTTATAAGTGAATTTTATTTCATTGATTTATAAGTGAATTTTATTTCATTTATTTATAAGTGAATTTTATTTCATTTATTTATAAGTGAATTTTATTTCATTTATTTATAAGTGAATTTTATTTCATTATTTATAAGTGAATTTTATTTCATTTATTTATAAGTGAATTTTATTTCATTTATTTATAAGTGAATTTTATTTCATTTATTTATAAGTGAATTTTATTTCATTTATTTATAAGTGAATTTTATTTCATTTATTTATAAGTGAATTTTATTTCATTTATTTATAAGTGAATTTTATTTCATTATTTATTTATAAGTGAATTTTATTTCATTTATTTATAAGTGAATTTTATTTCATTTATTTATTAGTGAATTTTATTTCATTTATTTATAAGTGAATTTTATTTCATTTATTTATAAATGAATATTTACAATAATAATAAAGCCCTATTGAGTAAAAATATGAAATATTTATTTCCTCTTTGGGACAAGTTGTAACAATGTCTTAACACTCTTTATCCATGTTTGCCTTTCTCCATGTTTAGGGTGCATTGTTAAAAGGCGAAAGAGGTATCATGCTTTTTCTGTGAAGGAAAAAAATACCAGAATTTTAAAAAGTATTTTAT
This sequence comes from Homo sapiens, assembly GCF_000001405.40. Lineage (NCBI taxonomy): Eukaryota > Metazoa > Chordata > Mammalia > Primates > Hominidae > Homo > Homo sapiens. The sequence goes on along the minus strand of NC_000015.10, from coordinate 49,371,411 downwards.
TTTCTGTTTTAGGTATCGACTTCAATATTATAAAGATTCTGAACAACCCAAGAGCATATACGTTGCCCATATCCAAGGAAGAATCAAGATTATCAAGACTAGCAACAAAGGTTTGGAGTATAATAATTATGAAAAAATTTCTTACTTGTTTAATTTGCAATATATTTGCAATTGACTGTGCTGTACATAGGCAATGCTGGTTACTACATTCTTACCATATATTTTGGAAAAGAATTTAATGGTCAAAAGAGATTTGTTTGAGGTTTAATCTTAATATTAAAAAGTTTTATTTTCTTCTGAAAATATCCCCATTTCTAATGAAAAATATCATAATATTTATCTTTTTTCCTCACAACATGTCTTGTCACTGTTTCTCCTTTGGTTGACATACAAAGGCTCCATCTGGTGTTTGCACATGAATATGATCTTAATAAGCAGCAAAGCTGCAGGCAAAACTTCAAAGGAGTATCAACAATAGTTGACCTGTCCTTACTTCTTAAGCCATGGTCCTAGAATAATTGACCACATGTAGATACTGTTACTCTTGAGTCTTGAATGCTTAGTTTCTCGACATTCTTGAAGGTGCCTTGCAGGTAGAGATTTCATGTACTCACCACCATGTGTTGCCTTAGCCAAAATTTGATGAGATTATTGACCTGAAATTCTGAATTTGATATCTTAATTTGTTAGACAATTAGATTTTAAGTTGGTTACAGTCTTTATTGTTAAAATTTTGTCTACATCATCTTATCCAGTCTGATAAGATAATTTATTTAAAATTAAAAATTATGCCTATATAAAAACCACTTTCTGAAAGTCAGTATTTATGTTTTTCCCGGTATTTAATAACCCAAGTTTAATAAAATATCTTCCTACTTTATTCTGACCTTCACAGTGAGGCTAAGGATGGTTTGCAGGCACTTCAGATATTAACTGGTGATGTATAGAAGTCAATTTTGAATCAATGACAATGTCACTCCATTTCCTTTGGGGCAATATTGCCAGATTTAGAAATCAGAGATAAGTAATAAAAATTGTATATCTGGTCTTCAGCAAACACTAAAAATGGTCTCTCGTACTTTGTTTAGTAGCTAACACATGGGTTTGTAACAGATTAAACAACCTTTTTCAGAGGATGCTGCTAACAGATAGAAATTGGAAATACATCTTTAGTAGTATAGCACATTGCTGCATTTTTTGCCCTGTCCCATTGTACTAGTCAGCTTGGACTGCCAGAACAAAATACCATGGACTGGGTAGCTTAAACAACAGAAATTCATTTCTCATAGTTCTGGAGTATGGGAAATCCAAGATCAAGGAGCCAGCCAATTTGGTTTTCTGGTGAAGGCTCTCTTCCTGCCTTGCAGATGGCCTCTTCCTTGTTGTGTCCTCATATGGCAGAGAGAGTGAGCTCTGGTCTCTTCTTCTTCTTATAAAGACTCCAATTCCATCATTGACAACCTCATCTAAACCTAATTATGAAGAGCTCTGAAATCATATTGCTTCAGCAATGGCCAAACTATTTATAAGTATTTCTTCTGGAAGGAAAAGACTCTGAAGGCCATAATAACTGTTTTCAAATATGTAGAGAGCTACTGTAGGAAAGCAGAATTAGAGTTTTTCTGTATGGCTCAAAAAAAGTATAAGTTTTGCCAATAAATAAGTGAAAGATACAGGGATATAGATTTCAGCTCAAGATGAAAAATTTTCCAGGCACCGAAGTTGTCCACATGCTAAATGGGTGCCTGTGGGTTTCTAGTCCCTGAAAGTGACACTGGGTATGAGCATTGGCAGAACACATATTCAAGCCTCAAAAATCAATGTTTAGCTTTTTACTTATTGTAGCAATTATCCTTTAATAAATTTTCTGAGAAATTAGGTACCCAAATCACCCCTTGGACTTTCTATTTCATCCTTTATGATCATTCTTAAGTTTATGGAGTTGCTTGATTCTTTGAATTTAGGCTAGGTTGACTTGACAATAAAAGTCTTGTTTCATGGAATCTTAAAGTGCTCTGACAAATTTCTGCTATTATCTTTCATGGGATGAATGGAAACATTAGGGTTTCTGCTCATTGGTTTGGCTATTTGGAATGTCCCTAGCAAGAGGTTTTTGGTCAACTTGCGACATTCTGCTTTAAAAACCAAAACACCAGGCCGGGTGCAGTGGCTCACGCCTGTAATCCCAGCACTTTGGGAGGCCGAGGTGGGCGGATCTCGAGGTCAGGAGATCAAAACCATCCTGGCTAACACGGTGATACCCCGTCTCTACTAAAAATAAAAAAATTAGCCAGGCGTGGTGGTGGACGCCTGTAGTCCCAGCTACTCGGAAGGCTGAGGCAGGAGAATGGCGTGAACCCGGGAGGCAGAGCTTGCAGTGAGCCAAGATCACGCTACTGCACTCCAGAGCGAGACTCCGTCTCAAAAAAATAAAAACAAACAAACAAACAAAAACAAAACAAAAACAACACCACGGGATTGCATTTAATACCTATTTGCCTCTTACCTGGCTGAAGTACTCTTAAAAACCATGAACTCTTATAGAGGAAAAAGGGCTGCAAACTGTGATTTTCTTAACTTAATAACTGATAACTGCAGAAAAATAACAGAAATGTCTATTTCTAGAATTTTAGTAAGATAGAATGTTTATCTTATAGTACCCAAGAAAGAAACAGGAAGAGTGTTGCAAAACAACTATCTAGACAGGCAAATTTTTTAAAAATCTAAACTGAGCTTGGGCTAGTTTTGCATACATTTTGAAGATTGAGCTATACGTAACCCAATGTGAATTATCATGGGAGCTTAAAATGAAGGAGTGATTTACATCATAGAAAACATGTCTGATATTGACATTAACTTTTTACTAGCAAAGAATTGCTATTGATTATGATAGTCCCATTATTTGAAATGGTTCTGTAGCTGCTAGGAATTCTGAAACATATTTTTTGCAAAAACCTATAGAATAAAAAAGTGACCATAAGCAAAAGAAATTCAAGAGAACTTTTTGTATCAATAAAAGCAAATGAAAACAAAATTTTATTTCCCCACAGTAAGTGGAATCAATAAAAAATCTTTCATAATGGTATTACAAAGATTGAGGAAAACTTAAAATATTAGTAGTTGCTATACTGACATTTCTGCCATAAGAAGGGAATAATAGAATCTTGGAGTAATTATATTTATGGTTATTGTATTCTTGACATAGAATTTTTGGTCAACAGGTTTTTTTTTTTCCATCAGCACCTCTATGCTATCCCACTGCCTTCTGGCCTGTTTTGTTATGATAAGAAGTTAGTTATTAATCCTTTTAAAGTTCCCCTATATATGAGTTGCTTACTCTTGCTTTTGAGGTTTTTCTCCTTGTCTTTATTTTAAAAAACTTTGTCTGGGATGTGCTAGGTGTGAATTTATTCTACTTAGAAATTGCTGAACTTCTTGGATGTGTTTTTCATAAATTTTGAAAATTGAGACCATCATTTGTTCAGATATTTTTCCTATGCCTTTTCCTGGCTTTGTTCATTTTCTTCATTTTTTTTTTTTTTTTTCTGTTCTTAAGACTGAATAATGTCTATTGCCTATATGCAAGTCTGATGATAACTCAAAAGAGTAGAAGAGCCTTACTGCATGTACTTATAGACTCATACTTTGGTAAATTCCTCTAATTAAGAAGATGCTTTGTAGAATTTCCTTTATTTTAATATATCAAATGGTAACTTTATGCTAAATATGAAGTTATATTTTATTCACAGTTTTTTAGAAACACAAAAGTAATCGTTGTCTTGATTATTTTCTTCCTCTTACAGTCGCACTATAGTAGTACTGGTCCAGAGTTTAATCGTGTTCTCTTCAATTTTGGAGGTCAGAGTCCATTGATTTTATATTATCTTAAGATGCATGAGCTGGCTGGTATTTCCAAAGCACCTAAGAAAACCAAGATTAAACTCACTAAGATATTCCAGGAACCATATCCTTTTTAAAGCTTTGCTTTAATATAATTTCTTTCAAAAATAATATTCAAAACATTTCACTGAATGTCTCAATTGAGAAACAAATTGAATGCATGTTTTATCAATGCTTCTGTTTAGTATTAATATTTACTTATGCTTAAAACTTTGGTAGTATGTTTGGCTTTTCTTTATTAGATCTAATGCTATGATTTTGCATGTAAGAAAAATAAAACAAACATTAACCCAAAGAACTTTTAAAACTAGTATATTTGGTTCTCTGATAAAAGGCTATCTTTGCAACTTTACTGTTCAGTGACTGGTTTCAAACATTTGTCAGAATTATGAGGCATGGGCTTCTAGCCTTCTCCAAAGAGAGTTTTAGGCATGTTTTAGCTGTGGAATTCTTTGTTCAAATGAAAATTTATCAGAACATTTTTTACACATTAAAAAATTTATTTTTATGTGTAAAATAAAAAATAAATTAAAATCGGAGCTCTTTGGTTGAAGCAGGGGTAGGGCCCAGAGTTCTGTTTTTTACAGTCCTATCTTCAGTATAACTTTTCTTGGCCCAGTCCTCATTAAGGACTCAGATGAATCCCAAAGGAATTAGAACACTAGCCACTAAATTAGAGTGTGGGCTGCAGTGGCGGCCCCTGCAGCAGCGGCGATCCCAGCCTAGCCCGGCCGCCCCCGCCACGGAGGCAGCGCAGTGGCGGGACTCCCAGCCTACCCCACCTAGTGAGCCGCGCCGCGCCACCCCACCCGCCACCCACCAGTCCGATGGGGCCGCAGCGGCGGCTGTCCCCTGCCACGGCCGCCCTGCTCTGGGGCTTCCTGCTCCAGCTGACAGCCGCTCAGGAAGCAATCTTGCATGCGTCTGGAAATGGCACATCCAAGGACTACTGCATGCTTTATAACCCCCATTGGTCAGCTCTTCCAAGTACCCTAGAAAATGCAACTTCCATTAGTTTGATGAATCTGACTTCCGCACCACTATGCAACCTTTCTGATGTTCCTCCTGTTGACATAAAGAACAAAGCAGTTGTGGTGCAATGGGGCAGCTGCCATTTTCTTGAAAACACCAGAAATGCACAGAAAAGAGGTGCTGAAGCAATGTTGGTTGTCAATAACAGTATCCTATTTCCTACCTCAGGTAACAGATCTGAATTTCCTGATGTGAAAATACTGATTGCATTTATAAGTGACAAAGACTTTATAGATATGAAGCAGACTCTAGGAAATAACATTACTGTGAAAATGTGTTCTCCATCGTGGCCTAACTTTGATTATACTATGGTGGTTATTTTTGTAATTGCTGTGTTCACTGTGGCATTAGGTGGATACTGGAGTGGACTAGTTGAATTGGAAAACTTGAAAGCAGTGACAACTGAAGATAGATAAATGAGGGAAAAAAAAGGAAGAATATCTAACTTTTAGTCCTCTTACAGTTGTAATATTTGTAGTCATCTACTGTGTTATGATGGTCTTACTTTATTTCTTCCACAAATGGTTAGTTTATGTTATGATAGCAATTTTCTGCATAGTATCAGCAATGAGTCTGTACAACTCTCTTGCTGCACTAATTCATAAGATGCCATATGGACAATGCACAATTGAGTGTCGCGGCAAAAGCATGGAAGTGAGACTTATGTTTCTCTCTGGACTGTGCATAGCAATAGCTATTGTTTGGGCTGTGTTTCAAAATGAAGACAGGTGGGCTTGGATTTTACAAGATATCTTGGAGATTGCTTTCTGTCTGAATTTAATTAAAACACTGAAGTTGGCCAGCTTCAAGTCATGTGTGATACTTCTAGGCCTTCTCCTCCTCTATGATGTATTTTTTGTTTTCATAACACCATTCATCACAAAGAATGGTGAGAGTATCATGGTTAAACTTGCAGCTGGACCTTTTGAAAATACTGAAACATTGCCAGTAGTCATCAGAGTACCAAAGCTGATCTGTTTCTCAGTAATGAGTGTGTGCATCATGCCTGTTTCAATATTGGGCTTTGGAGACATTATTGTACAGGCCTGTTGCTTGCGTACTGTAGAAGAGTTGATGTTTAGACTGGTTCTTCGTATATATACTATGTTTCCTCTACAGTTGCCTATGCTATTGGCATGATACTTACATTTGTTGTTCTGGTGCTGATGAAAAAGGGGCAACCTGCTCTCCTCTATTTAGTAACTTGCACACTTATTATTGCCTCAGTTGTTGCCTGGAAATGTAAGGAAATGAAAAAGTTCTGGAAAGGTAACAGCTATCAGATGATGGACCATCTGTATTATGCAAAAAACGAAGAAAACCCTGTGATGTCTGGTGAACAGATTGTCCAGCAATAATATTATGTGGAACTGCTATAATGTGTCATTGATTTTCTACAAATAGACTTTGACTTTTTAAATTGATTTTTGAATTGACAATCTGAAAGTCTTCAATGATATGTTTGCAAATATATATTTTTATGAGCTGGTACTGACAGTTACATCATAAATAATTAAAATGCTTTGCTTTTAATGTTAAAGTTGTGCCTTCACATTAAATAAAAGGATATGGTCTGTGTAGTTTCCAAGATGTATTACATAGAGTATATTTTTCTTAAAAAAAAAAATGCCTTGACCCATCCCTATGCTTTTTTACTCAAATGTTTCTTCCAACTCTAATGGTAGATAAAAGTATTACTATCAAAGTGAGTTTCTGAATGGGTTTTACTGTAAATAATTATGCAAATTTTATCTGCTTTATAGAAATAACTGTTTAAGACCATGCAAGAAGGCAGTTCAACGGTGAAAATTTGGACCTTTTATCACTGCAGAGGTTAGAAATATAAAATTTTGGAATAAATGTAAGTGCATATTTTTGTAGTATGTTTTTTTAAAACCCAATCCTTTCATAAACTTGAGAACTGAAATTACTTCAGACTGCATGTGTATTATATTAAGAACATTTTTTCAGCTGTAGAGAAACATAATATATAGAAATAAACACAATCAGAAATGACAAGACATTGCCACCAACCCCACAGAAATACAAAACAACCTCCAAGACTACTATGAACATCTCTATGCACACAAGCTAGAAAACCTACAAGAAATGGATAAATTCCTGGAACATACAACCTACTAAGATTGAACTAGGAATAAACTGAATCCCTGAACAGACCAATAACAAGTTCTGAAATTGTATCAGAAATAAAAAGCCTACCAACCAGAAAAAGCCCAGGACTAGATGGATTCACAGCTGAATTCCACCAGATATATAAAGAAGAGCTGGTACCATTCCTACTGAAACTATTCCAAAACATTGAGGAGGAGGGACTCTTTCCTAACTCATTCTGAGGCCAGCATCATCCTAATATCAAAACCTGGCATAGACACAATAAAAAAAGAAAACATCTGGCCAATATTCTTGATGAACATAGATGCAAAAATTCTCAACAAAATACTAGCGAACGGAATCCAGCAGCATGTCAAAAAGCAAATCCACCATGACAAAGTAGGCTTTACCTCTTGGACACAAGGTTCATGCAACATGTGCAAATCAATAAATGTGATTCATCACATTAAACAGAACTAAAAACAGACCCATAAGATTATCTCAATACATGCAGAATAGGCTTTTGATACAATTCAACATCCCTTCATGATAAAAAACCCTCAACAAACTAGACATTGAAGGAACATACTTCAAAATAATAAGAGCCATCTATGACAAACCCACAGCAAACATCATCAAAAGCTGGAAGTATTCACCTTGGAAACCAGAACAAGACAAGGATACCCACTCTCAACACTCCTATTCAACATAGTATTGGAAGTCCTGGCCAGAGCAATCAGACAAGAGAAAGAAGTAAAAGGCATTCAAATAAGAACAGAGGAAGTTAAACTATCCTTGTTTATAGACAATATGATCCTATATGTAGCAAAACCAATCGTCTCTGCCCAAAAGCTCCTTAAGCTGATAAACAACTTCAGCAAAGTTTCAGGATACAAAATCAATGTACAAAAATCAATAGCATTCCCATATACCAACAACATCCAAGCTGAGAATCAAATCAAGTCTGCAATCCCAATGCCAATAGCCACAAAAAGAATAAAATACCTAGGAATACAGCTAACCATGTAAGCAAAAGATCTCTACAACAAGAATTACAAAACATTGCTCAAAGAAATCAGAGATGACACAAACAAGTGGAAGAACATTCAATGATTGTGGATATAAAGAATCAATACCATTTAAATGGCCATACTGCCCAAAGCAATTTACAGATTCAATGCTATTCCTATCAAACTACCAATGACATTCTTCACATAATTAGGAAAAACTATATTAAAATTTATGTTGAACCAAAAAAGAGCTTGAACAGCCAAGACAATCTTAAGCAAAAAGGACAAAGCTGGAGGAATCATGTTACCCAAATTCAGATTCCACTACAAGGCTACAGTAACCAAAACAGCATGGCACTGATATGAAAGCAGACACAAAGACGTATGGAACAGAAGAGACAGCTCAGAAATAATGCTGCACACCTACTACCATCTAACCTTTGACAAAGTTGACAAAACAAGTAATAGGGAAAGGACTCCCTATTCAATAAATGGTGCTGGGAAACTGGCTAGCTATATGCAGAAGATTGAAACTGGACCCCTTCCATACACGACATACAAAAATCAACTTAAGATGGATGAAAGACTTAAGTGTAAGACCTAAACCTATTAAAAAAACTCTGGAAGATAACCTAGGACATACCATTCTGAACGTAGGAAATGGCAAAGATTTCATGATAAAGATGCCAAAAGCAATTGCAAGAAAAACAAAAATTGACAGATGAAACCTAATTAAACTAAAGACCTTCTGCGCAGCAAAAGACCTATCAACAGAGTAAACAGACAGCCTACAGAATGGGTAGAAATATTTGCAAACTATGCATGTGACAAAGATCCAATGTCCAGAATCTATAAGTGTATTAGTCGGTTTTCATGCTGCTATAAAGAACTACCTGAACCTGGATAATTTATGAAGAAAAGAGATTTAACTGACTCACAGTTCTGCAGGTTTAACAGGAAGCATGACTGGGGAGCCTCAGGAAACTTACAATCACAGCAGAATGTGAAGGGGAAGCAAGAACCTTCTTCACGTGGTGGTAGGAGAGTGAAGGGGGAAGTGCCATACACTTTTAAGCCAGCGTATCTCATGAGAACTTTCACTATCATGAAAACAGCAGGAGGGAAATCCACTCCCATGATCCAATCACCTCCCACCAGGACCCTCCCCCAACACATGGGGATTACAATTCAACATGAGATTTGGGTGGGGACACAGAGCCAAACTATGTTAATAAGGAACTTAAATCAACAAGCACACAGCAAACAAACCCATTAAGAAGTGGGCAAAAGACATGAATGAACACATTTCAAAAGAAGACATACACGTAACCCACAAGCATATGAAAAAATGCTCAACATCACTAATCATAAGAGAAATGCAAATCAAAGCCACGATGAGATACCATCTCAGACCAGTTAGAATGGCTACTATGGAAAAGTCAAAAAATAACAGATTCTGGAGAGGTTGCAGAGAAAAGGAATGCTTATACACTGCTGGTGGGAATGTAAATTAGTTCAACCGTTGTGGAAAGCAGTTTGGCAATTTCTCAAAGAACTGAAAGCAGAATTACCATTCAACTCAGCAATACTATTACTGAGTATATACCCAAAGGAATATAAATCTTTCTACCAGAAAGATACATTCACGCGTATGCTCATTGCAACACTATTCACAATAGTAAAGATAAGGAATTCAACCTAGATGCCCATCAACAGGACTAGGTAAAGAAAACGTGGTACATATACACCAGGGAATACTGTGCAGCCATAAAAACTAACAAGATCATGTCCTTTGCAGCAATATGAATGGAGCTGGAGGCCATTAACCTAAGTGAACTAATGCAGGGACAGAAAACTAAAACCACATGTTCTCACTAATAAGTAGGAGCTAAACATTGAGTACATGTGGACACAAAGAAGGGAATAACAGACACCAGGACCTACTTGAGGGAGGAGGGAAGGAGGAGGGTGAGGATCAAAAAACTGCCTACTGGGTATTATGCTTATTACCTGAGTGGTGAAATAATCAGTACAACAAATCCCTGTAACATCAATTTACCTATGTAACAAACCTCCACATGTACCCCTGAACCTAAAATAAAAGTTAAAAAAAAATTTGCATCATAGGTAATATTTTTTAAGTTTTTTAAATTAATTTTTTAATTGACAAATTATAATTGTATATATTTATGGGGTAAAAAGTGATGTTATGATATATGTATACATTGTGGAATGACTGAATCAAGCTAACATATTCATCACCTTAAATACTTATCATTTATCCCTCCTAACTGAAACTTTGTCCTCTTTAACCAAAACCTCCCTATTCCGCAACCCCACAGGTAATATTTCTATTGATAAGGAGTGATTTGCCTAAATCACAAGAGGGAGGATGACATTATTGTCTATGTGTAAGGATTCACATGTAAACACTGAGTAGACTGGAGGTATGTATGGAGAGGACTGGAGGGAGTCAATGAAATTTCACATCACAGGAGTGCTTATGTCTTCTGACATGATTTTAAATGTATATTTATTTATAAGGATGATAAACTTGTTTACTAGTTAATGTACACTAATTCATTAGCAGAACATTTAAATATAATTTTTGGATGATCTTTGGAGTTTTATTAAAAACTTGGTCACTTGATATTTGAATTATGAGTAAAACAGGAGAAAAACTTTGATGTCTAGGATTTAGAGCTGAATGCATGGTATATCTTTAAACTGCAGAATCTTGGATAAAATGTATTTAGAGCTGCTAATTCTCCCTTCATACTTTGTCTATGTTTTTATAAGCCACCTCAAGCCCTTTATGTGTTGAGACTAAGCTAACCAAAGAATACCCAAAAATTTAATAATTTTTTTAACATGCAAAATGCAAATTATTTAAAAAATTGAAAACTCAGAGCCAAAATGTTGGTGTAGTCTGTATGGGTCTCGTTAAAAAGAAAAGTGTATAAGCCATATCTGTATTGCTAACATGAGTTTTAAACATTCACATTTTGTTGCAGTTTAGAAAAATCTGAACTCAATGCAGTGTCATAATGAGTACAATGTTACTATAAACACATGCTCCCACTATCACACATGCATACACAGACTTTTTTTTTTTTTCCTTATACTATAAGTTTTAGGGTACATGTGCACATTGTGCAGGTTAGTTACATATGTATACATGTGCCATGCTGGTGCGCTGCACCCACTAACTTGTCATCCAGCATTAGGTATATCTCCTGATGCTATCCCTCCCCCCTCCCCCCACCCCACAACAGTCCCCAGAGTGTGATATTCCCCTTCCTGTGTCCATGTGATCTCATTGTTGAATTCCCACCTATGAGTGAGAATATGCGGTGTTTGGTTTTTTGTTCTTGCGATAGTTTACTGAGAATGATGATTTCCAATTTCATCCATGTCCATACAAAGGACATGAACTCATAATTTTTTATGGCTGCGTAGTATTCCATGGTGTATATGTGCCACATTTTCTTAATCCAGTCTATCATTTTTGGACATTTGGGTTGGTTCCAAGTCTTTGCTATTGTGAATAATGACGCAATAAACATACATGTGCATGTGTCTTTATAGCAGCATGATTTATAGTCCTTTGGGTATATACCCAGTAATGGGATGGCTGGGTCAAATGGTACTTCCAGTTCTAGATCCCTGAGGAATCGCCACACTGACTTCCACAAGGGTTGAACTAGTTTACAGTCCCACCAACAGTGTAAAAGTGTTCCTATTTCTCCACATCCTCTCCAGCACCTGTTGTTTCCTGACTTTTTAATGATTGCCATTCTAACTGGTGTGAGATGGTATCTCATTGTGGTTTTGATTTGCATTTCTCTGACGGCCAGTGATGATGAGCATTTTTTCATGTGTTTTTTGGCTGCATAAATGTCTTCTTTTGAGAAGTGTCTGTTCATGTCCTTCGCCCACTATTTGATGGGGTTGTTTGTTTTTTTCTTGTAAATTTGTTTGAGTTTATTGTAGATTCTGGATATTAGCCCTTTGTCAGATGAGTAGGTTGCGAAAATTTTCTCCCATTCTGTAGGTTGCCTGTTCACTCTGATGGTAGTTTCTTTTGCTGTGCAGAAGCTCTTTAGTTTAATTAGATCCCATTTGTCAATTTTGTCTTTTGTTGCCGTTGCTTTTGGTGTTTTAGACATGAAGTCCTTGCCCATGCCTATGTCCTGAATGGTAATGCCTAGGTTTTCTTCTAGGGTTTTTATGGTTTTAGGTCTAACGTTTAAGTCTTTAATCTATCTTGAATTGATTTTTGTATAAGGTGTAAGGAAGGGATCGAGTTTCAGCTTTATACATATGGCTAGCCAGTTTTCCCAGCACCATTTATTAAATAGGGAATCCTTTCCCCATTGCTTGTTTTTCTCAGGTTTGTCAAAGATCAGATAGTTGTAGATATGCGGCGTTATTTCTGAGGGCTCTGTTCTGTTCCATTGATCTATATCTCTGTTTTGGTACCAGTACCATGCTGTTTTGGTTACTGTAGCCTTGTAGTATAGTTTGAAGTCAGGTAGTGTGATGTCTCCAGCTTTGTTCTTCTGGCTTAAGTTTGACTTGGCGATGCAGGCTCTTTTTTGGTTCCATATGAACTTTAAAGTAGTTTTTTCCAATTCTGTGAAGAAAGTCATTGGTAGCTTGATGGGGATGGCATTGAATCTGTAAATTACCTTGGGCTGTATGGCCATTTTCACGATATTGATTCTTCCTACCCATGAGCATGGAATGTTCTTCCATTTGTTTGTATCCTCTTTTATTTCCTTGAGCAGTGGTTTGTAGTTCTCCTTGAAGAGGTCCTTCATATCCCTTGTAAGTTGGATTCCTAGGTATTTTATTCTCTTTGAAGCAATTGTGAATGGGAGTTCACTCATGATTTGGCTCTCTGTTTGTCTGTTGTTGGTGTATAAGAATGCTTGTGATTTTTGTACATTGATTTTGTATCCTGAGACTTTGCTGAAGTTGCTTATCAGCTTAAGGAGATTTTGGGCTGAGACAATGGGGTTTTCTACATACACAATCATGTCGTCTGCAAACAGGGACAATTTGACTTCCTCTTTTCCTAATTGAATACCCTTTATTTCCTTCTCCTGCCTAATTGCCCTGGCCAGAACTTCCAACACTATGTTGAATAGGAGTGGTGAGGAGGGCATCCCTGTCTTGTGCCACTTTTCAAAGGGAATGCTTCCAGTTTTTGCCCATTCAGTATGATATTGGCTGTGGGTTTGTCATAGATAGCTCTTATTATTTTGAAATACGTCCCATCAATACCTAATTTATTGATAGCTTTTAGCATGAAGGGTTGTTGAATTTTGTCAAAGGCTTTTTCTGCATCTATTGAGATAATCATGTGGTTTTTGTCTTTGGCTCTGTTTATATGCTGGATTACATTTATTGATTTGTGTATATTGAACCAGCCTTGCATCCCAGGGATGAAGCCCACTTGATCATGGTGGATAAGCTTTTTGATGGGCTGCTGGATTTGTTTTGCCAGTATTTTATTGAGGATTTTTGCATCAATGTTCATCAAGGATATTGGTCTAAAATTCTCTTTTTTTGTTGTGTCTCTGCTTGGCTTTGGTATCAGAATGATGCTGGCCTCATAAATGAGTTAGGGAGGATTCCCTCTTTTTCTATTGATTGGAATAGTTTCAGAAGGAATGGTACCAGTTCCTCCTTGTACCTCTGGTAGAATTCGGCTGTGAATCCATCTGGTCCTGGACTCTTTTTGGTTGGTAAGCTATTGATTATTGCCACAATTTCAGCTCCTGTTATTGGTCTGTTCAGAGATTCAACTTCTTCCTGGTTTAGTCTTGGGAGAGTGTATGTGTCGAGGAATTTATCCATTATTTCTTCTAGATTTTCTAGTTTATTTGCATAGAGGTGTTTGTAGTATTCTCTGATGGTAGTTTGTATTTCTGTGGGATCGGTGGTGATATCCCCTTTATCATTTTTTATTGCGTCTATTTGATTCTTCTCTCTTTTTTTCTTTATTAGTCTTGCTAGCGGTCTATCAATTTTGTTGATCCTTTCAAAAAACCAGCTCCTGGATTCACTAATTTTTTGAAGGGTTTTTTGTGTCTCTATTTCCTTCAGTTCTGCTCTGATTTTAGTTATTTCTTGCCTTCTGCTAGCTTTTGAATGTGTTTGCTCTTGCTTTTCTAGTTCTTTTAATTGTGATGTTAGGGTGTCAATTTTGGATCTTTCCTGCCTTCTCTTGTGGGCATTTAGTGCTATAAATTTCCCTCTACACACTGCTTTGAATGCATCCCAGAGATTCTGGTATGTTGTGTCTTTGTTCTCGTTGGTTTCAAAGAGCATCTTTATTTCTGCCTTCATTTCGTTATGTACCCAGTAGTCATTCAGGAGCAGGTTGTTCAGTTTCCATGTAGTGGAGCGGTTTTGAGTGAGATTCTTAATCCTGAGTTCTAGTTTGATTGCACTGTGGTCTGAGAGATAGTTTGTTATAATTTCTGTTCTTTTACATTTGCTGAGGAGAGCTTTACTTCCAAGTATGTGGTCAATTTTGGAATAGGTGTGGTGTGGTGCTGAAAAAAATGTATATTCTGTTGATTTGGGGTGGAGAGTTCTGTAGATGTCTATTAGGTCCGCTTGGTGCAGAGCTGAGTTCAATTCCTGGGTATCCTTGTTGACTTTCTGTCTCGTTGATCTGTCTAATGTTGACAGTGGGGTGTTAAAGTCTCCCATTATTAATGTGTGGGAGTCTAAGTCTCTTTGTAGGTCACTCAGGACTTGCTTTATGAATCTTGGTGCTCCTGTATTGGGTGCATATATATTTAGGATAGTTAGCTCTTCTTGTTGAATTGATCCCTTTACCATTATGTAATGGCCTTCTTTGTCTCTTTTGATCTTTGTTGGTTTAAAGTCTGTTGTATCAGAGACTGGGATTGCAACCCCTGCCTTTTTTTGTTTTCCATTGGCTTGGTAGATCTTCCTCCATCCTTTTATTTTGAGCCTATGTGTGTCTCTGCACATGAGATGGGTTTCCTGAATACAGCACACTGATGGGTCTTGACTCTTTATCCAATTTGCCAGTCTGTGTCTTTTAATTGGAGCATTTAGTCCATTTACATTTAAATTGTTATGTGTGAATTTGATCCTGTCATTATGATGTTAGCTGGTTATTTTGCTCGTTAGTTGATGCAGTTTCTTCCTAGTCTCGATGGTCTTTACATTTTGGCATGATTTTACAGCGGCTGGTACCGGTTGTTCCTTTCCATGTTTAGTGCTTCCTTCAGGAGCTCTTGTAAGGCAGGCCTGTTGGTGAGAAAATCTCTCAGCATTTGCTTGTCTGTAAAGTATTTTATTTCTCCTTCACTTATGAAGCTTAGTTTGGCTGGATATGAAATTCTGGGTTGAAAATTCTTTTCTTTAAGAATGTTGAATATTGGCCCCCACTCTCTTCTGGCTTGTAGGGTTTCTGCCGAGAGATCCACTGTTAGTCTGATGGGCTTCCCTTTGAGGGTGACCCGACCTTTCTCTCTAGCTGCCCTTAACATTTTTTCCTTCATTTCAACTTTGGTGAATCTGACAATTATGTGTCTTGGAGTTGCTCTTCTCGAGGAGTATCTTTGTGGTGTTCTCTGTATTTCCTGAATCTGAACGTTGGCCTGCCTTGCTAGATTGGGGAAGTTCTCCTGGATAATATCCTGCAGAGTGTTTTCCAACTTGGTTCCATTCTCCCCATCACTTTCAGGTACACCAGTCAGACGTAGATTTGGTCTTTTCACATAGCCCCATATTTCTTGGAGGCTTTGCTCATTTCTTTTTATTCTTTTTTCTCTAAACTTCCCTTCTTGCTTCATTTCATTCATTTCATCTTCCATCGCTGATACCCTTTCTTCCAGTTGATCGCATCGGCTCCTGAGGCTTCTGCATTCTTCACGTAGTTCTCGAGCCTTGGTTTTCAGCTCCATTAGCTCCTTTAGGCAGTTCTCTGTATTGGTTATTCTAGTTATACATACTGCTAAATTTTTTTCAAAGTTTTCAACTTCTTTGCCTTTGGTTTGAATGTCCTCCCGTAGCTCAGAGTAATTTGATAGTCTGAAGCCTTCTTCTCTGAGCTCTTCAAAGTCATTCTCCATCCAGCTTTGTTCCTTTGCTGGTGAGGAACTGCGTTCCTTTGGAGGAGGAGAGGCGCTCTGCTTTTTAGAGTTTCCAGTTTTTCTGTTCTGTTTTTTCCCCATCTTTGTGGTTTTATCTACTTTTGGTCTTTGATGATGGTGATGTACAGATGGGTTTTTGGTGTGGATGTCCTTTCTGTTTGTTAGTTTTCCTTCTAACAGAGAGGACCCTCAGCTGCAGGTCTGTTGGAGTACCCTGCCGTGTGAGGTGTCAGTGTGCCCCTGCTGGGGGGTGCCTCCCAGTTAGGCTGCTCGAGGGTCAGGGGTCAGGGACCCACTTGAGGAGGCAGTCTGCCCGTTCTCAGATCTCCAGCTGCATGCTGGGAGAACCACTGCTCTCTTCAAAGCTGTCAGACAGGGACATTTAAGTCTGCAGAGGTTACTGCTGTCTTTTTGTTTGTCTGTGCCCTGCCCCCAGAGGTGGAGCCTACAGAGGCAGGCAGGCCTCCTTGAGCTGTGGTGGGCTCCACCCAGTTCGAGCTTCCCGACTGTTTTGTTTACCTAATCAAGCCTGGGCAATGGCGGGCGCCCCTCCCCCAGCCCACCTTGCAGTTTGATCTCAGACTGCTGTGCTAGCAATCAGCGAGACTCCGTGGGCGTAGGACCCTTCCAGCCAGGTGCGGGATATAATCTCGTGGTGCGCCGTTTTTTAAGCCGGTCGGAAAAGTGCAGTATTCAGGTGGGAGTGACACGATTTTCCAGGTGCCGTCCGTCACCCCTTTCTTTGACTCGGAAAGGGAACTCCCTGACCCCTTGCGCTTCCCAAGTGAGGCAATGCCTCGCCCTGCTTCGGCTCACGCACGGTGCGCGCACCCACTGACCTGCGCCCACTGTCTGGCACTCCCTAGTGAGATGAACCCGGTACCTCAGATGGAAATGCAGAAATCACCCGTCTTCTGCGTCGCTCACGCTGGGAGCTGTAGACCGGAGCTGTTCCTATTCGGCCATCTTGGCTCCTCCCCATACACAGACTTTTTAAACATGTAAATAGTGTTCAGGAATGACTTGTTTAAACTCAACAATTGAAAATAATGTGGGATATATCAGCATTTATCCTAGCATAAAAATAAAAGCTATATAAAGAAATAATCTGTTGTGAATTATCTGTGATGTGGGAGAAGAAAATTGTCAACAGTGAAAAAAAGAACTCTGAGACTCCAGAAGTGTCACCAGCTCTGTATTCTTTTTACCATTATTTATATAATGATTTCCAATAATCTTCATCACATGAACACACATTTTTCCCATTAACCAATATGTGAATAACAACTTGTAAGTTATTACTAAAGTAACTATCAATTGTATTTTTCATTTCAAGTCATTGACTACTTAATTAACATATGGTAAGAACCTAGTAATGCAATCACATTTTTAAAAGGATAAATTAGCTGAAATACAAATATCTGAAAAAAACAACTAATCCAGAACCCTCCCATCTAGTTATTTTTCCAATATATACAAGGTAAAATATCTTTTTTCCCTCAGTCCTTCTAAAATACTCTGGGCGAAGTGAATAGGAAAGCCTATACTGCAAGAAAGTTTGTTCTATTATTTATGAGATTTTACAAAAAAAAAAAAAAACCCTTATTTTCCTTCAACTTCAAAAATTGGGTGTCAATGTCATAAAATTATCTGTTAATGAGATTTTTCAGATAATGGAAAGCACACGTTAACTTGATGAAATGTGAGCTATCTTAAAAGTATATTTTTGTTCAAAACATACAGGCCTAAAAATCCTGTGGCAACGTAGAGATAAAAGACTTCCTCTGCCAAAATATGATGGAGAATTGATATTTCCTCTAATTGTCTGAAAAGAGGAAAAACAGAGACACAGTGTGATCCCAAACAGGCGAAGGGAAGAGGAAGATGAGGATCAGAGAGGAAACATAAAACCCTTGATTGCACTGAAGAGGACTCTTCAGCAGTATAGGAAAAAATTTTACTCTAATTTGAGCCCAAATTTGAGCCTCTTCTCCATTCATATTAAGCAGATGAATTGGACTAAATAAATTTCAAGTCCCTATGATTTTGTTGGAGGAATTTGACTTTCCACACTATCAGTGGCTGAATTGGCAACTATTTCCATTTTTCCCTGAAATGATGACGTTCTCATTTCATCAACTCACCATAGAACCAAGTTCTTCTGAAGCTACACTAAGAGAAAGAATGCTTAGACACTGTTTTTGCCATTGTCTGTGCATAGTCCCCTAAAAGACTACCAGAATAACCTGTTGACCAAGCAAAGCTAAGTTTAATACACTGCAGTAAGACAGAACACCAGTGTAACAGAGCTTTAGGAATGTCTCAAAACCAAGAAATTCCAGGAGGATATTATGGGGTTTTAAGGACTGAGGTAGGTGATTTTTGAGGCAGGCTTTGCAAGATAGGGAACTGCTTGGGATTGGGTAGAGGTTTTGATATTATAATTTTGGATTGGAGGGACCAGTGGACCAAGGGTCTTGAAGTGCGCTGTGATGACCAAGCTATTTTAATTTGTTCACTGTCTTATCTTTAGGGAAAAGGATGTTCTGGAGCAAGTAACTAAGTTATTTTTGCTTACTCTCAATATTGTTAAACATAGGGACAAAAAAATTATGCATAACACAGAATAGGAAAATACATATGGTAGGCGCTCTGAAGCCTAGATAAAGAAAAATAAAAGACATCCTTCAGCTGCTGGGGTGGGATGATACTGAAGGCAGAAGGCCCTTGGCTACCAATACCCTACAAGGATTTCCTCAGCTGCTGATAGTGGACTTACTTAACATAAGTCCTATGGCAGATTATATTTTTCAAGAGGCCATAACAATATTGCCCTTCCCACATGCTCCTGTTACAATGTGACCTCACCAATTCTTCCATCAAGAGATAGCATCAATGTTCACTGCCCTTGAGTTTGAACAGTCTTTTGTAATTCCTCAACCATTAGAGTTTGACTTTGTGACTTCGAGACAAGGTACTAAATGGCTTTACAGCTTCTGCCTGTTTCACTCTTGCTTTTGGGATGCTTGCTCTTGGAACTAGCTGCTATATGAGTAACAAGTTCAGACCATATGGAGAGTCTGTGTTCCAGTTAGCAGTCACAGCTGAGGATGAGCCACAGCAAGTATCAGCCCCAGACACATAAATGAGGAAATCTTTGAGATGGCTCCAGTCCCAGTCAACAACTGACCTCAACTACATGATAGACTCCATCTTAGAACAGCCTAGCTGAGCTCAGTCAACACCTAGAACTACAGAGGTAATAATATAAATTAGAGTTGCTTTATGCCCCTAAGTTTTTGAGGTTGTTTGTTATATAGCAATAGACAACTAAACCATATTCCCTTCCCAAGCTAGCCCACATCCACTGACTAAGGTGATGTACAAAGATCTGGCTCCTTAGCCCCAATTCAGAACAATTCTGAAGGGTCATCTGAGCTTCAGACCTCCCTTATAGGGTCAGCTGAGACATCCATTGGGACTGTTATCAGGGTTCAACTTTTCTGTCTGTCCAATGTTACTTTATTCCCTTGAAACCACAGGTATTGATTCCAAGAGCACTCAAATAAGCCTCCTACACGCTGATCTTTGTCTTTAGGTCCGCTTTCCGGAAAACCCAACTTGGGACGGTGTATGTGTTAGTTTCAGTTCTCACCATTACAGAGAAAACAATCCATTGATTGCTCACTACTTTTCTTGTAGATCTCCAATAGTCGATTAGATGGAAGCAGATTTTTAAAAACTATATGGGAATTACATGTTTTAGAAAAAAATCAACATTGTCCTATGGTAAGATCTCATTTGCTGTCATGACTTGGAGTTGCATGCTCCAGAGTTTGGGCGGAATTGGCCGTATCTTCTTTCCGTATCTTCCAGGAAAGACTTTAACATGATCTAAAAGGAGTGGCTAAGTACTGAATTAAACTAACAATTCCATAGCTAGTAGTCATTTTTGCATTGTGTGGAAGACATTTGAAACTGAAAATATTTTATTTGTATAGAAGCACAGTGTATAATCACACACTGTGCCTATGCAGTTCTTATTTCTCTACTACCTGAATTCAAATAAGTGCAAACAAGGCTAACAAAACTAAATGATCTACACAATGGATAGTTTATATAGGAAAGAATGAGAAAAATTCATTGATTGTAGAGCTCAAACCACAGCGTATGGTTGAGTAGGTTATGCACTGGCCAGTGTGGTCCCTCTAAGAACTGTGTAGCATATATGTGCTCAGTGGTACATGGTGGCCTTAACAACGTGCTTTTAAGGGGGAATGTGATGCACACGGGGAAAGCTGTTCCATGCAGTGGATTAGGATGAGCCTATCAGCAGTCTCTCCTTTGTACTTATTCACTCCCATTTATCCCTACCATTGGCCCAGCTCACTTTGTCTTTGGCTCGCATATCTTAGAGAGCACTGTTAGGAAAGGAAAAGTCATATTCACCTTGGAGCAAATAAGAGAGAAGCTTCCTGTGTGTTAGGGATTATAAAAGGCAAATGGTGCAGGAAGACCCACCAAGGTCAAAAATTAGATTACGGGAAAAGGCAAATCACAGTACCCTCATAGGGGTTCTGAATCTGTTGTTTTAAGAGATGAACCATTTGTTCTTACTTTTAAGCTCAGTTTTGTGGAACTAGCCCATAAAAGACAGTTTAAACTATTTGCTTTCCCCCACTATTCTTATAACCTTGGTAGCATCTCCCAGTAAAAACTTAACAGTGTTTAACAGATCGAGAATTAGTATGTGATCCAGTCAATGATACTTTTACATTACCCAAAATGCAATATAGATTATTTAGAGCAAAATTTAAAGAAATATAAGTATGTGCACACAGGTATTTATGATGTTTGTCATCATTCTAGACCTGCACTGTCCAGTATGGTAGCCACTAGCCATGTGTGGTCATTTAAATTAATGAAATTAAGTATAAGTAGAAATTCAGTTAATCTGATACACTCGCCACATTTTAAGTGCTCATTAACCATATGTGACTATTGGACAATGCAAATGTCAGACATTTCCATTGTCACAGAAAGTACTATGAACAACACTGCCTTGAGTAAGAAGAAAAGTTTAATTTATTTTATAGAAATTGATATACCACCTAGGGATATCAGAAAGCCAACACATACAGAACTGTATTTTACTTTGTCACGTGCAGCCTTCTAATTTTAGAAGTTTAGGGGCTTAAGAGTTTACATATTACCTTATTCATCCATCCAACAAAGTTACCAACAAAGTTAATTTCCCATCTAAATTCTTAAATTCTCCCTCTCATTTTGTTTTGGTTGGATTTTTTTTCCCCTTTCATTCTAGTTTCGGGTTATTTTGTGTTTTGTTTTGTTTTGTTTTTTATCGTTTTTGCTTACAGAAAAATACTGTCAGCATCATGCAGAGTTTTGGTCCATACACATGGCTTCAACCCATAGAAAAAAGCTAGTCACTCTCTGTATAAGCCCAGAAGTCAGTAGAGGTCAATGACTATTGGTAACCTACCTCTGTATAAAAGTCTGCAATTGCCTTTTTACAGTTAGAATATTTCTGATCAGTGAATCTCTGCTCAATTCCCTTTGATGCTACCATATATCAAATACCTAAAATAACCTAATAACTCCCCTACTTGACTCCCAGGGATTCCATAAAGGAACCAATTTCAGATTTTTAAAAATACATTTAAAACTTATGTAATAGAGAATAAGCATAAAAATATTGGCAAGGCATAGTAAAATAAAGGATATATCAAGTATTTAAATTTTGCTCTTAGAGAAAGACATTTTATTTTATTTTTGATGGCTTACACTTGAAGCTGTTCTAAACTTTGATGAGTAAATTGCTAGTTTATTCCTTTTATAAACTCTGCCAGTTAAGAGGGGGAGGATGAGTTTTAAAATGAAAATGAAATTAATAATTTTTATAAGAACTTGATGAACAAAGGAGTTTTGTTTCACATGAATGAGTATGAGTATTGTAAGTATTGTCAGCCACCTTGAGCCAGAGACAATTAAAAAATTGTAATATCTGGCTATTTTTTCTTACAAACTCAGTTTAAGTTCTAGTTAGGGATTTTCTTTTAATAAAATATACAAGATACAGACTACAATTCACCAACTTGTTATTAACACTAACTAGTGAATTAAATAAAAGACTTCAGTTGCTTTAGGTAATCAGGTTCCAGGGAGTGAGTTACATCATTTTTTAAAGCACAATTTGGGCTTTAGATTATAAACATGACTCAACGGAAGAATAAGGGGGGAAATATGAATTCTCATTCTGGAGAGTTAGTAATAGGTTGGTTTGTTCAATTTAGGAGAAATGTGGTAAAGCCACATTTGTATCAAATAAGAGAAGAAAACTTCATTTTCAAATAGTTTAAGTGAATATCAAAGGCTGGGGTAAAAGCCTTCTTGCTATAAATATTGTTGGTCAATAAAATCAGGTGGAAAAGCCAAACCTTTTGAATGCTTGGAATTTAGGACTCAAAAGCAATACCTCAAGTAAATATTGATCAGATAATAATTTTGTGTTCACCCAACCTACTTCTCTCTTAGGAGGTGGGCAGACAAAGGAGAAAGTAAACAAAACCTACTCTATTACCATGCATTTGCCCCACAAAAATCACTTCCAGCCTCTGGCTCCGAGTGATTCTGTGAGGTGCTCCAAAATTTCAGAAAGTAGAAACCTATATTCTAGTTTAGAGCTAAAGTCCTGTTTATTGAAGGAAAAACGAAATTGGCTCCTTTTGGTGGTTGCCTCACATGTGTCTGTTTTCTGTTTTTTTAGTGATATATCAAATTTCAAAGTGGGAGTTCCAGAAGTTCTATCTTTATATGAAGGACTTAGATATTCAATTAAGTTTCAAGCAGAGAGCTAGGGAACTTGTCTTGAACATGTATTTGCAAAGCAAACCCGAAGTTTGTATATTTATTTGGAATAGCTTTGTGGAGGGTAGAGGGGTGATTGAAAATAATGGGAATAGCCAAAGTCCTTCAAAGCAACCCTTGGAGCTGTCTCTGTTAAAGGACATAAATTATAAAAATGCTGGAATTTCTGTAAATCAACAACTTGTTTATCCAGCCTTATCAGGGAGTGATCTGTGGCCCATAATTAAATTTTCCAGATAACTAAAGCTGATCATTTGAAGCACTAACACTTTTTATGTTAGCCTTTTTTTTTTTTTTTTTTTTTTTGAGACAGAGTTTTGCTCTTGTCACCCAGGCTGGAGTGCAATGGTGCAATCTCAGCTCACTGCAGCCTCCACCTCCCAAGATCAAACAATTCTCCTGCCTCAGCCTCCCGAGTAGCTGGGACTACAGGCATCTGCCACCACGCCCAGCTAATTTGTATATTTTTAGTAGAGACGGGGTTTCACCATGTTGGCCAGGCTGGTCTTGAACTCCTGACCTCAGGTGATCCACCCACCTTAGCCTCCCAAAGTGTTGAGATTACTGGCGTGAGCCACCATGCCTGGCCAATGTTATCCATTTTAATGGAAGTTTTCATTGAAGGTTATCAATACTTCTCTGACTTCTTTAACAAAGTAGCAAAAACTAATTAACTTTATGATAATAACTAAGCTTCTCAGGATGAAATCTATAACTCAACTGCACCTAGATACCAATAAGAATACTCGTTCAGTATGCAAAGAACAGTAAACATTTACTGTTTGTTTTACCAAATACCTGTTACATACCAGCACTGATACTAGTATGAGGGTGCTAAGCAATCTAATAGCAAAGACAGGGAAATAGGGTCATCAATAATCTGTCCTATACATAGAATGCTATAGTAGAAAGGAGAAGCACCTTCATCTACTTTTAAACAACCCTGCACTAAAAGCATAGATCACTAAGCTGTTACAGTCTTTATTCCTAAATTTTATAGTTCTTCTGTCTCCTACTTCAAAAATGTTGTCACTTCTTATTCTTACTAATTTCTTAAGGGCAAAACACCATGTCTCTACTTATTTTTGTGTCTCCATGCCTAATACAAGTCCTGGCAATTTTGTTGAATTATTTTACTTGAATAAGTGTTAATGTTTTCAATAGCCCTTCCCTCAATTTCCTGAGTATACTACAAAACTGCTGATAATGATGTATTAAATAGTGAAACTTACTAGAACTGCAATCCTATTTTACATATAATTCTAGGCCATTTAGAATCTGGGTAAGATTCCAACAATGATGTTATTTCCTATAGAGTAAGTCACATGTGCTTATAACCTTTTAAAAAATGTTTTTGATACATGGATGTTGGGTAAACTACAAATCTAACATTAAAATATTTTACTTATAGGCAAAGGTAAACATTAAACAGAATATAACTGCTCTAAGATCAGTTTAGGCCACATGCTAATAAGCTTATTTCAAGAATGTAGTTTTTAGGATTAAGAACTAAGTGCATTCTAGTGTATAAAGTAGGAGATTCTGGCCACAGCTTGCTGCCTAGCTTCCTTTTACTTGTTATACAATTAGCATTATGTGTATAATGGGCACTTTCGCCTTAAGCCTGAGATGCTCAGAAACAACTCTGAGGATAATCCAAAGACTATCTCTAAGGGATACAAGATAGACAGCAAAGCCTCCTGAAGCTTCATTCTGTTATCACCGAGGTCCAGGTCTGTTCTGCCCATGCACAGTGAATCAATCACTGTGACACAGGTTTTGCAAAAGAGAAAAGATTTATTGGCAAAGCTGCCAAGCAAGGAGGCAGGAGAACAGCTCTCACATCTACTTCCCCTAAAATAAGGCTTAGGGATATTTTTGGGTTAGGGAAATGGGGGTGGCCTTAGGTGTGGGGAAAGGTGATTGGCAATGGGGAAAATGAAGTAACAGGTTCATTCTGTGCAAGCATAGTCAGGCTTCATAGCATTTTGTAGGACATATGTATAGAAAATCGTGTTAGCACAACCTGAGGGTAGAGTTTTTGGCCCTCCATGGTCAAAAGGCCATTTGTTGCGCACTTGCGCAGGCCCAGCTCAAGGGCTGGTGGTCTCAACCAGTTTGAATTGGACAGGAGCTGGCCCAAGTTTCTGAAAAACAACGGAAGTGTTGTTTTGGTGAACTATGGATGGTATCTATCAAGCAGCCAGTAAAGGTTAAGTTTCGTGTTCAGCAGCATGGCTTTCAGCTTCATGGAAAAAGGAAAAAAAAAAAAAATAACAAAAGCAAGTGACCAAAAGCAAGCAGGGCAGGCAGACCTGATCAAATTAACCTCTTGGTTTCAATTCTAGGACAATACTTTTGGCAGATAAGTACGAAATTTGCCCCTGGGCCATTCTTTTCCTGAGTCTCTCACACACACTCAATCTCTCAAAGGCAAGGTACTTCACTTCTAGAAGCTTCAGTTTCTTCATTTCTAATCTAATTAAATTGGATCCTACAATTTCCAAAACCCTTTGTTTCTCTAATATTCTGTGATTATAAAGGGAGATGAAAGACCCCAGAGTCCTGAGTTGAGAAGGTCTTAGTTTGTTACATCCCAACCACTGTTGTGAAGTCCCAGAAAAGGACTATTTTATTTGTCCCCAAGTGAATCTTCCATTCAGTGGCTTACCATATAGCAGTGCATGGGAATATAAAGTATGAGGCCAATTCAGATGGTGGAATTGAAAAACATGTTGCCACATTCATCCCCAAGGAGTAGAATATAACCATTGTTCATAATGTATATGGTCTAAGTATTCTGTTTTATCTAATTCGGAAAAAATTTATAGTTATAAGTGTCTAAAAAGAATAAAAGTTAAGATATTCATTAACACACTTCAACAGAAATCTACTGAAAACCATCACCACTGAGTTGTACAAGAAAATGCTAAGATTTCAGTCAACACCAACATCATGCAGCCCAGCACTTCATTATACAGCACAAATGTACAACCATGACCAAATTTTACAATTAGAATGACTTTATGAGGAACGTATGTCTACCCAGTTCATTTCAATAAAGTCATATGTTCAAAATTAATAATTTATAAGAAATAAAACATAATTCTTGATTTCAATACCAATAGTATATAATAAATGTACAAGTCAAAGAAAATCCAAAATTTGTTCAAAGTGACAAATACATCACCTCCCTCACAAATAATCATGGAAATGATACTCAAGAGAGCACAATAACTTTGTAGAAGAATAAAATCTTTGAAGTTCTAACAGGCACTCTGAGGAAGAAATTAAATAGTAGCAGGTAATAGCTGTATGCAAATAAAGTTTAAGCAGCTCAACACCATTTATACTTTAGAAAAAGTGTATCATTGGTTGTATTAATCATTCTACAAGAAGAATAATATTCAATTTTCTGCAGCTTTTACTCAGAAAAGATTTTAGATGTTCAGTCACTTGATGTAGCAGGAGGGAGTAAGACGGGCATTAAAAGTAACTTGATATCTTCAAGTTTCAGTCATTTCAGGAAGATTGCTGAACCTTTTATTTGAAGGCTGCCAGACTCCTTCACAGTCTGTGACAGCCAAAGTGGGGAAAAAAGCTAAAGATGGAAACCTGGCATAACTGAGATTGCAGACTTCTTGTTTATGTAATGAGCAGGACCACCACCTCTATTTTCAATTATGTGTATTGCTCCAAGTCCAAGCTAAGCAAGACCAGGGCTATCTTTCCTTCGAATTCAGAGGGATTTCAGATAAAAGAGTTACAGTCCTCCCTCGCTAGGCTCTTGTGGGGAAAGTGTCATATTGGAACACACAATTGGGGATGAGAGGAGAAACTAGTGATTTCACATAAAGAAACACAATAAAGTTAGTACCATGCTATATTACCAGAGAAATAGAGCACCTTAGGTATGTACATTCAGTGTAACCTTTTGCAAACATTAAAATAATTATTATAAAACTTGAATGCATAAATTATGATAGTATGTTGGGTAAAGAAAGCAACCATACCATTATAACAATATTGTAAAATATGTATTTGTATGTAACAGATGAAAAGACACAGAAAAATGAAAATAATTTTTATTTTTTGGAGAATGGGATTATGATAATTTTCTTTCTTTTGATTACATTAATGCTTCTATAATATTCTTTGTACAATCATATTTTTAAGTCATGCTGAAACATTCATCAATATGAGATTTCATAAGGTTTAGTTTTCGCTGCTTCAATTATTTAAAATGAGGCTTCCACTACTTTCCTTTTAGATTTGAGGACTAATGTGTTAATGTTGAATGTTTATTAAATGATAAAAAATATTACTATGCAGAATGAAATCTCAAAGCCAAAATTTGAAAGTAACCTGGATTCAGCCTAAGGATGTTTTATTTTTAAATAATACCATGCAGAATTAATTCATATCAGCAAAACTGTAGTTCATATGGACACTTATTCCAGCAATATCATGTAGGAGATTCCTGAATGCAGGGTAATTTGTGTAGTATGATCAGATCTCATGGATATCATGTGATGCCTGAAGACAATGCTGTCTTTCAGACTACAGGTTGCCAGAACAATAAGTTGAAAGCAGGAAATTCCAGTGGATAAATTGGCCATTCAGTTAGTTACTGTTTGAATACAACCTACATCACTATTACATTTCTCTCCTGGAGTAAAATGAGTTGCCCTCAGGAACACAATGGAAACAAATCTCATCCCAAAATGAGGCCTTAACTGGGAAGAAACTTCCTGGGATGGCCTCTGCCAGGCAACAAATAAAATCGTATTGGGTAGAGCTATTTTCATGTAAGTGAAAATACAGTCACTCTTCCATCTTGCTCAACAGCCTTAAACACAGGCACTAGAGTGTGTTGAAAGTCAACACAAAGAAACTCCTAAATCAATTCAGGAAATGAAGTAAGAGATACACATCTTAGGAAATCAATCAGAGCTTCTGGAATTCAAAAACTCAACTGAAATTTTCAAAACACATTTGAAAGTTTTATCAATAGACTGTTCCAAGCAGAAGAAAAAACCTCAGAGCTTGAAGACCAGTCTTTCAAAATAACCAAGTCTGACAAAAAATTAAAAAAAGAATTAAGAAAAATAAACAAAATCTTTGAGAAATATGGGATTATGTAAAGTGACCAAACCTATAAATTATTGGCATTCCTGAGAGAGGAGAAAAAGTATACAACACAGAAAACATATTTGAAGGAATAATTCAAAAAGTGTCCCTAATCTTGTTATCTTGTTAGAGAGGTAGACAACCAGATTCAAGAAATTCAGAGAACACCTGTGAGATACTATACAAAATGAACATCACCAAGGCATATACTCACCAGACTTTCCAAGGTCAGTGCTAAAGAAAAAATCTTAAAAGCAGCTAGAGAAAAAGGCCAGATAAAGGGAACACCTTCAGGCTACAGCAGACTTCTCAGCAAAAACCTTATAAGCCAGGAGAGATTGGGGGCCTATTTTCAGCATTCTTAAAGAAAAGAAATTCTAACCAAGAATTTAATATCCCACCAAACTAAGCTTCATAAGCAAGGAGAAATAAAATCTTCCAGACACGCAAGCACTAAGGGAATTCATTGCCACTAGACCTGTCTCATAAGAGATCTTTAAGGGAGTTCTAAAAGGGAAGACAAAGGAGGATACCTTCTACCACAGAAACACCCTTGAATATATAGCCACAGATACTATAAACCAATGACACAATAGAAACTACAAAGCAACCAGCTAACAACTTCACGATAGCACCAAAGCCTCACATATTAATTATAACCTTGAATGTAAACAGTCTAAATGCTCCATTGAAAAGGCACAGAGTTGCAAGTTGGATAAAAGAACAAGATCAGTCCATCTGCTGTCTTCAAGAGACCCTTTTTACAAGTAACAACACCCACCCCTAGGCTCAAATTAAAGGACTGGAGAAAGTTCTATCACATAAATGGAAAACAAAAAAGAGCAGGAGTCACTATTCTTATACCAGATAAAACAGACTTTAAACCAACAACAGTCAAAAAAAGACAAAGGGTATTACATAATGATAAAAAGTTCAATTCAACCAGGAAACTTAACTATCCTAAATATATATGCACCCAGCATTGGATCACCCAGATTCATAAAACAACTACTTTTACACATACAAAAAGAAATAGTCACACAATAATGGGACGGGGAACTTCAACACCGTACTGACAACATAATGCAGATCATCGAGGCAGAACCCAACAAAAAAACTCAGGACTTGATTTAGACACTTAACCAATAGGACATAAGAGATACCTACAAAATACTTCACCCATCAACCACAGAAAATACATTGCTATCATCTGCACACAGAACATGCTCTAATATTAACCACATGCTCGGCCATAAAGCAGTTTTGATAAATTCAAAAAAACCAAACTCTTATCAACCATACTCTTGGAATAAAAATAGGTATCAATACCAAAAAGATTTCCCAAAACCACACAATTGAATGAAAATCAAACAAATTGCCCCTGCCTGACTGTAAACAATGAAATTAAGGCAGAAAGGAAAAAAATATTTAAAAGAAATGAAAACAGAACCAGAACATACCAAAATCTCTGGGATGCAGCAAAAACCATGTTAAGACAAAAGTTTATAGCACTAATGCTTACCTCAAAAAGTTAGAAAGATCTCAGCCAGACACAGTGGCTCAAGCCTGTAATCCCAGTACTTTGGGAGATTGAAGTAAGCAAATCAGTTGAGCTCAAGAGTTTGAGACCAGCCTGGGCAACATGGTGAAACCTCATCTCTACTAAAAATACAAAAATTAGGCATGGTGGCACACACCTGTAATCACAGGTACATCTAACCCAGGAGGTGCAAGATCTCTACAAAGAAAACTAGAAAATTCTGTGGAAAGAAATCATAGGTGACACAAACAAATGAAAAAACATCCTATGCTCATGGGTTGGAAGAATCAATATTGTTAAACTTGCCATACTACCCAAAGCAATTTACAGATTCAATGCTATTTCTATCCAATTACCAATGTAATTTTTCACAGAATTAGAAAAAAACTATTCTAAAACCAAAACAGCCCAAATAGCCAAAAAAAATCCTAAGCAAAAAGAACAAAGCTGAAGGCATCATATTACCCAACTTCAAACTATACTACAAGGCTACAGTAACCCAAACAGCATGGTACTGGTACAACAACAGACACATAGACTGATGAAACAGAATAGAGAACTCAGAAATAAAGCCACACACCTATAACTATGTGATCTCCAAAAAAGTCAACAAAAACAAGCAATGGGGAAAGGACTTCCTACTCAATAAATGGTACTGGGATAGCTGGCCAGCCATATGCCAAAGATTGGAACTGGACCCTTTCCTTTCATCATATACAAAAATTAACTCAAAATGGATTAAATATTTAAATGTAAGACTTTACACTATAAGAATCCTAGAAGAAAACCTAGAAAACACCATTCTGTACATTGGCATTGAGAAATAATCTGTGACTAAGTCCCCAAAAACAAATGCAACAAAAACAAAAATTGACAAGTGGGACCTAATTAAACTAAAGAGCTTCTGCACAGCAATATAAAACATCAACGTAGTCAATAAACAATCTACAGAATGGGAGAAAATATTCACAAACTATGCATCCAACAAAGTTCTTATATCCAGAATCTGTAAGGAACTTAAAGAACTGAACAAGCAAATAATAAATAGCCCCATTAAAAAGTGGGCAAGGACTTTGCTGGCAAGATGGCCTAATAGGAAAAGCGCTGGTCTGCAGCTTCCAGCAAGATTGACACAGAAGACAGGTGACTTCTGCATTTCCAACTGAGGTACCTGGTTCATCTCATTGGGACTGGTTGGACAGTGGGTGCAGCCCAAGGAGGGCGAGGCAAAGCGGGGGGGGGAGGGGGGGGGCGGGGCACTGCCTCACCCAGGAAGCACAAGGGGCCGGGGAACTCCCTCTCCCACCCAAGGGAAGCCATTAGGGACTGTACCGTGTACTCCAGCCCAGATACTGCGCTTTTCCCATGGTCTTCGCAACCTGCAGACCAGGAATCCCCTCTGGAGCCTATACCACCAGGGCCCTGGGTTTCCAGCACAAAACTGGGCGGCTGTTTGGGTAGACACCAAGCTAGCCACAGGAGTTTTCTTTCATACCCCAGTGGCACCTGGAACACCAGTGAGACAGAACAGTTCACTCCCCTGGAAAGGGGGCAGAAGCCAGGGAGCCAAGTGGTCTGGCTCAGCGGGTCCCACCCCCACTGAGCCCAGCAAGTTAAGATCCACTGGCTTGAAATTCTCGTGCCAGCACAGCAGTCTGAGCTCAACCTGGGACCCTCAAGCTTGGTGGGGGGAGGGGTGTCCACCATTGCTGAGGCTTGAGTAGGCAGTTTTACCCGCACAGTGTAAACAAAGCCTCCAGGAAGTTCGAACTGGGTGGAGCCCACCGCAGCTCAGCAAGGCCGCTGCTGCCTCTCTAGATTCATTCCTCTACGGGCAGGGCATCTCTGAAAAAAAGGCACCAGCCCCAATCAGGGACTTATAGATAAAACCCCCACCTACCTGGGACAGAGCACGTGGGGCAAGGGGCGGTTGTAGGCACAGCTTCAGCAAACTTAAACGTCCATACTTGGCAGCTCTAAAGACAGCAGCGGATCTCCCAGCACAGCGTTAGAGCTCTGATAAGGGACAGCCTACCTTCTCAAGTGGGTCCCTGACACCTGGGTATCCTGACTGGGAGGCACCTCCCAGTAGGGGCCAACAGACACCTCCTACAGGAGAGCTCTGGCTGGCATCTGGCGGGTGCCCCTCTGGGACGAAGCTTCCAGAGGAAGGAACAGGCAGCAATCTTTACTGTTGTGCAGCCTCTGCCAGTGATACCCAGGCAAACAGGGTCTGGGGCGGACCTACAGCAGACCTGCAGCAGAGGGGCCTGACTGTTAGAAGGAAAACTAACAAACAGAAAGGAATAATATCAACATCAACAAAAAGGATGTCCACTCAGAGACCCCATCCAAAGGTCACCAACTTCAAAGGCCAAAGGTACATAAATCCATGAAGATGGGGAGAAACCAGCGCAAAAAGACTGAAAATTCCAAAAACCAGAATGCCTCTTCTCTGCTAAAGAATCACAACTCCTTGCCAGCAAGGGAACAAAACTGGACAGAGAATAAGTTTGACAAACTGACAGAAGTAGGCTTCAGAAGGTGGGTAATAACAAACTCCTGCGAGCTAAAGGAGTTATGTTCTGACCCAATGCAAGCAAGCTAAGAACCTTGAAAAAAGGTTAGATGAATTGCTAACTAGGATAACCAGTTTAGAGAAGAACATAAGTGACCTGACGGAGCTGAAAAACACAGCATGAGAACTTCGTGAAGCATACACAAGTATCAATAGCTGAATTGATCAAGCGGTAGAAAGGATATCAGAGACTGAAAATCAACTCAATGAAGTAAAGCAAGAAGACAAGATTAGAGAAAAAAAGAATGAAAAGAAACGAACAAAGCCTCCAACAAATATGGGACTATGTGAAAAGACCAAATCTACAATTGATTGGTGTACCTGAAAGTGATGGAGAGTATGGAACCAAGTTGGAAAACACTCTTCAGGATATTATCCAGGAGAACTTCCCCAACCTAGCAAGGCAGGCCAACATTCAAATTCAGGAAATACAGAGAACACCACAAAGATACTCCTCAAAAAGAGCAACCCCAAGACACATAATTGTCAGATTCACCAAGGTTGAAATGAAGGAAAAAATGTTAAGGGCAGCCAGAGAGAAAGGTTGGGTTACCCACAAAGGGAAGCCCACCAGACTAACAGCGGATCTCTCTGCAGAAACCCTACAAACCAGAAGAGATTGGGAGCCAATATTCAACATTCTTAAAGAAAAGAATTTTCAACCCAGAATTTCATATCCAGCCAAACTAAGCTTCATAAGTGAAGGAGAAATAAAATCTTTACAGACAAGGAAATGCTGAGAGATTTTGTCACCACCAGGCCTGCCCTCCAAGAGCTGAAAGAAGCACTAAACATGGAAAGGAACAACCGGTACCAGGCACTGCAAAAACATACCAAATTGTAAAGACCATCAATGCTATAAAGAAACTACATAATTAACGGGCAAAACAACCAGATAGCATCATAATGGCAGGATCCAGTTCACACATAACAATATTAACCTTAAATGTAAATGGGCTAAATGCCCCCAATTAAAAGACACAACAATGGAAGACAATGTGGCAATTCCTCAAGGCTCTAGAATGAGAAATACCATTTGACCCAGCAATCCCATTACTGGGTATATACACAAAGGATTATAAATCATTCTACTATAAAGACACATGCACACGTATGTTTATTGCGGCAGTGTTCACAATAGCGAAGACTTGGAACCAACCCAAATGTCCATCAGTGATAGACTGGATAAAGAAAATGTGGCACATACACACCATGGAATACTATGCAGCCATAAAAAACATTGCAGGGACATGGATGAAGCTGGAAACCATCATTCTCAGCAAACTAACACAAGAACAGAAAACCAAACATTGCATGTTCTCACTCATAAGTGGGAATTGAACAATGAGAACACATGGATTCAGGGACAGGAACATCAGGGGGCCTGTTGAGGGGGTGGGGCTGTGGGAGGGATAGCATTAGGAGAAATACCTAATGTAGATGACAGGTTGATGAGTGCAGCAAACCACCATGGCACATGTATACCTATGTAACAAACCTGCATGTTCTGCACATGTATCCCAGAACTTAAAGTATAATACTAAAAAAAAAAAAAAAAAAAAAAAAAAAGTGGGTAAATGATATGAACAGACATTGCAAGTGTCCAACAAACATATGCAAAAATGCTTAGCATCACTCGTCAGCAGAGAAATGCAAACGAAAACCACAATGAGATATCATCTCACTCCAGTCAGGATGACTATTATTAAAAAGTCAAAAAACAATAGATGCTGATGGGGCTGCAGAGAAAAGGAAAGCTTATACATTGTTGGTGGGAACGTAAATTAGTTCAGCCACTGTCAAAAGTAGTTGAGATTTCTCAAAGAACTTAAAACAGAACTACCGTTCAACCCAGCAGTCCCATTACTGGGTATATACTCAAAAGAAAAATAAATTATTCCACCAAAAAGACATATGTACTCATATGTTCATTGCAGCACTATTCACAATAGCAAAGACATGGAATCAACGTAGATCCCCATCAACAGCAGACTGGATAAAGAAAATGTGGTACATATACACCATGGAATTCTACATAGTCATAAATAAAGGACAAACTCATGTCCTTTGCAGCAACATGAATGCAGATGGAGGCCATTATCCTAAGTAAATAACACCAAATACCACATGTTCTAACTGTAAGTGGGAGCTAAATATTGGGTACTCATGGACATAAACGTGTCAACAATAGACACTGCATACTGTAAGAGAAGGGAAGGGAGGGGAGCAAGTGTTGAAAAACTATCTATCATGTTCTGTGCTCACTACCTGGATGACAGGATCATTCAGACCCCAAACCTCAATATCGTGAAATATACCCATGTATCAAACCTGCCCATGTAACCCCTGGATCTAAAATAAAAGTTGAAATTATTTTTTAGAAAGTACTTACCAAGGGAAAAATAAATAAATTATTTAAATAAATTGAATAAAATACTTAGTGAAAAATAAATAAAATGAGCATCAGGAACAGCCTTGAAATGGAAAATAAAGTTTTCTAAAAATGGGCAAACTATATTCAGAGAAAGGTAATACTGAAGTTTGTTTCACAATGGGAGTGGGGCTGTAAGAGGACAGTTCATCCCCTATATCTTAGTGATGGCAGAGGTTTAAGAGCTCCTAGTGTAACACTGAGGCTAAGGTCTTCATTTAACACAAGCTGAGGAGCTGTCTCCTTGCTAATATTGGCCAATACTGGCCAATTGCCACTTCAAAGGGAAGTGTCTGTTTTGCCAGATCAGGCATGGGTTAAGGCCAAGGTTAGGACATATCCACAGACTGCACCAGAAACAGACAGGACAGAGGAATCCAGCTTCATTAGCAACATACTTGGACATTCTGATTACCACCTTTCTTCTGGGAAGATGGCAGAAGCCAGGCTAACTGAGGCAGCCACGCATGCTGCCAGTTGCCCCCAAAGCCTCTTAGAATTAAAGAGTCTTTAAGGTTCTCAGTATATGTAAAAATGAAAGCTGGGTGTGGTGGCTCACACCTGTAATCCCAATACTTTGGGAGGCCAAGGCAGGAGGATTGCTAGAGCCCAGGAGTTTGAAGTTCAAGACCAGTCTGGGCAAGATAGCGAGAAACTGTCTACTACTCAGGAAGCTGAGGCAGGAGGATTCCTTTGAGCCCAGGAGTTTGAGGTCACAGTGAACTATGATCATGTTACCACACTCCAGCCTGGGTGACAAAGCAAGACCCTGTCTCGAAAATGAATAAATAAGAAAAAAATGAATTTTGGTACATTTTTAATATTTTGGTAATTTTTAATATTTACCTTTAACAAGTTGCTGCTTTTAAAACAAACACATACAAAAGGTAATTACAGGATTTATGAAACTATTAAATCATAGTGCCCTATGGTTGCTGTGGTTGAGATAATGGGACACAAGTTTAAAGTGATGTTTTCTTCTTTCAGTCCTCTGAGTGTAACTCCAGACATAATATTCATGTTTATACTTGAGACTCTTCATTACTGAAAAGTGAAGGTCACACGGTCCCCTTGGTTCCTCTGTGAAGGGTACTGTTTACTTCCCAAATGTTCCTAATTGAAAATCATTCCTTAATAATAAGCCTAGCACACTACCTGCTCCAACATACCGTGATGTTATAAAGGAGGCAAAAAGACAATTTGCAAGGAACCAAAAGGATTTTAGGATGTAAGTTGATGCTATACTATTGTTAAATATAAAATAATACTTTTTTAGAACTGGAAACAATCAGAGAAATCATCTAAACTAAGTTCCTTAATGATGAGGAGAGTCATGTCTGAGCATCTTATAGACTCAGAGATTCTTTTCAGGTAAGTGTCAAGGGTGTATGTTGTAACCATGGAGCCATGGCAAGTGAGAGGGACAGAAGAAAGGAAGGAAGCTTTGCTTGGTGTGACTGGAGGGGTGCACCCCAACAGGAAGAGGCAAGAGCTCCAGGGAATGGAGACTGGAGTATCGTCCATTTACAAAGATAAGCCCTGGAAGACTAGCAGAAAAATTCCCTGCAGTGGAAGGAATTCCCTGGAGCTGGGGTGGCAGCTGGGCTGGTGTCAAGCAAGGAAATCAAGACAGCAAAGTCCTTCCTGAAATGTTTTCTTGGGGGAACATTTGCAGTTATTCATAATAATTTATAAAATAATTGCTTGTGGTCAGTCATGGTAATCTTATGTGCTAGGAAGCTAGGAATGGGTTAATGAGAGAATATCCATCAATTTTTACAAGAACAAATGGGCAGGGTCCAGTTCTTCTATCCATGCTGTCAAGGTTACTGCCTTGAGATGTCATTGCCTTTAAGGGGAGAAAGGATGATCCTCCCTTTTGGGTGCCTCCTGCTGTCCAAGGAGCACCTCCAAGAGAAGTAAATGGAGGACCACCAGTTATGTCCTATCCAGCGGGCAGATCTAAAAGCCTGCGCCCCTGCTTTCCAAGGGTCCCCATTCCCGTCTCCTGCCCACCCACCCACAGACGCATGTGTACGTCCACACACACATATCCCTTAGACTTCCTGTGCTTAGTGGGAAAAACGGATGGACACCTTTCTAGAGGGCCCCTGTGGTAGCAGAAGGTGGAGTCCAGCTGTACTCAGGTGTTGTGGGTGATACCTTTGGCATATGTTTGTAACAGGGAATGTGCTGAGGGGTTCTTTACACTAAATAGTGCATAGGGAGGGAATGAATTGGTTTGTAGAGGGCTTTTACTAACACGTGTATATCAGTAAATTGTTGATTTATTCTTTCCCAATTAGTAATGCCTGCATTATTTTAAAATTTAACTTCAAACTTTAACTTTATAGGGAAAAGCTCAGAATTAATGAAGAAATAAAACTTCTAAAACAGCAGCAGGAAAGAATTGACAAGGAGCTTGATAGGTTTGTCTCTTATTCAGCTTGGTAGTGCTTAAGATCATCTTTAATTGAAGAGATGTTACATAAAACCACAAAACTGCAAAAGTTTTCTAGTTAACAGTTAATCTGGAGTAACATTTTAACTTTCTTTAATCACAAAATCATCTACTCTGCTAATTAATTGCTAAACATTATCATCATCTATTTTTACTCTCCAGCCATAGGACTTAAGCTCAAGTCCTTTTCAAAATAAACCTATAAGCCTTCCCCATCCTATGGAAGTTGTAAACTAGAAAAACAACAGATTTAGCTGGTCTCTATTGGGCTAGTTTTTTATTTCCCTTCTTCCTCTATGCATATAAACATTTTTCCTCAATGAAGCAAGAAAAATTGGGCTCATTTATTTTATAAATTAAACTATAGGAAGAACAACTATAAAGTATTGAGATTAACCTACTTCTTCCAACACACCCGTAAGCACGTGCAGAATAAGAAGTATCAGACAAGTTCAGCCCTTCAGACAAGCCCCCTAGGGAGACTATAACTTTGTGCCAGTCACACTTCACACTTCTAAATACTATTTTAGAACTTATAAAGCTAGTTTTCCAGTCACATCAGAAAATTTCAACCCACTACTTTAGGATCTTATCTCACTTTTCACCAAAAACTTTATCACCCAGCTTTCTGCTTCACAACACCTGTTACAAGGTTCCATTCCGGGTGACTCTTACAAGTTTCCAAAAATCAAATCCACATAGGACAAGAATTTTCACCACTGAGAATATGCAGAAGAATGTAGGACAATTCTCAGAGTAACTCACAAGAAGTATTCAAATATGATTAATGCAATGGCACATTGTTGAAACATACATATTTGGATATATAAATCTCACGTGCTTGTTAAAGTTATAGGCACAATGTATGAGCTTCCATTTGTAATCTTCAAAAGAGATACTCATGAGAGGAAAGGCAATCAGAAAGAGGGAGGATTAGTAATGTTATAAAACTTCATGAATGTACTAAAACCACTGAACTGTACACTTTAATGGGTCAATTTTATGGTATGTAACATATCTCAATAAAACTTAATTTTTTTTAAAGAGGGGAGATTGTAAACTAAAAGAGTGACTTGGAAGAGGGAGTGATTTTAACTTAGTGAGATGAGACAGATTCTAAGGATACTGTGCAGTTCAAGGAGATTCTAAGAAGGTGTTACTGAGAAACTAAGAGCCAGATTTGAGACTGGCATGGAAGGAAAAATGTGAAGCCTAAAGAGCAATCAGCAAGGAGGAAACTCAGCTTGAGAAGACAAAACAAGCAGAGAGAGAATGAGTGAGGGGGCATGTACCAGTCACAGAGCACAAATGCAAGAGAACCTCCGACTAAGTAATCCCACTCTGCCTTCAGGGGTGCACTAGTCTAACTGCTGAAGAAACCTTGGCTAGGCCTGGCAAGGGGTTAAATAGCTCATCTAAACTTGCTGCTTCAGCAACATGTATTTGGGATTTGCAGAAAATTTTACTTCCTGCCAATTTCATGGAAAAATAGTTTTTAAATATTTCACTTGAAAATTGCCAGTGAAATTAATAGTCTTATATATCCTTTATTCCGTTTCTCTTCCTCATCTGTGTTACTTTTACTAATGTTTCTCCTTCTCTCAAGTTTCTATCCTTCCTTGCCTAGCTACCATTGCTTCTCCCCTCATTCTTAGATCTCTGGAAAGGTTCCTGCTGCTTCCTGATTTCAACCATTCAAGTCCTTCATAAATATTTCTTGAATGAATACTTGGTGACAGATATCATGAGATTCCTGGATCCCTGCTCACAATGAGCTTACAGTCTAGTAAGCGCTGTCACCCACTGGCCTTTTCCATCTCCCTCTCTTTCTTTCCTGTGTCTCTACCTTGCCAGTCTCTTTTACTCTTCTCTCCCCACTGTCACTCCTTAAAGTCTGGGCTAGAGCCTTATGAGTGGAATCAGTTAAAGCAATACTGTGTAAACCATCTAACTGAAGAGGATGTGCCACTGCTGGGATGAGAACCACACAGTGGGTGGAACTGAAGGCTTGAGTCACAGTGCTTGGGTTCAGACTGTCTCCTTGCTAAGTGTATGACTGTTGTGGATGTGTGTGTGTGTGTGTGTGTGTGTGTGTGTGGCACGTGTGCACATGCAGCGGGGGTGGGTGTCTGAACCTATCTCAGCCTGTTTCCTCATTTATAAAATAGGATAATAGGAGTACCTACTTCAGAAGTTTTAAGGGTAATTGAATTAATATATGTAAAGTGCTTGACGAATGCCCAGCATATTAAATTCTTAATAAATGTTGGCTATTTAGATGGTGTCAATATAAGGACAATTAGTTTGGTTACTGATTTTCTTTATTCCATGATTAGACTCCAAGCAAAGGCTACCAAGAAACCTCATGAAGTGAAACAGGACTTTGAGAAGTTCCTACATAAACTGGTAGGTTTTCTTTCTGAAAATAATTGAGAATTCTCTCTCTAGCTTCTTTTATATAGACTGGACAATATTTCATAAGCAATGTATGGTGGCACACCCAAATTACAGTGGCAGGAGAGGATACATTCTTGTTACTTAATCATCTACATGCACATGTAAGAAAATCTGTTTTACATATTTAGTGACAACTCATGTTCACATTCCCCATTTCCAGCTTCTGACCAGGAACAGTTTATGTAACTGAAAAGCTCCAAATGCAGTTAGAATTACAAACTAATAATCACTGATGTTTAAAATTGTAAGTTTTTCATTAATAATTCAACAAAATCATATTGGGTACCAACAGCTGTGTTAGATGAATGGTCCCTGCCCTCAATTATCAAGGCAGAATATGATAAGGTTCTAAACAGGACTCAAGTATGAGAAAGAAAGAAAAGAAAGGAGCCTGTTCCATCTTTCTGATTTTCCTTGTCATCTTCTCTTTTGCTTCTCTTTACTTATGGGCATTCTTGTTAAGTCTGAAGGGCTTCTTCTCTCCCAACAGACAAGAACATGTAGAGACTAGTGTACAATATGTCTGAATGCTGGACAATTGGAGGTCAGGGATAGAGGAGAGCCTTTTACTTTCAGCATGTCAAGGCTTCCATTCAAAAATCTAGAGCAATCCCATTGGCTGCTAGTATAATGTCAAAAATGGATCAAATCAAATTCCTACATGGGGCAGAAAAGTGATAGAAAGAGTGAAACACCTGGGTGTTGTATAATATACAAACAGGACAGTATAATAAGCAAACAGGACTATTCATTTTTGTTGTTGTTGTTGAAACAGGGTCTCACTCTGTCACCTGTCTCCCAGGCTGGAGTGCAGTGCTGCAGTCATGGCTCACTGTAGCTTTGAAGTCCTCAGCTCAAGTGATCCTCCTGCCTCAGCCTCCTGAGTAGCTGGGACAGCAGGCACATGCCACCACTCCCAGCTAAGGACTATTTTTTACATCCACACACAAAAATATTCATTCTTTCTCTCTTTTTTTTTTTTTTTGGTCTATCTTCCCTACTATTGATAGGGACATGGGCACAGAGAAATACCTAATTAGAATAGGAAAACAACAGTGCAAGTGTCCTGATAAAGGGCAAGTGACCTCAGCTGGTAAGTGGTAAATGATTTGAGTGTCAGGGAAACTATTATACAAGCAGTTGTGGAAACTGTAGCGCACTGGATAGCCATGCCTCATCTAACAAGGCAGCTACTATCTCAGCCCTAGTTCATTGATGCCCTGTAGAAATGTTGGACAAGTAGTATCAGATATTCCACCACTCAGTAATCCAGATTCTGAGTAATCCAGAATATCTGATACTGCTTGTACAATCTCCTGATTTGGAGCCCAAGTTTTTAGTCATTCTGTGGGCCAAACTATATACATCTGCAGACCAGATGTGGCCCATGGGCTGCTGGGCTATAACCCCTGATCTAAATGCTGCCTGGATTTGACTCTTCAAAAGCTAGCTCCAGCCAGTGTAGTCAATCTTATTCTTCACTACATACCAAAGCAAAGCCTTCACTCTCACTGAGCCTCCTACACACACCATGTTTGCCTATACCCATAGGCTTTGCTCATCTGCAGTGTGCACTCCACAGCTTTTAAACTCTACTCATCTTTTAGGGCCATGCTCAAAGTCCATTTACTGCATGATCTTTTTTCTAATGGCCCCGGCCCTATCCCTTCCAGGTAAGTTTAGCATCTCTCATAATATCTAGATACCACACAGTGATAGTAAGACTGAAACATAGTTCTTTTTATCGAGAGAAATCAAAACAAATATAGAATAGATCCCTCGCTTAGAATGACCATGTGTGTCCCCCAAAGAAGAGTGCACATTGGAAATTTTTACTCACCTTTTGTGAAGAAGAAATCACCTGGTGAAAATTGTAAATGGAACAGCAAAACAATGACAGGTGCCTTTTTTTTTTTTTTTTTACACTGATCCAGGTATCTTTAAAGAATTATATACCAACCACAAATCCTTTGTGGAAAATGGCACGGTATTAAAAAATAAAGGATTATAAATTTAAATAAATTCAGGTTTCAGATTTTTGGATTTATAGAACTCAAAATTCTTTTAACAAATTTGACTCAAGCTTTCTCAAGCATTTACCTTTCTGCTAAGAATGAAAATGCATCAGAAGTTTATTTTTAAATAGAATATTGGCTTTCCTAGTATTCTATGTATGACTGTTATCCTTTAAGAAA
Organism: Homo sapiens; assembly: GCF_000001405.40. Taxonomy (NCBI): domain Eukaryota; kingdom Metazoa; phylum Chordata; class Mammalia; order Primates; family Hominidae; genus Homo; species Homo sapiens. Next base: position 49,329,533 of record NC_000015.10, on the reverse strand, counting down.
TAAAACTAGCTTTGCGCAGGCCTCCCTTAAACTGAAATTCTAGATGGTGATGCCCAATCTGTGAGTTAAACATTAATGAGCTAATGAAATCACAGAATAATAAGTAATTCTGATATTTTTTTGGATAATTCATGCCATAAAACCATTGCTATCTCAATTACCTGAGTATTTCAGCAAAATACTTTTTGGTCCAAATCATTACATAATTCAGAAAGTGCTTCCTATAGTCCATCCACAAGAGAAAGCCAGTCATTTGCCATCACCAGCCAAACATTTCTGCCCACTCTTGATATACATACAGAGATACCCATCAATACCATTACAAATCCCAGAATTCATTAAGTCTTTTCATAGTCACTTTCACCCACATACCTGCATACCTGCTTTACAATGGGGTGCATATATACAAACAAGCTTTGCTAGACAAGCAAAAAAGGGATATAAGGAATGTGTGGAATTTCTTGGAAGTGCCTCTTGGATTAGAGAGGTATTTGAGAAAAAGTAGTAGAAAAAGAGTGATAAGAAAGTAATTCTATGAACAAACTGAATTATCTGAATTATCATCTAGATAATTCTTTATTTCAATGTGAATAGAAGAGTCTTAAAGTGTTTTTTATCTAAGTTTTTCTATTAAGTAATGGAGATAGCTCAGGGCCAAAAGAATTGAAAGTGGTTATTTATATATTACATGGTTTACAAATATTCAAATGAGTCTGAATTTTCTTCCTGTATCCTCCTTTTGTCAAAAAAAAAAAAAAATCCTTAGTCTCTTGATAACTGGAGAAATCTCACATTCAAATTCAATTATACAATGTCCAAGAAGATCTGTGAAACTTTAATCATGTATTATTTTCATAGCGTTCCGAAGCTGAAATTGAGAGAGAATGTGTGGCATCACTATCGTCATCATCATCATCATCACCATCATCAACAGACAACTACAACTTTGAGGAAGAAGAATACTAAGAGAAACCAGAAATGAACTCTATTCAAGAATAATGCATACAATTCAGTGGTATCAGTTTAATTGTAACAATATATTTAATTCAAGTCCAATCCATGTAATCAGTATTAAGAGTGTGTTTTACCATTCATCTTTAAAATCTTCAAATCAATAAATCTCAGTAAGTTATTCTTAAAAGATCTGTCCAAGCATGATCTTGGCTCTTAATAGTAAAACCATATTTTAAGATGGAAAAAGAATCATTATGAAGCATAGAGAGCTTTCAACCATTTCTTTGAAAATATATCTTGATATAATAGCAACCGTTCATCATAATACAAAACAGAAGGAAGATTAATTTACTGTGGCACAGAAAGTCCTGCCAATTCCTAAGTGCCCTAAGTAGTTTCTCTCAGACTTTTTACATTTTTTCAGGCCTCAAGCAAAACCAAAGCCCCACCTCCAGGTTTGGTAGCAAACAAACTTTGCTTCTCCGGTGCTAAGCTTCCATCACTCCTCTGGTAATAAGCTTTGTGCACATTTGCTAGAAAGCTGGGCAGCTTGTCCGCAGGTACCATTGATACTGTGCAGCCTCCCCATCCTGCTCCAGTAAGTCGTGACCCTTGAGCCCCAAACTTCCTAAAACAGTGAGGAAAAAAATATTAGAACCTATAAATGAAAATACAAGGGATTTGCTTGGTGTTTGTAGAACACATAGCCTATCTAAGTTCTAAGAAGAAAATACATGCGGGGTTTTTAGGTGTCATCAAACATTTTAGGACATTAAGACATTTATACTGTTTCAGAGAGTGATTTGGAATTTTTTCATTGTATCTAAATCTAGTCCCTGGTTTTGACTCCAAGTGGTAAGTCAACAGTACTCCTCCCATTTCATGACTGGCAATAACCCACTGTAATATTGATTCCATAAAGTAGCCACTTGAAGAGTTGTATAGCAAGCTTACACGTAAATCAGGAAGGAGGCGTTAAGATAAAACAGGCAATGGTAAAAGAAATGTAGGCAACCCTGAATCAGAAGGTCACTCCAAATGAGGACAAATCAAAATTTAAAATGTACAGTCTTATACAAGTTTTCCCCAATGGCTATTTCAGCTGCATTCTTAAGGCCGGGCTGTTTCAAAGAAGAATCAGTCCCCTAGAACAGATAGCCTAGTTCACTGAATAAACTTATCAACAAAAAGCGTGTTATTAAACTCCAGGTTGGGTCGGTGGTTGGTTGAATCTCTAATGGAAAATTAACCAAGCCTTTCCACAAAGCAGAGGGCAGTCCCTAGAGGTCCACACCACCTTCCCTGTGCCTTCTGGAGCTAGTCTGATTATTGGACTCAGAAGTTGACATCAGATGAGATATATCTGATTGGGATGACAACAACTATATAAAGGACCACACAGCTAGAGTTAATTTTAGTTACTGTAAACCAGGCACAGTTTCAAACCTAAGATTTCAACCAAAGTGAAAGGCCCTATCACAATGTACACAGATCACTTAGCTTTAAAAGATGCAATTTATCCTGACACGAAAGTTAACATGTACTTACAATTAATTCTTCTTAATAAAATTCACTCCAAATTACTAGTGGATTAAAGGCTCTATGATTAATTTAGCACAATTTTGTCTCTTTTTTTCAATCTAAATGAGATATTTTACTTCCTGGACATATCAATAGAATACTACCTCTACTCTAGAACATCAGAATTACTGCATGTCAGTAATTGATTTTCCTGTCAGTGATTCTTCTCAGTTGATTTCTTTTTATCATCTGCTTTATTATATATATTAAAATACGCTTTTCAAATGAACATAGGTATTTAAGAAAGAAAAAAAATGCTTACAAACAAATAAACATCACTGATCTCCTCCTATCCCTTTAACATTCAATTTATGGCCCAGTGACTAAGCCTGAAATCCCATCATCCAGGCTAAAAAATTTCTCTGACCTTGGGATCCTTGGATTATTCTAAATTTCTAGGTTGGCAAAGGGCCTGTTTGCAGTTTGTTGGATTTAAAAAATGGTTGTCATGCCGGGTGCAGTGGCTCACGCCTGTAATCCCAGCACTTTGGGAGGCCAAGGCAGGCAGATCATGAAGTCAGGAGTTTGAGACCAGCCTGACCAACATGGTGAAACCCCGTCTCTACTAAAAATACAAAAATTAGCCGGGTGCACACCTGTAATCCCAGCTACTCAGGAGGCTGAAGCAGAGAACTGCTTGAACCCAGGAGGTGGAGGTTGCAGTGAGCCGAGATTGCACCGCTGCACTCCAGCCTGCGTGACACAGTGAGACTCCATCTCAAAAAAAAAAAAAAAAAAAAAAATGGTTGTCATATGCAGTCGTATCAAACTCTTACTGTGGAAGATGCTGGGGAAAACTGAGGTGTCACTGAAGTGTCTCTGGAAGACCCTAAAATATGGGCATTAAAGCCAGCCATGACATGGTCTAGAGAAGAATACTGTGCCTTCTTACTTGATTTTCTAAGATCTAAAATATGCCGTTTTGCTGGACTCAAGTTATCAAGTCTTTAAGGGTCCTCAATCCAACTTCTAAAAGGCATATTTTATTATACTTTCTCATTTGAACAGTTTTTGAAAGCTGTGGTTTTTCAAAATTGAACCTAAAGCAAACAGAGTATTATTTTTAATCTGGCTGTAAAACCTATAGGAACTGGGCCAGAGGTCTATTTTCCTGAGACTTTTACTAGTTTCCAGGGAGCAGAAGCTGGAAGTCTTTGTAGGTAAAGATATTTGCTACTGAGTCTCCAGAGCTGCTCTGTCACCACCCTGCCTGCTACAGATGAAAATGGACTGAATTGCATCAATCACATGGTCTGAAATCAGGGCTCAAATTTCCCAAATAAAGAATGATAAGTGCTATTAGAAATAGCCTTCTGCCCCCAAGTCAGTGGCACATCTGATCACAAGTCAGGGCTGCCCCAGCAGCTGGTCAGCAGCCTGCGCAGCTGTATACACTTATAAAGGCAGAAAGGTCTGTCTGCAGTGTTCCCTGCTGGTACTTAATAGGCCCTTTGGCATATGCCATAGAAATTCTGAGAAGACCGAAAGTTAGGAGACCGATATACCCTTTAAATTAAGAAAGAAAAGTAAGTGAACCAAGGGTGTTTAGTGAACTTTTCATGTTTGCGCCTTTTTCTGGAAGAACAATAAAACATTAAAAATATATCTCCTGAGCTATTGCACATCAGAGAGGCAATACAAGAATTACAAAAACCAAAACCCTAAAATCCCTCGGATCCCACTTTGATGATTGTGATGACTAGATTGGGAATAATGTAGAAGGGTTTGTTAAAGCAACAAAGGCAGCCTCTACTTTATAAAGCACGATGGCAAAGGCTAGGGCAGATGAGGGATGGAGATTATGAGGAATGTTACTCTTTGATCCTTGTGTATTCACAGAATTAACTATCCAGGCACCCAATATAGCCAAAGTCAAATTTCCTACTTTTAAGTGAACTAATTCGACCATAAAGCACTTACTAAGTTGCAAGATACAGAGCAATGGAGAGGGTGGGGAGGAGATCCAGGAGACCCAACTGCACTACACACTTGAAAAAGAGGGAAGGTAAGAAATTATGCCTTGTATTTAAATTCTGTGTCATTTCTTTCTAAATAAGTAAATATATATTATACAAATGGATATGAAATAAATTATTTCAGGAAATCTAGAATTTAGGAACAGGTCACATCCATCTCTCTGACCCCAGCCCAGCACAATTCTAGAAATTCTAGGTTCTAATAAATGGCTGCTGGACTACGATATTTCCCTTAAAATATTTTAAAAATTATATATAATATAAGCAGTCAGCAGTGTATTTTTTTACTTGAGAAGACTTCTAGCTTCTGCTCTCTGGGAAATGGCAAGAGTCACAGGTAAGGGAACTTCTAGCAGTTTCTATGATTTTTACAGCCAGGTTAGACACCGTGCCTTCAAATTGCTTTACAGTCAAGAAACCACAGCCTTCAGTGTTCAAATGAGAAAGGATAAGAAAATATGCCCACATGTCTACTTTAGAAATGTAAGCCACTTAAAGGCCATTGAAGAGCAGTGGGTTTGGGTCCTGCAAATGGCATGTATATTCATAAGTCAAAGAGGCCCAAAGAGAAGTGAACCCCTAAGGGGAGGTGAAATGGCTCCCTCCCTCTTTTTTTTTTTTTGACAGGGTATGCATGTTAGCACTTAAGGTCATGGGGAAAGAGCATGCAACAATGGATTTGCACTTCATTCTTCCCCATTATGACCTTGTTGAAGAATGGATGCGAGAGGCTGAGCAGCCTCACCATGGAATACATTGCAGAAAGACTTCTGAGGAAGACAAAGTAAATTAACTTTTGTAATCATAGTTGATCCACTAAAATTTGTCATTCATCTCCCTTAATAGCTTGGGCGATAATGCAGCAATTAATCCTCTCTAACTTCAACAAGTGTCAAAACAAAAACAAAAGGCATTAACCATTTTGTCTTAAGTAAAACGAGGGAACCAATAGTGAATGAGCTGTCTCACATATAACTGACTTGGTTTCAAAATTGTTTTGTGTTCTCCAGTAAATTCTACTTAAAATTTAGTCATTTCTTTCTGTTTACATTTTGTTTGGCTACAAAAGATACTTTATAATTCAGCAAACATTATCTTTTTCCTTCATTATTTACTTTGTTTCATATAATTTAAGTTCTAACATTAATTTAATTTTTTAAAAAAGCCTCACTCTGTAAGTATAGTTTCCTTCATCCTCCCTGCTCCTTTCTTTAGATTCTAAACTGATTTTCTCTTGAAGAGCAGGAAAAGGTTCAACTGAAAAAGACAGCTAGCAGTGGTGCTCTTTCCCAACCCCCCTTCTCTCCACTTGGGTCACAAAGTTGTTCTATACATTGTCCTATATGCTAAGTAGGAGATGCCTTTTTAATTCAGTCTAGCTCAGATCACTGTAAGATTTTCTGCTTGTGTATAGCAACTTAGGTATTCTAGGTATTCAAGCCGTTAATTTACTCACTCAATTAGTTGTCTTTTCATACAAATAGTTTCCAAGAAGCCCTTCAGAAACACTAAAGGAATTTTGAAGTGCCATAAGTGGACCAGGGAGGGTGATGTAAAGATTATTTTTGGCAGTGCTCCTCCTTGAACCCATTTCAGCTTCCCTCCTCCTCCCTCTTTTGGGGAAAACAAGCAACCTGCTCAGGCTGCCCAGTCTTAGTCACACCTTCCCTACTGATGTTAACATTTTTAATGGTGGCAGGGTAATTGTGGAGGTGGTGGTGGTTTTTAAACAAAGCAATACTTTGCTAGAGGTTGTGTCTGTGGCACCAGTGGCTCACACCAGGCCTTGCCAGGACCCCTTCCAGTATGTCCAACACCTTCTCTGCCTGACCCAGTGAGACAGTCACAAGGCTTCAGAAGGAACTAGGGCTTACAAGTAGCTCCACTGTTCATTCGAACCTTTCCCCATGTTACTACCTGCTACTCTTGTACCGTCTGTCTTCCCCATCCTTTATCCATCCTTTATCTTATTCCCACTAATTTCTGCATTCTTCTGAACCCCTCCTTCTTGCCTCATTACTTTCCAGACATCTTTTTTTTTTTTTCTTTTTTTTTTTTTTTTACCTGAGATGGAGTCTTGCTCTGTCCCACAGGCTGGAGGGCAGTGTTGCGATCTCGGCTCACTGCAAGCTCTGCCTCCCGGGTTCACGCCATTCTCCCGCCTCAGCCTCCCGAGTAGCTGGGACTACAGGCGCATGCCGCCACGCTCGGCTAATTTTTTGTATTTTTAATAGAGATGGGGTTTCACCGTGTTAGCCAGGATGATCTCGATCTCCTGACCTCATGATCTGCCCGCCTTGGCCTCCCAAAGTGCTGGGATTACAGGTGTGAGCAATTGGGCCCGGCAAGAGAAAGTCACAGCTTTTGAAAGTAGAGAATAGACTGCAATTTCACACGGTACAAAGATACCCATGTGAAAATATGTATTGATTGAAGGAGGGAAGGACATAATGCCTGCATCAACTTAATTCCCCTGGGGCTATCCTCCTCTGAGGTTGCTCTGCCACTTAGGACCTTTCAGTAACTTGCAGCCAACTGAAACATTTGAAGAATATTATCTGCTGGTCACAGTGACAGCAAAGAAAAAATTAATTATATAAGAAGCTTTAAGGACCAGACAACTATTCTGGCCAACAAGCCAGAAGATAATCTTTCAATATGGAAAACTTGGACCCTATATGGTTATCGAATAAGTAGAAAATAACTTTGATACTTAGCAATTGGCTTTCCAAACAAAACAATCATGAAAAAGTGATGGAGCTCCTGAATTTTTCACAGAACTGAATTTTTCTCAGAAAATAAATACAGCAAATGAAAATGAAACACTTTAGCTGCCATTAAGAAAGGATTTTCCAAAAACAAACAAAATGAAAAGATAAATAAAAGGTACTCTTCCAAACCCATTTAAGACATAGCCATAAGCTTTTTCACTAGAACCATATTTTTTAAATGTATAGGTCTGTAGACTGCTAGAACAGAAAAAGCCAATGGAGAACACAAAGCGAAGCAACAGTTCCAGCTCACAGAGCTCAGAATGAAAAGAGAGTCGGAATCCAAGCTTCCTCACTTCCAGCCCACTTTTCATCCTACTCTACACATTACGTTCCTGCTCAACATGACTTTGCTTAATGTTCAAATGCTGGAAACTATGACAACAAAGGCCTCCATCATAAAGCTTCAAAGCTAGGAGATGAAAATAGGTTACAAACACACACGTACACACACGTATGTATGACCCACATTTAAGTGTAATCACATCTTAGTATAACCCAAGGGGAGAGGCACGTGTGGCAAAATCATTGGATTGGGAGCCAGGCTTTCCAATGAACTCATATGTGAAACTTACTCAAATTATTTCATCTCTTAGTGCCTTCCTGGATCTCTAAGACCCCTTCCTGATCTAATATTTTATGGTACTCTAAGATAACTCTTACCTACAGTGGTGAAGTGTGCTTTTCAAAAATGTGGCTTTTAGAGGCACAAGGAAAGTTTCTCAGGACAAAAACCCAGGAGTCGTCTTGATTTCTCTCTTATACCCACACAGCAATTATCTAAGTCTTCCTTGCAGGCATATTTGGCATAGAATTGCCTAGCATTTCCATTGCCCCCTTTCTCTTCTCAAAGCCAGAAGCCTTCCGATGGCCTACACGGCCTATATGGTGTGGCTCCCCACTTCCTTCCTTACTTCATCTACTACCTCTCCTTCCTTCCTGGCCCTCTGCCATGCTGATCCTGCTGAGCCTCACACCTGACAGCCAAGTATCCACCTCAGGGCCTATGCATTTGCTGTTCTCATTTATTCACCTCCTTCAGGCCTCTGCTCAAAGATCTCTTCGTCAGAGTGACCTTCTTCAACCACTCCACAGAAAGAGTACCCACCCAAACCTGTAGTCTCTATTCCTTCTCATTTTTTTCCATAGCACTTATCACTACCATTCAAATTATTTTTAATTGTCATTTCTCTCTTTCCCCACGAGAATGTAAGCTCCATGAAAACAAGTACAGGTTGACCACTCTAGGAAGAGAAAGTTTATTAGAGAATTCCAGGAAGCTGGCAAATGCCCTTCCGCAGCTTTTCAGGTGGGATTCCAACCATCCCACTTCCTTCCAGGCAAAGACATTTCTTCCTGATCTCTGCAGAAATAATTCCACTTCCTCTTATTTCCAGAACTGAACAATATTTGTCCCTTCCATATACTAGGCCCTTGATATTTTCAGAAAAGGGTACTTAAAATGAAACAAGCTGGGGAAGGCTTTTGGAAATGAGTGAGCAAACATGTCAGCAGAGTGATCTTCATCAATGCTGTGTTCAAGTCTTTTGACAAGCTGGATTACCCAGGCCATTTGTGATCACTGGAGTTACTTGGTTTAAACTTTTCAGGCTGGGAGTGTGGCAATGACTGAGGCAAGCCACAAGTGCCAAGTGGTTAATTACATTTCCATTACTAATTGTAGTGTAGCATTGTGTTCTCACAGTGAAGTAACATCTAGCGTTTGAGAACTTTCCCAGTTTCAGTTCTCCCAGGGTCACTGAGCTCCTTCCTGGGTAAGAGGACTAACTCTGTTATCTCCATTCTTTCACAATTTTAGGAAAGCTGATTTTAGGCTTTGTGAAAGAGTTGTCCTCTTTACATTTCTGCCTCTATTAACCATGTATCACCTGGGCTTTCTTCAGCCTTTATTTCCTCAAACTGCCTAAACTAAACCTAGAAGGCAGGAAATGCTGGCTTTCTGGGTGATTCCTTCAGCAAATCTCCCCACATGCTCCCATCAAGCTTGAGATCCTCTGTCAGTTTTCTCCCTTCTTCTGAGTAGAACTACTAAACTTAATTAGGACACTGGACAGGAGTTTCTGGCAGAGCAGCAGTATAATAAAACATATCATAAGAAAGTTAACAGGGCCCAGCTCTGAGCAAAGTTACCATCCTGAAAGGCCTAATCATCCAAAGACGGAAAGGTCTTTCTCATGATGTAAAGAGCTGACTCCAAACTGACTCCAAACCCAGAGCCTCATAAAATCATGGAGCCAGGTAGCAAATCTTTCATCCTACAGGTATTTAGAAGGGAACAAGTGTAGCTCTGTATCATCAGAGACTCCTCATATAGGAAGTGGGGAATGATCTTCATTCCCGTAGATTATGAAATGTTGCATTTTTTTCCATTAATTTAAACAATATTATTTGATGGCATCCCTTGGCCCCCACCAGGCTGCCTCACCGACAGATGTCCACCAGCTGATCCAGCTCGGGGCAGCTGCACTCATACATGTCCCGGCAGCTCATGTGGCTCTGGTTCATCAACTCTCCCAGCAGCTGGACCATGTTTTCAGGTGCTTCTTCACATATCTTCTTAAACTGGAGCACTCGCGCAGCCTCGCTGTACACATGCTTTGCCCGCTGATAGAGTTTGAAGATGAGCACTGAGGAAGGAAGAGGATGGGGAAGGAGGTTAGGAATAGTTACTGGACAACCCAGTATAAAGAAAAATACACTTTTAAAGACTTTCATTTCTGTTTTCATTATCAGTATCTTAAACTTCAATAGGTCTCTCTTGCTGAAAGGATTCTTTCAATTGAAATGTGTCTATCGGCAAGTCAGGTTTACTTTTTTCTTGATACTGAATAAAATCTTGTAACTATATTTCCTTCACTTCACTCAACACACATGTGCATATACTTGTGTGCAATCTAATCCATCCCAAATGAAGACAGACCTAACATGTAATGAGTACACCCTACATGCCAAACACTTTAAAATACTACTTTGTGTAGGCCAGGCGCGGTAGCTCACATCCGTAATCCCAGCACTTTGGGAGGCCGAGGCAGGTGGATCATCTGAGGTCAGGAGTTCAAGACCAGCCTGACCAACATGGTGAAAACCCATCTCTACTAAAAGTACAAAAATTACCTGGGCATGATGATGGTGGGTGCATGTAATCCCAGCTATTTGAGAGACTGAAGTGGGAGAATTGCTTGAACCTGGGAGGCAGAGGTTGCAGTGAGCTGAGATCACGCCGTTGCACTCCAGCCTGGGCGATAGAGCACGACTCCGTCTCAAAAAAAAAAAAAAGAAAGAAAGAAAAGTACTACCTCATAAAGTTCTCATCACAGCACTGAGGGATGTGCAGTATGATCCCTGTTAACAGAAAAGAGAAGGAGGCTCAATAGAGTGAAGTGACATGCTTAAGGACACACATCCAGAATGTGGCGGAAGCCAAACAGATCAGGGATGCCTGGCCCTAGAGCCATGTTCTTTCCACTCTGCCCCAACAGAAAGGACCACTGGAAATTCTTATGGTGGCAATTTTTTAAATAAAAATATTATATGTCCCAGATAAACACAATTATTTATATGGGATATATAATGTTTATATATGTACCTATATATATATATTGCAGCATTATTTATCATAGAAGAAAATAAGAAACAAATATCTAATAACAGAGGACTTTTAAAAATTATGCTATATTCATTTTTGAAATATTACTGCTATCAAAACTCAGATTCTAAGGCAATTTGATATATAGGAAATTATTCATTATTAAGTGAAAAAACAACCTACAAAACTATATGTACAACTGATACTAATTTTGCATACACATATTTATGTATATTTTAATTTAAAAAACTGATAGGAAAGCACGAAAATGTTAATATTAGTTATCTCTGTGGTCCATTATGGGTGATTTTATTTTCCTTTTGACACATATATGTATTTTCCAGATTACCCACAGTGACACTGTAATTTCAGCTACAGAAACATGGTATATTGCAATGGCTATGTCTATAATGCTTACACATTCCTGTGAATAACAACTGAGACTTCCTTACCATTTTCACCCATGCTGAACAGTTGCTGAGCTGGTGTGGTGGGTCTGGGAAAATTTTGGAAAATTTATGAAAATTCCCAGGCCTAGGGGAAAGAGACAGGGCTGAAAATCAAAAAGTCTATAATTTTTTTTTTTAATTTTACTTTAAATTCTGGGATACATGTGCAGAATGTGCAGGTTTGTTACATAGATATACCATGCCATGGTGGTTTGCTGCACCCATCAACCCGTCATCTCTATTAGGTATTTCTCCTAATGCTATCCCTCCCCTAGCTCCCAACCCACTGACAGGCCCCAGTATGTGTTGTTCCCCTTTCCCTGTGTCCATGTGTCCATTGTTCAACTCCCACTTATGAGTGAGAACATGTGGTGTTTGGTTTTCTGCTCCTGTGTTAGTTTGCTGAGAATGATAGTTTCCAGCTTCATCCATGTCCCTGTAAAGGACACGAACTCATCCTTTTTTATGGCTGCATATTATTCCATGGTGTATATGTGCCACATTTTCTTTATCCAATCTATCATTGATGGGCATTTGGGTTGGTTCCAAGTCTTTGCTATTGTGAATAGTGCTGCAATAAACATATGTGTGCATGTGTCTTTATAGTAGAATGATTTATAGTCCTTTGGGTATATACCCAGTAATGGGATTGCTGGGTCAAATGGTCTTTCTAGTTCAAGATCCTTGAGGAATCGCCACACTGTCTTCCACAATGGTTGAACTAATTTACATTCCCAACAACAGTGTAAAAGCATTCCTATTTCTCCACATCCTCTCCAGCATCTATTGCTTCCTGACTTTTTAATAACCGCCTTTCTAACTGGTGTGAGATGGTATCTCATTGTGGTTTTGATTTGCATTTCTCTAATGACCAGTGATGATGCACTTTTTTTCACGTTTTTTGGCCGCATAAATGTCTTCTTCTGAGAAGTGTCTGTTCATATCAAAAAGTCTGTAATTTCTTAACAGATCTGTGACAACTAGCTGTACACAAATTGCTACCTGTATAATGCTCCCTTTATTTCCTCACCTCTAAAATGAGGTTGAGAATCACTTCTCAGGATACTCCCAGCCCTAACATTTTATAATTCTATGAAGGGCTTCTTCCAAAAGTATCTATCCTTCAACATTCCCCCCATATTGTTATACTTTGTAAAGAAGATGCTGTTACTGGTAGCTTTTGTTTACACCCCAGTCCTACTCTCTGCCCTTTTCCACCCTACTATCAGCCCCAAAGGCTGACCTGTATAGACTACACCAGTGAGTCCCTTGCCATCTAGATTTGAGAGCAGGAAAAGATCAGCAATAGATGGGAGGGAAGAGAGTGATGTCAGAGGATTTATTCCCCGGCTCCTCCCTTGCAGAGCCATTTAGAGCTGGCAGTGTCTTTCCACTGAAGGACACTGAACATCCTTCAAAATCTCCTTTTCTACATGACTTTCTCTCCTCCTGGGTCTGCCCCTAGGTTCCTCTCCCCTAAACTATGATTACTTTTTCTGAAGCACTTTTACATTTCTACTAATGAGCCAATAATTTTTTTTTTGCCCTTGATTTTTCTTGTTTATTTATTTATTTATTTGTATTATACTTTGAGCTCTAGGGTACATGTGCACAACGTGCAGGTTTGTTACATATGTATACATGTGCCATGTTGGTGTGCTGTACCCATTAACTCGTCATTTACATTAGGTATATCTCCTAATGCTATCCCTCCCCCCTACCCCCACCCCACTACAGGCCCCCATGTGTGATGTTCCCCTCCCTGTGTCCATGTGTTCTCATTGTTCAATTCCCAGCTACGAGTGAGAACATGTGGTGTTTGAACCAATAAATCTTATTAAAGTTTCAGGTTTCATTTTTCCCCTCCACAGCACTGTCCTTATAACTCTTACTTTCGTAGATAACCACTATATCATTATCACACCTAACAAAATTACCAGTGGTTCCTTAATATTGCCTGATATTCAGTCCATATTTAAATTTTCCCAATTGTCCACCAGTTTACATTTCAACTGGTTTACACCAAGATCCAAACAAATTCCACACATTATATTCAGTTGTTATGTCTAATAAGTCTCTTTTAGTCAATCAAGAATTTAGTAGTTTAGTGATTTTTGATACTCTGGATTTTCAATATCCCATCCAAGCACATTTTAGGGCCATATCCTGTAATAAAACTCAATATAGTCCATCAGGGAGAGTACACTTTGGTTTTCCTTTAGGATTACATATTTCTTTAGGATTAAATATTTTATTTTAGGATTAAATATTTTAAAATAGAAACTATCCAGAGAGATGTTTTCTATTAAACCCAGGACTGGTGCTTTGATTTTGACAAAAAGCATTCACAGTACACCCTGCAGACTACCAGAACCTCACAATCCTGGCACCTTCCTGAATCTGTTCTCTTCTTGCAGAGGAAGTGTGTCACAGCAGGACTTCTGAATAGGAATGTCTAACGAGGACTCTTGCTGGGCATTCTGAAGGTGCATGAGAGATTGCCATGGCTTGCAATCTCTTGAACGGTAGTAACTCAGACAACAAGGGAAAGGGCAGAAAGGGCATCTGTTTTCAATTGTGATATAAAAATCTTGCCAAAAGCTACAACAGATTTGGAGACCACCCTTTGGGTGGGAAAGCAGTTCTGTGTTGGCTGAATGTCACAAATGCTCTCTGGATCCAGGGTTCTGGCTTGTTATGTGCTGGCAACTCATCAGGTCTCTGTTATACAGATACCAAAAAATCCAAGAAAATCTGAAGCTTTATCCATAACAACTTTCTTCCCTGTCCAGCTAACATTATAGCTGGATGTTCCAGCTGTCTATAAGCTCTTGTAATCCTTGGGAGCAATTATTACATTAAAGGATGAAAGAAGCTGTTTCTTACTATGTTCATTGCATGCATGATTACTTCCAAGGCAAATTCAATTTAAGAATATAACACTAGATGATATTTTCCTCCAATATTGTTAATGGCCTATCCTATTCAAGAAAAATCCAAAACTTCAAAGCGGGATATACGTCATAGTCTTCAGAACACTGATTTTCTCCAATGTGAATCTTAAATAATTACTGAATCTAGTCATGAAATCATGGCACAAATTCTGAAATCTAAATGTTCATGGCTATATATACTTAAACTGCAAAATAAATATTTCATTTTGTTGCTAATAATTTTGGCTTGTATAATAAATTATATTGGCTAAATTCCTTCTGCCCAGCCTCCGAGCTGTGCTTCCAGCACACCATGTGGCTCCTGTGACAGGCCCTTGGCAGTAGCTGTTTTGTTGTCCTGAAATGCTCTTCCCCAAGATCTTCACATGGCTGGTTCCTTCTTGTGGTTCAACACTCAGATGTCACAGCTTTGAAGAGACTCAACTCCAATCTGGAGTAGCCCACACACATACATATTTTCTCCATTCTATTTTATGCTCCCAACACCTATCACCATCCAATATTTTCCTGTGTGTTCATTTGTTCATTGGTTTGTGGTTGTCTCCCACCAATGGAAGCTCAGCTCCAAGAAAGCAAGGGCCTTGTCTAGTTTCTTCATAACTATCTCTAGCAGCTAAAATAGGATCTGGCACTTAGTAGGGGTTCAATAAATGTTTGTTGAATGCATAATTCAAATCCTTCTCCTTGTAACAAAACTGCACTGAAACTAGGCTAAATAAACAGTAGTGAGACAAGTACAATATGGAATATAAAGGAGACATACTATTTTAACAATTTATACTCACTAGCATCCTCACCAAAAAGTGGGGAAAGTTTGCTAAAATAAAGTTTGGAAACAATTAGTAAACTTCAGTGCCCAAAGTATACCCTAATATTCATTATCACAGATGACTGAGAATTGTTTATATTGTATTTTGCTTTACAGATGTGAGAGAAAAGAGATTTCTAAAACAAAATCTGTTTCAAATAAAAGAGAAAGAATATAAAAATGGATAATTGTAAACAGTTAAAATTAGTTTTTCTTTTAGGCAATCTTTGTAACAAAGAGTTGCCTATTAACGTTTTCCTTTAAAAGATGGTTACATAGTTTATGATCAGAACCCATCTCTAATCAAGGAATCTAAATCAGGGCACACATAATTGGTTATTTTATTGGATCTCTGGTGGGAAATGGTGAGGGAAAGCCTTTGACAGGTGAGGCACACTGAGCGCCACTTTAAGCTCTGAGGACAGCAGGTCAACAGTAGATAGAGGACATGTCTATTTCATCTCTGAAAGAGTCCCACTGATTTAAATTTAACCTATGCATGCAAGGGCTAGTGGCCTCTTCTTTATTACCTCATCTTCTGCTAAGAGCAATGCCAAAAGCACTGAGTCATCTGAAAGAGCTTCACTGATTTAATTTTAAGTTCTCCATGCAAGAGCTGGTGGCCTCTTCTTTATTACCTCATCTTCTACTAAGAGGGATGCCATAAGCACTGAGTATGATAGTCATCTAGCAAAAGTTAACCAACAGTTCTTATTGAGCACCTGCTATGCACCCAATACTGTGCTCCAAATGACAGGAAAGCCACATGAAGTAGAACCTCTGCATTAAGGGAACTTATAACTTAGTTACACAGATAAGACAAACTATGACACTACTAGACAGTGAGCAATTGCAGCAGACATCTGAGTGCTGGAAATGCTGAAGGTGCACCAAGAAGACAGGGCTTGCTGGGGAAGGACCAGTAGTGGGAGATGTCACAGGAGAGGGGCCTGAGCCACACAGTGTCCCTTCTGTGAAGAGAGGATGGCCAAAGGCCCAAGGTGGGAACAGGCAGAGTGTGTTCATGGGCCTGAAGAGAGCAAGCTGACCAGAATCTGGCTCTCTAGAAAGCTATCCTCACATCTGAGGCTTTAGCATCCTCAGCTACATCCACTACACAAAGATTACAAACAACCCATGTGCCATAGCCAGCCACGGTGATGCCTTCTTGACTCAAATGTCTTTATATTGGAAGATTTACCTAAGAATCTGGATTTCTACTTACTTTTGGAAAACTGGAAGGTCTGACAGTGCTGGATCTGCATTACTGTCTAGCAACTGTTGGCTGGAGCTAAGGAGTACCTACCCCTTTGAGTCAGGGTACACACACTTTATTCCACACAGTTCTCACCATTCCCAACTATGTGACACTTAGCCTGCCTCACTAGTTTATATGCCAGCCTGGTCCTTGCAGGTATGTGCTTGTGGTCCTTGTTCTATAAAACTTTCTATAATAGGACTTCTCAGCAGAAGAGTGGGCAAATATCTTCCCTGAGTGGGTCATCATGCCATAATGAGCCACTGTTACTGTTGCTATCAAATATCACCTCCCATAGGTGCACTGATAAACAATGTATTGAATTATAATCTGTCTTCCTGTAACTTCTACTCTTTGGTCTTGGTTCTGTTCCCCAGACATATGTAAACACAAGGTAACCCTTCAGATATCTGAAGACAGCTCTCATGCACTGTGCCTTTTACACATTGTTGAGGGTCCACTATGTACCTGCTTAGGGACCAATAATGAATAAGTGTACTAATCAGGGTTCTCCAGTGAGACACAAACAACAGGATATATAGGTATACAAAAGAGGGAGAATTGGCTGATATAATCACAAGGAGAAGTCTCCTTGATAGGCTGTCTCTAAGCTGGGGAGGGAGAGAGGACAGTAGTATGACTCAGTCCAAGTCTGAGAACCTCAAAACCAGAGAAGCCAACAGTGCAGCCCTCAGTCTGAAGCCAAAGGCCCTAGGGCCCCCAGAAGGCTGCTGGTTTAAGTCCCAGATTCCAAGGCTGAAGAACATAGAATCTGATGTCCTTCCTGAGGAGAGGAAACAAGCATCTGACACAGGAAGAGAAAGAGAGCAAGAAGACTCAGCAAAACCTATCTCCCTTCTTCTACCTGCTTTGTTCTACCCATACTGGCAGCCAGTTGGATGGTGCCCACTCACATCACAATAAGATAAGCTGTTTACGCCCCACAAGTAATAGTCTACTAGAAAGAAATCATTAAATGAGATCAACAAAGGGCAAGAGATGCTAAAGCAGCATCTCACAGCTAAAATAGATGCACACAGTCAAGAGGGTGTCTGGATCTAGATGCACCTGAGAGTAGAGCTTGAGATAAAGACTTGGATGCAGGGAGCAGTAATCTAGAAAGCAGGAGTGAAAGAGGAAGAAAAGTGATTCAGGAAAGAAAGCAAGCCAATAAAGGGGGCTTAATGAGCAGATTAACTGTGTGGACAGCCCCCGGCCCAATCTCTCAGGGATCTCTCTGAAGAGTCATGTCGAATGTGCCTACCATTGGCCCACAGGCAATGGGAAGCCTGGGGCATTGACCCATTCACATTCTCATTGTTTGAGTGTTTCCCCCTAGAAGGGTTAACTTCTCCACAAAGATGTGCCTGGGTAACACATCTGCCTTAGTGACTTTGGAGAACGCACAATGGCTACAAAGAAGAGGCACTCATACAAGCTGCTAGCTTAACATGGGCTGCCAGCAATGCTGAAATCAGAATATAAAGTACAATACGGATATATCCAAGAGGATATAGCACAGTAATCATTACATCCACATAGGAATTAAACCAGTGAAGTCTAAATAGATGAGTAGGTGTTCAGCAAACCAATGAAATGGTGGGATAAGAAGCAAAGAAAAGGGTTGGGCAGAAAGAACGTTAAGAGCAAAGACGTCGAGATTATAAACCATTAGGTGCTTTTAGAGAAACAAAGTACTTTGACTACTGGAGCATGAAAAGAGGATAAAGAAATAGAAGCAACAGAGAATGTAACAGGAGAGAAAATCAAAGCAATGGGCTGAGGCCAGCCAGATAATGAGGACTTTGTATGTCATGCTAAGATGTTTAAATTGTATCCTGCAGATAAGTGGTTCTTGGCCCTTTAGGGATTACAGAACCTTTTGAGAAGTAAATAAAACAATGGACTCTCTCCCCCATGTGAATGAACAAATAACCAAAATACTGCATATAACACAACATACACACAGATTCCATAAAGCTATTGTTGAATCCTGGTTAAAAATTCCAGTTAGATTGAGGAAAGGATACGCTTGTCAATAAATGGTGCTGAGAAAACTGGATATTTATATGCAGAAGAAGACAAATAGACTCCTGTCTCTCACCATATAAAAAAATCAACTTAAGATGGATTAAAGACTTAAATGTAAAACCCAAAACTATAAAACTACTAGAAGAGAACACAGGGGAAATGCTTCAGGACACTGGTATAGGCAAAGAACTTATGCGTAAGACAACAAAAATCACCAGTGACAACAACAAAAATAGACAAATAGGACAACATGAAACTAAAAAGATTCTACACAGCAAAGGAAACCTATCAATAGAGTGAAGAGACAACTTGCAGAATGGGAGAGAATACCTGCAAACTATTCATCTAACAAGGAACTAATATCCAGAATATACAAAGAACTCAAACAACTCAACAACAACAACAACAAAAAATCCAATTAAAAAATAGGCAAAGGGTCTGAATAGAGATTTCTCAAAAGAAGACATATAAATGGCCAACAGGAATATGAAAAAATGCTTAACATCACTAATCATCAGGGAAATGCAAATCAAAACCACCATGAGGTATCGTCTCACCCAGTTAGAATGGCTACTATCAAAAAGACAAAAAAATAACAAGTGATGGTGAGGATGCAGAGAAAAGGGAACTCTTCTACACTGTTGGTGCGAATGTAAATTAGTACAGCCATTATGGAAAACAGTATAGAGGTTTCTAAAAAAACTAAAAATAGAACTACCATATGATTCATCAATCTCATTACTGGGTATTTATCCAAAAGAAAGAAAATCAGTATATCAAAGGGCTATCTGTACCCCATGTTTATTGCAGCACTATTCACAATAGCCAAGATATAGGATCAACCTAAATGTTCACCAACAGATGAATGAATAAAGAAAATGTGGCATGTACACATAATAGAGTACTATTGAACAATAAAAAAGAATGAAATCCTGTCATTAGCAGAAATATGGATAAACCTAGAAGGCATTATGTTATGTGAGATAAATCAGGCACAGAGAGATTAAAAACCACATGATCCTACCCATCTGCAGGAGCTAAAAATAACTGAGCTCATGGAAGTAAAGAATAGAATTATAGTTACTAGAGGCCAGGAAGGGTAGTGGGGGAAGGCAAGTAGGAAGAGAATGATTACAAAATTGTAGCTAGATAGGAGGAATAAGTTCTAGTGTCCTATAGCACTGTAGAGTGACTACAGTTAACAAGAATTTATTATACATGTTCAAAAAAACTAGAAGAGGTCCAGCACAGTGGCTCATGCCTGTAATCCCAGCACTTTGGGTGGATCACCTGAGGTCGGGAGTTCGAGACCAGCCTGACCAACATGGAGAAACCTGTCTCTACTAAAAATACAAAATTAGCCGGGCGTCGTGGGGCATGCCTGTAATCCCAGCTACTCAGGAGGCCGAGGCATGAGAATTGCTTGAACCCGGGAAGCAGAGGTTGCAGGGAGCCAAGATCATGCCATTGCACTCCAGCCTGGGCAACAAGAATGAAACTCCATCTCAAAAAAAAACAAAAAAAAAACCCAAGCAACTAGAAAAGAGGATTCTGAATGTTCCCAACACAAAGACATGCTAAATGTTTGAGGTCATGTATAGCCTAATTATCTTGACTTGATCATTACACATTTGTATACCTATATTGAAATATCACTCTGTACCCTATAAATATGCACAATTGTCATATGTTAACTAAAAATTAAAGAAAAAATTCACTAAATAGTAAAAAATAAAATAATTCCAGTTAGAAATAAGAAATCATTATGTTTTTAGTAATTATATCAGTCAGCATTCTTGTTTGTAAACAACAGAAACCTACACCAACTACCTTAAGCAAAAAAGAAACTTGTTTTGAAGATATTGAGAAGCTCACAAAATCTTTTAGGATTATATATTTCCATTCTCTATTAGAACGTGAAACCAGGTGGGAAGTGGTTAGAAGCTAAGGGAAGCAGCCAGTGAAGAACACTGCCAAAATCATTCCACAAGAGCAGTCTGGATATGACATTGGAATCTAGACACTTTATCAACTGACCTATGCCTGTTAGACTCAAAGCCCCAGCCATAAACAAGTGCCCGGACACCAGAAGAAGCCTAGTACCCTTGTCCACATGCAGATGTCAAGTGACTCAAAAGAGACAAATCTGACCCTTCAGCTTCTACCATAGAATGCAAGACCTTCTCCATCACCAACATACACACAGCAGATTTCCCTGAGATGGAAAAGGGGCCCAGATGCTAGGTAGCCAAAACTATGGCTGCTGCCATCTGCCCACTGCAGCAGTGAAATACCACAACTATTTGAGTCTTCTCTCCAGAGCAACCTTCCAAGTTCCAACATGATCAAATTTCCAGTCTCCTTCACCTGTTTATTCTTCCAAATACACTTTAGTCTGTGTATGCCCTTCTTGAAGGGTGGTTCCCAGGCCTGAATGCAGTTCTGGACGTCAGCTGATGACTGCAAGGGAGAGCTGGACCATCATCTCCCTCATTCTTTATGCAGCGAGTTTCTCCACGTAGCCTCATATCACCAAACTGCATAAAGGTTTATAAATACAGAAGAATGCAGAGCATTGGTTTTCAGCTATCAAGCTAAAAAGCAATAAGTATTTTAAGAATATTTCATTACCTTGAATGAAGACTATCTCAGGATAATTAATCATAAAGAATAAATATGCTGGTCTGAGATAACTGGAAATCTTTATCATGTACGTGTATAATTAATCTTTCTGAGACTTTCATACCCTAGAATATTTTCCCACTGTTTGAGTGAGGGGCTAAAAGTAGTTGTGGCTGTAGCTGGCTATGCACAATCATATAACTACACATTACTGGTCAATTTCTCTAACAAATAGAAAGCTCCACTAGGCTAAACCAAAAGTTGGTTTCCAAGAAGAGCAATCCAGAGATGGATGAGGAAAACCACTTCAGAACCCAGAACAGAGTCCTCTGTTTCCCTTTGCAGTGAAGTCATAATAAAAAGTCCGTGCTCTGAGGCAAAGACTCTTTGGAGCATTTAAGCAATATAATTGAAAAACACTTGAATAATCCTCATTGAAGCTGGAATGTGGTTTCAAATTTATTTTCCTAGTGATAATATTTTTTAAAAATGTTAAACTTCTGAAATGGTCAAACCCACAAAAAATAAACTGCTGTTTTCAGCCACATTAGTATCCCATTCCCATGCTGCAAAGACTAAATTAAATTAGCATTTTACATTTAAAGGGAAAATATCTTTACCTGATTTTAAAAGCAAACTCGCTGATGAAAAAAAATGCACTTTCAACATAAAACACACTAATCCATGGAAAAGTACATTCCAAGAAGCATTTGTGAATATTTGAAAATCAACAGCATAATGCTGTTTTATGGAGAGTAACAGTGCTCCTCATGTTTATGGCTTCCCTTTCTCAGATTTCCAAAGTAGCAAGAGCCTTCAAGGTCTGTTCCATAGTACATTTTACTCCGCTGATCAAAACCTTTGCCTCACTCCACTGTAGTCACCCTCACCTGCATTTTACACGCTGGCATATGCTAAGCTTCTGTAAATAACTCCAGGGTCATACACATTACAAGACAGAGCCCATCACTCTCTTCTTTCCATTCTACCCTCTACCTTTGTAGTTTGGATTCTTATCATCCCATGTCTGTACCATTGCACTACCTTCTAACTGGTATCCCTCTCCCCTCTAATCAACCTGCTCATACATACCATAACAAACTTCCCAAATTGCCATTTTGATTGTGGCATTTGTGAATATTTCATTGCATCGAAATCTAGCGTATTTTTCCATTGCCCAACAAATGAAAGCCCCCGTATTTCAATTCATCAAGAAACATCAACAGTCCCCCAAATGGTATGGTTGTGACACTATCCTCTCCCCGTTGACTTGAGATACCTGCCCCGCACCATCATTGCCTGTCCACTGGCAGCATGCAGAGTACCAGAATGAAGATGCTGCATCAGCATCCTACCCAGTCCGATTCTGCAATCCCCACATCTCTTTCAGTATCAGCCTGGATGCCACCTCTTTCACAAAACTCTCCAAAAACATAACAGTCAGAGGCATCCATACCTCCCATCTCGGCACACTTCTTTAATTACTTTGTGTTCCTTTCTAATTATAGTTACCATATACTGCTTCTGGAGGGCAGGGACTGTGCCCTCTTTATCTTTATAGCCCCCTTGGAACCTAATAGAGTGTCTTGAATATGGCAGGTTCTCAATACACATCATCTTGCTCTCATCTTATTAGCAAGGGAAGAATCTGAAGCTGCTCCCTGGATGAGCCACATTTTTGTGTCTCACTCTCTTGAGGGAATTACTTTCCCATTAATTTTCCAGAACTTCCCTAAAACTTCATTCTTGCAAAATGTGAAAAGAGGAAACAATTTCAAGCCATTTAAAAAGGAACCTAGAGAGTTAAGAAGGAATCGTGGTCAATGCAGAGCTGCAAGAAGGACTATGAGAAACATGGTCATGCTTGCCTAGGGCTGGCCTGGCCTGGTATT
Source organism: Homo sapiens (assembly GCF_000001405.40). NCBI lineage: Eukaryota > Metazoa > Chordata > Mammalia > Primates > Hominidae > Homo > Homo sapiens. The sequence continues at coordinate 49,306,630 of NC_000015.10, read as the reverse complement.
TTTACATGAAAGGGAATAAGCTCTTATCCTAGATTTCTTCTATTAATTGAATTACAGGAAAAATACATAAGGGAATAAAAAGGGGTGAAAGAGAGGCAAAAGAAAAATTAGTGCTTACCTGTGAAATAAGCATATTTCTATTAGAACACTTTAGTTATTATTTTATTGTTGTCTTCCCACAAAATTAAATAATAATAAGGATTATGCTGGCCTTACTGACTTCTAATACACAGTACCTAGCACAGTGCTTAAATAGCTGGTTCTCAAACATTTGTTGATAAAGGAATAAAAATCTATCTCTACTTATGTTATTTATTTCCCAAAATGATGAAAAAGTAGTCAGTGAACAGATTACGTCAACAGTTTAAGCAAGTATGAAACTATGCTATCTGGCATGTAAAATGGCCCTACTAGATTACATAGGCTGTTGTCCGGAGTTTGCTTTTGGAAGGTAGGTACTGGAGCAGAACAGGAAGAGTGACCTGGGGTGACTGAAAGTGAGGGAGCTCTGAATCATGTGCCAAATGTGGCCCTTCTCCGAACTTCCTATTGAAGGACAATACACCTACACTATACCTGAACTTTCCAAAATGCAGTGCAGCATTAAGAAGATAAAAATCTTTCACTTTCACAAACATCTAGAGATGTTCCTATTCTCAAGGTGTTTACACTATAACTGGCAATACCCTGAAAGAATAAATCAAGATGCTGCTATTTCACAGCACTCCATGATTACAAATGTGCTTATGTAGTTCTCCGGAAGCCAGTTGGGAAGTGAATGCACACAGGTGTGTTTGTTTGTGGTTTCTCTGCATTTGTGTTTATGTGCTTTTCCATAAGCAACCTTCCCCCCTTTATCAGATTCTCTTTCCTGTTTTCTTTATTCATATGACTCTTTCCCTTGTGATCTTCATCCTCTCTGTCCCCCTTCCCTTTTTAGGCTAAAATAGAGAAATGAAGCATGTATCTTGCTATTTCTTGTGTTAATTAAGTAGACTTTTATATTGCTTCTTCTTGGAACATTTTATAACTTCTCATTAAAAGACTAAATTATATTGCTTTCCTATGTAGGTGGTCTCTGGTCTTTTTTACTGTTCCATCAGTGGCCCTTGACAGAATAAGGGTTTCCCAATATTAGAGAAGTCCTAATGGACTAAGGGTGTTAATCTTTGTGGTCTCTCCCATTCTAATCCTTTCTAAAGACAAAACAAGAAACCATCTTCCTCAAACATTTTCTAAAAAACTATGGAGCGTCTCTACCCTGAATATAGAGTGGTGGCCTGTCATATTTTCGTCTGAAACCTGCCACATGAATGATGATCAAATGAGATCTCATATGGTTAAACTGTTAGTGTCTATACACATACAATAGGTCATTATTTTTGTTGTCATTACTATTAATATTTGGCAATAACCTGCAAAAAGGCACTAGATCCATCCACAGTTACTCGCCTCAGCTGACTCTCCTGGAAACAAATGGCACAGTAGGTAGAAAATAGCATACAATTTCTAATTTAGAAATTATTAGGAAACTTTCTTCCACCTGAAGCTAAGTACTTTGAAAAAGGACTACAGAAATTGAACAACTAATAAACAGAAGAAGATGTTTTCTTGAACTAGGATATTAGAATGACTGGCTCCTGAAAAGAGACCATGAACTCTGCAAGACAGGGAAGAAAGTGACAAGCCATCATTACCAAGTAAGCTTTCACCAGATCATGTGCAGATAAAATGCCAGTATGAGAGAAATGTGTAACATAAAAAGAGATCACAGTATGTCTGTCTAATTCTTAAATGAAAATAACTTGAAATTTGATCAAGAGCAATATTCATTGTCCCAGATGTTTGGAAAAAATGTCAACTTCGTATTTGTATATGAGAAAGTAAATTGGTTCTCATTGGTATCACCAAGATTTGATGGGATGAGACTCATAGCCACTCAACATGGGAAAGTACAGTTGTCATTAGGCTGCTTCCAAATATTCCAGCTATCCTCACACATATTAAGACTGTACTACCTCACCCTCACTGAAGTTCATCACATCCATCTGACTGGCTTTGGCCAATCGAATGAGCATAGGGGTGATGCCAGTCACTCTGGCAGATGTTAAGAGCCAGAGAGCAATTAACAACATTACCTTCCTCCTGCCATGATTGTGGACAAACGTGTTGAGATGGAGCCCTCTGAGCCCAGCTCCATAAGTGTCTTAGATGAACAAACTCTTTTGCTGACTTATGTTAGATATAAAGAGTGAGTAAGAAATAAACTTTTGCTTGGTCAAGCCACTGAGACTTTGAAATTGTTTGTTACTGAAGCACAATCAGTTTGAGCTTACCAGTACAGGACAATCACTTTGACCAAAATAAATGAATTTCACCATAAGAAAAGCTGCTTTGTATACAAAGAGAACACTTACTTATGTGGAAACCTACAAAATGTAAAAATGAAAGCATAAGTAGCAAAAAAGGAAAATAGGATGGCAAGATGTTGGCCTCTTAGGTTGATGATGACTATAGAAGATGCTTTCCTATAGATGTTTCCAAACCAGCAGAGGAGTGACAGAGGAGACAATGAGATGTCCTTATATCTGCAGAAGCCTCATTCTACTCAAAACATAGTATCTAATAACTTCACAGCTGATCCTTTGATAATTTCACTCCTGAAAGACAGAGATACATCCATGATAAATTTAAGCAAAGGGAATACTGAGTAACATTTCCTTAGACTTAAATACATATATTTACAAGTTTAGAAATTATACATTTTCCTTTCCTTTTCTTCCCTTCCTTCCCCTTGAGGCAGCCACAAATGAGAAGACCAGCAAGGCTAGAGCCAAAGAAGCAGCTGGGGCTGAGGAGATGTACAGGAACTACAGGGTCAGAAACAAAGAGGCCTGCAAGGCTGGACCAAGGTGGTGGTCAGAGCTGAGGAGACCAAGGAGGCCAGTGATGCCAAGGCCAAGGAGGCAGCTGGAGTGAAGAAGATAGTTGGCAGGGTCAGGAAACCAGGTACATACAGGGAAAATGAGCAAATAAGTAAATATACTAAGAATGATGAGAGACATGTATTTTTCATGCTTCAAAGGTCTACATAGGAGCAGCTGGTGCCACGGCAGTTCATGCACATTGTTACTTCTCTGCTGGCCTCAGAAGCCAGAACCATGGTCACCATTAGCCTTGTGGGACAAGAGTCACACTGTGAGTACTGACCTACCTACCAGCGGCTGAGAAGCTGACCAACACACAACACAAATCACTGGTGTGATTCCAACACATGTCCTAGGCTCTTCCTACAGAAGTTGCAAGTTTTATGATGCCGTGCCTTTAAAAATCCTACTTAATAAGGTATGTTCACATTCATTTTTAGTTTTGAAGGGGGAAGGTGAACCAATGAATAGGGACATATCACGCACACATCTGAAAGAGGAAGTGGAATTTCCTGGTTATCTGCGATATCAGGTAAGCCCATTTTTTTTCCCTAGGAAACAAGGTAGGAACCTTTATTCCTGGCATGAACCTGTCCTCCACAGCCAGACAACTGAGAAGTCAATAGAAGCTGATGGGCAAAAGGAAGTGACCAGGCAGAGAGAGAAAGAAAAAAGGACTAATGAAAGCAAATTTTCTGCAAACTTGACTTCCAAAACAACTTAAAGAATAATATCTTTTGTGTGAAAGAAAAATCATTATTATTTGATTTATTCTTTTATACTTTGTTTTACAACAGTCTATTATTTTTCTCATAAAAACAAAAACAATAGACAAAACCAAAGGACCCATTTTATTGGCTTTCTCATTAGAAGTCCATCTCACAGATTTTAAGGATTTCTGTTCAACCAACATCTGTAAACTCTAGAAGGGTCTAAAACTTCCTTTGGAGTTTCGTCTAGCTTTCTATGGAAAACTTTTCTTCCAAAACATTTACAAGAAGAACAATGGAATCTGTTGAGATCACAGAGTTTAGTGCTTGATATCTTATAAGCTACATTTAAATCAATTTCCTTCATAATTGAGAACCCTCAACTGGACATTTAAATTACTAAACAACTGACCCTTTTTACATTGTAAAGCACCTTTATACTTTTTATTAGATAAAAACAAACTAATCTTCTTAGACTTAACCAAGATAATCTATGAGAACTGCATTTTTATTAAACGTGAAAATTCCATAGCACTTCTCATGGCTCTTCTAGAACACAACAGCTTATGCATATTATGGCCAAGTTGAGTTGTTCCTTAAATAAAGCAAGCTTCTAGATGCCACACAGTCTTATCTCTTCTAAGGCCAAAACACTAGAATGGGAAATAGCCATAAAGGAAACTCTTTGGACATAAAGCTACCTATCTTTATCATTACTCCTTAGTCTCAAGAAAAAATTAGAGCCAAGCAAAGTCAAAATACTGATATCACCTCCCGTAATTGGTGCAGGATTGCTAAGGGCAGCTTATAAGTGTGCCAAGATTTAAAAAGTGATGGCAGAAAAAGTACTGGATTAAGTTAGAAGACTAGGATTTGGAGTCCGGCTCCAGCTCGTACCACCTATGTGGTCTTGACAAATCACTAAATTCTCTCACCTCTGTTTCTTCATCTGTGAAATGCAGATAACCCTGTGCCCCAGGGTTGTTGTGAGATTCAAATTAGAAGGTGTGTGTAAATGGTCACGTGGGAACTATAAAGTGTATAACAAGTTGTTTTGTTCTTTTTTTCTTTACCATTGACTCTAGGTGTCTTCCTAAAAAGCAATCTACATCAGGGCTTTGTTCTTTATTAAAAGTCATGATTATCACCCATGACTCTGGAGATCATACAAGGCAAACAAATGAGTCAGGAACTGACCAGCACTTTGTCAGCATGTGGTCACAGGCAAAGTTGATAACTGAAGTAATGAAATTTGGGTCTACCCCAGCACAGTGTGGCTAAGCAGCTGGGCCACCCCAACCCAGAGCAGTTTGGACACTCCCAAAAGAAATGCTCCCAACAAATTCCTTTTTTTTTTTAAGCTAGAATCTAAACCAACTGACCCATTCTCTCTACTTCACTGCCCATTTACCTTCTCAGAAATTCTTCTGTCCTCCAATGTGTGTTCTTGAGTTATACGCTTGATACATCTGCCTATCTCTCCTTACCCTGACCACAGCTTCAAATTTTCTTCTTGGGTCACACCATGGGAAACATCCCTCCCAATTAAGTCTGGCCCCTGAGGCTCCAAGACTCCAGACCACTCTACCACACCCTTAGACAATTCCTACCTGTGGGTAAGGCCTGGCAAATAAGCCTGAAACTATTCCTAAAAGTTTCTAAACAACATCTAAAGGATTGAAGGATTTTGCTTTGTGTGTGTTTAATTTGAATGGCCACTGAGCATTTCTAAATCTAATTATTAGAAATTTGGAAACAGAAAATAAGAACTGCGCATGGGCCTTTGGAAGTCTGGCTAGTTTAACAGAAGCTTCAAGCCACTGCTTGATTTGAACATCTCTCCCTACACTGTCACCTCAAGGTTAACATCCTTAAAAAAAAGAAATTCCAACCAAGAGTTTCATATCCAGACAAACAAGTTTTGTAAGTGAAGAGGAAATAAAATCCTTTTCAGACAAGCAAAGCCTAAGGGAATTCATTACCATCGGACCTGCCTTACAAAAGATCCTTAAGGAAGTGTTAAACATGGAAACAAAAAACTGGTACCTGCCACCACAAAACACATTTAAGTACATAGCCCACCAACACTACTGTATTAGTCCGTTCTCTTGCTGCCAATAAGGACATACCTGAGACTGAGTAATTTATAAAGGAAAGAGGTTTAATTGACAAAGTTCAGCATGGCTGGGGAGGCCTCAGGAACTTATAATCATGGCGGAATGAGAAGCAAACATATCCTTCTTCACATGGTGGCAGCAAGGAGAAGTGCCAAGTGAAGGTTGGAAAAGCCCCTTATAAAACCATCAGTTCTCAAGAGAACTCACTCACAATCATGAAAACAGCAGCATGGGGATAACTGGCACCGTGATTCAATTACCTCCCAGGATCTCTCCCATGACATGTCGGGATTATGGGAACTACAATTCAAGATAAGATTTGGGTGGGGACACAGCCAAACCATATCAACTATAAAGCAATTATATAATCAATGCTACAAAACAACCAGCTAACAAAGCAATGACAAGATCAAACCCTCAAATGTCAATATTAGCTTGGAATTTAAACAGGTTAAATGCCCCACTTAAAAGACACAGAGTGATGAGTGGGATAAAGAAGCAAGAATCAACTGCATGCTGTCTTGAAGAGACTCATCTCACATGCAATGACACATGTAGGCTCAAAGTAAAGGGATGGAGAAAGATCTATCAAGCAAACAGAAGACAAAAAGAGCAGGGGTTGCTATTCTTATTTCAGACAAAACAGATTTAAAGCTAACAATGATCAAAAAGGTCAAAAATGGGCATTACATAATGATAAAGGGTTCAATTCAGCAAGATGACTTAACTGTCCTAAATATATATTCACCCAACATTAGAGCACCCAGATTTATAAAACCAAGTTCTTAGAGACCCACAAAGAGACTTAGATAACCAAACAATAATAGTGGGAGACATTAACACCCTACTGACAGATCATCCAGGCAGAAAACTAACAAAGATATTAGGGACTTAAACTCAGCACTTGACCAAATGGACCTAACAGATATCTATAGAATACTCCACCCAACAACAACAGAATATACATTCTTCTCATCTGCACATGGCACGTATTATAAGACTGACCACATGCCCAGCCATAAAGTAATTCTCAACAAATTAAAAAAAAAATCATACCAATCACGCTCTCAGACTACAGCACGAAAGAAAGAAAGAAAGAAAGAAAGAAAGAAAGAAAGAAAGAAAGAAAGAAAGAAAGAAAAGAAAGAAAGAAAGAAAGAAAGAAAGCAATACCAAGAAGATCTCTCAAAACCATACAATCCCATGAAAACTAAACAACTTGCTCCTGAATAACTTTTAGGTAAAGAAGGATATTAAGGCAATGAAATTAATTCTGTAAAACTAATGAAAACAAATATATATCAGAATTTGTAGGGCACAGCTAAAGTAGTGTTAAGAGGAAATTTATAGCACTGAACACCTACATCAAAACATTAGAAAGATCTCAAATTAATAACCAAACATCACACCTAAAGGAACTAGGAAAACAATAGCAAACCAACCACAAAGCTAGCAGAAGAAAGGAAACAACCAAAATCAGAGCTGAACCAAATGAAATTGAGACATAAAAATCCATACAAAAGATCAACGAAACCAAAACTAGTTCTTTGAATGAATAAATAAGATTGACAGACTGCTGCCTAGTTAATAAAGAAAAAAGGGAGAAGATCCACATAAACATAATCAGAAATGACAAAGGTGATATCACCACTGACCTCAGAGAAATACAAAAAACCCTCAGACACTATTGTGGACACCTCTGTGCACTCAAACTAGAAAACCTAAAAGAAATGAATAAACTCCAGGAACTGAACCAGGAAGAAACTGAATTCCTGAACAGACAAATAAAAAGTTCTAAAATTGAATCAATAATAAAAAATCTACCAACCAGAAAAAGCCCTGGAGCAGATGGATTCACAGCCAAATTCTACCAAACATATAAAGAAGACCTGTTAGCAATCCTACTGGAATTATTCCAAAAATTGAAGAAGAGGGACACCTGCCTAACTCATTCTATAAGGCCAGCATGATTCCAATACCAAAACCTGGCAAAGACACAACAAAAAAAGAAAACTTCAGGCCAATATCCCTGATGAATATAGATGCAAAACTATTCAGCAAAAACTAGGAAATTGAATCCAGCAGTACATCACAAAGCTAGTCCACCACTATCAAGCAGCCTTCATTCCTTGGATGCAAAGGTTAGTTCAACATAGGCAAATCAATAGGTGTGATTCACAACATAAACAGAATTAAACAAAAACCATATGATCATCTCAATAGAAATAAAGACTTTCAATAAAATTCAAGAACTCCTTATGTTAAAAACTACCAACAAACTGGGCATCAAAGGAACATACCTCAAAATAATAAGAGCCATCTATAACAAACCCACAGTCAACATCATACTAAACAGGCAAAAGCTAGAGGCATTCCCCTGAGAACCAGAACAAAACAAGGATTCCCATTCTCACCTATTCAACATAGTATTGGAGGTCCTAGCCACAGCAATCAGGCAAGAGAAAGAAATAAAATGCATCCAAGTAGGAAAATAGGAAGTCAAACTATCTCTCTACACTGACAATATGATACTATACCTAGAAAACCCCATAGTCTCTGCCCAAAGGCTCGTGGAACTGACAAATAACTTCAGTAAAGTTTCAGGATACAAAATCCATGTACAAAAATCAGTAGTATTTTTATACACCAGTAATGTCCAAGCTAAGAGCCAAATCAAAAACACAATACCATTCACAATAGCCACAAAAAGAATGAAATACTTAGGAATATAGTTAACCAAGGAGGTGAAAGATCTCTACAATAAGAATTACAAAACATGGCTGAAAGAAATCAGAGACAACACAAACAAATGGGAAAACTTTCCATGCTCATGGGTTTGAAGAATCAATATTATCAAAATGGCCATACTGCCCAAGGCAATTTACAGATTCAATGCTTTTCCTATCAAACTACCAATGTCATTTCTCACAGAATTAGAAAAAAAAAAATTCAAAAATTCAAATAAAAAATGGGCCCAAATAGCCAAAGCAATCCTAAGGAAAAAGAACAGAGCTGGAGCCATTATACCACCCAACTTTAAACTATACTACAAGGCTACAGTAACCAAAACAGCATAAAACAACAGACACATAGACTGATGCAACAGAATAGAAAACTCAGAAATAAATCCATACACCTACAGCCATCTGATCTTTGACGAAGTCAACAAAAATAACCAATGGAGAAATGACTCCCTATTCAATAAATGGTACTGGGATAGGTGGCTATTCATACACAGAAAATGGAAACTGGACCCCTTCCTTTTACCATATACAAAAATCAACTCAAGGTAGATTAAAAACTTAAATGTGTGACTTAAAACTATAAAAATTCTAGAAAAAACAGCCAGTATATGCAGTTCTGAACATAGAACTTGACAAAGATTTCATGATGAAATCTCTAAAAGCAATTGCAACAAAAACAAAAATTGACAAGTGAGACATAAACTAAAGAGCTTCTGTACAGCAAAAGAAACTGTCAACAGAGTAAACAGACAACCTACAGAGATAGGATAAAATTTTTGCAAACTATGCATCTTACAAATGTCTAATATCCAGAATCTATGAAAAAGGTAAACAAATCAACAAGCAAGAAACAAATAACTCCATTAAAAAATGGGCAAAGGACATGGACAGATACTTCTCAAAAAAAGACATACACATGGCCAACAAGCATATAAAAAATGCTCAATATCTAATCATTACAGAAATGCATATTAAAACCATAATGAGATATCATCTCACACCAGTCAGAATGGCTATTACTAAAAAGTCATAAAACAACAGATGTTGCCAAGTTTGCCAAGAAAAGGGAATGTTTATACACTGCTAGTGAGAACGTAAATTAATTCAGCCATTGTGGAAAACAGTTTGGAGATTTCTCAAAGAACTTAAAACAGAACTACCATTCAACTCAGCAATCCCATTACTGGGTATATACCCAAATGAATATAAATCATTCTACCAAAAAGACACATGTGGACAGGTGCAGTGGCTCACGCCTGTAATCCCAACACTTTGAGAGGCCAAGGCGGGTGAATCACGAGGTCAGGAGTTCGAGACCAGCCTGGCCAACATGGTGAAACCCTGTCTCTACTAAAAATACAAAAAATTAGCTGGGCGTAGTGGCAGGTGCCTATAACCCCAGCTACTCGGGAGGCTGTGGCAGGAGAATCTCTTGAACCAGGGAGGCAGAGGTTTCAGTGAGCCAAGATCGCATCACTGCACTCCAGCCTAGGCTACAGAGTGAAACTCTGTCTTAAAAAAAAAAAAAGAAAAAGACACATGCACTTATATATTCACTGCAGCACTATTCACAATAGCAAAGATATGGAATCAAACTAGATGCCCAACAGTTGACTGGATAAAGAAAACGTGGTGCAAATACACTGTGGAATACTATGCTGCCATAAAAAGGAATGAAATAATGTCCTGTGTAGCAACATGGATGCAGCTGAGGGACATTATCCTAAACAAATTAATGCAGGAACAGAAAACAAAATACCATATGTTCTCAATTGTAAGTGGGAGGTAAACACTGAGTACATATGGTGACAAAGAAAGGAAAAGTACACACCAGGGCCTACTTGAGGATGGCCAGTGGTAGGAGAGTGAGAGTCAAAACACTACCCTTTGGATACTATGCTCACTACCTGGGTGATAAAATCATGTGTACACCAAACCCCAGAAACATGCAATTTACACATGTAAGAAACCTAGTGTGTATGCCCTGAACCTAAAATTAAGTTGAAAAAGAAAATAAATAAAAGTTCTGGAAAAAAAGAAATAAGATGAAGCATGCCTCATTTTTACAAAAACCATGAAGTCATTATTCTTCAGGAGGAAAAGCTTATGAATATATACATAGAGAGGCAGAGAGAGAGCAATACATGTTGTTTGATAAGCAAATTGCTCTTTGTATTTTCCAAAGCATTCTGGGAAATTTACTTATTCAAAAAAAATCTAAAAGAAAGGAAGACAGGCAGATGCAGAAAGAAAGGAAGATGGATACAGAGCAAGAGAATAGGTTGTGGATTAAGAAGCATAAGCAGAAGATAAGAATTATATTAAGCTTTTAAGACAGGTAGAAACTGCATTTCAGAAAAGGGAGAAAATTCATTTATAAAAGCACAGTGGTATTTAGGATTAAAAGCCCAGAGGGAAGACCAAGCTTCCAATTAGTAAGTGGAATGGTCCAACCAAGGTAACACTGTCCACACAGGCAAGTATGGGCTCAAAAGGGACACAGGACAGAACTTAGTTAAGACAGGACTAGAAGAGCTCAGGCAATTAGGTAATGGTAAGCCTCTGAAGGCTTCTGAACTAAGTGACACCATGAAATGACTCTTTTAAAATCATTTCATAGTCAACATTTTCAATGTCTATTAAGACTTTCTCACCTTTTCAACAATAACCCCCAAATCTAATTATTATATCATTTGGATCTTTACCTGTTTTACATCTCTATTTAGATATCTTGCTATCACACCAGACAAATTCAATGATAGATAGATGAATCTATCTATCTATCTATATATATATATAGATAGAGAGAGAGAGAGAGAGAGAAATGAGCTTGTCATCTTACTGCCAAAATCACTTCAATACTATAATTTCCTAACTTTCCCAGTTATCCATACCTTGGATTTATTTACCTTATATTTCTTTTCTTCTTCCCTTCCTTTCTTCCTTCTTCCTCTCCCTCCTTCCCCTCCTTCTTCTCTTTCTTCTTTCCTTCACTCCTAGATACCAGCAATTGCCAATTGCAACTGAATTCTATTTTACAGTCTTGAGAATCTACCAGTTGAGCCATCTATCCTACTTCAGGCTCTTCTCATTCAGTATAGAGTATAGAGCAATAGTTTCCTAATTGGCATCCTTTTAGGCAGTCTTTTTGTCTTCTAACTCATACTGCACACAATACCTCTTGGTGCATGTTCTCCAGTACTCGACTCCTTGTGCTACTTTGTCTTCATTCAAGCTCTACTCTCCACCTGGAAAGGCTGGTAATCTCTCTAAGTCTAGGAAATTCATAACTTTCTCTAAGGATCCAGCTCAAAATTGAACCACCATCTACAGGACCTGAGCCACTTTTCCCTCCATACTCTTAGGGTTCTTGATAAATACCTTTATTATAGCAGGTATTATTTATTGTGATTGTTGTATGGCACTCTCCCCCAATTAGACACTAAGTCACTATAAAGTAGAGACTGTGTCCTGATTATCTTTGTATCCCAGCATCTAGCACAATTTCCAGTCCACAGAAGTCAATACGATTTGTTAAAGAAATCAATATCTCAGGTCAAAGGAGAAAGGCAATTCCCCTGAACCTCTCCCTATCCAATACCTTACCCAACTTCTTCATTCAATAAATATTGATTACCTCCCACATTACCTATACAACACACACACACAAATTATTTAATAAGGCCTTTGGTGATCTGGGTCTGTCCACAACCTTGGCCTGATACTGTATCATTCTCTACTATGTACATTATTTTCAAGAAACACTCAACTATCTGTAGTTCCCTGGACATATAATCTTCTCTCACTTCTTTCTGCCTCTGTATCTACTGTTTTGTCAGACTGGAATTCTTTCTGACTGTTTGCCTACCTAGGAAATACCTATTTATTATTTAACTTTTGGCTGGTTGCTAACTCCTTAGTTAAGCTGGCTAGCTTGCTTGCTTGCTTATTTATTTATTTATTTATTTATTTATTTATTTATTTATTTATTTGAGACAGGGTCTTATTTATTTATTTATTTATTTATTTATTTATTTATTTATTTGAGACAGGGTCTCCCCCTGGAGTGCAGTGGCACAATGTCAGCTTACTGCAACCTCTGTCTCCTGGATTCAAAAAATTCTCATGCCTCAGCCACCTGACTAGCTGGGATTACAGGTGCTTGCCACCATGCCTGGCTTATTTTTGTGTTTCTGGTAGAGGCAGGGTTTTACTATGTTGGCCAGGCTGGTCTCGAACTCCTGGCCTCAAGTGATCCACCCACCTCGGCTTCCCAAAGTGCTGGAATTACAGGCATGAGCCCCTGCACCCGGCCTTAAGCTGGCTTTGACTTCTTTGTTTTCTGGTCTCCCTAGACCCAAGTACAACTCCATCACCACACTCATCACTCTATTAGTACCTCTGCTACCAAGCATTATTCTTAGCACATTATACAGATTATTCTTAGAGGCATTCCTGTTACGCCTATTTTCATGGCAAAACTAAGGTAAACTTTAGTCTACTGCCTTTCTGGAACGAGAGCCAGCAAACATTTTCTGCAAAGAACCATATAGTAAATATTTTAGGTTTTGTGGACTATTTAATCTCTATCACAACTACTCAACTCTTATAGTGCAAAGGCAGCCATAGCTAATACATGGCCGTGTTGTAGTAAAAGTTTATTTTATAAAAACAGATGGCAGGCCTGATTTGGCCAGTAGGCCATAGTTTGCTTATTCTGGTTCTAAAGACTCAATCAAGCTTCATCAAATTAAATTGGATCGACAGTGTTAGAAACTAAAACCCAATCCCTACTTCCAAATGATTCCCTTATCTCATCCCAAAGTTTTCAGTACTTCCAGCCTTTAAGACATTACTTTGTGGGTAAATCTACAGTAGCAACTCAACAACCAGTTGTAGAACTGAACTGAATGAGACAGAAATGGGTCCCTGAGGCTGATGTTTGTATTAATCTCCTACTCATCCCCCATAACCATCCGCTAAGGGCAACTGGATCTTAACTAGATGTCCTTGCCCCCAGTACTGATTTGTCACAAATAGATAACCTCTAGTCTAAGAGGAACAAGCCAGCCCAAGACTCCATCCTGTGCCTGCAACATTTACCTGGGCTTCATCTCAGTTTCTGATGTTATTGGTATAAAAATAAAGTTAATTGAAAGCAGACCACAAATAGAAATAAGCTTCCACACTAAAGTAGGCCACAAGTTTCAACCTAAGACGTGAACACTTTATAGTGTTCCGAGTATTGTTTCACAGAGTTAGAGCAGTTCTCTAACTTAGTCCATTTTTTATACAAGTAGCATAATAACCAGAAAAAAATGGATAAGGGAAAAAAAAGATAAAAAAGAGAAGCTTACTGAATTATAAGCCCCTGGAAGACAGGAATCATGTCTCATTCACCCTTGCCTACCCAGCATAGTGGTGAATGAAAGAATGAATGAATACATTTATGAAGCTAAGATTCTAAATAATTAAGCTTGCCAAAACACAGTCTCCAAATTCCCTCAAGTATTCTCTAAAACCAGTGGAGAAATTGAAACCTTCCAGCTGTAAGTGAGGGAATAACATATATCATACTTTCTCCAGCCAACTCACCATCTTGAGTGTTTGGACTCAGGATTTGGGTTCGGAGTTCCTCCAGGCTAATTCCCAGACACCTGCAGATCTCCTCAGGGTTATAGGGTTCAGGATGAAGGGCATCTTCTGTGACCAACAGCATTTCTTCTAGACTAATCCCTAGTTTAGCCTGCACCTCCTCCAGCCTCAGTACTTTGTCCCATTGCAAGCTTTTGTATTTAGCCAGGAGCTGCAAATTCAAATCAAGATAATGGTCAGTTTTGATTCAGAATTTGATGTGTACTATTTTAATTAGCCAGATTCAACGTTAAGCTGTTTTTTGTTTTGTTGTTGTTTTCCTTTCAACCTATCCAACTTTCCCACCATTACTTGGAAATGCATACTGGCTTCAGATGCCTGGAATTAAACATGTCTGTATTACACTCACAGACTAGGTAGGTATTTGTCCTGAAACACACACACACACACGCAAACACACACAACTAATCTCTCACTGATTTTTTTTTTGGCCTGTCACCACTTTCCCTCAGGGCTGTTTCTTTGAATAATTTTACTCTTTTATCCTTATTCAGTTCATGCCTACTGCATTCCTCCCTAGGAAGTCAAGAGAAAACTACTTAAATCTCATGTGACCTGGGTCCTGAGAGGATACTGTACATCCAATTAGGGTACTTCCTGTTTACTATATGTCTCTTTGAAAATGGCATTATATGGGCATTTGGGGTAAAGTCCTAAATTTGAAATGAAAACCTCATTGGTGACTTTATGGGAAGCACTTCATTAGGTCACTGGTGGTAGTAGAGCTATATGTTCCTCTACCCTCAAGAAAAAGAGTTTGGCTTCTAACTGCATCCTGAGGTACCTCCTCAATCTGACAGTGCGGGTTAAGTACAAACCAAATCTGTAACCACCCATGGGAACCCCAATCCAGAATATATTTCTGTCATTCTCCCCAAGCAATATCAGAGTAGGTGGCAATCAAAACAGTGAGGATTTCTCTTATCCTGAGGTCTACAATATTCATTGCCTGGGTGTGAAGACAGAGGGGCATTTTAAGCAGCAAAAAGAAACAAGAGAAGGGGAAATCAGTCTTCAAGAAAATGTGCATCTGATTTACTCTTCCATTATGTTGATGATTTTCTCTTTTTGACAGGAAGCGGGGTTTACCAAAAGACTATTGTACTCTGGTTACAGCCACTGACTTCTGAAGAATGTTAATAACAGAAGTTCTTATATTAATTTAATCCTCTTTTTAAAACCCTGGCTCGTATATTTGAAATGAGTTAATGATTTTAAGGCCAAACTGGGAAACAAAACAATAGAACTATGATTTTCGGTTCAATTATTTCATGGAACATGGTGTCATTTAAAACAAAAAACAAAAAGCAAAAAAAAAAAATGGCGAAACCTTGTCTCTACTAAAAATACAAAAATTAGCTGGGCGTGGTGGCATGTGCCTGACATCCCAGCTACTCAGGAGGCTGAGGAATGAAAATTGCTTGAACCCAGGAGGCAGAGGTTGCAGTGAGCGGAAGTCATGCCACTGTGCTCCGGCCTGGGTGATGAAGTGAGACTCGGTCTCAAAAAAACAAAACAAAACAAAAAAACAAAGTAACTCAACTAGTTAATAACAGAGTTGGAAACTGAATCCAGGTCTTATAACTCTTTCTTGCTGCCCCTAGGCCACGTTCTCAATGAGGTATGCATGATAACTATATCATGTTACCCACATGAATTAAAATCACCGATCAAGTCTTAGAAACGCATTTCAAAACACAAACCTAGATCTGTGCTAGAAGTGAACATTCCAGTAATTTAAAAACACTTTGATAAATGGGTTCCTTCCAAACAAAAAAAGAAAAACATCACAGAACTGCCCCCAAGAGATGACAGTGGGCTCTTCCTAAGAAGCTTTCAGTCCACAGTAATCTCCAAGTTCCCATTCCCATTCTCTCTTGAACCAGTCACATTGCCCCAGGCACTTGATCCAAGAAAACTGGGCCAGTGATGTGTGGGGAGAAAGTCTGCAAGGGATGGCTACAGCCCACAAGATTCAGTTTTCAAAGGCAGCCTCCTGATGTGCTCTTCTGCAGATTGAGGCACTAACATAGAGTTCACATTCACTCCAGCAATATCCCACTTTACTGTGACACCAGTTGTCCAGTGAGCCCTCAGCTGGAGAATCCACACAGCCAATTTGGTGTGTATTTCAATTAAGGATGAAATCTACCATATGCCCTCAATGACAGCTGCACAGCCCGTGAGCTGTTGAATTACACTACATTGAGGGAGTCAAATAGAAAAGCCTCTTAAGCCCTTTGAAATTTGGCTTGAAAAACAGAAAGATGACTTTCAGATGAAGGAAATGGGTGGATAAGATCACCATTGTTCAAAGACAGAGCTTCATGGAGGCACTTGTGGCCCAGGTGACTGGCCTCCTTCACATTTGTGAAGCAGGGCTATAAGTCAGGGCTATAGGTTATTTTGTCACAACTTTCTCACTCAGTAGTAGGGTGGGGAAATAAGAGAAGGCAGTTCTTTGTCCACATTCACCACTTTCTTTTCACCATGGCAAACATTAAGTATTCCTATCAGATACCACTTCTGAGAGGTTCCTGAGCTCTGTTCCATGCTCTGTGGACAAAAAAGCAGGCAACAAGTGCTTTGTCCACAGTCATGGAAAGAGGCACTGATAAATGGTGCTAAAACTCTGTTTTAGGTTGGTTTCTCTCAGACGCAGGCCCTGTGACAAAAATTTGAGGGTAAGAATTTGAGGGGAAGGTGATCCTAAGAAGCATTAAGAGAGGAATGGAAAGTGAAACAGGAAAAGACGCCAATATGAGGTGTACTGATATTGGCAGGTGAGTCTGGGCCCGCTGAGCTTCAAATCACAGGTTCTCAGGAACCTGTATGTGTAAAGCTCAGTCATGTCCCACCATGGGCAAGAAAGCCAAAGTATTTACCCAATAACTCCCAGTTACCACTGATTGAGGTGGCTCTCAAGGATATTAACTCCCTAGCACTTTCAGGTTGTCCCAGACACAAACAAAAATACTAAGCCCTCTGTTCTTGGTCTGAGACTCCCTGGGTCTTCTGGTAAGAGGGTATGGTAGAGAAAGTGTTAAGATATTCATGAAGAATTCTCATCATCTCCTACTTTTTAGTCAACTTCTAGTCCATCCTGCCTTCTCAAAACCTATCAATGGCAGCACTATGCTTTTCACCAACCATTGCACCTTGAAGCTGCAGCCCTTATTGACTCAACACCTTTTCTTCATTTCCTTCATTCATGTGCATCTGCTCACAGTGAGTGTCTACTGAGTGCCTATTACTTCCCAGGCTCCAGGCAGACAGCAGTGAGTAAGGCACACATGGCTCCTGACCACGTGCAGCTCACAGCCCACCAGAAAAGACAGAGGTTAAATTAAAACTACATTTATCATAAAGAACTTAATCCAATTATGATAAACTGCTATAATAGAAAAATACAGGACATGGTAAGAGCACATAAAAGAGTGTTTCACCTAACTGAGGTCAGGAGGTAGTCAAGGAAAACTTCCTCAAAGTAATGAAGTATATGCCAGAAGGAAAACAAAAATCCAATCACAGAGAGCCTGTACCCAACCCTTACTAGGTCCAGTCAGAGCTTCTCTCACATCTCTCCCTTTTTATCCCATCCTCACTGATACTCTAGTACCTACTTCTCTTCAACCAAGGCAAAAGCTCCTGCTGTCATATTAATATTTCTAAAATACCTTGCTAACAACCACTGCTTTCAAAGCCAAGCCTGGGTAAGGCTGAGCATAGCACTGAAGGTCCTGCCACAATCTGGTTCCACTAAACACATTACCCCTATTCCCCAGTATGTATGTCCTCTGCCATGCAGCTCGGACTCACCATTGCCTGAATACTCCATGCCAGAGTCTTGGCAGAGTATGCACTATTGAATCAACTGGCTGCGTGAAATTGGCTACATTCTTGAGTATTTGGTTTTTCTCTGCTCAAATTCAAGGAAACTGCCAAAACCCTGAGACTATTATGCCAACTTCTCCTCCCATTCTATCACCAGACAAAGAATAAGTTTCATACCAACTACTAAATGAAAGGAGCTGAAAAACTGGGTGACTGATGGCCCCTGACCAGACAGGCCCTGTAAAGAATCACTGTAAATTTTCCTTGAAGTGTCAAAGGAACATATGAAACTCTCTCTTTCACTGCTTCTCATGTTGCCACAAGGAGCTCAGGGTATGCAAAAAGCAACAGTATAATTTCTCTTCCCTACCTGACTTCCCATAATACTTATCATGGGTATCACACATTTTATTCTTCAACATAACTAAGGGATACTGTATAAGAAAAGCACTTCTGGAAACATTTAAGCCCCAAATGTGTGTAAAATATGAAAAATGTTGTACCTACTAAAGATCCTTGGCTACTTTATCATAAAAATGTGCTTCATTAAGATATCATTTATACAAGTAGTAATTATAAATCTCGAGTTTGCTTTGAAAAATTTTTAATTTTAGTCAAATGCTCTACAAGGCTCTGACTTTTTATGAATTTGCATGAATTAGCTTTTGAAAGCTGATGGAGAGAAAGAGACAGAGACAGAGAAACAAGATGAGAAAGAAGTTGAGAATAGAAGAAATTGCTAGCATTAATGCAAAACAAAGAAAAATTGTCTTTACTGGTTTAGTGTACTTCTCTGTGTTAACTTGATTAAAAAAAGGTACTCATTTTCAAAAAAGGATCTGAGAAAAATAGGAAGAAAGGAAAAATAAATGTTCTTCATTACAACTTTGCCATGTGGAGCCCTAGCTGATCAGTCTCAGTCTCATTTTCAAAACTATCTTGATTAGCCATTCTTCAACTGACACTTCATTATTGTTGTTGGAAAACAGAAAGTTTGGTCAGATTGAGATAAGCTTTTTTTTAAACTTTTTACATGAGAGGTTATTTATTTAATGAGACCATCTTCAAACAATAATTATATTCATTCACATGTTGCCAAAAATGGAAGAATAGAACCATATTGCAAAGAAAATATGCTTAGTAGAATTCCAGCCTATATTCCTAAGCAAAAGCATATTCCTAATATCAATATCTCTGAGTAAAGTGCACATTAGCAGTTTTATCTTCATTTCCCTTTTGTATAAAACCTGGGATTTTAGTGATTTGCAGCAACATGATTTAGAAAACATTTTCCATCTTGATAAAGTCTTTCATTTTTCTTTCTTCCACATTTTAAAAGAGAAAAATTCAGAGTATTTAAAACAGTGTGTTTATCTACGTCAATTGGGAGGAGTGTGTAGCAAAAAGCCAAATTCAGATGCCAATTTTGCTGACCAAAGTACCTCTAAAATGCATATGGGGTTACGCAGTTAAACTGAGAAAACATCCTCAAGAACAGGAGGTTCTGCAGTGGATTAAGATCTTCAGCTACTACTGCTTCCAAAGGAGATGCCCTTTTTCTAGTTAACTCTCAAAAAACATTCCCACATCCCAATAACTTTTACTACAGAGACTCAGCACTACAATTTTATCCATCATTTTCTTCTTGTATCTTTGGGAGAGTAGTCACAACATGAACTGATTTTACATGTCTAATACTTGTTTCAGCTCACCTATGGATCTGGTAGAGGATATCTAATTTCGTGATAAAACTTTGAAAACAATGTTGTGTATGTTTGAGGTCTCCTTAGGAAGGCAACACTTACTCATCAACCTCAAGATAAAAGGTCAACAAGACTAAGCCCTCAAACAAATAAGACACTAATTTCTTCCATCTCCTGAAAAAGGAAGTGTGTCGTAAAAGAAAAAAAGTTCATTGAACCCTTGATATTAAAAAGTTTACAGAACTGTTTCTCTGCACATATGCACTGATCAAATACTATGAAGAGTTCAATGTTAAAGCACTTCTATTACATTATTTTTAGACACTATCTTAATAAGTAAATTAAAAATTCAAAACATTTAAATCATAATTTTTCAAAAAATGTATGCCCCCCAAATATTCCAGAAACAAAAAGCTTTTATTTTCCTCGTTCAGTATATCTCTAATTTCCTGAATTTCCCAACCTCAGAGGATAGAAGTAAGAGGAGAAGTGCTAAGTCAGTAACAAGGGAAAACTATACTTTACACACCTCCACAGGATCTAGGCCAGTGCTAAGCATACAATAGGTACTTGTAAAAAACTGTGAAATTGTGCAAAATAAACTACAGAGCAGGTGATACAGGGAGTTGTCATTCATCTATTGAACAAATGTTTATCCTGTGTCTCTTCAGCTTAAGCATCACATCAAGCATTAGGGATATAAGAGTTAACAAGACAAACACAGCCTCAGCTCTCAGGTAAAACTGAATCTGAAAGAAGAGACAGACATTAAATAAATGATTGTGATAAGTGCCATAACTGAAAAATGAAGTGCTTCAAAATATAAAGGGGGCTCTAACTTAGTCTAGGAGTAAGGAAGTCAGGGAAGGCTTCCTTGAGGGACATTTAGACTAAGACTTCAAAGAGGGCTGAAGGAAGAATGTCCTGGGCAGGTGCAAAGTCTCTGAGATGAGAATGAGTCTCATGGCTGGAGTGTAAGGAAAGCAGGTGATGCTAAGAGATGAAGAGGATGAGGTGCACAGGTCTCAGATATGGTGGCTCTCCAGGTCGTGATATGGACCTTTTACTTTATTCCAACGAAATAGGAAGCTTTTGAAAGGTATTAAGCAGGGGAATTTAAATTGCTCAGATTTAAATTTCTAAGCCGTCATGCTGTTATTTAAAGAATGATTGGGAAAGAGATGAGCATGAATTTAAGGAACAGTGAGAAGGCTAATGTGATAGTCAATAAGTGATGATGGGACCGATGGAAAAATATAAGGTCTGTGAAAGACTGAGTTCAATTTCAACATGCTCAGTTTGAGAGGTCTATGATTCATTCAAGTAAAGATGGTCAATAAGGCATGGGATATAGAGGTTTGGAGCTCAACCAAGAAAGCCTTAGTTGAAGATGTTTATTAGGAAGTCATCATCATAGAGATGGAAGTTGAAGCTGAGGGCATGAGACCAACAGAAGAAAGACCACTAGAAAGAAGAAGACGACCAAGGCCAAGGCCTTGAAGAACACCAACATTTAAACATCTGTGGGAGGAGGAGTGAATTCCTGCCATCCCTTCATCCCTGCCCAGGGTGGGTCGGTGGAGGGAATGGCTAAAACTAAAAAGAAATAGCAACAAAAATATAAGGGGGAAAAGAAAAAACAGGAAGTGAAGTATACTGGAAACCTAAGGAAGAGAATATTTCAAGAGGGAAAGACTGGTTAACTCTGTTGAAAGATAAGAAATAACAATGAGAAATAAGATGAAGACTGAAAAGCATCCACTGGATTTACCAATGAAAAAACCTTTGGTGGCCTAAGAAAGAGCAAATTCAACATTGTGGAGAACGCAGAAGTGAGATTTTAGTAAATTAAGGAATAAGAGGGAGGTAGAGGAGTAAAGATAACATATATAAAGCAATTTTTGAGAAGTTTAGCTGTGAAGAGAATGAAAAAGTAGAAATAGAAATAGTAGATGGAGAGAGTTGTGAGGCTTAGGGTAGACTTTTCTAATACAAAATACTAGAATAGGTGGAGTCTGATAGAAAGGATTTAGTAGAGAAATAGAGGCGAGGAACAAGTTAAAGATGGAGTGAGTTCCCTGCAGCCACACATGGAAGGGCTGGCTTTGACAGGAGATGCAGATATAGAGAGACATACAGATATGATGACAGGAAGCCAAAGTCTATGTGACCACATCTATTTCCAACATGAAATATGGGAGAAAATCACTTTTGGAAGTTAGGCTGAATCAAGTAATGGGTATTTGAGAGAAGTAAAGAAGGTATGAAATTATTACTACTGAGAAAATAGATTTCAGGCTGTATTTAAGACCTGGTAAAGGTTGATCATAAGTCTTAGGTGATATCCATCAGTATCCATCAGGAGATCAAAGCAAGAGTGGAAGAAAGCACAGTGGAGCTCCTGACCCAGAATCCACTTCCTAGCCTCCAGCCTCAGTCCTCTCTCCAACTTTCTAGTCGTATTATGAGCTATTCTGGATTATTTATAATATTTAATTACTGTGTCACTTGTTGGATCACTGGATTACTTACTATCTGATCACATATTAACCATTTCCTGTTTCATAATCCCTTAACTTGAACTCTTAACTCTACTGTCCACTCTCTCTAGTCCCATGTCCTATGTCCCTTTGTATATCTTCATGCCGCTAGAACTACAATAGCTAGTCAATGAATACTACCTAAATAGATTTAAGGTTTAACTGTGGCAGTTTTCTAAAGAGAGACTTCCAAGACTCCCTGCTGGTTTGTGTTTCCCTAGTAGACATGTAAAAATCTTCTTTCTGGGTACGGGGTCTGGGGGGACTTCACCAATCCTGTATTTTTGGAGTAACGAATGATAACCCAATAAAAAAACTGCATCTTAGAGGACCAGGAGGGGTGAGGCTGCCATCACTTTTGTTGAGGAAACAAGACCAGCTGTGGTCATTCCCATCAATTGTCCCCAACTATCTTTCTCCACCCATAGACCTAACCTATAATTCTGCTTCACATATATAAGCTGCCCTTTTCTTCCCAGTGCCACCCCAGAAGACTCAACTGGTTCATCTGTCTTCTGAGTTAGAAATCAGATTTCTCTGTACCCAAAGACCTTCAGTTGGAATGCTGTGCAGTCAGAATGTTGCCCTAAAATTTGGGGAAAGAGATAAAGTAATAGAGAACAATGAAAATAAAGACAAGAAAAACCCTACTTCAAGTTTCACTAGCCTGCCAAGTTCATACCTTCGCAGCCAGCCGACACTCCATCACCCTGATATTGAAATGGGAAGTTGCTGCCTTATTCATCTCCACACAACTGTTGGCAATCACAAACACTGCTCCACTTGGGAGTTTTACATCGGTTGCCCTCAGAGGACTAAATTCTATCAACTTGGCCTGTTAGAAGAAAAATGAAAGGAGAAATATAATTTATTAGAATGCAGAAAATGTTCAAGTGTTTATGTATTTATCTTAAAGTGTTTTGTCAAAAATGCATTCATTCATTCAAATATTACTTATTGACCTCCAGGCGCTGTACTAGGCACTGGAAATACAACAGTGAACAGGAAAGACACTGTCATTCCTCTCATAGAGCCCGCAATCAAGTGGGAAAGACAGTCTAGTAGACAGACAAATACCTTTCCAAGTTGTGTTACAATGGTAGCAAAGCACAGATGCTATATGGATACATAGCTGAAGCATCTCATCAGTACAGCCTACTGTAGGTTCCACTCAGTTGAAAAAGAGAAATCTAAACTGAGTTCTAAAAGATGAAAAAAGTAGGGCAGACAGAGGGTTTCTTTCCTCAAAAAGCATGTCAAGAAGAGGGAAGAACTTAGGCAAGTCCAGGGGCAAAAAACAACATGGAATGTTAATGGAGCTACGGGCATGGAAATTTGGTTAGAGCTTACAGTTTGAGGGGTGAGAAGTGGTGAGAGGTTAGGATAGAAGGGTAAAGCAGGGGTCAGATGGTGAAGTGTTTTGTAAGCCCAAAGAACTTAGACTGTGTTCAGACTCTATAGCTAACTTACATTAACATCAGGACTCTGGCCCTCATGTCTGCCTGTTGCGTCTCATCCAAAACACCCAAAGTATTTTCTTAGT
The DNA here is from genome assembly GCF_000001405.40 of Homo sapiens. Classification (NCBI taxonomy): domain Eukaryota; kingdom Metazoa; phylum Chordata; class Mammalia; order Primates; family Hominidae; genus Homo; species Homo sapiens. The sequence continues at coordinate 49,282,857 of NC_000015.10, read as the reverse complement.
ATTAAAACAAATTTCCTCATGCCTCATGTCTTTGGCTTAGGGGAATCAATAACAAATATTCTTACTAAGAAGGAATCCAGGTGTTCTTGGAAAATAGCCAAGCCTGTAGGAATCTGATGAAAAACTAAGAAAATGTTTTAAAGAAATGTTTGCTCTATTTTGGAAATGAGCAGCTTATGAGCAACAACTAAAACCTCTGCTCTGCCTAAAGGAGTTGATAGCCAAGGGGAAGCGGTATCCAGCTAAGGAATTCATTCCTGGCTTACTGGCAACATTCTTTTTCCCACCACTGAAGCCCCAAAAATGTTGACAGGAAAAATGATACCAAAGAGTAAATTATAAAAAGAGGGACTGTGAATATATGTGGTAAGAGAACTATGATTTGGGTTTAAAACCAACAAGAGATTATAAAAATGCATGAGATGAAGTGATTTAGGATAGGAGCAGGAAATGAGGTTCCAATAACTAGGGAATTGAGAAAGCTCATCTTAACAATGAAGAAAAATAGAAGAGGGGAAAAAGCTAGACACATGAGAAAAACAGACCTGAGTATCATTCTGGAAGCGTAAGAGAAAGGCAATCAACATGAAATAGAGTAGATTAACTGGTGGCAGCCTTGAGTTACAAGCAGTTGGGAAATAATATCCTACAATAGAGCCTAATATAGTAGGCTGTCCATAACCAAGCATCCTGGGGCTCTCAGGGCCTTCTTCTCCATGTAAATTTTCCCACTAGGAATTTCTGAATGGTTCCTACTTGGAATGCTACCTACAGTTCCTTCTTCTGCAAGAAATGATATAGACTGGTCCATGCCTCCTCCTTCAGTGCCAATGTAACGCTCACTCTTGGCACAGATTTCTGCAAGTTCCACCTGGAAAGGTAAAAACTGATTTGTACTGTGAGTAGTCATAACCCATTTCTCATTCATTTCTTACTACAGGCATGACAAACAGGTTTGAATTCCAGCACCAACTCTGATCAACTAATAGTAGCCTGCCTGGAGCACTGCATTAAAAAGGGCTCCAGACTATAGGAAAATATACCAAAATCAATTAACAATGTCTGCTATGGGTATGGAATAAGATATTGACCGTGCACACTATGTTTTCGCCATCCCTAATAGTCTCCACAGAGCAAGCAGTTTCTACCATCTTTCTATTTACTCTATCCTTCCCTAGACTGGTATCACTGAAAATCTCATATGGGCAATCATTCATTTTTGCCTCAGCTTCCTTTGTCTCCCAACAGTGAACTACTATTCCACAGTCTACCCATAACCAAAGTGGGGTCATTAAACTTTATTTTCCTGTCCAAAAGTAATGAAGTCTCTCTGGCATTTCCATTAAATGTAAGAATCAGAACTGGTGTCATCTCATCAGGCTCATCTTCCTCCAACCAAGATGTTCTAACCCAAACTGAAAATCTTGAAATATCTGTTTAAGAATCTTTAATGGCTTCCTATTGATTAAGAAATAAATCTAAACGCCTCAACCAGGCATTTCGAAGGCTTCCAAAATCTGGGACCATTATGCATACGAAATTGTATCATTTACCATTCTTATCCAGTTAGATTTGTCTCTTTGACCACTTCACACATGTTTATGCAACTTGGTATTACTTCCTGTCTTCTGTCCTGTATAAATTGTACTTTTGTCCAATATCCAGTTTATTGGCTAGCTACTATAGATAAATCCCTGGGCTGACCACTCAAATCTTTCTTCATGGCCCAGCACTGTGGCTTACGCCTGTAATCCCAGCACTTTGGGAGGCCGAGGTGGGCGGATCACGAGGTCAAGAGATCAAGACCATCCTGGCCAACATGGCGAAACCCCATCTCTACTAAAAATACAAAAATTAGCTGGGCATTGTGGTGCATGCCCGTAGTCACAGCTACTCAGGAGGCTGAGGCAGGAGAGTCTCTTGAACCTGGGCAGCGGAGGTTGCAGTGAGCCGAGGTTGCACCACTGCACTCCAGCCTGGTGACAGAGTAAGACCCCTTCTCAAAAAAAAATAAAAAAATAAAAAATCTTTCTTCATCATGGAGTCTTCTTCGAATATTATTCCCATCATGGTGTCCCCTTTTTCTAAACTCCTAAAACATTTAAGTTAGTATCGTCTAATACTCACACTACTATTCATTCATTCATCTATTCAGTTTAATTTATTGTAAGACTTTATTCGGGCCCTTATTTCTGTTTTACTATATGATGTTTCTAGAATAATTATTCTGAAAAACTGATATAATCATCTCTTGCCTGCTTGGTTGCCAACACCTTAATGCTCATACTCTACAGCATGGTACACAAGGTCTTTAATGACTTAACCCTAGTGCACTTCTCCAGCCTGCTCTCCCACCACTCCTCCTGTAAATCCTAAGCTCCAGCCATGAGGGATACTAAACAAATGCTGTTCTTTACTACCGCAGGCTCTTTCACATCTCATTGTCTTTACAAATATGATTTTCCATTCTCTTCACTCAATACTCCCCACCGCATTCCCAACTAGTCAACAATTCAAGCAGCACCTTGCCGTGGAACCTGCACCACCACCCATATGCATACATACCACATAACTCCTCCTCAGCACTCCCTGTTAATAACTCTATTATCATGTATTGAATATGCTTTAAGTGTGGCTCTACTTGTCTTTTTATCTACATGTCTGTGAATCACAGTGTTATTATTGCTCCTTAATTGTTAATTGTTTCATGTTTCTATCACATCTGTTTCTTGTGAGAGATGAATAAAGTATGGTGTTTCTTTTGTGTCCCCTACTTCACATAATGCCGAACACATAGTAAATATTAATAAACACCTGCTGCTTTCAATTTCTGAGAATAGCTGCCCAAACACCATCTGACAGATTCTGCAAGTGTCATATTCCTTGTTGGTCATGTGGATTCACTAACATTAACTTTTGTCTTGTGACATGAGGTAAACTTAGGATTTTGATGCAATAGGCATTGTTCATAGTCTGCTGACACACAGAGCCAGTGTCCATAATATGTACATTAAAAATAAATTAGTAACCAAAAGATCAAAACACTTGGATTTAAAATGTAGAGAAACAACATACCCAGATGAAGCAGTACATTCATCATTATGTAAGAGATGATGGAACCTGGGTGCCCAACTAACTGTGACCCTGGGCCAGTGTAAAAAGTCCCCTCCCCTCAACAGCAATAACAGCCACATTTACTGAGTCACAGTATGTGGTAAGTATACTAAGTACCTTGCATTATTTCTTTTGTAAGCATTATCTCCTTCAAACCTCCAAACAAAGTTCTGCTTATCCCCATTATAGACATGAGAAAAATGAGGTTTAGAGATATATAACCAGAAGTGGAAGTGCCAGGATTTGAACCTCACCTGACTCCAAAGCCTGTATTCTTTTCTCACTGGACTTCAACCAGTCCCTGCAAAATGGAGATGATGTAATCTATTTTTCACTACCTCAAAGGGATATGAAAAGACAAATGAGATTCACCAAAATTTAAGTATCCTCCCTCTTAAGAGGAAAAAACCAGAACATTGAGAAGTTTGAGAAATTTATGCTTATTAATTATTTTTTCCATGTATTCATATTCTATTAACAATGCTAATAGTTTTAGTAGTTAAGGTTTATTGAGCACTTATTATGTGCTAGGTAGTGTTCTAATTGCTTTGCCTGAATTATTTATTTCTCACACAACCCTACTGATATGGTTTGGCTGTGTCCCCACCCAAAAGCTCATCTTGAATTGTAATCCCCATAATCCCTACGTGTCAAGGGCAGGACCAGGTGGAGGTAATTGGATCACAGGGTTGGTTTCCCTCATGCTGTTCTCATGATAGTGAGTGAGTCTCGGGAGATCTGATGATTTTATAAGTGTCTGGCATTTCCCCTGCCTGCACTCACTCCGCCCTGCCGCCCTGTGAAGAAAGTACCTGCTTCTCCTTTGCCTTCTGCCATGATTGTAAGTTTCCTGAGGCTGCCCCAGCAATGTGGAACTGTGAGTCAATTACATCTCTTTCCTTTAAAAATTACCCAGTATCAAGTATTTCTTCACAGCAGTGTGATAACGGACTAATACACCTATAAAATAGGTCTCTGTGGCTTACAGATTAGGAAACTGAGTGGGTTTATTAGCTGAGACTAGGCTAGTAATTATTAAAGATATAATCCAAACTCAAATGATCTGACTCCAGCACCCATAATCTTAACCACCACCATATATTACCTCCTATCCATAATAAGGAGAAAAATACCCACCTCCCTAGCCACAGGATTATTGTAATGATCCAAGAAACTAAAGTTTAAAACTTCAAATAAAAGCACCTTATAGTGCTCTAAAGTACTACACAGTTGGTGTTATCTTTACATGATGAATAAGGAATCATCTGATTTACATAAAAAAGCAGCCAAGTCCCAAGCCAAATGTAAAGACAAGTTATAATTACTATAGAATACAAGACCATTTTTTAAGTGTTCAGGGAAAGAGAATTTAAAGAATCTGGATTCCTCTAAAACAGCCAATTCAACATTAAGGAGTAATGAAGCCTGAGGCAAACAGGAAAATATATGTCCAATTGTGTTTTATTTTTGTTTTTGTTTTTTTGAGTCAGTGTCTAGCTCTGTCGCCCGGGCTGGAGTACAGTGGTGCGATCTCGGCTCACTGCAAGCTCCGCCTCCCGGGTTCACGCCATTCTCCTGCCTCAGCCTCCCCAGTAGCTGGGACTACAGGCGCCCGCCACCACGCCAGGCTAATTTTTGTATTTTTAGTAGAGACGGGGTTTCACCGTGTTAGCCAGGATGGTCTTGATCTCCTGACCTCGTGATCTGCCCGCCTCGGCCTCCCAAAGTGCTGGGATTACAGGCGTGAGCCACCGCACCCAGCCCTATGCCCGATTTAAAGCATTTGGGTCTACTTACAGGGGCAGGGAGTCTCTACTCACAAAATAAAACATGCCTGTAGTAAAATATTCAACTGCAGGCCCACCAGCTGGTTTCCCCAGCGGCCCTACCTCTTCACCCCAGTACCATAAGCAGAAAGGTCAAATCCTTTTTTGTTTGTTCGTTTGTTTGAGACGGAGTCTCACTCTGTCCGCAGGCTGGAGTGCAGTGGCTCAATCTCGGCTCACTGCAAGCTCCGCCTCCCGGGTTCACGCCATTCTCCTGCCTCAGCCACCCGAGTAGCTGGGACTACAGGCGCCCGCCAACACGCCCGGCTAATTTTTGTATTTTTAGTAGAGACGGGGTTTCACTGTGTTAGCCAGGATGGTCTCAATCTCCTGACCTCGTGATCCGCCCGCCTCGGCCTCCCAAAGTGCTGGGATAACAGGCGTGAGCCACCGCGCCCGGCCAGAAAGGTCAAATCCTAAATGGTTATGATATATAAAGAAACTAGAAACAGCTGGGTGCGGTGGCTCACGCCTGTCATCCCAGCACTTTGGGAGGCCGAGGCGGGCGGATCACGAGGTCAGGAGATCGAGACCATCCCGGCTAAAACGGTGAAACCCCGTCTCTACTAAAAATACAAAAAATTAGCCGGGCGTAGTGGCGGGCGCCTGTAGTCCCAGCTACTTGGGAGGCTGAGGCAGGAGAATGGCGTGAACCCGGGAGGCGGAGCTTGCAGTGAGCCGAGATCCCGCCACTGCACTCCAGCCTGGGCGACAGAGCGAGACTCCGTCTCAAAAAAAAAAAAAAAAAAAAAAAAAAAAAAAAAAAAAAAAAAAAAAAAATACAAAAATTAGCCGGGCGTGTTGGCGGGCGCCCTACTCGAGTGGCTGAGGCAGGAGAATGGCGTGAACCCAGGAGGCGGAGCTTGCAGTGAGCCGAGATTGCGCCACTGCACTCCAGCCTGCAGGCGGGACAGAGCGAGACTCTGTCTCAAAAAAAAAAAAAAAAAGAAAAGAAAAAAAGAAACTAGAAACAAAAGGTTAAAAAAACAAAAACCAAAAAAAAAAAAAAAAAACCTCAGATTCTATTAAGAAAAAAGCTTGCATTCTTCTGATGGTAAACAAAAATTAGGCCCACAGAAATCAAAGAAATAATAAATAATTAATAAATAAATTAGCTAGGCCCATGGCCTAAGCCAGAGATAGCATGACCTGAACTCAGAGAACCATTAATGAAGGGATCTGGTGCCTTAACAGCACTACACTGTAAAAGGAAGCAGAGAATGCTGTCATTATGGATGATGTGAGGGAGACATGTGAGTGAGTCTATTCATGCTTTTTCTGTCTGTCCTTTGGGACACTGAAAATAGAACCATAAAATGTCCTCCAAGGATTATAATCAGACAGAGTGACTTGCAAAGACACTGAATCAATACTCCATACCTACTTAAATTATGTAAAATCTCAATAGATTTCATGAGAATAAGGAGTAGCTATCAAAAGAACATTATCAAAAGCATAAAGAAAAGAAGCATACTGGAAGCTAACTTCATGGATAGATCAAAATGAATTCAGGAACACCATTCTCTTTAGCAAAGGACAAAGGCATATTTCTACCTGATGGCTAAGTGATTCTAAGGCTTTTCCACTGTACCCCACAAACACAAACACACAACCTGAAAACCCTCAAGCTAGATCAGCAAAGCTCTAATGAAGAAGGGGTTCACTCCCGTCTCTACCATGTATTTTCTTTTGCTCTTACACTTGAGCACCACAAGAAACCCAGGGACTTCCAAACTAGTCACTTGTGACATTTTGCTCTCTATCCCTTCTTTCAAAACCCTAATGACTGAGAATCATTAGGGAAGACAATTTGACTGCATGGGAAACTTTGCCAAAGTGTGTAACCAATAAGCTGGTGTCTATTCAGACTTCTGCCCTCTGGACAGTTAGGAGACACCTGACATTATTTACAGATCTTCTTTTAAAGCTACTAAAGATAGTTAATGAAGCTACTTTAGCCCTTTGTGTGGTTCTCTTGAAGCAGCCTGGGTAGGAAACAAAAGCCTTGTGGGCTTCCTAAATTAAAGTTTATCCATCTGCATGCCAGTGGAACTCCAGGTAAGAGGAGAAATGAAATAACAGGGTTCAATTTAATAGAGAATCTAATTAAATCTAACTGATTAGCACTGAGAAGGGCGAAAGATTCATGAATGTTATGCCTCGCTAAACCTGGATATCCACAAAAAAACAATAATAATAATACAAAAGACTCAAGATATTAATACAGTGACCTGTTTTTGTTTAGCAGTTTTAATAATGAGATTGTTAAAAGCTGAATTACACTGGAAGGAATGTTTCGCTGAGTTAGTTAACCATGCCTATGGGAAGCCTAACTATTCAGAACACAAGGCTCTAACCAAGACAAAATTATACTGTTATAGTCAGCTGCCATAAGTGCAAGTCAAGAGAAAGGAAGGAAATAAACAGACCCATTCATTCATTCAACAATCATTTAAATAGTGACCTAACAGATAAGTGAATAGGCCAGTGTCTGCCCTCAAGGAGCTCACAATATTGATAGTGTCTTTAGGTGAACAAGTCTTCCAAAAGAAAATGTAAACCTGGAGTGACAGCTTCTGTTTGCCTCTCCAGATCTGTCCACTTGCCTTCATCCTGCTATCTGCCCCAGAAGGCTGCCCAGGATGAACTACAGTCATGTGCTGCACAAAAGCATTTTGGAGTGGTCTCATAAGAGTAAAACGGAACTGAACAATTCCTATCACCTAGTGACACCATAGCTCAGAGCTGTTGTAACATCACATTACATTTGTGGTGATGTTGATGTAAACAAACCTACTGCACTGCCAGTCATATAAAAGTGTAGTATGTATGATTATGCACAGTACATAATACTTGGTAATAAATGACTATGCTACTGGTGTACATATTTATTATACTTTTTATCATTATTTTAGAGCATATGTCTTCTACTTATTAAAAAAAAAAGTTAACTGTAAAACAGTCTCAAGACAGGTCTTCGGGAGGTATGCCAGAAGAAGGCACTGTTATCACAGGAGATGACAGCTCCATCCATGTTATTGCCCCTGAAGACCTTCCAGTAGGACAAGAGGTGGAGGTGGAACACAGTGATATTGATGATCCTGACTCTGTTTTAGTTTTTAACAAAAAAACTAAAAGTTTAAAACGTTAAAAAATTAAAAAATTTTAAAAATAGAAAAGAGCTCACAGAATAAGGATATAAAGAAACACTTTGTACAGCTATACAATGTGTTTGTGTTTCAAGCTAAGTGTTATTACAAGAGTCAAAAATTTTTTTTAATTTTAAGTTTATAAAGTAAGAAAGTTACAGCAAGCTAAGGTTAGTTTATTACTGAAGGAAAACATTTTTATATAAATTTAGTGTAGCCTACATGGACAGTGTTGATAAAGTCTACAGTAGTGTACAGTCATGTCCTGCGCCTTCACATTCACTCACCACTCACAGACTCACCCAGAGCAACTGCCAGTCCTGCAAGGTCCATTCATAATAAATGCCCAATATAACTGTATGATTTTTTCTTTTAAACCATATTTTTACTTTACCTTTTTTATGTTTAGCTACACAAATACTTACCATTGTGTTACAACTGCCTATAGTATTCAGTACAGTAATATGCTGTACTGGTTCTATAGCCTAGAAGCAATAGGCTGTACCATATAGACTAGGTGTGTAGTAGGCTACACCATCTAGGTTTGTGTTAGTACACTCTATGATGTTGACACAATGACAAAATCACCTAACAGCACATTTCTCAGTCCATTACCCCATTGTTAAGCAATGCATAATTGTGCATCAACAGGCTCCGGTGCTCTCTGCTTCCCATCAGGTTCTTCTAACAGAGGACTCTGGCAGGAAATGGGGAAGGGAGGGAGAGTAAAGTGATGTCTCTCCCTGTCGAGGGTACCTTCAGGCCCAAGGGCAGCAACAGCACAGCTACAACTAGTCCTGGGTGTCCCCTAAACCCACATCTTTGTAAACAGTCCTAGTGAAATAAACTGTCCTTCAGCATTGAGTGTGCCATCTGTTTTCTGTTACAACCCTGACTGTTTCATCTAGATAAAGTAAAAACATTAATGGCTCCTCTGACTTTACCTCAAATATTTTCTCTATTTTCTCCCTCTATAATCCTTCTCCACCCTAACTTTCAAAATTTCTAGGTTATTACCTGGGGCTATTTTCAAATTCTTCCCCAAGTTGGCAAACATATTAGGTAGAGCCCATCCAGGACAGAGAAGTTCTCCATGAAATGGCACCAAGATAACTCTAAAAGAGACTGAAGCAGACTTGCTTTGTTTTGAAACATGGCTGATGAACAAGCTCTAACTTACAGACACTTTGTAAGGGAAAAAAAAAAAAGCCTGTTCTAATATTTTTTTTTCAAGAAGGAGGCTATTATTTCTTCTTCACATCTCTAACTTAAGAGATGTAATGCAAAGGAATTAGCAACTTTCGCATTTTTTACTTCAAGAAAAGTTGCCTGAGGACAAAGACAGCCAATTCCCAAACTGGGCACAGCAGATGCAAATGACCCTGATGGTTCAGGCTGAAAAGTTCCTGTAAATAATACAGGAAAGAAAGGAAGGAGTTTAAATATCAAAATAAGCAGAAACTAGAAAAAAACAACAACAGTGAGGAGGTTTCTCCAAAGTCAATCTAAGAAATCTGCAAAAATGTAGAAACACCACAGAGTTTGCATTAAGCACTCAGAGTTTGCATTAAGCACTCATGCTTTTTTCACACATAGCTTGTTTTTAGTTCTTAGGGCTGGATATTCGTATGTTCCTATAAAAGCTCAATGGGCTCAGAAAGTGTGTATCACAAAAGGACAACAGTACACTCTTCTATCTGTGTACAGTGGAGAGAACGTGATCTAATGAACCTGGAGAAAGCTAGTAGTTGGGACATGGGGCTCTAAAAATATCTCAGGTGCTCAGTGAGGGCAGAAGCACAGTCTTCCAGTGGCTCCCTCCAGACTTGTCGACAAGAGAAAGACAAAGACCACTTCCTTAACCTAACTGATCTGCAATCCAAGTCACAGAGGGACCCAGATTCTGAGAAGGGACCTTCAACAATCAGGCTGGAGCAAAGTATTTTATTCAAACACTTTGGGATCCTAGGCCCATGGGAATCCTGGGGAAATGTCTATGATAGGTTTCTTCTAGACCTCAACCATCACGGCCTGTACTGCATGAGGAGGAATCTTATTAGTACCTAACAATGTACAACCTTGGATATTTCTCCAGATGATGACTCTGGATGTGCAAATGTGTGTGGTAAAACTGTTAAAATATTAACATGAATCTAAAAGGTAATAATGAGATGCAAAGGGAGAAAAGAGTACAGTATACTCTGCTACTCCAAGTGCAGTCTTCACACGCAGCATTGATGTCACCCGGGAACTGGTTAAACGTGCACAATCTCATGCTCCATCCCAGACCTACTGAATCAGAATCTGCAACTTAACAAGATCCCCAGGTGATCTGCATGCATATTAAATCTGAAACAGCTCTTTAAATGATTTCCTACATGACAAGGCTTTCTTGATAAATTAAACAAATTGGGAAAGAATATTAACAAAAAAGTGAAGAAAGCTGACAAATACCAAATGTCTTCTAGGGCTAGACACTGTGCAGGGTATTTTGTACATCTTATTTAATTTACAAAACAACCCAGAAAAAGAATTATAACTTTTTATAGAATTGTAACTTCTCTATTTCATAGAGAAGGAAATTGAGGCTCAAAAAGGTCAATAAGCTGACCTAAAATAAGATTCAAAGCCAGAAAGGCCTGGCTCAAAAGTCCACCAAGCTACCTTGTCATTCTGCTTCAGGAAACAGGCTGTGCCCAAAATTGGGCCCTGGTGAGCCAATGGAGCACAATTTATGCATATCTGAACTGAAACTCCTTTTCATTAGAATGAACAATTAAGTTGACCATAAGTTCTAGGAGGCAGACATTTCTGATTCATCAAAATGTTCCTCCATTTTCTCTTCAAGTTAAAAAACGTGTACGTTGCTGGATGGCCTGAGGCTTGGAGGGCTTTGCCATTATCCATTTCCAAACACAATTCCCAAATAGTTTCCTCCCAAAGATCCCAATGTTCTTAATTGTTTCGCAACCCAGAGTGATCTCAATATAGGGCTAATAGCTTGGTATGATTTCTGTAGCCCAATAATTGTAATGCCAGCTAACACAATGCCTCAGACACTGTTCTAAGCACTTTTTGTGTTCTATCTAGTTTCAAATCCGTGAGGGAGGGAGTTTCAAATCCATTTTATAATGAAGAAACTGAAGCATAGAGAGGTTAAATAAACTGCCCAAGATCATTCAGCTAGTAAGTGGCAAAGCCAGAATTTGAGCTCAGAGTCTTGGTTCTATGCTTTTAAGCATAATACTATACTTTATCTCTCAGGGAAAGGTTTCAGGAGTAGACCAGGATCCCAAAATTCAGGAGCCCCCAAAGCCTTCCCTGCATACTTATCTCTCACTAGCACAATTGACTGAATCCCTTTCATTGTTTAAATTCTTAGAAAACACAGGGTGGGAGTTGGAGGGAATAGTCAGCAAACACATACCAAAGTAACTACTACTGGGAAGAGGAGAAGAGGGGAGAAAAAACTGCCTAAAAAAAAGTTGTTGGGGAAAGCCAACAGGAGGCAGGAGCCTGGCCGGCCTGATGGAATCAGACAATAATATGACCCAAGTCACAGCTACTAAATACCAGCGGGGCCTCCAATGCCTGTGGTAAAGGCTGGTGTCACTCCTTTGGCTGGCAGAATACTTATTTTGGCTCTAACCTTCTAAAAATGCTAAATAATGATAATAATGGATGGGCGGCAGGCTTACAATCTCTGTGGTTTGGCAAGCGTGTCCTGGAATTGCATGTTCCTTCCCATGGATAGAGGAACCCTCCTATTCCCTGGAGGAAGGGTTCCTTATACTGTGTTTTGAGCAGAACAGTCCTGTCCCACTCTTGAGGTCCTAACTGCAGGATTTCTAGTGGTAAACCAATCTGGACTCTCCTAGAGAATGACAAGAAGAGAGGGGCATTCGATGACTAGTTACTATTTCTTTCCCTAGCATAATAATAACTATGAGAATACTTGCTAATTTTCCTAATATGGATCTGATCATACAGATATAGATGCAAACGAAAGAGAAAGAAAGAACCTCTATGAATCATAATCCGAGTCAACCAAATACATATCTCAGTGTACACATTTGCCTTGGGGAAAGGGTTTTATGTATACAATAGTTAATTCGCAAACACTTTGACATGTAGTGGGAAGCATCTTTAGGGTCAGGAAATGCTGAGGGTGTTCCAAGAGTTGTTACATGAAATAAATTGATTTTACTGCACTGTGCTCAAATGTTATGCTCAGAGCATCTACTGAAGGTCATTATAAGAAAGAGTCATGTGAACACCACTCTTGCATTTGTTTTCAGACATTGCAGAGGTGATTTTCATTATATTTTATGTGCTCTAAAGAATCCATGTGAGAAATGCATTTCAGAATTTAGCACCCCCAGGGAAAATACTGCCTCTTCTGAAGAACTGGAATGATTCCTCTATTCTGATCATGAGACCTCTATAACTTACTATTGCCCTTTCACCTTGGCCTCCAGGAATCTTAGTAAGTAAGATTAAACAAAACAATTACATTAAGTAATTAAGAGTTGGTATGTTTTTATTCTTTTCTTTTGTCCTAGTTTTCTACTTCTAATTTATTAACCTTACTGAATATTTTGGATTGTATAATTCCTAGACACTTTAAACATAAAGAAAATAGGCACTTGGTACAAATAGAATAAAAAACTGAGACATAGCAGATGGGAGGAATAGTTACGTTAGGGGAGCGATGATAAACAAGAGTACATTCTAAGAAGAGGGAGCAAGAATGGTGAGGAGGTCCAGTAGCCATATTCCATAAGGAATAGTTGAAACAACAGTGGATGTGTGGCTTAGAGAAAGAATAAGAGGACGCACAAGCGGTTCCTTCAAACTTCAAAGGATTCTACTATCAAAAGGAGGAGACAATTGGGGATATATAGATAGAAAGGATAGAGTTTGATTAAATAGAAGGAAAATCTTTCCAATGATTAGAGTGGTCCAAGAATGAAAAGGGCTAATTTGTGAAGCAGTGAGATCACTATGGTAACAGAGGGTAGAAAATGATCTCCTATTAATATCTCAAGTTGGGAGGTGAGTGGAATAAAAATGCACATAGGGAGAGGGCCCCTGAGTTCTGGGGTTCAGAGACAGCAGCGTCTTAACTTCAATTCCTAGGGAAAAACTATACTTCCTTGTCCTCCTCCAAATTTTAAAAATTTATAAATATTCTGTTCTACAAAAGATGAAAATGTATGTAGAAATGCTGAAACAAAAGGGTTAAATTCCTTGCTCTTTGCAAAATAGGAGAGGGAAGTAAAAGGAAAACTTCATGAAACAGTAGAGAATTTCCATTTTGTCCTGTCTTCCAAAATGTGGGTTCTTGGGCACAACTCTACTCCCCATGTTTATGAGGCCTATGCTGAGTTGAGACTACCACAAGAGCTCACCTTCACCCTCCATGCAATCTACCAGGCCCCTGACCTTGCACTGCACAATATACCCTATGGAAGAAGTACCTCAGGGGCAGATTCATTTGATCTCTTGTACAGCACTTTTTAAATATATATTTGCGGCTCTATGCTACACACCATGGGAGAACCAAAAGAAGTGCTGACAACCAATAACTTTCATGAACAATCTAATTACAAATCACAGCCCAAGTACACTCTAATCCATAAGGCAAAAAGCTGACCTAGAAAACCTATCCTTTGAAAAATAAATGATTGTAATCTCTTTCTCCAGATTTTCATTCCTTAAGTACCTACATATAGTTACTCCTGACACTCCCCCAAATTATAAATGTTATAAATACAATGCTTAACAAAACTTAGATAAAAATAGAAACAATATTGCAGATGATGTTGCATAATCACTATCTTGGATGTAAATATAAAAATGTCATTTAGTTTAGCACACTATTGGTAGAAGGGCTCAAAGGAGAGGGAAGTAATTTCTAATGGAACAAAAACTAACCTAGACCAGGAGATGTACCCAATTGGTAAGGTAATTTGCTAGAAAATAAATCCATTTTACACACTGCCAATCCATGGAGCAAAAGATGCTAACATTGTCTAAAGAGAGACAGTAGAAGAAGGGGAGAAAAAGAAGATGATCATTTCTGATCATTTCTAAGGTATACCAGTAAGGATAGAACCCTGGCTGGCTGCTTTGCAAGGTGGATAATGGGCTCCCTGCTACTGGACCAAACAGCAGCCTGCAACATCAGCCACTGTCCTTACATTACACCACCTGTGCCTCAGACTGCAGCTCTGCTCACTTTCTCTCTTACTTCATGATTCTTTCTATCCACATCTTTCAGTGGATATATTACTAATTTCTATAGCTGAAGTTTTAGCTCTGCAAAGCAATCTAGAACACTCTGCATTTTACATTGACATATGACATAGTGACTTTAAAAAATGAGTAATTTTTGGCTTGTACCTGCAACTCAGCTTTTACATCTCAACTGACACCACAAAGCCTTTCCCAAAACTACTCTTCCCCATTTAAATTGGGTTCTCCCTGTTCTCTCTCATAATCTGTTTCCTTCATAACATTTATCACAATCTGTGTACAGATATTTGTGTATGTTTGTTTAATATTAGTCTTCCTCCATTAGTCTAAGCTCCATGAGGGGAGGAGTCATTCTGTTCACCTTGTATCTCTAATACCTAAACTATTTGTTGATAAATGAATGCTGAATAAATGAATGAATGAACAAATGAATATACAATGTCAACTCCCCATTTCCCTGCTAACCCACCATATTCAGAGACAAAAATCTTCCCCTGATAAATGAATATGTACCAAATTAAAATCCTGGAACTATGCAGTCATTATATGACACTGGCAAATCTTGGAGAGTGAAATATCACTTTCTTTTGCTTCATTCAGAGTTTTATAACAGAAAAACCTATCTCATTCTTCTTTATATGTTTATGTGCTGAGATACAGAAAAAAAATCTAGAAAATTCATTATAGTCAATATTTTCCAACTTCCTTCTTTGATAAAAATATGAAAGAAGTAAGGATTTTACTTCTTTCCATTTTTCTGATTTATTCAAGAAAAATATGCCAATAACTATCAAAACATCTATAATATGACCAACATGAAAAGGAGGAAATAAAGAACTAGAAAATTCCAGTAAAACAGAAATAACATGTTATCACAGAAATGGCATTATGTGTAGAAGAAAAAGGGTTTAAGTGATAAAACCATCCAAGACATACCCAAACAGATTTCCCAGTCTGTTACTAGAAACACTGCTGCCATTATTGAAGGGATTGGTATTCCCCATTGGACTGAGACTCTGGAGACAGAAGACCTTGACAACGATTCTTTGCTTGCCCAAACTTCAGTCATGCTCCTGAACCAGCTACTAGGCCCATCTGTTCACCTTGCTAAATCAGTTTAGTGAGAACACCCCACCCTCAATATCTGATCACCCTTGATATCTGATAAGGTTCCTCATCTTCCAACATCCTCCAGGTAATGACTGATCACCTTGGCCTGCATTCAGCAAGAATCCTTTTAGGTCAGGTTAGCTGGAATCCTCATTACTCCTGATGTTTAATTTCCCATTCACTGGCTCCTACCCTGCTCCTTGGCTATAACTTCCCATTTGGCCATGCTGTATTCAGAGTTGAGCCCAATTTCTCTCTCCCATTGCAAAATCTCATCACAATGGTCCTTAAGAAAGCCTGCTTTGCCATGTTTTAACAAATATCATTGAATATTTTTTTCTTTAACACCCTTTACCCCTTTACGTGGCTCAAGTACCTCCCTTCCATACTGGTTTTTAGTTCATCATCTCGTTCCTCCCAGGTCCCAGCCACTACTCTCAATCCCCTGAAATTAATACAGTAGTTATAAAACTCATCGTAATGGACCCATGTGAGATGTCTAGCCACCCTCTTCCCATCTCTACACTTTTCTGGGGACACTGAACTCTTTTTCCTCCTTCTTAGCACTCTACCTCCAACTATTAATACCACAAGGTTATAACAATATAACTCATAATTGCCAGATTCACACACACACCCAATCTCCCATCCACCCAACAAAATGCTTTATCACCATTCATAGATCCAGGAGTGGGTACCTGGCTGAAGACACTAACCAGATTCCCCTTCTAGAGTTCCTTCTTCAGAAAAATCTTCCCAATGGGGAAAGAGTCAGTTTTAAGCGATCTATGTCTATCTCATATGATCATAGAAGCTGTCAGCAGCCATATTTTCTAAAATGGAGACCAGAGAAGTAGAGGAAGCTGGTCTGAAGATTAAGAAGAATGAAACAGACAAGCAAAACAGAGAGCAAGACAAGTGAGAGAGGCAGTCTTAACGACACTTAGGTTTCTGTGCATTCCTGAAACCCAGCTCCATTATATTAGACTGCAAAATGACCACAAATTCTTCCCCTCTCTGTTTCCGTTCCCTTGCAATGTGACTTTGCAGTTCCACCCATCAAAAGATGAAATCTGTTTCTCCACTCATTAAATCTGGGATAAAACTTGCTTTGCTCAATTTGGGTAGAGGCATATGAGATATAAACAGAAACTTGAAAAGCACTTGTACATTGGAGCTTGCCCTCCACCTGCTCTTGGAAGCTGGAGATCTCCATTTGGACAAGCCTGGACTAGCCTGGAGGATGATAAACATGTGGCCCAAGGCCTCCTATCATGTCGGCTGACAGCCAGCCAATCCAGAAGCAGAAGTGCCAACTTGACCAGCAGCTGAGATCAGATGTCTTAATGAGTCCAGACAAAATAGACAGAATTACTGTCAAGCTGAACCCAGTCCAAGTGGTGGTAGTCTTAAGCCACTATATTTCGAAAAAAATTGTTACACAGCAAAAGCTAACTGACATACCCTCCTTCGCATTTTAGGACACATACTTAAAGCAAACACTCCTTTTTTAATGAAGCTGGCTTGAGTGGGCTATTTTTCCTTGCTAGCAAGAATCTTAAAAACTCACAAGCGCTTTTGGAATATTTTATCTTCACAGAAGCCCAAAGAATATTCAAACATTCAAACAATTTCAAACATTTTGTTCCATTCAGTTAAAAAAACATGGAACTACTGGGGCAGGAGCAAAGATGGCCGAATAGGAACAGCTCCGCTCTACAGCTCCCAGCGTGAGCGACGCAGAAGACGGGTGATTTCTGCATTTCCATCTGAGGTACTGGGTTCATCTCCCTAGGGAGTGCCAGACAGTGGGCACAGGATAGTGGATGCAGCGCACTGCGCGCGAGCCAAAACAGGGCGAGGCATTGCCTCACTCGGGAAGCGCAACGGGTCAGGGAGTTCCCTTTCCTAGTCAAAGAAAGGGGTGACAGACAGCACCTGGAAAATCGCATCACTCCCAACCCAACACTGCGCTTTTCCGACGGGCTTAAAAAACGGCACACCAGGAGATTATATCCTGCACCTGGCTCAGAGGGTCCTATGCCCACGGAGCCTCGCTGATTGCTAGCACAGCAGTATAAGATCAAACTGCAAGGCGGCAGCCAGGCTGGGGGAGGGCGCGCGCCATTGCCCAGGCTTCCTTAGGTAAATAAAGCAGCCAGGAACCTAGAACTGGGTGGAGCCCACCACAGCTCAAGGAGGCCTGCCTGCCTCTGTAGGCTCCACCTCTGGGGGAAGGGCACAGACAAAAAGACAGCAGTAACCTCTGCAGACTTAAATGTCCCTGTCTGACAGCTTTGAAGAGAGCAGTGGTTCTCCCAGCACGCAGCTGGAGATCTGAGAATGGGCAGACTGCCTCCTCAAGTGGGTCCCTGACCCCTGACCCCCAAGCAGCCTAACTGGGAGGCACCCCCCAGTAGGGGCAGACTGACACCTCACACGGCTGGGTACTCCTCTGAGACAAAACTACCAGAGGAACGATCAGACAGCAGCATTCGCGGTTCACGAAAATCCGCTGTACTACAGCCACCACTGCTGGTACCCAGGCAAACAGGGTCTGGAGTGGACCTCTAGCAAACTCCAACAGACCTGCAGCTGAGGGTCCTGTCTGTTAGAAGGAAAACTAACAAACAGAAAGGACATACACACCAAAAACCCATCTGTACATCACCATCATCAAAGACCAAAAGTAGATAAAACCACAAAGATGGGGAAAAAACAGAACAGAAAAACTGGAAACTCTAAAAAGCAGAGCGCCTCTCCTCCTCCAAAGGAACGCAGTTCCTCACCAGCAATGGAACAAAGCTGGATGGAGAATGACTTTGACGAGCTGAGAGAAGAAGGCTTCAGACGATCAAATTACTCTGAGCTACGTTGGGAGGACATTCAAACCAAAGGCAAAGAAGTTGAAAACTTTGAAAAAAATTTAGACGAATGTATAACTAGAATAATCAATACAGAGAAGCGCTTAAAGGAGCTGATGGAGCTGAAAGCCAAGGCTCGAGAACTACGTGAAGAATGCAGAAGCCTCAGGAGCCGATGCGATCAACTGGAAGAAAGGGTATCAGTGATGGAAGATGAAATGAATGAAATGAAGCGAGAAGGGAGGTTTAGAGAAAAAAGAATAAAAAGAAATGAGCAAAGCCTCCAAGAAATATGGGACTATGTGAAAAGACCAAATCTACGTCTGATTGGTGTACCTGAAAGTGATGGGGAGAATGGAACCAAGTTGGAAAACACTCTGCAGGATATTATCCAGGAGAACTTCCCCAATCTAGCAAGGCAGGCCAACGTTCAGATTCAGGAAATCCAGAGAACGCCACAAAGATACTCCTCGAGAAGAGCAACTCCAAGACACATAATTGTCAGATTCACCAAAGTTGAAATGAAGGAAAAAATGTTAAGGACAGCTAGAGAGAAAGGTCGGGTTACCCTCAAAGGGAAGCCCATCAGACTAACAGTGGATCTCTTGGCAGAAACCCTACAAGCCAGAAGAGAGTGGGGGCCAATATTCAACATTCTGAAAGAAAAGAATTTTCAACCCAGAATTTCATATCCAGCCAAACTAAGCTTCATAAGTGAAGGAGAAATAAAATACTTTACAGACAAGCAAATGCTGAGAGATTTTCTCACCAACAGGCCTGCCTTACAAGAGCTCCTGAAGGAAGCACTAAACATGGAAAGGAACAACCAGTACCAGCCGCTGCAAAATCATGCCAAAATGTAAAGACCATCGAGACTAGGAAGAAACTGCATCAACTAACAAGCAAAATAACCAGCTAACATCATAATGACAGGATCAAATTCACATATAACAATATTAACTTTAAATGTAAATGGACTAAATGCTCCAATTAAAAGACACAGACTGGCAAATTGGATAAAGAGTCAAGACCCATCAGTGTGCTGTATTCAGGAAACCCATCTCATGTGCAGAGACACACATAGGCTCAAAATAAAAGGATGGAGGAAGATCTACCAAGCCAATGGAAAACAAAAAAAGGCAGGGGTTGCAATCCCAGTCTCTGATACAACAGACTTTAAACCAACAAAGATCAAAAGAGACAAAGAAGGCCATTACATAATGGTAAAGGGATCAATTCAACAAGAAGAGCTAACTATCCTAAATATATGTGCACCCAATACAGGAGCACCAAGATTCATAAAGCAAGTCCTGAGTGACCTACAAAGAGACTTAGACTCCCACACATTAATAATGGGAGACTTTAACACCCCACTGTCAACATTAGACAGATCAACGAGACAGAAAGTCAACAAGGATACCCAGGAATTGAACTCAGCTCTGCACCAAGCGGACCTAATAGACATCTACAGAACTCTCCACCCCAAATCAACAGAATATACATTTTTTTCAGCACCACACCACACCTATTCCAAAACTGACCACATACTTGGAAGTAAAGCTCTCCTCAGCAGATGTAAAAGAACAGAAATTATAACAAACTATCTCTCAGACCACAGTGCAATCAAACTAGAACTCAGGATTAAGAATCTCACTCAAAACTGCTCAACTACATGGAAACTGAACAACCTGCTCCTGAATGACTACTGGGTACATAATGAAATGAAGGTAGAAATAAAGATGTTCTTTGAAACCAACGAGAACAAAGACACAACATACCAGAATCTCTGGGATGCATTCAAAGCAGTGTGTAGAGGGAAATTTATAGCACTAAATGCCCACAAGAGAAAGCAGGAAAGATCCAAAATTGACACCCTAACATCACAATTAAAAGAACTAGAAAAGCAAGAGCAAACACATTCAAAAGCTAGCAGAGGGCAAGAAATAACTAAAATCAGAGCAGAACTGAAGGAAATGGAGACACAAAAAACCCTTCAAAAAATTAATGAATCCAGGAGCTGGTTTTTTTGAAAGGATCAACAAAATTGACAGACCGCTAGCAAGACTAATACAGAAGAAAACAGAGAAGAATCAATAGACGCAATAAAAAATGATAAAGGGGATATCACCACCGATCCCACAGAAATACAAACTACCATCAGAGAATACTACAAACACCTCTATGCAAATAAACTAGAAAATCCAGAAGAAATGGATAAATTCCTCGACACATACACCCTCCCAAGACTAAACCAGGAAGAAGTTGAATCTCTGAAAAGACCAATAACAGGCTCTGAAATTGTGGCAATAATCAATAGCTTACCAACCAAAAAGAGTCCAGGACCAGATGGATTCACAGCCGAATTCTACCAGAGGTACAAGGAGGAACTGGTACCATTCCTTCTGAAAATATTCCAATCAATAGAAAAAGAGGGAATCCTCCCTAACTCATTTTATGAGGCCAGCATCATCCTGATGTCAAAGCCGGGCAGAGACACAACCAAAAAAGAGAATTTTAGACCAATATCCTTGAAGAACATTGATGCAAAAATCCTCAATAAAATACTGGCAAACTGAATCCAGCAGCACATCAAAAAGCTTACCCACCATGATCAAGTGGGCTTCATCCCTGGGATGCAAGGCTGGTTCAATATACACAAATCAATAAATGTAATCCAGCATATAAACAGAACCAAAGACAAAAACCACATGATTATCTCAATAGATGCAGAAAAAGCCTTTGACAAAATTCAACAACCCTTCATGCTAAAAACTCTGAATAAATTAGGTATTGATGGGATGTATTTCAAAATAATAAGAGCTATCTATGACAAACCCACAGCCAATATCATACTGAATGGGCAAAAACTGGAAGCATTCCCTTTGAAAAGTGGCACAAGACAGGGATGCCCTCTCTCACCACTCCTATTCAACATAGTGTTGGAAGTTCTGGCCAGGGCAATTAGGCAGGAGAAGGAAATAAAGGGTATTCAATCAGGAAAAGAGGAAGTCAAATTGTCCCTGTTTGCGGATGACATGATTGTATATCTGGAAAACCCCATTGTCTCAGCCCAAAATCTCCTTAAGCTGATAAGCAACTTCAGCAAAGTCTCAGGATACAAAATCAATGTACAAAAATCACAAGCATTCTTATACACCAATAACAGACAAACAGACAGCTAAATCATGAGTGAACTCCCATTCACAATTGCTTCAAAGAGAATAAAATACCTAGGAATCCAACTTACAAGGGACGTGAAGGACCTCTTCAAGGAGAACTACAAACCACTGCTCAAGGAAATAAAAGAGGATACAAACAAATGGAAGAACATTCCATGCTCATGGGTAGGAAGAATCAATATCATGAAAATGGCCATACTGCCCAAGGTAATTTATAGATTCAATGCCATCCCCATCAAGCTACCAATGACTTTCTTCACAGAATTGGAAAAAACTACTTTAAAGTTCATATGGAACCAAAAAAGAGCCTGCATTGCCAAGCCAATCCTAAGCCAAAAGTACAAAGCTGGAGGCATCACACTACCTGACTTCAAACTATACTACAAGGCTACAGTAACCAAAACAGCATGGTACTGGTACCGAAACAGAGATATAGATCAATGGAACAGAACAGAGCCCTCAGAAATAACACCACATATCTACAACTATCTGATATTTGACAAACCTGAGAAAAACAAGCAATGGGGAAAGGATTCCCTATTTAATAAATGGTGCTGGGAAAACTGGCTAGCCATATGTAGAAAGCTGAAACTCGATCCCTTCCTTACACCTGATACAAAAATCAATTCAAGATGGATTAAAGACTTAAACGTTAGACCTAAAACCATAAAAACCCTAGAAGAAAACCTAGGCATTACCATTCAGGACATAGGCATGGGCAAGGACTTCATGTCTAAAACACCAAAAGCAATGGCAACAAAAGCCAAAATTGACAAATGGGATCTAATTAAACTAAAGAGCTTCTGCACAGCAAAAGAAACTACCATCAGAGTGAACAGGCAACCTACAAAATGGGAGAAAATTTTCACAACCTACTCGTCTGACAAAGGGCTAATATCCAGAATCTACAATGAACTCAAACAAATTTACAAGAAAAAAACAAACAACCCCATGAAAAAGTGGGCGAAGGACATGAACAGACACTTCTCAAAAGAAGACATTTATGCAGCCAAAAAACACATGAAATTGGCCATCAGAGGAATGCAAATCAAAACCACAATGAGATACCATCTCACACCAGTTAGAATGGCGATCATTAAAAAGTCAGGAAACAACAGGTGCTGGAGAGGATGTGGAGAAATAGGAACACTTTTACACTGTTGGTGGGACTGTAAACTAGTTCAAACCTTGTGGAAGTCTGTGTGGCGATTCCTCAGGGATCTAGAACTAGAAATACCATTTCACCCAGCCATCCCATTACTGGGTATATACCCAAAGGACTATAAATCATGCTGCTATAAAGACACATGCACACGTATGTTTATTGCGGCACTATTCACAATAGCAAAGACTTGGAACCAACCCAAATGTCCAACAATGATAGACTGGATTAAGAAAATGTGGCACATATACACCATGGAATACTATGCAGCCATAAAAAATGATGAGTTCATATCCTTTGTAGGGACGTGGATGAAACTGGAAATCATCATTCTCAGTAAAGTATCGCAAGAACAAAAAAACCAAACACCACATATTCTCACTCATAGGTGGGAATTGAACAATGAGAACATATGGACACAGGAAGGGGAACATCACACTCTGGGGACTGTGGTGGGGTTGGGGGAGGGGGGAGGGATAGCATTGGGAGATATACCTAATGCTAGATGACAAGTTAGTGGGTGCAGCGCACCAGCATGGCACATGTATACATATGTAACTAACCTGCACATTGTGCACATGTACCCTAAAACTTAAAGTATAATAATAATTAAAAAAAAAAAAGAAAATGTGGCACATATACACCATGGAATACTATGCAGCCATAAAAAATGATGAGTTCATGTCCTTTGTAGGGACCTGGATGAAATTGGAAATCATCATTCTCAGTAAACTATCACAAGAACAAATAACCAAACACCACATATTCTCACTCATAGGTGGGAACTGAACAATGAGAACACATGGACACAGGAAGGGGAACATCACACTCTGGGGAACTGTTGTGGGGTGGGGGGAGGGGGGATGGATAGCTTTAGGAGATATACCTAATGCTAAATGAGGAGTTAATGGGTGCAGCACAACAGCATGGCACATGTATACATATGTAACTAACCTGCACATTGTGCACATGTACCCTAAAACTTAAAGTATAATAATAATAAAATAAAATAAATAATGGAACTACTCACTTTATCCTTCCCTGAGGTCTATGATCATCTCCTCTATAGCTTATCAATTTTTAGTATACATATATATATATGTATACAAAATAGGAGAAAATTTTCACAACCTACTCATCTGACAAAGGGCTAATATCCAGAATCTACAGTGAACTCAAACAAATTTACAAGAAAAAAACAACCCCATCAAAAAATGGGTGAAGGACATGAACTGACACTTCTCAAAAGAAGACATTTATGCAGCCAAAAAACACATGAAAAAATGCTCACCATCACTGGCCATCAGAGAAATGCAAATCAAAACCACAATGAGATACCATCTCTCTCTCTCTCTCTCTCTCTCTCACACACACACACACACACACACACACACACACACATATATATATATATATATGCTTCCAAATAAATGTGCTTCTGGGGATATAGTAACAGGAGAAAACAGACCAGAATTCTAAACCCTTCTCATTTTCTACTTGCTTTTTCACTACAACTAAATTCAAGGAGCAACTCCTCTGGGGAACTTTTCCTGGCCTCCTGGGACCTGAGTTACATACTTTAACTCTCTGCTCTATTACATCATGTGGGTGTATAGCACAGTGGTTAAAGCATGTAAGTTTCCTTCTCTGCAAAATACAAATTATAATAATTACCTACTTCATTGTGTCACTGTTAGGATTTTAAAAGCCTAGCATATAGTTAGTGCATCAATATCCCACCACCTCAGGATCTTTATATCCACCATTCCTTCAGTCTGGAATGCCCTTATCCCAAAATCTCTGCTCAAACGTTACCTCATCAGACAGAACTTCCCTTACTTCCTTAAAATATACTAATACCCCCTGCCACTCTCCATCTCAAACCCTGCTTTTTCTTCAAGGCTTTTAACACTTTAGGTTATCTTTTCACTTATTTCTTTTCCATCACCCTTCTTTCCCCACTTAATTGTAAGCTCCATGAGAGCAGGCACTGCATTTTAGTAATTGCTCTACCCCAGTGCCAGGAATAGTGCCTGACACAAAATAGATATGTTATTAAAAATTGTTAATTGAATCAACATATGAGCTAAATGTAGTCTCTTTGAGTTGTAATATTTAAAGATACAAAGATTTTATTTTCCTCACAATACTTAAGGTGACTGTGAGTCCAATATTTGGTTGTATAAGATTATGGATAATTTTCTTTAATTTCTAATTAAATAAAATGTTATTTTATTATAATTATAATTAAAATTAAATAAAATGTTATTTTATTACAATTATAATTAAAATTAAATAAAATAATCCATAATCTTATAAAATAGAATATATTGCTTTTACAGTTAAAAAAATTTTAAGGAACATATAATCATTTCTAATGAGATCAGGAAAAACCTAGGGTTATTAAGAAATATAGTTTCACCCATTTAAGATGTTGTGCTGTATTTCCTACTTCTACCCATGGCTTTGGGAACACCCAGCTCATGAACTAGCCCTCAGTGCTAAAACTCACACTTGAAAACTGTATTCTCACTGCCATTGTGTTCAGTCAATATTTATAATTTTTAACTACAACACTTTAATTAGAAAATATTTAATTGATCTTAAATTTCTGATAAACAAAAACTCTAACTTTACTAGTTATAATAGCTATGTAATGCCTATTCTTTACACTAAAGGAGAATACAATCAGGGATAAAAGAGAGGTTTCCACATGCATCCAGAGATATTTATGCCTTTAGAAACATCTCCATTTTGGGTAGCCAATTATATTATATGAGTGCATCCCATTTCTTTGCCTCTGTTGCTCCTTTACCACCTCCCTGTGTAATAACTCCTTCATCTGAGAATGTAAGAGGCAGGTGACAAAATTCAGCGGGTTCAAGTGTGACATCCAAGAGGAACAGTCTTTACTAGAACTGTTACTATGACAACTTTACTAATTCACATGCTTAAATTTATGGGATTTATGTCTGTATATAACAGACAAAGCCTATTAGCAACTAGGCGGAACCCAGCAACTAGCACAAATGCCTAAAACTAATAATGACAGTCACCAGCCAGTGTGGCAGAGACACCAACAACTCAGAATAGACATCAGCCATAAGAGAGGCAGGAGAGAGACCAGTGGATCAACCCTGCCTGGAACATAATAACTCCTCAGTCAATGTGGATAAATGAATAAATCCTCTGGATTAAACCAAATTGTAAAATTGATAGAATCTCAAGTTAAAACTCAAATAATTATTTATGTCATCACCAGGAAATTATGTTGCAAATGAGATTACATTTTTTTAATTAATTCAGTTAGGCACCATACTGCCTGATCTAAATCAGTTGTGATTTGAGTCTATGGGGATCCAAACATTTAAAAAATAAATAGTCTCTATGCTTGAAAACCCCATGATGGTCTAGAGGGAAACATCTTTACAATACAAACTAAGAAGCGCTATAGTGAAGTTAAAAGTTAATAGGATATTGACATCTTACAGGCCAAGGAGCTTTAATCAAGGGGGCAACAGGGGAGAATCTATTTAACCAATTACATCTGGCTAAAGCTTGCAAATTGACACGGATGGTACTGAGTAAGCAAATATACGTGAATGGTTCAGTACCAGCAATACAACTATCTGTCTGCCTCCTATAGATGAGGAAAGGACTGTACTGTTTATCTTTTCTTGCTTCCAATGTGCTAACTACATGACTAGAGAAACCTGAAAAGATCAAATAACAATCAAATGATGGTTCCATCAACACCACCCATCTGGAAAGAAAGAAAAGGCTAAAACACATAAGAAAGCATGCACATGAAAGGCAGCTATCTGCCCATGTCAGGGCTCTCTTAAGTCCACCTGTTCCCTGCAGAAGCTCTGGCTTATACCAATTTATCTAGACGGGCTACAGTATCATTTTTACAGTTATATATACTACTGATCAGCCTCTTTTAATCTAACACAGAGCTCTAGAGAATTAAGCCTGTGTAGCATAAACCCCTTAAAAGATTACAATAATTACAGACACAAAGACATGTAAATATTTGTTAGTCAAACCAAATTCGCGTTGCTTGGTATTTTCTTTGGAGCCTGCCCATGTCATTATACTGAAATGTGATATATACAAACCCTAAGTGACTGCAAGTGAAATAATGTAACCCTATATACACAGTGGCAGTATAAAATTACATCTGCTTTGGTTATTTTTATGTTAGACATCTCAAACAGTTTATTCCAAGCTTAGTACATTTTGTTTCCTAAACAAAACAATGAAGAACATGAACAGACTTAAATAGCAGTGCAATAATGAATTGAAATTCCTTGACAAAATTGAGAATTTGTGATTTTTAAGTCATTGCTATTTTTCACTCATTTGACAAACATGCATTATTAATTAAAACATGTAATAGAAGACTATGTTATAGTCTCTATCATCACTTTTAATACACTTTTAAAGAACTTTTATTAACAAAAACTCCACCTTTATAAAGGGGAATTCATATGACATACCTAAACTATGGCATTATTTTGATAGACAGCAGATCTCTACCTATCTCTGTGTATTAAATAATGTTAAGTACAATTGGAGAAACAGAAACCATGTGATGCAATTCACCAAGAAGGACATCCATCACCTATACAGTATTCTTGGGGCAAAAAACCTTAGTCTCAATCTAATAATAAGGCAACCGTCTGACAAATCCAAATTCAGGAAATTTGAACAAAAAAATTTGGCCTGGACGCTTCAAAATTGTCAGTGTCATAAAAGACAAAAAAATGCTGGGGAACTGTTCTAAAATAAAGTAAACTAAAAAAATGAAAAAAAAACTAAATGCAATGATGATATTAATTAAATCCAATTATTGGTAAAACTGAGTATTATTATGAGTAGTATTTAATTCCTTTCTTTTTAATTTTTCAGATCCAGAATGTATTCAATTATCTTGAATAAGTAAATTCTCAATCAGAAAAAATTAAAAGAAAGAAAGAAAAAGAACAAGAAAAAGAAGTTCTAAAGGACATTACTATTGAGACAATTGGGAAATTTGAATATGAACTGCATATTAGATAATAATATTATATCAATGTTAAATGTTCCAATGATATAGTGTGGCATATTAAAGAATGCCTTGCTTTGAGGGGATGAATATTGATGTACTCAGAGGTGATGTCCGCAATTAATTCCCAAATGGCTCAGAAAAAAAAGTAGAGAGAAAGATAAAGCAAATGTGGCAAAATGTTTCCAAGGATCTATGTGAAAGACATACATGTTCATTGCCTATTCTTGCCTCTTCTATCCTTTTGAAATTTTCTCATAATTAAAAGTTGGAAAAAAATTTTAAGTGGTACATTAACAATACATCTAATCATGTGTGTGTGAGAGATGTAACATCGCTGTCAATAGGTAACAATATTATCCCAAATAATTGAAGAAAATCAATGAAAACTTCTAAATATAAAAGCACCCTGCATTAACACATAGGTTTCTGTGAACTATCCCTAAAAAATCTACATCTTTTAAATTTTTCCAATAAATTTCTTCCTTTATCACCAAATTTTCTTTTATCCAAATTCTCTGCTTTATCACCAAATTTAAACCATAGTGACATTTGAAGAACTATTTATAAAACCTGATGAGAATTAAAATATTTTGTCATGAAAATAAATATAAATACAAATTAAATTATAAAAATAAAAAGGAGCACTTTCATTACAATGAAAAGGTCTTGACAGCATAAAGAGTCCTGATTGCTTAGATTTTTGCTTATATTTTACAAAGCAATAACATAATTTTATCAGAAGAAGAAATAATCAGATAATCTCTGAATGCCTTTGTAACCACAGGACTCATCACCAATTTTACTTTCTCTGTAACTTACTTAAAATGTAAGAGATTTATGGTCTTTGATGGTCACAAATAAATTCCACAGGGTCTTGCTTCACTTTAATTTATATAAATACAGTCAAAATTAACAACCAGTTGTTAATTCATCCAAATATAGTACTAACACTAGGGGAAAATGGCTGCTTTACAGATGAAGGTAGTTCACTAATTCAACCCAATCCAATTACTTGCCTCCTTTATGTCAGGCACTGTAAAGATGCTCATAAGAAAGTGATACAATCATCTCTCTTTAGGGAGAAAAGTTTTAAGGTTATTTACAATTTGCCAGACTAACTGCACTTCTTTTATTCTTAACAAATTTATATGTCCTTCAAGATTGAAAATTCATCCCTATTGTCAATACCAGTGGCTGACCCAAGATCCAGAAGGGCTGAATGAACCTAAGCCTATCCACCCAATGACTGTGCCCCTCAACAGTTTTGTGTAGTTGTTGTTGATGATGATGATGATGATGATGCTTGGTGTTTTAAGGTCCAAAGATGAAATGGGGACAATGTTAATATACTATAAAAGTGAAATCTTCCATATCTCTTTGATATAACATAAAGTCTAGAGTCCTAAGTAAACACTCCTATAGCTAGGCTCCAGGAAGTCTCTGAGAGGCAGGGCTCTGGTCTAAGAAGTTGGCAGTTGTACCTTACTTAACAGAGTTAAATGGCCTATCATATGGATCATGGTACAGTTCTTTGAAACTTTCCAAGTGCTAAACAGATGGTAAGTTACATTATTCATGATTCAAAAGTGTATGTCTTACTGCACAAATGCTATTGGAAAAAATATTCCTGCTGGCTGCTCTGCCTATGAAGTAGTGATTCTTTTATTCCTTTAGTTGCTTAATAAACTTGCTTTCACCACAAAAAAAAAGAAAGAAAGAAAAAATATTCCTGCTTACAATGCAAATCAGTCACAGTTTTGGTTCCTCTGAGTAAGCGTCTAAAGATAAAAGGTCACACCTGTAGTAGACAAGAGAACCCTGGGATCCATTTAGTGGAGATCTCCTGAGAGATGCTAAGTAAAATCCCTGAGTCTATGAGGCTCCCTGTGTCCAAGTACTTCAAAATGAAATGAGAGATTATAGAGTATTTTCAACTCAAGGAAGATAAAATTGAATGCACATATAATGATCCTATGCTATATGTGATTAAATATGACTAAAGTGACTTTTGCTTCACAATTGTTAGTTTAAAAGAAGTCAAACAGAAAATTAGTTTGAGCAGGGATAAATATTTGCAACATATAATAGATGAATGGTTAGCATATGAAGAGTTCTTATAAAGTAATAAGATGATTGATAAATACTCCAGGAGAAAATGAGCTGAGTTGATATACAGCCAAATCAAAAAATGCAAGTGATCAATAAAAGACATGGAAAAGATTAAACATTTAAACTATCTAATTAAACTATCTAATAATTAAAGAAATGGCCATGACAACATCTTTCAGATTAGGAAAGATTTAAAAGATTGATAGAACTTCAGTAGTAGGAAAATAGATCCTCTCATGCAATGTTGCTGCATTGCTGGTAAAATCTTTCCGGATTGGGCAGTGTATTTCAAAAGTAAAGTTATCATATCTTTTAACCCAGTAACTTTATGTTCTGGGATTTATGTTAAATAAAAAAGTGAATAAGTATGAAAATAATTGTCTACAAGAATATTCATCAGAGCCTTCTTTATAATAGTGGAAACTTGAAAACAACCTACATTTCCATCATAGAGGTCTAGTTAAATAAAGTATAGCATATCCTTATAAAGAAATATTATTAAGTATTAAAACTGATATTATACAAAACCCTGGAAACAACTGAAATGTCCAATAGTCAGGCCAATTTTAGAACATTACCATCACACCAAAATCTATAATTGGGCATTATAGTATGACCGTATATTAGAAAACAAGGCAGCCATTAAAGAGAATTCAGTATATGTAGATGTGCTGACATGGAATGATTCCCAATTTATGGTTTTAAGTGAAAAAGCAAAGCAAGGGGAAAGATGTGTGTGTATGTGTGTGTGTGTATAATTTTTTTTTTGAGACGAAGTCTTACTCTGTCACCCAGACTGGAGTGCAATGGTGCGATCTCGCCTCACTGCAACCTCTGCCTCCCGGGTTCAAGCAATCCTCCTGCCTCAGCCTCCTGATAGCTGGGATTACAGGTGCTCACCATCATACCCAGCTAATTTTTTGTATTTTTAGGAGAGACAGAGTTTCACCATGTTGGCCAGGGTGGTCTCAAACTCCTGACCTCAAGTGATCCACCCGCCTTTGCCTCCCAAAGTGCTGGGATTACAGGCATGAGGCACCGCACCGGGCCAATATATACATATATTTATATATAAAATTTTCCTGGGTGTTTTACAAAAAGGGCAAACATATGTATATATTACATTGGATAGAGTATTTCTGGAAGGATTCATTAAAAATCTTTTAACAGTGGTTGATCCTAGGGTTGAAGAAAGTCTTGCTATTTTTTATGTTTAGGAAGTACAGAACATAGAGAAAAGTATATAAAGCATAAAAATAAAGCTTAATAATTTGTCACAAAGGAAACATCCTCGTAACCACCATCAAGGTTAAGAAATGAAGCACTTAGAATCAGAGTGGAATGATGGTTGCTGGTGCAGGGTGAGGTGGATGGGGAGTTACTAATCAACTGGCATAAAGCTTCAGTCAAACAAGCTGGACAAGCTCTAGAGATCTGCTCTACAACATTGCACCTATAGTCAATGATAATGTATTATACATTTAAAATTTTGTTAAGAGGGTAGATCTCATGTTAAGTGGTCTTGCCACAATAAAAGAAAAAGTAATGAACCTCTGCCAGCACTCTAGAAGGTCTCTTCATGTCTCTACCTAATCATTTCTCTTCCCTAATTCCCAAAGGCAGTCATTATACTGAATTCTACTAATTTGCTAAGAGTTTTTATCATGAATGCATGATAAATCTTATCAAACTCTTTCCTTTATATATCAAGATGACATGTTTTACTGTTAATATGGTAAATAACACTGATTTTTAAATGATAAACCAACCTTAAATTCTTAGAATAAACTCATCTTGGCCACAATGTATTAGCCTATAATATTACCAGATTAAATTTGTGAACATTTTGTTCAGAATTTTTTGTATCCAATGTCATGAGAGAGATTGACCTGTAATTCTCTTTTCTTGTGATGTCCTTGTCAGGTTTGGTATCAAGCTATCACATTTGGTTTGGCAGAAAGGTTTTACTGGCCTCATAATACAAGTTGGGAAGTGTTCTTTGTTTTCGTATTCTTTGGAAGAATTTGTATATGCTACTTTTGCATGACATTTCCATTTTTATGTTAATCTAATCTCCCTACTGAAATTATAAACTTCTAAGGCCCAAAGACTGTATCTAAGTTTTCCTATATCCTGAGAATCCAACCGTTTGCTTTGGATATAGTAGGATTTCAAAAAAATATCATTATAACTTTGACAAAGAGTATAAAATCTGTCAACTTATTTAAAAAATCCAATTCACATTAATTATATACATGAAAATGTATAATTTACTTCCCTGTCTTTTAGGACATCAGAAGGATCACAGAATGTTAGGGCTGGACCTCATCTCCAGGGTTTTCCGATGTCTATGATACTGATTATATCAGACAATATGGTATAATTACATTATACCATAGGTAGCAGCATGGCTGAATAGAAAAGTATCCATTTTGGATCAAAAATATGTGAGCTGGAATCCAGACAACTCCAGTTACATGTGATTTGTCTTTGGTGACATTATATAAATTCTCTGAGCCTCATATTTTCCTCTGCAAAATTGAAATAGTAGTAAAACTTATTTACAAGACTACCACAAAGTTAGAGTTGATGTGCATAAAACATCTAGGTGCTTAACAGTAATTTTTTTAAAAAGACATCTTTTACTCTCATGAAAATTCTAACATAAAACTTTAAAGTCATATTTTGCAGTAATAACCTCCAAATCTTTGTGTCTCCAATACTGCAGTGCATGCTTTAACCAGTCTCATTTATTAACCTTTTCTCTTTGAATCACTTTCTTCTCCACACAATATGATTTGGCTCCTTACTCTTCCCATGACCACTGTTAGAAATGCTTGTTCCCCGGTGCCATAAAGAAATAGCACTTGAACATAAATTTAATTTCCTCAGCAAGGCCATTTTTACTTTCTGCAGAAAGGGTACACTCGCCAGCAGTTTTACCACAAGAGTACACCAAACAAAGGAGACAGAGTCATTTATAACCTGACGCGTCCACCCTACTGCTATGTCCGGTTTCCATTGGCTAGTACGGGACCTCACATTCTGTATTTGTCCCAATTGGCTAGCAACTTAGAACTTTTTAAAAGAGGCACGGGCAGACGAGAACAAAGGAAGGAGGAAGTAACTTGTGGAATGCTGAGAAAGGTAAAAACACCTCCAAATAAGGAAGAGGAACAGGCTATAACCTAATGCCCGCTTGGACCAGTATAAGCATGCCAGGGCAAATATTTAGGCTAAATTGTGGGAGCTAAGAACATAAAGTACATTGATTTCTTTATTAGAGCTAGCAGATATTTAAGAATGTTAGCACAGCTCTTTGAATAAATTTTGCTTCTAAGAGAAGTACTATTTATTCCTAATTAGACAGGGAGGAGAGTCTCTTTGAAAAGGAACCTCTACTTTACTTTTTATACCACCAATACAGTCAACAAAACTTCATACAATTACAAAAACTTCCCTGACTACTAATTTATTTTCCTACCTTACCTATTTTCTTGCTAAACTCTTTCCCTGAACTTCATCAAAATCTCCTATCAGGAAGGTCAGAGAACTGTAGGTATTAAGCCAGTTTAACTGAGTCATCCTTGTGAAGTTAAAGGAAGAACTATTCTCACCCTTATTTTAGAAACAGAAACTGAGGCATAGGGAAGTTATCACAAGTTACAGAGCAAATTGGCCACAGAGGGGACAAAGTTAAGTCAGTCTTTCATTGTCTTCCTTACTCTATCAAATATTAGTCTGGGAGTCAGCATAGGTAACTCTTGACCAAGATGGCTACCATAACCTCTGTGAAACAGAAATGCATGAAAATAAATGAGAAACACTTCTGAATTTGGTAGGGGGGTTATCTATCCTTGTATTTTCATCTTTAAGTTATGTTCAATGCACACAACTGATGTAGTAGGTAAAGGCTATGCACATATGTGTAGTACTTAATATCACTTGCATTATTCCAGTTAATTATTTGAATACTGTGTAACACTTAACTTATTGTAGGGTGCAAGTCAAAATCTGGAGGCCTTGAAACACAGTCACTGAGTAATAACGATTTAAGGATCACAACAAAAGTTCAAAACACAACTAGGCATACATATTAATTTGTAGCAACAGTGGTTTCATTTGAAACCACTTGCAAACAGTGACACACACTCCTCAAATCTGCTGTTCCCTAATTATGCTTGTTTGCCTTCGTTTACGCTAAAGGTAAACAAGTATTTAGCCTAGGAAAGAAAACGGAAAAAAAACCCAGAAGTGACCCAAACAACGTCTGCAAAGACAAATAGCTTAGTGTCACATCACCCAAGTGAATCCAAACTACTCAAAATCATTAAAGAAATGATTCAGTCTCCAATCCTACTCCTAAAAAAGGATACAACCAGAGGATCTCTTTTAATTGACAAAACTACGTGAATGGTTTTGTATTTACATTATTAACCTAAAACTTAGAACACATTTAAACACAGGCCACCCAGAGCTAACACTATAGCTTCCTGGTTTTTGTACCAGTGAGCACATGGCTTCAGTCCATGTTCAACACCTAATTAAGAGATTCTTTTCAAAGCTTGTATTCTGGATTTACCATCTTTTCAGAGGCCATACTGCTGCAGTTCATTAGCACTCAACATCTGGCTGGAATGGTTTAAACTACTATTTTCCTTAACCATTATATGGATGAGGTTTTGTTATTCTAAGCAAACTGAAACAATGTCCTTATGTGGACTTCTAAGCATAATAATTAGTGACAGTGCAAATTGGTTTCTGATTTTTCTTATACCATGTAACAAACTATTAAAACATTCAAATCATAGTTTATATAATTTTGAGATCCTTTTCATTTTATAACATAGACATGTCTTTATTCTTTAGGCACAAGGTCTTATTCTGAAGGCCAAGAAATATTTCACTGAAATGCAGCTATATGTGAAGAAAAATACAGCCTTGTACTTTCTCAAGGAAACAGCACTTGTAAACTCAGAAAAGTGAAAATGTGGACATATTTGGCACAGAACTTTGAACATTCCACTTACTCTGTTTATGAACCTTAGAGGTCTCCAGTACAGAACAGGTTTCAAACTTCAAAAACACTCCCCTGAAAAGAGTATCAACCCCTGTCTATATAACTAATTTGCCCCTGAAATGAAGTTAAGTAAATCTGTTCAGGGACTTAAGCAACTAGAAAGCATCCCTGTAGTCAAAAAGTTTTAAAAGGAATTTCATGAGGCTGCAAGAGAATTTCTAGGCCTTGGCTGACACATATTTTAAGTCTGGCTCAGAGAACTGTTAAAATACACTTATGGGTTCACTCTGC
Organism: Homo sapiens; assembly: GCF_000001405.40. NCBI lineage: Eukaryota > Metazoa > Chordata > Mammalia > Primates > Hominidae > Homo > Homo sapiens. The sequence continues at coordinate 49,247,722 of NC_000015.10, read as the reverse complement.
CTGAAATGCCCTTGGGCCCCTCCCAGTGCTTTGTTTCCCAGCCTTTCCTTCCTTTAACATTTTCTTAGAACTCACCAATTACTTGAAACTGTCCCTGTTTAACTTCACCAAGGAGACATTATTTCAACCTCTTTATTCATTTACATATAAAATACCTTACACTTTGTATGAGATAGATGGTCAGTTAATAAATCTTCTGTTACTATTCCACTATATGCATTTAAGTTCCATAAGGGCATTGACCATTTGTCTTCCTTCCTTCTTTTCTTTTTTCTCTTCTCTTTTCTTTCTTATTGTTTCCTCTCTTGCCACTGTCAGGGGTATGGTATAATACTCCCAGGTAAAAGAACTTAATCCATGTAAATCACATCTTGCCATCCCCAGCTCACAGCCCTCCAAAGGTTTTCCATTACGCTTAGAATGAAAGCCAAAGAAGATGCTACACACCATGGCCCTTGACCAACTCTCTCAACTCACCTCCCACCTCTCCCCGCTTCTGTCTCACCACACCCCAACCACAGGGACCTCTTATTCCTGAGACATGACAAACTCTCTTTCACCTTAGGGCTTTTGCACTTGCTGTTCCCTCTGACACTCTTTCTCAGCTGCTCACTCCCTAAGGTCTCTGTTCAAATGTCCTCTTCTCGGAGAGAACTTCTCCTAACTCCCTAGATAAAATATACAATTTCCCTTAACTACGGCCTAGCTGATATTATATATTTATTTGTATAGCTCTTCATTATCTTTCTCATACCATCACTTCTGCCAATATGGAAACTCCATAAAAGCAGGGGCACTTCACTGGTTTTATTCACAGTTGTATTTCCAGTGCCTAGAACAACGCATGGCATATAGTAGGTATTCAACAAATGCCACTGAATCACTGCTTTCAAGTGGTAGGTTAGGAAGTTTATCTGTCTTCTTCTCTTGAAAGCACTCCTCACAAATCCAGTATTATACATGTTATTCTGGGCTTCCCAATACAGGATTCTTGATGCCATCTAAGAGATTCCCCAGGTTCCCCAGTGAACTATAACTCTCAAAGGAAGGTTTTATGTCCAATTCATATTCTGGGTAACTCAGAATCATGTAAATTGTGTTTTTGACAAAATGCCAGAGATATCCACATACAAGAATTCTCCCCTACCCCACTATTCCCAGCTGGCTCTTTCAGTCTTCATCAACCAAGATAATATGGGTTTTCTCTTCCTTAGACTTCAGTATGGGGGATGCAGCTCAACCCTATACTTCTCTACTGTACCTCCCAGATCCTCCAAAGTGGGTTTTCTGAATATCACCTGCTCAGTCTACAACCTCATGAATTCAAAATCTACTCCCAACCCCACACCAGCAGAGGGAGGAATTTGTGGATAGATGCTAGTCTAACACACCTTACTACCCAAGACTAGCTTTTAGAGTTGCAACCTGTTTCCCAAGTAGGCCAGCTATTTCTATTCTAAGATTCCTAAGAGGCACTTGGTCCTTTCTTCTTGGCCTCCAAGGACAACTCCAAGAACAGACAGAAACTGGACATCAGAGCAACCCAAATCCCATTCTTACAAAATACAGGCATATCTTGTAGAACACCTCAGCAACTAACATTTTCTTGGCGAAAGATTTTTGATACCCAAACTTCATAGAATGTTCATATCTCTCAAAACAACACTTTCTGAAAGGTGTTTATATAGGAAAACATACATATTTACACCCTAAAACCTAAACACAACATTGTTAACAAAATAGTATGCAGAGTACTGAAATACCAGGTGTCAATACAGAAGACATACCGGTATCACTATATAAAGTAACTGCTTGTTAACAACCATATTAATTGTTTAATGTTCAAGAAAATTGGTTTAAACATTTTTCATGCTACTTCTGTGTGACTTATATAAAGAAAGCTTTACTGTATTTTTGTAACATTGTAGGAAATTAGTTAGAGGTTTTGAGTTGAGGAATAATGCATTATACTTTTTCCTATTTTAAAAAAATAGGCCCTCGCTGAATAATTTTGTGCAGAACATCTGATTTGTTGGAATGGACTACTGCCACTAAATGGAAGATGCCTGTATTTTCTTGGATTCTTCCACCCAAAACCCATCAACAGACCTCACCCTAGGCCATTGATTTGGTCACATTCCAACAGCTCATCTGTTCTCAATCTCTAGCCTTGACTCATTGAATCCCTTCTCATCTCTTCATCTTTCAGGTTCCCCCAGGTGTGGTCATACAGGTCATCTTACTTTTCATTCTATTTCCATTCTTATTTTTCATTCTATTCAGTTCTTCTATCTTTTATTTTACTTTCGCCAAAGTGATATTTGCATATAATCTAAAAGATTAAATAGAGGTAAAAGGCTTATAACAACAACAAAGGCAGCCCCTAGCTCACTCTGTCATCCCTATCCCCAATGCAATGTGTACAACGGCAAATACTTTTGGCTCTTTGCTTTTGCTTCCAATTCCAAATAACATTGGTAAATGTTATTGCCTGTTGTTTCATTTTAAACATTATTTATTGCTTTCCTATTATGATAAGTGAGGATTTTAGCTCTCTTACATCCACCTTTCCTTTACCCTCCTCCACCTTTCTCAATAAAGTTATGCCCAAAATTTTGCTTAAATTCATATTTGTTGTGTTAATTACTGAGATTATTGTTCACTTATGAGCAAAAAAAAATGGTTGATTTCATTTCTGTTACAAACTTTTTTGTTTTTCCTATATTTAATAATTGCCCCATTTCTTCATTTGCTTAGATTTGTATATCTAGCTGAGCTTTGTCATATCCTACAACAGCTCTGTGAAATTACTCTGAATCCATTTTCCACATGGTTGAACATATCAGATTAACCAGTTTTTTTGGCTTTTTTTTTGTTTTACTGATAAGATTATAAGTTCCATCTTTCCCTCTCCTCATTTTAATCTGCACTGCTTTCTAAGCTGCTGGATATTATGGGTGTTATGTTGGAATTCCCCTTATGTTCTACAAATACCAATGTTCTATAAATACCCAACTCCTCTCTCATATATTGGATTTCTCATTTCCTAGTTCCCATGCGATCTTCTTTCTTGGTTTACTCCCTAGTTTTGGTGGATTACATCCTCTAGACTTTTACACTTTACATGTTGAAAATGTTTTACTATACCCTCACATTTGATTAATTCATTTAAACAGATAGCCTAAACTAAAATTTATTAATATTTTAGAGACATTTATCAACTGCCTTTATCTTCCAATACTGTTTTTGAGAAATTAATTTACATTTCTGATCCTTTGATTATGATTTCTTTCCGTTCTTTTCTCTTGCTCTGTCAACTAGCTTTTAGTGTCTTTTCTATAACACTCAAGTTTCAAAATTTCCAGATGATATTCTTTGGTTTGGCCTTTTACATTTATTATACCAAACACCCAGTGAGCCCTTCCAATCCAAATTCACATTTTCACTTTGGAGAAATATTATTTTAAAAAAAAAATCTTCTGGACAGACACAGTGGCTCACACCTATAATCCCAGAGCTTTGAGAGGCTGATGAGGGAGGATCACTTGAGGTCAGGAGTTTGAGACCAGCCTGGGCAACATAGAGAGGCCCCAACTCTATTTTTAATAATAATAATAATTTCTAATAACTGTTTTTTCTGTTTTTCCTTACTAGTTGGATGGATTTCTGGAATTGATCCATAAATTTTCCTGTTTTTCTCTCTTATTGTCCAGCTCTTTTATTCCCTACTATATCAGAGAGTTCTTCCAGTCTGTTCTCTTTTTTTGAGACAAGGTCTCACTGTGTTGCCCAGGCTGGTCTTGAACTCCTGGCCTCAAGCGATCCTCCTGCCTTAGCCTCCCAAACTGCTGAGATTGCAGGCATGAGCCACCATGCCCAGCTGTTTCCAATCTTTTTGCTAAATTTTGTCTTGTCATATTTTTAATATGCAAAAGCTCTATCTTACCGTTGGTTCCTTTTTTAAAAAAGTAACACTATTATTTTTCAAGGACTTAACATTTTCTTTTATCTCTCTGAGGACATCATGTCTTTGATTCTTCTGCTCTCAGCATTGTCTCTGTTTCCTCTAGTTTCCTGTTTTCTCTGTTTTTTTTGTTTGTTTGGTTCATTTTGTAGGTTTTCTTCCAAAATCTTACTATACTTTGATGCCCTATCATATTTAAGAGTGAGTCACTAAAAAGCTTATTAGAAGCTTTGTAAATGGGCTTCTAACAAGGTCATAGAGGAGCTGGAGAAGGGGGTCACCAAATGTCAGTATCTGTATGAACCATCTCTGGGATGGTTAAGTTTCCTTTGAGAAGGATCCTCCAACATTCCTGCTGGAGTGTAGGGTGGTGAGGTTGCCAGTGTGCCAGTAATGACCAGAAGAATGGAGCTAAGAATTTCATTTTTCAGATGCAGAATGTCCTCTAATCTCCCAGTTTTCAAGTCTTTCTCGTCCTGCCTTTCTCAGTGCTCAGTGTCCCCAAGTACAAATGATCTCTGGTTGTTTCTCCAGAGACTCCTGCAAAGATAGGGGGAAATGGTCCAGGTGAAGAGAGGCCTTTTAGGGTCTAAATAGTCCTCACAAAGGCTTTCAGATAAATCCCCACCCACCATATTACCCTGCTTTCTTCCTAAGCCTTGCCAGAGAGCTGTGGGATGAGTCAGCTGCCTTTCCATCTGCAACTCCCTCCGCAGGCACTTGGCTCTGACCTTTCTCCATTCGCCTAAGTCATGTAACATTCCTCTATCCACTTTCCATCTTTGTATTTTGTGGTTTATGGTTATTTATGTCTCCTTGGCTTACCAAAGATAAAGCTTGTGCTTCCTTTTCTTATTTTCCCTGTTGTTTGGAAATGATTTTTGAGAAAAGAAGATTAATTTAGGGACACAGAAAAAGAGTAGGTAAGTCTTATTCTGACATGCTGAAATCAGAAGTCTCTAGATTTTCCTTTTTCATAGATCTTTTGCCACATCATACTCTCTTGTACCAGTAACATTCTGATTCATAATTTCTGGCTTCCAGATTCTCTGGGTGATTAGCCATATTGTTTTCTGGTTTCAGATATGCAACATTTAGTATATTAATGAATTAACAAGTTCCACATCTACTTATTATATCCCATCTGCAGTAATTGTTGTCTGCAACTGAATGGGGTTTACTGGATATGAAATAATAGGAAAGGCTTTAGTCACCAATCTGTTGTGGGACTTAGTGTCCTTATCAAACAGGCTAGTTATTTTCGGTTGTCCCTCTGTTCCTCTATTCTCACACTTCCCCTACCCCAAAAGGCTGACCTCTATGGTAAATTCCCCTCAACTATTCCCACTCATTGCCATTTTCACCTGTGTCATTCTTTCTCTGCCTTGCTGCATTTCTGGCAACATTACTCTATATCCACAGCTCCTAAAGTACAATGGCTTCCAGCTTCACAAGAGAACCCTTCCTAGTTAGTTCCCTTGACCTTACCCACATCTCTGTAAAAGTCTCTTTATTAAACTCTCTTCAGTTATACCTAACATGTCATTTGTTTCCTATGGTAACACTAATACATCAGTAAAAGGAGCATTTTGAACTAGCTCATCTCTAAAGTCCCTTGAATTCTTATATTCTGTGATTTTTACAAGAGTAAAATCACATGGCATTTAAATTAAAGACTGAACAAATTACAGACTTCCTTTCATTCAAGATTCTGTCTCACTCCAGAAAAAAAAAAACTCTCCAAATAATTATGCTCAGTCCTTAGAAAATGTAAATATTGTTAGTACAACTTAGACTAGCTGAGAAAGCCAGGATATACATATTGTTCCCTTTTTGCTTAGGCACTGCAGTAAGATAGTTCCGATAAAAAAATGTATTTGCTATTTCCGACTTTGAAAACAGACAATCAGAATTAATTCTAAGGGTTCAAGTGTTTCTCTTTATCTTCTTTCCTTCCTATTTCTTAGATAGGTATATTATCAAAACACCAGAAAAATAGAAAAACTAAGTTTCACCAATCCTCCCATTAAAAGTGAAATGAATTCCTTGACTTCACACCCTCCTCCAAATACCAAATTATCTTTTTCTATGCATCACCAGACTTTTTGTATCCACTGAACTTTACCACTTTCTTACCCCTTATAGACCCTTCAACCCATTTCCATCTAAAACTGCTCTTGTCAAAGTTTTGTACAACTTCTTTGTTGTGATATTCAATGGATACTTCTCAGAACTTGTGGTAACCTCTCAGAAGCATATGACAACACTACCACTCCTTTCATGAAACATTATCTTCCTTGTCTTTGCTGTTGCCTCACCTTTCTGGTTTTTCTCATACTTACTGGACTACTCCTCAATCCCTTCAGTGGACATCCCTTCCTATGCCCATTCCTCAAATGTTCATGTTTCTTGGGGCTCTGTCCTAGTTTTCCTTATCTTTCCACCTATATTCCAACACCAGGTATCTTGATCCACTCCTATGGCTTCAAAAACAATGATAAACTAATGATTCTCAAATGTACCATCTCAAGTCCAGATCTCCTCCTGACCTTCATATTTTTTTCATAACTAAATACTAAATAACTCCATCAGTATGCCCACAGATTCCTCACACTCAACATTTCAGCTTCCACTCAAACCTATTTTTCCCCCATATCTCTTATTCCAATGAATCATACCAGCCAGACACCGATATAATCTTTGAGTCTTTGCTGTTCCCCATTCCCATGCCCAATCAATGACCAAGTCCTACTGATTCTGAGATCTTGAATCTATCTAATTCTAACCATTCTCATTGCCACTACTCTAAACCAAATCACCTCCCTACTGCTAAAACCCTGAAATGCAGACTTTGTAATATAGCCAGGGAGATCTTTCTAAAATACAGATATGATCACCTTACCTCTTCCTAAAACCCTGCAATGGTTTCCCACTGCTATGAAGATGATACCTAAATTCCTTAACAAAGTTTACAAGGCCCAGCAACTGATCTCCTGCTCTGTTATCCAAATTGCTGTATGCTTCAACCATATTGAGACATTTTTTTTGTTACTCCAACAAGCCATGATTGCTTTTACTCTGGACATTTCCACATGATGTTCTCTCCACCCAATACATGCTTATCTGATGTCATCAGTGTTATCATGCCATCAATATCTACAACTCCTTTAATCTTTGTTGTCTCCATTTAGATGTCCTATGCTCTCTAAATCTGGGTTATATCTGCTCCCATAGAAAACTACTTATCCACTTACTATATTCTATTGCAGTTGCCTATTTACTTGTCTCTTTTCCCTTTTAGACTATAAGCATAGTGAAAGTTGAGACTATACTTATTATATCTCCAATGCCTTGAACATTATCTGGCACAAAATAGCCATTAAATAAATAATGGTTGAATGATGAACAAACAAATGAATAAATAAACAAATCAGATTGAAAATTGTACCAGGGGAAACACATTTTACACATGGACTTCCTGTCCCTTGCTTCTTCTCTTCTCAAAAAATAATAATAATATGTAAGCCCCCTTTCCCTCCCAACCAGTCATTGCTCACTAAGGGCTAATTAATGTACACTTACACAGGACAGCTAAAAAGAAGGATTCTGTCTGAACCTTTGCTTTCTCCTTCATTTCTGCCTTCCTCCTATACATAAAATTTTCAAACTGAAAGTTTAAACATGCTTAAAAGAGACTAAGCATGTGGCTGCCTTTCTCTTGATCTGTCCAAACCATCCGTAAACCTGGTAGTATATGTACATGGGGTAAAAAGAACCTATGATAACATTTTATTTGAACCAGAATGCTAAAGCATTAATTAAAGCTGAGCACACCTGCTCTAAACTGCAGAGTCAGAGATTTATGTGAACTTATAAACTTGAGGCTTTCTGACCTCTTGTACAATTTATATTTCCTTTAAATAAGCATTTCGTCTTGTAATGCAATATTTTAAAGTTTATTTCTGTGACTAATCTGCTGGCATATTCAGTTCCTTTATTACCTAGTCTTTACCCTTGTAACCCACTACTTGTCAAATTTTTAATTTAAGGTTTTGGGTGAAAATAAGCAGGCTCAACCATGAGAGGAAGAATTTCTTGCCCTAAATTTAACTTGTGAATGAGGTGATCTAAAATGATATCCATACATTCAAATCCCATATTTAATACAATGTATTTTTATACAGTTATTCACAGATCTATTCACTCACTGTTTGGAGGGTATAAGCTACTTTATAGTGATTTATCACTTGTTAAGTTACAATGCTTGCCCACATGTGCAGTCCTTTTAGAGAAGACAGTTTTTCAATCAAGGAAGGCATTCTGATTTGAGATTTGGATGCTAATGATTATTAGGAGAGGGTTCTATGAGGTTTCCTATCAAAGGTAGTTACCTTGGATAGATTCCTTCCCAGCACTGTGAGCGTCACCAAGCCAGCACAACAGACCAAAGCACTGGAGCTGGAGAGGCCAGAACTTGGTGGGATATTTCCATCTACCAGGCAGTTCATTCCAGTCAGGTTACTAAGACCAAAGTGTTCCTAAGAATATAAGGAAAAACAGCAACAGTAATTCAGTATTGAATTCAAGGAGTAGTGAAAGCTTCTTTCATTCCCCAGAGAACAAAAGTCTATCAATAGACTTATAATAGTTATAGAAACTACTTATGCAATTCAATTTAGTTGAGACTATATGTGACATTTTATTTAATGACTCTTAGCCACAGAGTAATTCCCTTAAATGCCTTTAATTTTCTTGCCTTGAATGTTCTTTTTCTTGAATATTAATTGATTTGAATATGGAAAAAATATAAAATTGCCTTGAATGTTCTTTTTCTTGAGTATTAATTGATTTGAACAAATATGGAAAAAATATAAAACAATTATAATCCAATTTGTCAAGTAGCAGGACAAGAAATATACAATTATCTGTGAGGTAATTTAAATCTCCATGCAGCACAACTCCAGCATTCTGTTATTATAAAAGTCCAGCCCCCAAGCAGTGACTTGTTTCTAAGGAGTGCCTTACTTTAGAAGGTTCTCTGAAAAAAAGGAGTTCCAAACATTCTCAGTTCTGTTTTACTTATGAAAAAACCTAGGCACCAAGAGATGAAGAAACTTTCCCAAGATGACACATAGGGAGACGAGAGTAGGGCCCAGGTCTCTGAATCCTGTTTGAAAACTTTTCCACTGCAGTTAGAAACCTGAGCCAGCAAACCGTCATTGTGATTTAATATGCCAGCTACATGAGAAAATCCAGATGCTTACTACAGTTTATAGATACAGTTTAGCCATATGGTAGCTTTAAAGATAGTCAAATTAGAATTCAGCCACAAATGAGAATACAGACCCTAAACAAGTTGAGGAAACTCTATTTCTACAAATAGGAAAGCCCAAAGAAATAATCAGATTCTGATTTAAATATGGAAAGCTCTAGTATACTTACATTACTTTCTAACACTAGGACACTTTGGATGATATCATATCATAACCTTTGTGGTTTAAGTTTACAAATAAATTCAAGTCTACCTCCTTCTCAAGAAAAAGTACCATAGTCTTTGCAAATTACTCAAATGACTGAAGATTAACATATGAAATACTATTACCTAATTATGCATTTCATCATACCTATTATACAAGGGAGAATTTCAATCAGCTAGCTAGAATAACTAAAATAACAACAAAATTCTGCAAATAAAAGACCTTTTTCCTTAATTTTTTGTCTGTCTGTCCTAGCTAGCAAAATTCTCGCACCACAATAAGAAGAAATTTAGCTGGGTGTACTTCTCTTCCTGATTTCAAGTCATCTAAAAATTTCCTTCCAGATATACAAACAAACTATAAACTGAAACTCTACTGTTGCCAATGCCCTTTCATACAGAATATCAGACAGCTTGTTTAAAAAAAAAAATTGAAGAATACAATATATTTAATATAAACTGATCAAACACAGGTGTCTTGAGTGGGAATCACACTTAAGAACTTATCAGCCGGGCGCAGTGGCTCACACCTGCAATCCCAGCACTTTGGGAGGCCGAGGCGGGTGGGTCACGAAGTCAGGAGTTCAAGACCAGCCTGGCCAATATAGTGAAACCCCGTCTCTACTAAAAATACAAAAATTAGCCAGGCGCGGTGGCAGGCACCTGTAATCCCAGCTACTAAGGAGGGTGAGGCAGGAGAATCGCTTGAACCCCGGGGGCAGAGGTTGCAGTGAGCCGAGATCACGCCACTACACTCCAGCCTGGGCGACAGAGCAAGACTCCGTCTCAAAAAACAAAAACAAAAACAAAAACAAAAAAACAAAAACAAAAAACAACGTATTATGCAATGTTTAAATGAAAATGTATAACAAATTCAAAATGCAAATGGGTATATGCCACATTCTGTAATAGCTCTATGCCAAAAGGATAACATGTTCAATGTAATATAAGTGAATTATTCTCTGAAACTTTCTAGTATTTGAATTTGAAAGTTTCTGAACAGGCTAGCATTTAAATTACCTTTCTGCCAAAAGTTCATTGTATAAGTTTGCTTTTGCACATAAATTGTCAAACCAAACAGGAAGGCTTTAAAACCTGAAATGCTCAAAAATAACACAAAGCAACATGCATTATTTAGGCCACTTTACCCATATGCTGCAAAAAGGCATGTTGTTACAAGGAAGATTAAAATTGCATTTGCCAGGCAAATGCTTCCAAATACTGTAATTCCCACTAATGCATATGATAAGCCAGATGATTTGAAGATTTAAAACCTGCCAATAACTTTTCCTGTAAGTTATTACCATGTGTCTGAGAGAAAGGAAAACACAAAAGAAAGAAAGAAATGAATTCATTAACTTTAAGAACAAAAACCACCACTGTTACAGTATAGGACTACACATTAGAAATAAATTTGATGTATTTCTGTAATGGATGTGCCACTAAGTCCTAGCTGCTCATTACAAAGTTTCAGATAGGACTGCCAGGCAGTAAGGAACACAAGCTCTCTAAAACATGGGTCAGTTTGTTTGTTTACTTTTAGCTCACAAAGGCAAAATTTACTTCTTATTGTCCTACTATGATTCTATGCAAGTCACTACATCTAAAATAATTATTGCAATATAAAAGTGGCTCTAAAAACAGCAAATATCAATTTTCTTTTGGTCCTTGATACTTTTTCAATTATGAGAGTGAAAACATTTTATTTTCTTGTTCTTGTATGTAACATTAGAGATTTTCAAAGTAATTATTCAATGTTTCTTGGAAAATACTTATACTAATACATTTCATTATATCTTTTTTTAATCCCATCTGAAGTAGCAATAACAATACTAGCTACCATTTATTAAATGGCTACCATCAAGCTTTATGTAATTCTTTTAACAACTCTTTGTCAGGATAGCAATGACATCATTTTATGGATAAATCTGAGACTTAAGAGGTTAAATTACCACAGCTGAGAAGAGCCCAGATTCAAACCTGGGCTGACTCTAAATCCTATTACAGTATACCCCTATACATCCCAAGTATAAATGTAAATAATAGTATTAAAACATATCCTCAAAAGTATGTTTAAACAAAGATTTTAAAACCAGACAGATGTTTGTCAGATGCACCTATTTATGAACAGCCAGCTGTATAAAAACCACTACTGCCCCCTGTGAACACCACCCCAAAACAGTCATATCTTCCCCACTCTCTGAAACACAAACTAGCAAAATAGAACAGAAGCATCGGTTAGTACTGTAAGGAGATGAAAAAGATGTAGTAAATAAAATAAATCTGACAGAATACACATGATAATCTCAACTGGTAGTAAGTGCCTTATAAACCAATTTACCTGAATTCCTTTAAGTCCACATAAGAAATAGTTGTGCCACAAAGGCTTGGTTTTATCAATCTGGATGTTATTAGCACTAGTACTGAAGTCCCTGCGAAGACAAAAGACACCATTAATTTAAAATCTGTAGGCCTTGAGCTGCAAAATCAATGGATGACTGCTGCCATCTTGTGCCAACACAGCGATACTGACTCTCCTTTACCTTTTATGTTCAAACTGTGTGTCTACAGCAAAACATCTCCAGCTGCTAAGAGTTAAGAGAGGAAGTTGCAGTGGCCTTAGTGACTAAACTACCTCCAACTGACCCTTTTTATTTCCTGAAACACAGAGGAAACAATATATTTCAGAGTAATCTACAACTATTTTCTCTTTCATGTTGGTCCTTGTTAAACTGGTGTAAACCACATGAATGCTTATCCTCTGGGCCTGCTGTTTGGCACACCCCCAAACTGAAACAAGAGTACTCAAAGCCATCTCTGCCACCCATCCAATTTTACCATCTGCACAATTTAAGAAAAAAAAACAAATAAACAAAATGATGATTTTGATGCATAATCAATTTAACAAAATAAGATTCCATGAGTCTATACTAATGTAAGTTAACAAATGAATACAAAGCTAAATGAAGAGGAAAGAAAAACTCTTTATTATGGTAAAATGCTAACTAATAGATATAGAAGGAATGATGTGAATAGAAAAGTCACTACATGGTAAACTGTATGATAATTTGTTTCAGGAAACAATCATCAATGGACTGTTAAACTTAATAAACTGGCTAAACTGGGCTAAACTTAGTAAAAATGTGATGAGAAGCAAGATATTTACAGTATTTCCCCACCAGACACTTATGAACTACAATGGAAAAACATAGTATCTGGGCCAGGCGCAGCAGCTCACACCTCTAATCTCAGCACTTTGGGAGGCCAAGGCAGGCGGATCACAAGTTCAGGAGTTCGAGACAAGCCTGGCCAATATGGTGAAACCCTGTCTCTACTAAAAACACAAAAATTATCTGGGTGTGGTGGTGGGAGCCTGTAGTCCCAGCTACTCAGGAGGCTGAGGCAGAAGAATCGCTTGAACCCGGGAGGTAGAGGTTGCAGTGAGCTGAGATCGTGCCACTGCACCCCAGCCTGGGCGACAGAGCAAGATTCCGTCTCAAAAAAAAAAAAAAGTATCTGATATGGTTTGGCTGTGTCCCCACTCAAATCTCATCTTGAATTGTAGCTCCCATAATTCTCACACGTTGTGGGAGGGACCTGATGGTAGGTAACTGAATCATGGGGGGTGGATCTTTCTTGTGCTTTTGTCATGATAGTGAATAAGTCTCATGGGATCCGCTGGTTTTACAAAGGGGAGTTCCCCTGCACATGCTCTCTTTGCCCGCTGCCATGTAAGATGTGACTTTGCTCCTCATTTGCTTTCTGCCATGATTGTGAGGCTTCCCCCGCCATATGGAACTGTGAGTCAATTAAACCTCTTTCCTTTATAATTACCCAGCCTAGGGTTTTTCTCTATTAACAGCATGAAATATAGCATCTTTATGGTAGAAAGATCTGACAGATGCCACCTTAATCAAATGATCAAAATTAACACCACCAGTAAAGGGATGTTTTGTGCCTCCTTGATACAATATACTAAGCATACATCCATGGAATGTGGGATTTCCTTATGCTATTCTTGTGTCTTCTTTGAAAGTCAAAAAAAATACTTCAAAATGAAAAATAGGCAGATAAATAAATAGGCTCCTAAAATCAGCCGAAGGACAATGTATGTGAAATGGGAGAATCAATTAAAGAGGAGGAAATGAAGCAAAATTCCCCATATTGACTGAGTGCTCTAATATAACTGACTAAATATCTACTATATGCCAATCATTGTAATAGATGCCTTCCATGGATTATTTTAACTCAATAACATGGATACATTATCTCTTTTAAAATATATTAAGTGGCTAACCACTTAAGCATACAAAGCATGCATGGGAATATAAAGGTAAAAGGCAGAAGGCTTGCCTTTTAAAAGTTCACAATCTAGCCAAGATGACATGAACATAAATAACTACCAAACAGTAATGGCACGTGATAATAATACTGGGTGGCATACGTGGCTGAGAGAGTATTATTTCTAAAAGTCCGCATTTGATAGAGAGAGGACGTCTTCCTGGAGGCTCAAAGAGGTTTAGCTGCTTTCCAAAAATGCGTAGTCTGACTTCAGCTCATCAGAATTTTACTCTACTGTCACTCACAGAAGTTGAAAATATGTTGCTCACCATCAACAAGAGGTCACACAATTTGAAAGCAGATACAGTTATGTTAGCATATCTGACAGGTTCTATTCCTAGTTAAAAGGACATCTTGAAAGTCACTAAGAAAAGAAAAACAGAAAGAGATTTTGAGAGGGGAATATGAACAGAGGGGGTAGGCAGGTATGAGGAGAAAAAGAGGAGGATAGTTGCACATATGTAGGAAGCTACATGAGCAACGTTCCAGAAAGAACTGTGATATAATTTGGATTTGCATCCCTGCCCAAATCTCATGCCAAGTTGTGATTCCCCAGTGTTGGAGGTGGGACCTGGTGGGAGGTGACTGGATCATGGGGGTGGATTTCCCCCTTTGGTATTGTTTTCATGATAGAGCTCTCACTAGATCTGGTTATTTAAAAAGTCTGTGGCACTTCCCACCTCTCTCTCTTCCTCCTGGCTCTGGCCATGTAGACATGCCTGCTTCCCCTTTGCCTTCCACCATGCTTGTAAGTTTCCTGAGGCCTCCCTAGCCATGCTTCCTGTACACCTGTAGAATTGTGAGTCAATTAAACCTCTTTTCCTTATAAATCACTCAGTCTCAGGTATTTCTTTATAGCAGTGCAAGAATGAACTAATATGGAAAATTGGTAACAAGGACAGGGGCATTGGTATAAAGATACCTGAAAATGTGAATTTGCATTTGGAACTGGGTAACAGGTAGAGGTTGGACCAATTTGGAGGGCTGAGAAAAAGACAGGAAGATGAGGAAAATTTGTAACTTCCTAGAGACTTGTTGAACGGTTGCTTTGAAAATCCTGATAGTGATATGGACAATGAAATCCCAGCTAAGAAGGTCTCAGATGAAAATGAGGAACTTCTTGGGAACTAGTGTAAAGGTCATTTTTGTTATGCATTAACAAAGAGCCTGGAGGCATCTAGGGGTATGTGGAACTTTGAACTTGAGAGTGATGGTTTAGGTTACTGACAGGAGAAATTTCTAAGCAGCAAAGCAGTCAAGATATAGCCTGCTGCTTCTAACAACCTATGTTCATATGCGTGAGCAAAGAAATGACCTGAAACTGAAACTTATATTTAAAAGGGAAGCAAAGTGTACGAGTTTGAAAAATTTGAAGGCTGGCCATGTGGTAGAAAAGAAAAGGCCTTTTTGGAGGAGGAGTTCAAGCCAGCTACAGAAATTTGCATAAGTAAAGAATAGTCAAATGCTGATGGCCAAGACAAAGGGGAAAAGACTTTCAAAGCATTTCAGAAACCTTTGCAGCAGTTCCTTCCATCACAGGCATGTAGGTCTAAGAAGGAAGAATGGTTTCATGAACAGGGACCAGGGTCCCACTTCCCTGCACAGGCTCAAGACACTGCTCCCCATATCCTGACCCCTCTGCCTCCAGGGGTGGCTGAAAGGACTTCAGATACAGCTCAGGCTGCTGCTTCAGAATGTGCAAGCCATAAAACTTGGTGTTTCTATGAGGTGTTTAGCCTGCCAATGTTCAGAGTGCAAGAGTTAAGGCTTCGGGAGCCTCTGCCTAGATTTCAGAGTATGTGTAGAAAAGCCTAAATGTCTAGGCAGAACCCTGCTGCAGGAGCAGAGCCGTCATGGAGAATCTCTACTAGGGCAGTACTGAAGGGAAATCTGGGGTTGAATCCCTCACACAGAGCCCCACTGGGGCACTACCTAGTGGAGCTGTGAGAAGAGGGCCATTGTCTTCGAGACTGCAGAATGGTAGATCAACCAGGAGCTTGTACCATGCACATGTAAAAGCCGCAGGTGCATGAACACTAGCCCATGAAAGCAGCCTCAGGGGCTTTACTTTGCAAAGCCTCAGAGGTGCAGCTTCCCAACCTTAGGAGCCCACCCCTTGCCCCAGTGTGCCCTGGAAGTGAGATGTGGAATCAAAGGAGATTATTTGGAGCTTTAAGATTTAATGACTCCCTTGCTGGGTTTCAAACTTACATGGGGCCTGTAGCCCCTTTCTTTTGGCTAATTTCTCCCTTTTGGAAAAGAAGTATTTACCCAGTGCCTGTACCCTCACTGTATGTTGGAAGTAATAACTAACCCATTTTTTATTTTACAGGCTTATAGGCAGAAGGGACTTGCCTTGTCTCAGATGAGATTTTGGACTGTGGACTTGTAAGTTAATGCTGGAATGAGTTAAGACTCTGAGGACTGTTGAGAAGGATGACTGAATTTTGGAATGTGAGTACCTGAGACTTGGGAGGGGCCAGGGACAGAATAATATGGTTTGGATTTGTGTCTCTGCCCAAATCTCATGTCAAATTATAATCCCCAGTTTTGGAAGTGGGGTCTGGTGGAAAGTGATTGGATCACAGAGGTGGATTTCCCCCTTTGGTACTCTTCTCGTGATACAGTTCTCACTTGACTTGGTTGTGTAAAAAGTGTGTAGCTGCCCCCAGCCCTCTGCCTCCTGCTCCACTCATGTAAGACATGCCTGCTTCTCCTTTGCTTTCCACCATGTTTGTAATTTGCCTGAGGCCTCCGCAGCCATGCTTCCTGTATATCCTGTAGAGAATCATGAGCCATTTATACCTCTTTTATTTATAAATTACCCAGTCTCAGGTATTTCTTTATAGCAGTGTAAGAATGGACTAATACAAACTGAAAAGTGCCAGCTCCCACAGAATTAGAAGTATGGCTCAAGTCTGTCAGAAAAAAACAAAAAAAAACTGCTTTTTGATTAGTTATTGATCTTTGCTCTTTCCCACATCCCTATCTCACCTCTCTACCTAGCCTTTTCCTGAGGTTCAAAACCACTCATTTTCCCACCAATTCTCAACCCTGCATTACATTATCCATTTGCTTTCTCTACCCCCACTTCCATGTTTGTAGAATTCTGAGAAAAGAATCCTGAAAATGAGCAGACATGACCCATTATTACATTAATACTTTCCACTTACATATTTTATTCATTTACTTGTTCTTCAAAGAAACATCTGCCCAGTGTCTACCCTGTGTGTGTCTGGACCTGGGGTAGGTAGACCATTATAAGACACCTGTGTGTGTCTGGATCTGGGGTAGACCATTTATAATAAGAGTAGCATCAAAAAAAATATGAAGTCGGAGGCACAGAAGAATGCCTGTAGGCATCTGGTACTTGCCTCCTCCATAAAGAAGAACCAAAATAACAAGTTGACAATCATAGTTAGAATAGATCATGTAAGAGAGAACACTGAATTCAACAAGAAGTGACAAGGAACACCTAAGGCAAGGAAGGAGAGGAAATCAGGGCAGCCTGCTCAGCCAGAATCAGCTGGGAGCCTGGAGAGGCTCTTCAGCGTGGGTAAAGGGCAAGAGAAACACCCCAAGTGGTCCACATTACTATCAAGGACTCCTGCAATCCTAGCCATAGGAGAGCGCCTCAACCCTTTAGGACCATGCGACTGACAGAGGAACTACTTGGAAATCACATGATGGCATTGCTCCAAAGAGGAAATTCATGCTGGGTTCCACACACCCCCAAGTCTTAAGCAACTTGCACATCACTATCCTGAGATCCCAGACTCTACTAGACCGCATCCTGCCATGGGGATCAACAGCTCCTGTCTCCACATCCTTGCAACCTCTCTGATGTCCCCTACCCACAGACACCACGAGTGCTAACTGCTGTTGTCAGAGCCAAAATGTAAGCCACTGGCAATAACTACAATACTCCCAGCAGTGGGACTGCTGTGTATTTTCACGAGCCCTAAATACAGACTCCCTCACTCACAGCAACTTCCATTGCACTGCTGAGGCCAAACCATGAGCCACTGGCAGAACCCTGGTATTCACAGCAGCAGAGCCACCATGGATTTTCAAGTGCCCCGAGGAAACGCTACCCCACCTGCAGCCACTACCTGGAGCCAAAGTGCATGCTCCCCAGCCAATTGTCTACGACTGCTGCCAGTAAAAGCAACCCCACTCTCCCCCGCAGCTGGGCCACATCACAGCCACTGCCACCACCACCTGGGCATTCCACTAGGTGGCTTGGTTCACTCTACTACTGCCTACCACTTGCATACACCACCAGGAGGCCTGAGGATAGGCCCGCCCTGCCAGACTCCACCCCTATGCCTAAGCATACAATCCAGGGTACTAAGAATGGCTGTGACCAATCTACCACCATTGGCACCTGAATACTCTCCCAGAGACCTAAAGATGAGCCCACCCAACGTACTACTACTACCACAGCTAGCTTCCACCTGCATGCAACACCTGTGGCACAGGGGACCAACTCACCCAGCCTAATACAGCCACCAACAACAATGCAGAATGCTTTGGAGCCAGAGGGTTGTTCTACTACTGCTACTGCCATCACACAGGTGACACTAACTACCCAGGGGTCCAAGGACCCAGCCACTCACCCAGCTCACTGCTACAACTGCCAGGATCCACAGTCTCCAACAACAACCATATCCTAAGTCACTGAGGAAATCAGAGACCAGTGATACTGTTTATAGCCAAAGGAATTATACAGAGACTACAATACTACAAGTGCCAAGAATCAATGCCAACATGCCAACCCAACCAATATCATAGGTACATCTTTGAGAAAAAGTCACTGTCTATAAAAGCAAATTCAAAAACTTGGAAGAAGCAAAACAATTCACCAGCAACAGATTCCAATGACAAAGAAATTTATTAAATTCCAGAAATAGAATTCAAAGTAATGACATTTAAAAAGCTCAGTGAAGCTGGGTGTGGTGGTTCACACCTGTAATCCCAGCACTTTGGAAGGCTGAAGCAGGCAGATCACTTGAGGTCAGCAGTTTGAGACCAGCCCATCCAACATGGTGAAACACCATCTCTACTAAAAATACAAAAATCAGCCAGGTGTGGTGGTGGGTGCCTGTAATCCTCAGCTACTCGGGAGGCTGAGACATGAGAATCACTTGAACCCAGGATGCAGAGGCTGTAGTGAACCAACATCATGCCACTGCACTCCAGCCTGGGCAACAGATTGAGACTCCATCGCAAAAAAAAAAAAAAAAAAAAAAAATATATATATATATATATATATATATATCAGTGAAAGACAAGAGAACACAGATACAAAGAAATCGGAAAAAAATTCTAGAATATGAAAAAGAAATTTAACAAATGGATATCATAAAATAAACAAAAATATTGGAACAGAACAATTCACTGAATGAAATAAAACATGCATTTGAAAGCCTCAACAATAAACTAGATCAAGCAGAAGAAAGAATTTCAGTACCTAAAGATAGCTCTTTTGAAATAACACAGTCAGACAAATATAAGGAAAAAATGATAAGAGAGAATGAAAAAACCTTATGTAACTTATGAAGCATCATAAAGCAACCAAATATTTGAATTTTTGGTGTTCAAGAAAGCAGAGAAAACCAAAAGGATAGAAAACCTACTTAACAAAATAATAGCTGAAAACTTCCCCAGTCCAGTAACAGATTTACATATTCTGATACAGGAAGCTCAGAGATCCCCAAACAAATATGACTTTAAAAGGTCTTCTCCATGGCACATTATAGCAAAGTGGTCAAAAGTCAAAGACAACAAGAAAATTCTTAAAGCAGCAAAAGAAAAGCATCTAGACACTTACAAAGGAGCCCCACCAAAACAACAGTGGATTTCTCAGCAGAAACCATACAGGCCCTGAGAAAATGGGATGATATATTCAAAGTGTAGATAGAAAAAGACTGGCAGCCAAGGATACTATACTCAACAAAATCATCCTTCATAAATGAAGGAGAACTGAAGTCTTTCCTAGAAAAACAAAAGCTGAGCACATTTATCATGAATGGGCTGAACCTACAAGCAATACTTAAGGGAGTACTATACCTGGAAGCAAAGGGATAATATATACACCAACAGGAAAACACATAAAAGTATAAAGCCCACTGGTAGAGCAAACTCATGAATAAGAAAGAGAAAGGACTCAAATGTTACCACTACAGAACACCACCAAACCACAACAAACAAGAGAGAAATAAAAAAAAGAAAAAAGATATATAAAACAACCAGAAGTCAATTAACAAAATGACAGGAATAAGCCCTCCCATATCAATAATAACATTGAATGTAAAAAGATTAAATTTTCCAATTAAAAGATACAAACTAGGATAACTGATTTAAAAACATGACCCTATAATAAGCCCCCTACAAAAATAAAACCTCTTTTCATCTGAAAAAAACACATATATATTGAAAGTAAGAGAATGAAAAAAATATATTCCATGCAAACAGAAACCAAAAGCAAGCAGGAATAGCCATGCTTATATCAGATAAAATAGACTTTAAGTCAAAAAAAAGTAAAAATAGACAAAGAGGGGTATTATATAATGACAAAGGGATCAAATTAGCAAAGGATATGACAACTCTAAACACATATACACTCAACAACAAAGCACCCAGATATATAAAGCAAATATTATTATGACTAAAGGGAGAAAGACAGCACAATACAATAATACTTGGGGACTTCAGCAGCCCACTCTCAACATTACAGAGATCATCACAACAGAAAATTTAAAAAGAAACACTGGATTTAGACTGCACTACTGACCAAATAGACCTAACAGAAATTTACAAAACATTTCATCCAGCAGCTACAGAATATACATTCTTCTCATCAGCAGATGAAACATTCTCCAGGATAGACCATATGTTAGGACACATAACAAGCCTCAACAAATTTCTTAAAATGGAAATCATGTCAAATATCTTCTTAGATACAACAGAATAAAACTAGACAGTGTGTATCAAATACCTTCTTAGATACAATGGATTAAAATTAGATAGTAATAAAAAGAGGAACTTGTGATACTGTATAAATACAAGGAAATTTAACAGCATTATTCTGAATGACCACTAGCTCAAGGAAGAAATTAACATAGAAATCAAAAAGTTTATTCAAATAAATGAGAACTGAAACACAACATACCAAAATCTATGGAATATACTAAAAACACTGCCAACAGAGAAGATCATAGCAATGAATGCCTACATCTAGAAAGAAAGAGTTCAAATAAGCAACCTAATTATGCATCTCAGGGAATTAGAAAAGCAATAAGAAACAAAACCCAAAAATAGTGGAAGGAAAGAAATAATGAAGATCAGAATAGAAGTAAATAAAGTAGCTACTAAAAAAAAACATAAAGGGTTAAAGCTTTTGGAGGGATAGCAGATAAGGTGGCTGACTAGACACAGCCAGGAAGCACCACTCCCACTGAACGAGACTAAAAATTAAGTAAACTAATAAACTTTGAGCAAATCTTAGACAGAAAACACCAAGAGTAGATAGAGAAGCAACACTGACACTGAGGCTGAAAAGAGAAGAAGCTGGGAACCTTGTGTGGGGTTGCTGAATGCTAGGGCTCATGCTCAGCCCTGAAAGCCTCCTGAGGGAGGGGTTAGTGAAGGGATAGTGGGGCAACCCACTCTTGCTGCAGATCTCCAATCCTAGGTACAAGAGATCCTATGACGCCCATAAACATTTAAACTGGCAAGGGGATCTGCCTGGAGAGTAGGCAGTAAAAGTACTCCAGCCTATATGGAATGGAGGTTTGGCACACATGACAGCCGCAAGCAGAATACAGCCATAGGTGCCCATCCCCCAACGCTCCCCTTCTTCCTCTGAGTAACTCTAACCCCAGTTGACCACTGGGTCAAGAGAACAGGGCTGACTTTCCAGTGGGAATGGGGCATGTCTGTTCTGCAGGCACTCCTGCCCACCAGCCCCTTCCAAGGCCTCTGCCCAGCTGCTCTAACAGGAACATGAGTACAGTGCAGCCTCCACTGCCCAGTATGGGTGCTTTATCAAAAGGCCAGCCTGAGTACTTTCTCAGAGGTCTGGAAGCAGTTGGAATCCCCCAGCACAGTTGGTGCTGTGCCAAAGGGAGCCAAAAGATGGAGCTGTGGGCCAGTCCCAACAGCTCAGGGCTGCAGCATGCAGCTTGGGAATCTTGAGCCAAGATCTGTAGCCAGTGCTAGAGCAGGGAAGGAGCCCACACCCTCAGAAGACAGAGAGGAGTGAAACACAGAGGCTTGTAAGCCAGCACCAGAGAAGGGCATCTCTCCCTCTACAGCAGCAGTCCCCAACCTTTTTAGCACAGGGACCAGTTTTGTGGAAGACAATTTTTCCATGGATGGTGTATGTTGGGGAGGAGGGGATGGTTTCAGGTTGAAACTGTTCTACCTCAGATCATCAAGCATTGGATTATCATAAGGAGCATGCAACCTAGATCCCTCCCACATGCAGTCCACAATAGGGTTCATGCTTCCATGACAGTCTAATGCCACTGCTGATCTGACGGGAGACCGAGCTCAGGTGGTAATAATGCTCACTCACCCACCACTCACCTCCTGCTGTGTGGCCCACTTCTGAACAGGCCATGAAGCAGTAACAGGGATTGGGGAACCCTGCTCTACAGGACCAGTCCAAGAATGGTGTGGCCTATCTGCAGGTCATAGCCTCTGCCTGAGGGAGCCCTGCAGCCCGGAAGACCTAATTAAAGAAAAAGACAGGATCAGTGCCAGTGATCAGAGGCGGCTTCCTCAAAGCTCAGGAACAGACCTGCTGAGAGGGTCATCTGTCTCCCCCTACCCCACTATAGACCACTACTGCAAATGCACTGAAATACAAAAAAAGCTGTGAAGCTGATTAAGAGCCTATCTGCTGGCCACCACTCTTAAGCACCATTTACTGGATCACATCCCAAATTAAAACACCAAAAATAATCTGCCAATATACATCACTTGTGAAACCAGGGGCAAGAATCTAGCCACAAATAAAGATCCTGTACAGAGCCTTGGCCCTCTGAAAGCAACCAGAAATGAAGCCAATTGACTATCCTCCATTTAAACCACAGTTAAAAGAACACCACTTCTCTCAGAGGAGAATCAGTGAAAAAACTAAAGTAAAAGGAAAAAAATTGGAGTTATCACATTACCCAACTTCAAATTATACTACAAGGCTATAGTAACCAAAACAGCATAGTATTGGTACAAAAACAGATACACAGACATAGACTTATAGAACAGAATAGAAAACCCAGAAATAAAGCTGAACACCTACATCCATCTGATCTTCCACAAAGTCAACAAAAACAAGCAATGAAGGAAGGGCTCCCTATTCAATAAATGGTGCTGGTATAACTGGTTAGCCGTATGCAGTAGAATGAAACTGGACCCCTATCTTTCAGCATATATAAAAATTTATTCAAGATGGATAAAAGATTTAAATATAAGACCTCAAGCTGTATGAATCCTAGAAGAAAACCTAGGAAATGCTTAGAATTTGGCCAAGATTTTATGGCTAAATCTCCAAAAGCAACTGTGATAAAAACAAAAATTGACAAGTGAGACCTAATTAAAGAGGTTCTGCACAGCGAAAGAAACTATCAACAGAGTAAACAGATAACTCACAAAATGAGAGAAAATATTCACAAACTATGCATCTGACAAAGGTCTAATATCAGAATCTGTAAACATTGTAAACAAATAAACAAGCAAAAAACAAATAATCCCACTTAAAAATGGGCAAAGTATATGAACAAACACTTCTCAAAGGAAGACATACAAATGCAAATCAAAACCACAATGAGATACCATCTCACTCCAGTCAGAATGGCTATTATGTAAATGTCAACAAGAAACAGATGCTGGCAAGGCTGTGTAGAAAAAGGAATGCTTATACACTCTTGGTGGGAGTGTAAATTAGTTCAGCCACTGTGGAAAGCAGTTTGGAGTTTCCTCACAGAACTTAAAACAGAACTACCATTTAACCCAGCAATCCCATTACTGGGTATATACCCATAGGAAAATAAATTATTCTAAAAAAAAAAAGACACATGCACTCATATGTTCATTGAAGCACTATTTACCATAGCAAACACATGGAATCAACGCAGGTGCCCATCAATGGTGGGCTGGATAAAGAAACTGTGGTATACATACACCAGGGAATACTATGCAGCCATAAAAAGGATGAAATCATATCCTTTGCGACAACATGGATGCAGCTGGAGGCTATAGTCCTAAGCAAATTAACACAGGAAGAAAATCAAGTACTGCTGCATGTTCTCACTTATAAGTGGGAGCTAAATATGAGTACACAGGGACATAAAGATGGGAACAATAGACACTGAGGACTAGTAAGCAATGGCGGGGGCAGTAGGGAGGCAGGAAGTGTGGGCTGAAAAACTGCCTATTGGCTGCTATGCTAACTACCTGGGTGATGGGATCATCTGTACCCCAAACATCACCATTACAAAATGTATCCAAGTAACAAACCTGCACATGTAACCCCTGAATCTAAAATAAAAGTTGAAATTATTTTACTGAAAAAATACAAAGAATCAAGAAAATGGAAAGTTGATTATTTGAAAAGAAGAACAAAATTGATAAACTGCTAGCCAGATTAACCACGAAAAAAAGTGAGAAGACCCAAATAAACAAAATCAGAATCAAAAAAGGACATTACAACTGATACCATGGAAATACAAAAGCTTATCAGACACTGTTATGAACAACTATACTATACACAAACAAACCAGAAAACCTAAAGGAAATTGATAAATTCCTAAACACACAACATACCAAGATTAAATCAGGAAGAAACAAAAAACATAAACAGACTAGTAACAAGTACCAAGATTGAAACAGTAAAATGAAAAGGCTTCCAACAAAGAAAAGCCCAAGACTGGACAGCTTCACTGAAAAATTCTACCAAACTTACAAAGAACAAATACCAATCCTCTTCAAACAATTCCAATGAATTGAAGAGAAGGGAATTAACCTAGTCCCAAAAGGCAAGCATCACTCTGATGCTAAAATTAGAGAAAGGTGTAACAAAAACCAAAACTGCAGGCCAAGATCCCTATTTACATATATGTAAAAATCTTCAACAAAATTGCCGCAAACTGAATCCCACAGCACATCAAAAAGATAAAACACCATGATCAAGCGGGATTTATCCCAGGGATGCAAGGATTGTTCAAGAAACACAAATCACTAAATGTGACACATCGCATCAGTAGAATAAAGGACAGAAACCACATAATCATCTCAATAGACATAGAGAAAGCATGTAATAAAATTCAACATCCTTTCACGATAAAAACTCTCAATTATCAGGCATAGAATAAATATACCACAACACAATAAAAGTCTCATATGACAAACCCACAGCTAACATCATATCAAATAAAGAAAAGTTGAAGCCTTTCCTGTAAAACCTGGAACCCAAAAAAGATGACCAATATCACTACTCCTAGTCAACATAATACTAGAAATTTTAGCCAGAATAATCAGGCAAGAATAAAAATAGAAGGATCCAAGTTGAAATGGAGGAAGTTAAATTGTCCTGTTTCACAGGTGACATGATTTTATATCCAGAAAAACCTAGACTCTAAAAAAAACTCTTACACCTAATAAATAAATTCAGTAAAGTTGCAGTATAAAAAACCAACATACAAAAATTTGCAGCATTTCAATACATCAATAATGAACTAGCTGAGAAAGAAATTAAGCCAGAAATGCTGTTTATAATAGCTACAAAAAAAAATACCTAAGAATAAATTTAACCAAGGAGATGAAAGATCTCTAAGGAAAACTAGAAAACACTGATGAATGAAATTGAAGAGGACACAAACAAATGAAAAGACATCCCATGTTCATGGATTGGAAAAAATTAATATTGTTAAAATGAACATACTGCCCAAAGCAGTCTACAAATTCAATGCAATCCCTATGAAAATACTACTGTCATTTTCACAAAAATAGAAAAATATCCTAAAATATGTATAAAACCAAAAAAAAGAGCCCAAATAGCCAAAGCACTCCTGAGGAAAAAGAACAAAGCAAGAGGGGTCACGCTATCTGACCTCAAAATATATTATAAGGCTATAAAAACCCAAACAGCAAGGTATTGGTATCAAAACAGACACAAGTAATAATGGGACAGAAGGGAGAACCCAGAAATACATCCATGTATGTACAGCAAACTCATTTTCTTTTTTTTTTAATTTTTTTATTTTTTTCAAGACAGAGATTTTGCTCTTGTTGCCCAGGCTGGAGTGCAGTGTCACGATCTCGGCTCACTGCAACCTCCACCTCCTGGGCTCAAGCAATTCTCCTGCCTCAGCCTCCTGAGTAGCTGGGATTATAGGCACGCACCACCACACCCAGCTAATTTTTTGTATTTTTAATAGAGACAGGGCTTCATCATGTTGGCCAGGCTGGTCTCAAACTCCTGACCTCAGGTGATCTGCCTGCCTCAGCCTCCCAAAGTGCAGGGATTATAGGCATGAGCCACCACGCTCGGCCAGCAAACTCATTTTCAACAAAGGTACCAAGAAAATACATTCAGGAACAAACACCCTCTTGAATAAATGGTGCTGGGAAAACTCAATACCCATATGCAGAAGAATGAATTGAACCCCTATTTCTCACCATATACAAAATTCAATCCAAGATAGGTTAAAGACTTAAACATAACACCCACAACTATAAAACTACTAGAAAGAAATATAGGGGAAACACTTTAGGATATAGCCAAAGATTTTATGACTAAGATCTCAAAAGTACAGAAAAATAAAACAAAAATAGATAAATAAAACTATTTTAAACTAAAAAGCTTCTGCCCACATAGGAAGCAATCAACAGAGTGGGGAGACAACCTGTTGAATGGGAGAAAATATTTGCAAACTATTCATCCAACAAGGAACTAATATCCAAAATATACAAGGAACTCAAAACACTCGATAGTAAAAACTAGTAATAATCCCATTTAAAAGTGGACAAATAACATGAAGAGACATTTTTCCAAAGACATACATACAAATGGCAGATAGGTATATGAAAACTGCTTACCATCACTAATCATCAGCAAAATGGAAATCAAAACCACAATGAGACATCATCTTACCCAAGTTAGAATGGCTATTACTAATAAGACTAAAGAAAACAGATGCTGGTAAGGACACAGAAAAAAGGAAACACTTATACACTGTTGGTGAGAATGTAATTAGTGCAGCCATTATACAAAACAGTAGGGAGATTTCTCAGAGCACTAAAAACACAACTACCATATGATCCAGCAACCCTAATACTGCGTATTTATCCAAAGGAAAAGAAATCAGTATATCAAGGGGATACCTGCACTCCATATTTATTCCAGTACCATTCACAATAGCAAAGATAGGGAATCAACCTAAGTGCCCACCAACAGATGAATAAATAAAGAAAATGTATATATACACAATGGAATACTACTCAGCCATAAAAAAAATAAAATCATGTCATTTGCAGCAATGTGGATGGAATAAGCCAGGTACAGAAAAACAAACATCAGATATTCTCACTCATATGTGGGAACTTAAAAAACTGATCTCATGAAGGTACAGGGTAGAATAATAGATAATAGAGGTGAGGAATGGTCAGTGAACGGGGGATAAAAAGAGGTTGGCAAATAGGTAAAAACATACGGTTAGATAGAAGGAATAAGTTCTAATGGTCTATAGCAGAGTAGGGGGACTATAGTTATCAACCATGTATTGTATATTTCAAAATACCTAGAAGAAAGGACCTGTAATGTCCCAACACAGAAATGACAGAACAAGACTCTGTCTCAAAAAAAAAAAAAAAAAAAAGACTTGTATCTATAAGAAACTCAAAAATAGGGAAATGATTTGAGAAGACGCTTCAACAAAGAATATATCTAGGTAGCAAATAAGTAGATGAAAAGATGTTCAACATCATTAATCAGAGAAATTTAAAAACTTGAAATATGCTACTACACATTTATGAGAATAGCTAAAATTTTAAGACATGTTAGTAACACCACTGGTGAAAATGTAAAATTATACAACTTTGGCAAGCAGAAAATATCTTTTTTTTTGAGACAGAGTCTCGCTCTGTCACCCTGGCTGGAGCGCAGTGGCGCAATCTTGGCTCACTGCAACCTCCACCTCCGAGGTTCAAGTGATTCTCCTGCCTCAGCCTCCTGAGTAGCTGGGATTACAGGTGCATGCCACAATACCCAACTAATTTTTTTGTATTCTTAGTGGAGACAAGCTTTTGCCATGCTGCCCAGGCTGGTCTCGAACTCCCAGGCTCAAGAGATCCATCCACCTCAGCCTCCCAAAATGCTGGGATTACAGGCGTGAACCACCGTGCCCAGCCAGAAAATTTCTTTAAAAGGCTATATTAGTTCATTTTCATGCTGCTGATAAAGACATACTTGAGACTGAGCAATTTACAAAAGCAAGAGATTTAATGAACTTACAGTTCCACATGGCTGCGGGAGCCTCACAATCATGGCAGAAGGCAAGGAGGAGCAAGTCACGTCTTATATCAATGGTGTCAGGCAAAAAGAGAGCTTGTGCAGGGAAACTCCCATTTTTAAAACCATCAGATCTCATGAGACTTATTCATTATCACAAGAACAGCATGGGAAAGACTTGCCCCCATGATTCAATTACCTCCTACCAGGTTCCTCCCAGGACACGTGGGAATTGTGGGAGTTAAAATTCAAGATGAGATTTGGGTGGGGACACCACCAAACCATATCAAAGGCAAACCAGGACGGATGCAGTAGCTCAAACCTGCAATCCCAGCACTTTGGGAGGCTGATGCAGGTGGATCACTTGAGGTCAGTAGCTTAAGACCAGCCTGGTCAACATGGTGAAATCCCATCTCTACCAAAAAATACAAAAATTAGCCAGGTGTGACGGCATGTGCCTGTAGTCCCAGCTACTCCGGAGACTGAAGTGGGAGAATCTCTTGAACCTGGGAGGCAGAGGTTGAGTTGAGCTGAGATCGCCCCACTACACTCCAGGCTGAGCAACAGGGTGAGACCCTGTCTCAATAAATAAATAAATGGCAAACCAGACACTCCAATCATAGGTATTTACCCAACAGAAATGAAACATATGTCCACACATATATTCGTACATAAATATTTGTAGCAGTATTATTCATACAGGCAAAAACTGGGAATGATCTAAATGTCCATTATTGGTAAACAAACAAATTAAGATATACTTACACAATGAATGCTAAAACAAATGGACAATTCTAGGAGGCATACTGCATGCTTCCTAGGGGTCCTGGTAGAATCAAGCCTCCTGCCTCTAGCAGGGACTATATGTCTTGATAATTCACCTCTAATTGCCCAACTCATTCTTCATGCTCTTTCCTACTGCTCCTGGGACCATTTCTCAAATATACTACCTTCATCCAGGTCTGTCTCAGGATCTACTTTTGTGAAAAACGAAACTGAAACCACATATTCATTATTGTGGGAATGATTAAGTAAATTTTACTAAATCAAGATGACAAAATACTATGCACCGATTTTTAAATGTTCATACACAATGACACGAAAATATGCTTGACATAATGTGAGCTTTTCAAGGGTCCAAAATGCACACAAGATATATTATCAAACATGCGAAATGAAAAGGAAAAAAAGATCTTCTACAGTAAGTTCCATATAAAAGTAAAAAACTTCTACGTCTTGCACAAACTGGTATAGAGTCTTATCAAAAATATTTTCCGAATACATGAATGTTATTGCAGATAAACTAACCAATGAACAAGCCAAACATATAATATGCCAAATACAAGCCAAAATCTTTTTCTGTAATTATCAAGTCAAATCCATTATAATACATTAGAAGCAAGTAGAGTTTATCCCAGAAATGCAAAAAGGGCTCAACATTAGAAAATTCGTCAGACTAATTCACCATATTTTTAAAAAAACTGATCTTCAATTCTAAATAGACATTTAATTAAATTCAATACCCATTAGTAAACTTTTTTAATCTTAGCAAACTAAGATTTTTTTTAAAGACTTTGTTAACTTGATAAAGCATATGTACTAGAAACTTACCTCTATTAGGCACCAGACTCTGTTTTATATGCTAGGGCATTGAAGAAGAGAGGCAACAATGCCTGAAGTCACAGAGTTTACAGTCTACTGGGTGACACAGGTAAATAAACAGATAATAATAATACAGCATAATAATATGCTATGACAAGATACTTAGAAGGTGCCATAGTAACATAGGAAAACATCAGACCTGACTTTGCTGGAGATAATTAGATCAATAGATGATAAGTACCTATCGGACAAGGACAGAGTTATTTATCTTTGTATCACCTGGTATCTAAGACTATGTCTAGCACATGATAAGTCTTTGATAAATATTCCTTAAATGAATTGACAAATGAACAAAATGAACAATAAATAATGGCCTTAGAATTTTTTTAATGTCAGACACAAAATATCAATAAGTTAAATGACCTGTTACAAATTTGATGTCTCCTAAAGAGTTCATTTGGGTACAAACAGAACCATACATACACACACACTAACAATTTTAAATACTCACGGATACAAGGGATTTGTATTGGCCAGTTGGAGAGCGTACGTTTTCACAGGTTCTACAGCTATTAGCACATCTTGTTCTACAGCCATAGGAAGAACAGAATATCCACAATAATCTATATGCTCTCCTAGAAAAAAGAGAAAGCTTTTTTAATCATTGCTAATATATAAAACAAAAGCACCTCAAGAAAGTTTACATACAGGAAAAAACTGACCATGAGCCAGGTTTTAACAGTAAATAAAAATAAAGGGAAGCAGAGCAAGATGGCCAAATAGAACCCTTCCATGATCTTACACCAAATTGAGCAACTATCTATGCAATAAACACCTTCATAAGAACCCAGAAAATTCAGGTGAGTACCTGAAAATCACAGTACCTGGTTTTAACATAACATCAGGGATAGAGGAATTGAAGAGGACAGGAAAGACAGTCTTGCATTGCCTACAGGATCCCTTCCAGCATGGACAGAGAAACTGTGTTTGGGGGAGGGAGGGTGAAGTGAGTGTGGGTCTTTGCACTGGAACTTAGTGCAGCCATGTTACAGAAAAACACAAAACAGCAGAACTCTGCTAGCACCCAAGGAGGGGGCATTTAGATCAGCCCTGGGCAAGACAGAATTCTCAATCTCAGCAGGAGGAACCTGAGTCCCAACCAACCTCACCTCTGGCTAACTAAACTGGCCTAGTGCCCAGAATAAGCTTAAGTGGCTGTCAGGCCACAAGTACTGCAGTCCTCGGGCAAGCCCTGGTACTGCACCGGCCTTGGAGGCAGTAGACTTGTGATGTGTGACCAAGTGTGACACCAGCTGTGGCAGCCAGGGGAGTGCCTGATCGCACTGCACCCAACTCCAGGAAGTGCAGTTTGGGGAGAGATTCCTTTAGCTTAAGGAAAGAAGTGGGAAGAGTACAGAAGACTGTCTTGCAATTTGGGTACCAGCTCAGTCGAAGTAAAGCACCAAGGAGATTCCTGAAGCTGTCAATTCCAGGACTTAGTTCCTGGACCCACTCTCATTCAGAGGGAATCCACTGCCCTGAAGAGAAGAACCCAGTCTTGGCAGGATTCACCTGCTCACTAAAGATCCCTTGGGCCTTGAATAAACATCAGCAGTAACCAGGCAAGATCCAGTATTATACAGGCTTCAGGTGTGACCTAGCACAGTGCCAGCTGTGGAAGCCATGGAAGTGCTCTAGGCAGCCCAGTATGGAGACAGACTACTTCTGACTGGGAGGAGTAAAGGGAAGATATCAAGAGGACTTTGCCTGACAACCCAGGGAATTCTCCTTTACCTTACCCAAACTCGTCAAGGCAGTGCCTCTAGATGTCAGGAAGAATTGCAGCATTCCTGGGCTTAGAGCACCTCCTTGTGCCGATATGCCCATACGGACCACAGGCTTAGAGCACAACACACTCAATCCCATTTGAATACATGAAAAGCCTTCTCAAGAATGAAGGGTACAAACAAGCCCAGACTACACAGACAAATAAATATCTAATTTGTCAATGCCCATAAGTGATGAATGTCCACAAGCATCAAGAGTATCCAGGAAAACATGACCTCATTAAATGAACTACAGAAGACACCAGTGACCAATCCCAGAAAGATGGAGATGTATGTCCTTTCAGACAGAGAATTCAAAAGAACTGTCTTGAGGAAGCTCAACAAACTTAAAGATAACACAGGGAAGAAATTCATTATTCTACCAGAGAAATTTAACAAAGAGATTAAAATAGTTTTTGAAATTTCAAACAGAAATTCTGCAGCTGAAAAATTCAACTGGCAAACTCAAAAATGTCTCAGAGTCTCTCAACAGCAGAATCGATCAAGAAAAATAAATAGTGAACCTGAAGACAGGCTATATAAAAATACACAGTCAGAGGAGAGAAAAGAGAAATAATTTTAAAAGAATGAAGCCTCTCTACAAGATCTAGAAAATAGCCTAAAAGGGGCAAATCTAAGAGTTATTGGCTTTAAAGAGGATGTAGAGATAGAGAGATCAGGGTAGAAAGTTTATTCAGTGAAATACTGATAGAAAACTTTCCAAACCTAAGAAAAGATATAAATATTAAGGTATAAGAAGATCACACAACACCAAAAGGATTCAACCCAAATAAGACTAACTCAGTTAATATATTAATCAAACTCTCAAAGGTCAAGGATAAAGAAAGTATCCTAAAAGCAGAAAAAGAAAAGAAGCAAAGAACATATAAAGGGGCTCCAATATGTCTAGTAGGAGACAACTCCGCAGGAAACTTAGAGGCCAAGAGAGAGGGGGATGACATATTCAAAGTGTTGAAGAAAAACAACTTTTGAACTAGAATATTATTTCCAGTAAAATTATCCTTCAAACATGAAAGAGAAATACTTTCCCAGACAAACACAGCTGAGGGGTTTCAACAACACCAGACCTGTCTTGCAAAAAATGTTAAAGAGAGTTATTCAATCTGAAAGAAAAGCACATTAATGTAAAAAAATATATATCACATGGTGGTACAGAACTCACTGGTAGTGGTAAATGAACAGATGAATGAATACAGAATACTCTAACACTGTAACTATAGTGTTAAAACACTCATATCTTAGTAGGAAGATTAAAAGACAAACCTATCAAAAATAGTAACTGAAACAGCTTTCTGAGCATAAAAAGATATAAACAGAGACAATCAAAAGTGACAAAGCAGCCGGGCATGGTGGCTCAAGCCTGTAATCCTAGCACTTTGGGAGGACAAGGCAGGAAGATCACGAGGTCAGGAGATCAAGACTATCCTGGCTAACATGGTGAAACCCCATCTCTACTAAAAATACAAAAAAAAAAAAAAAAATAGCCGGGTGTGGTGGCAGGTGCCTGTAGTCCCAGCTACTTGGGAGGCTGAGGCAGGAGAATCGCTTGAACCCGGGAGGCAGAGGTTGAAGTGAGCCGAGATCACGCCACTGTATCCAGCCTGGGTGACAGAGTGAGACTCCATCTCAAAAAAAAAAAAAAAAAGTGACAAAGTGAAGAAATGGGGTTAAGGTAAAGTTTTGGGGGGTTTTTTTGTTTTCTTTTTGCTGATTTCTTTTTTATTTTCATTGTAATCAGAGTTAAGCTGTCATCTGCTTAAAATAATTGGTTATGTTATTTGCAAGCCTCACAGTAACCACAAAACAAAAACCTGTAACAGATACAAAAAAAGTTGGGTTTTTTTGTTTGTTTGTTTTTGAGACAGACTCTTGCTCGGTCGCCCAGGCTGGAGTGCAGTGGCATGATCTCAGCTCACTGCACGCTCCACCTCCCGGGTTCATGCCATTCTCCTGCCTCAGCCTCCTGAGTAGCTGGGACTACAGGCACCCGCCACCATGCCCAGCTAAATCTTTTTTTATTTTTTAGTAGAGATGGGGTTTCACCGTGTTAGCCATGATGGTCTCGATCTCCTGACCCCATGATCCACCCGCCTCCACCTGCCAACGTGCTGGGATTACAGGCGTGAGGCACCATGCCCAGCCCAAAAAAAGTTTTAAATAATAAATTAAAACATTGTCAGAAAAAGTCACTTTTACACAAAGGAAGACAAGAAGGAAGGAAGAGAGGACCAACAAAACAACCAGAAAATAAATAACAAAATGGCAGTAGTAAGTCTGTACCTTATAACTATAACATCGAATATAAATGGACTAAATTCCCAATAAAAGACAAAGTGGATGAATGGATTATAAAAACAAAAACAATAAGCTAACCTCATCAATAAAGACATGCAGACCAAAAAAAATAAAATAAAATAGAAAAAGATATTCCGGAACACACACCAGGGCCAATTGTGGGGTGGAGGGGAAGGGGAGGAAGAGCATTAGGACAAATAGCTAATGCATGCGGGGCTTAAAACCTAGACAATGGGTTGACAGGTGCAGCAAACCACCATGGCACACGTATACCTAGGTATCAAACCTACACATTCTGCATTTATATCCCAGAACTTAAAGTAAAATTTTTTAAAAAAGAAAAAGATACTCCATACAAATGAAAACCAAACGAGAGCAAGAGTAGTTATGCATAAATAAACAGGATTCAAGATAAAAACTATAAAAAGAGACGAAGGTCATTATATAATGTCAAAGGAGTCAGTTCAGCAACAGGATATAACAATTGTAAATATATGTGCACCCAATGCTGGAGCACTCAGATATGTAAAACAAATATTATTAAAACTAAAAAGAAGGATAGATGCCTATAGAATAATAGCTGGGGATTTCAAAACCTCACTTTCAGCCCTAGGGTATTTATCCAGGGAGAAAATCAACAAAGAAACATCAGACTTAATCTGCACTATAGAACAAATGGATATTTATAAAAACATTCCATCCAACAGCCCCAGAATACACATTCTTCTCATCAGTGCCCAGAATATTCTCCAGGATAGATCTTAAGTTAGACCACAAAACAAGTCTCAAAAAGTTCAAAAAAGTTAAAATAATATCAAGTAACTTCTCTGATCATAATGAAATAAAATTAGAAATAAACATGAAGAAAAACTTTGGAAACTAAGCAAACACTTGGAAAGTAAAAAATATGCTCCTGAATGACCAGTGGGCCAATGAAAAAATTAAGAAATTTTTAAATTTCATGAAACAATTGGGAGTGAAAAGACAACAGATCAAAATCTCCATGATACAGAAAGAGCAGTACAAAAAAGCACATTTAAAACAATAAACACCTACATCAAAAAGGTAGAAATATGTCAAATAAGCAACCTAAAGATGAATCTTAACAAATGAGAAAGGCAAAAGCAAATGAAATGCAGAATTAGTAGAGGAAAAGAATTCGGATCAGAGCAAAAATAAGTAAAATTGAAATTTAAAACTACAAAAAAAAATCAATGAAATTAAAAGTTGGTGTTTTGCAAACATAAACTAAATCAAAAAACCTTTAGCCACACTAAGTAAAAAAGAGGCCAGGTGCACTGGCTCACACCTGTAATCCCAGCACTTTGGGAGGGGAGGCCAAGGTGGGCAGATCACAAGGCCAGGCGTTCAAGACCAGCCTGGCCAACAGGGTGAAACCCCATCTCTACTAAAAATACAAAAATTATCCAGGCATGGTCGTGGACACCTGTAATCCCAGCTACTCGGGAGGCTGAGGCAGGACAATCACTTGAATCTGAGAGGTGGAGGTTGCAGTGAGTTGAGATAGCGCCACTGCACTCCAGCCTGGGCAACAGAGCGAGACTCCATTTCAAACAAAAAAGAAAAAGTAAAAAATAAAGAAGATTCAAATAAATAAAGTCAGATAATTTTTTTTAAAGATATTATAACTGATAGCAGAGAGTCAAGGCATCATTAGAGACTATTATGAGCAACTATATACCAACAAATTAGAAAACCAAGAAGAAAGGGATCAATGCCTAGACCCATATGATATGGCTTGGATCTGTGTCCCCACCCAAATCTCATGGTGAAATGTAATACCTAATGCTGGAAGTGAAGCCTGGTGGGTGTTGATTGAATCATGGAGGTGGTTTCTAATGGCTTAACACAATCTCCTGAGTGTGGTTCTCATGATAGAGTTCTCATGAGATCTGATCATTTAAAAGAGTATAGCACTTCCCCTCCCTCTCGTCCTCCTGCTCTAGCCATGTACGGCGTGCCTCCTTCCCCTTTGTCTTCCACCATGCTTGTAAGTTTCCTGAGGCTTTCCCAGCCATGCTTCCTGTACAGCCTGCAAAATTGTGAGCCAATTAAACCTCTTTTTTTAAATAAATTATCCAGTCTCAGATACTTCTTTATAGCAGTGCAAGAGCAGATTAATACAGAAAATTGGTATCAGAAGTGGGGCATTGCTATAAAGATACCTGAAAATGTGAAAGCACCTTTGGAACTAGGTAAGTGGCAGAGGTTGGAACAGTTTGGAGGGCTCAGAAAAAAGATAGGACGATGAGGGAAAGTTTGGAACTTCCAAGAAACTTGTTGAATGGTTGTGTCCAAAATGCTGATAATAATATGAACAATGAAGTCCCAGCTAAAGAGGTCTCAGATGAAAATACAAAACTTTTTGAGAACTAGAGTAAAGGTCACTTTTGTTATGCTTTAGCAAAGAGTCTGGAGGCATTGTGCCCCTGCTCTGGGGACCTGTGGAACTTTGAACTTGAGAGTGATGATATCTGGTGAAAAAAATTTCTAAGCAGCAAAGCATTCAAGATGTAGTCTGGCTGCTTCTAACAACCTATGCTCTTATGCATAAGCAAAGAAATGACCTGAAACTGGAATTTATATTTAAAAGGGAAGCAGAGTGAACAAGTTTGAAAAATTGAAGCCCAGCCATGTGGTAGAAATGAAAAGGCCGTGTGTGTGTGTGTGTGTGTGTGTGTGTGTGTGAGTGTGTGTGTGTGTGACAGCCAACATTGGGAAACCCCGTCTCTAGTAAAAATACAAAAATTAGCCAGGCATGGTGGCACATGCCTGTAATCCCAGCTACTCAGGACGCTGAAGCACAAGAATCACTTGAGTCCAGGAAGTGCAGGTTGCAGTGAGCCAAGATCGTGCCACTACACTCCAGCCTGGGCAACAGGGCGAGACTACATCTCGAAAGTTAAAAATAAAATAAAATAGACCAGGCACGGCGACTCACGCCTGTAATCCTAACACTCTGGGAGGCCGAGGCGGGTGGATCACCTGAGGTCAGGAGTTCGCGACCAGCCTGGCCTTCGTGGTGAAACCCTGTCTCTACTAAAAATACAAAAAATTAGCCAAGCATGGTGGTGGGTGCCTGTAATCCCAGCTACTTGGGAGGCTAAGGCAGGAAAATCACTTGAATCTGGGAGGCAGACATTGCAGTGAGCTGAGATCGCACCATTGCACTCCAGCTTGGGCAACAAGAGCAGAACTCCATCTCAAAAAAATAATAATAATAAAATAAAATAAAATAAAATAAATCAGCCACTAAAAAAAAAGGTAGAAATTTTGCATATAAACAACCTAATGGTACATCTCTAGCAAAAACAATCCAAATCCAAAATTAGTAGAAGGAAAGAAATAATAAAGATCAGAGCAGAAGTAAATTTGAGACAAAAATTAATGAAATGAAAAGGTAAACATAATAGCAAATCTTTAGCTAGACTGAGAAAAAGAGAACACACAAATAAATAAAATTAAAAAAAACAGAAAAGGAGACATTACAAGTGACACCACAAAATACAAAGGATCATTAAAGCCTATTGTGAACAACTATTATGCCAACAAATTGCAAAACCTAAAGGACATGCATAAGTTCCTGGACACATAAAACCTAAGAAGATTGAACCAGGTAGAAATAGAAAACCTGAACGCACCAATAACAAGTAACAAGATTGAAGCAACAGTAAAAAGTCTCCCAACGAAGAAATGCTCAGGACCAGAGGGCTTCACCCATGAATTCTACCAAACCTTTAAAGAAGAACTAACACCAATTCTTTTCAGACTTGCAAAAAAATTGAAAGGCGGGGAATTCTTTGAAACTATTCTATGAGGCCAGCATTATTCTGATACCAAAACTGAACAAGGACACAACAGAAAAAGAAAACTACAGGACAATATCTCAGTTGAACATATAATCAAAAATCCTCAATAAAATGTTGGCAAAATGAACCCAAGAGCCCATAAAAAGATTATATACCATGATCAAGTGGGATTAATCCTAGAAATGCAAGGAAGGGGTTCAACATACACAAATCCAAAAATACGATATATCACATCAACAGAATGAAGGACAAAACCCATATAATCTTTACAATCAATTCAGAAAAAGCATTTGATAAAATTCAACATTCTTTCATGATAAAAACTCTTAACATACTAGGTACAGAAGGAACATGTCTCAATACACAATAAAGGCCATATATGACAAACCCATAGCTAATGTCATACCAAATGAGGAAAAATGGAAAGCTTTTTGTCTAAGCACTAGAACAAGACAAGCATACCCAATTTCACCACTCTTATTCAAAATAGTACTGGAAGTCTGAGCCAGAGCAATCAGGCAAGAGAAAAATGTAAAGGGCATCCAAATTGGAAAGGAGGAAGTCAGATGGTCTCTACTTGTACACAACATGATCTTATACGTAGAAAAACCTAAAAACCATAAAAAGCTTTTAGAGCTGATAAATTCAGTAAAGTCGCAAGATACAAAATCAGTATTAAAAATAGCTAGTGTTTCATTCAATGTAAATGGCCCAAATGCTCCACTTAAAAGATAGAGAACCGCAAAAAGGATAAGGACTAACCAACCAACTATCTGCTGCCTTCAGGAGACTCACCTAATACATAAGGACTCACATAAACTTAAAGTAAAGGGGTAGAAAAAGGCATTTCATGCAAATGGACACCAAAGCGAGCAGAGGTAGCCATTCTTATATTAGACAAAACAAATTTCAAAGCAAGAGCAGTTAAAAGAGACAAAGAGGGATATTATACAATGGTAAAAAGGCTTTGTCCAACAGGAAAATATCACAATCCTAAAGATATATGCACCTAACACTAGAGCTCCCAAATTTATAAAACAATTACTAATAGACCTAAGAAATGAGATAGACAGCAACACAATAATAGTGGGGGACTTCAATACTCCACTGACAGCACTAGACAGGTCATCAAGACAGAAAGTCAACAAAGAAACAATGGATTGAACCTATACCTTGGAACAAATGGACTTAACACATATATACAGAGCATTTCATCCAACAACCACAGAAAACACATCCTTTTCAACAGGGCATGGAACTTTCTCCAAGATAGACCACGTGATGGGCCACAAAACAAGCCTTAATAAATTTAAGAAAATTGAAATTATATCAAGCACTCTCTCAAACTACAATGAAATAAAACTGGAAATCAACTATAAAAGGAACCTTCAAAACCATGCAAATACATGGAAATTAAATAACCTGCTCCTAAATGAGCATTGAGTCAAAAATGAGATCCAGATGGAAATTAAAAACTTCTTTGAACTGAATGACAATAATGACACAACCTATCAAAACCTCTGGGATACAGCTAAGGCAGTGCTAAGAGGAAAGTTCATAGCCCTAAACACCTACATCAAAAAGTCTGAAAGAGCACAAACAGACAATCTAAGGTCACACCTCAACAAACTAAAGAAACAAGAACAAACTAAACCCAAACACAGCAGAAGAAAGGAAATAACCAATATCAGAGCAGAACTAAGTGAAATTGAAACAAACAAACAAACAAAATACAAAAGGTAAATGAAACAAAAAGATGGGTCTTTGAAAAGATAAAATTGGGCCGGCGCAGTGACTCACGCCTGTAATCCCAGCACTTTGGGAGGCTGAGGCGGGTGGACCACCTGAGGTCAGGAGTTCAAGACCAGCCTGACCAACATGGTGAAATCTCGTCTCTACTAAAAGTACAAAAATTAGCTGGGCATGGTGGTGGGTGCCTGTAATCCTAGCTACTCAGGCTGAGGCAGGAGAAGCTTGAACCTGGGTGGTGGACATTGCAGTGAGCTGAGATCACACCACTGCACTCCAGCCTGGGTGACAAAAGCGAGACTCCGTCTCAAAAAAAGAAAAGAAAATTGATAGACCATTAGCAAGATTAACCCAAGAAAAGAAGAGAGAAAATCCAAATAACCTCACTAAGAAACAAAAGAGGAGATATTACAATTGATACCACTGAAATACAAAAGATCATTCAAGGCGACTATGAACACCTTTACATGAGTAAACTAGAAAACCTAGAATAGATGGATAAATTCCTGGAAAAATACAACCCTCCTAGCTTAAATCAGGAAGAATTAGATACCCTGAACAGACCAATCACAAGCAGTGAGATTTAAATGGTAATTTAAAAATTACCAACAAAAAAAAAGTACAGGACCAGACAGATTCACAGCAGAACTCTATCAGACATTCAAAGAAGAATTGAAACCAATCCTTTTCACAGTATTCCACAAGATAGAGAAAGAAGGAACCTTTCCGAATTCATTTTACGAATTCATTTTATGAAGCCAGCATCACCCTAATATCAAAACCAGGAAAGGACATAACCAAGAAAGAAAACTACAGTTCAATATCCTTGATGAACATAGATGCTAAAATCCTTAACAAAATCCCAGCTAACCAAATCCAACAATATATCAAAAAGTTAATCTACCATGATCAAGTGGGTTTCACACCAGGGATGCAGGGATGGTTTAACATAGGCAAGTCTATAAATGTGATACACCACATAAACAGAATAGAAAACAAAAATCACATGATCATCTCAATAGATGCAGAAAAAGCATTCGACAAAATCCAGCAAGCTTTATGATTAAGACTCTCAGCAAAATTGACATAAAAGGGACATACCTCAATGTAATAAAAGCCATCTATGACAGACCCACAGCCAACATAATATTGAATGAGGTAAAGTTGAAAGCATTCCCTCTGAGAACTGGGACAAGACTAAGATGCCCACTCTCACCACTCCTTTTCAACATGGTACTGGAGGTCCTAGCCAGAGCAATCAGACAAGAGAAAGAAATATAGGGCATTCAAATTGGTAAAGAGGAACTCAAATTGTCACTGTTTGCTGATGATACGATCGTTTACCTTGAAAACCCTATGGACTCCTTCAGAAAGCTCCTGGAACTGATAAAAGAATTCAGCAAAGTTTCCAGATACAAGATTAATGTACACAAATATAGCTCTTCTATATACCAACAGCGACCAGAGAATCAAATGAAGAACTCAACCCCTTTTACAATAGCTGCAAAAAATAAATAAATAAAAAATAAAATAAAATACTCAGGAATATACCTAACAAAGGAGTCAAAAGACCTCTACAAGGAAAACTACGAAACACTGCTGAAAGAAATCATAGACAACACAAACAAATGGAAACACATCCCATGCTCATGGATGG
Organism: Homo sapiens; assembly: GCF_000001405.40. NCBI lineage: Eukaryota > Metazoa > Chordata > Mammalia > Primates > Hominidae > Homo > Homo sapiens. The sequence continues at coordinate 49,206,446 of NC_000015.10, read as the reverse complement.
GTAGAATCAATATTGTGAAAATGACCATACTGCCAAAAGCAATCTACAAATTCAATGCAGTCCCCATCAAAATACCACCATCATTCTTCACAGACTTAGAAAAAACAATTATAAAATTCATATGGAACCATACATATGTAACTAACCTGCACATTGTGCACATGTACCCTAAAAAAAGTATAATAATAATAAATAAATAAATAAAAATTCATATGGAACCAAAAAAGAGCCTGCATAGCAAAAACAAGACTAAGCAAAAAGAAACAAATCTGGAGGCACCACACTACCTGATTTCAAACTATACCATTAGGCCATAGTCAACCAAAACAGCGTGGTACTAGTATAAAAATAGGCACGTAGACCAATGGAACAAAATAGAGAACGCACAAATAAACCCAAATACTTATAGCCAACTGATCTTCAACAAAGCAAACAAAATCAAAAAGTAGGGAAAGGACACCCTTTTCAACAAATTGTGCGGGGATAACTGGCTAGCCACATGTGGGAGAATGAAACTGGATCCCCATCTCTCACCTTACACAAAAATCAACTCAAAATGGATTAAGGACTTAAACCTAAGATATGAAACTAAAAAAATTCTAGCAGATAACATTGGATAAACCCTTCTAGACATTGGCTTAGGCAAGGATTTCATGACCAAGAACCCAAAAGCAAATGCAATAAAAGCAAAGATAAACAGCTGGGACCTAATTAAACTAAAGAGCTTTTGCATGGCAAAAGGAACAGTCAGCAGAGTAAAAAGACAACCTACAGAGTTGGAGAAAATCTTCACAGTCTATACATCTGACAAAGGACTAATGTCCAGAATCTACAATGAACTCAAACAAATCAGTAAGAAAAAAACAAACCATCCCATTCAAAGAGTGGGCTAAGGACACGAATAGACAATTCTCAAAGGAAGATATAGAAATGGCCAACAAACATATGGAAAAATGCTCAACATCACTAATGATCAGGGAAATGCAAATCAAAACCACAATGTGATACCACCTCACTCCTGCAAGAATGGCCATAATCTAAAAATCAAAAAAGAGTAGATGTTGGTGTGGATGTGGTGAACAGGGAACACTTCTACACTGCTGTTGGGAATGTAAAGTAGTACAGCTGCTATGGAAAACAGTGTGGAGATTCCTTAAAGAACTAAAAGTAGAACTACCATTTGATCCAGCAATCCCACTAATGGGTATCTACTCAGAGGAAAAGAAGTCATTATTTGAAAAAGATATGTGCACGCGCATGTTTATAGTGGCACAATTCACAATTGCCACTATATGTCATTGGTATTATGGAACCAACCCAATCGCGGAACCAACCCAAATGCCCATCAATCAACAAGTAGATAAAGAAACTGTGGTATATATACAATGGAATACTATGCAGCCATAAAAAGGAATGAATTAACAGTATTTGCAGTGACCTGGATGAGACTGGAGACTATTATTCTAAGTTAAATAACTCAGAAATGGAAAACCAAACATTGTATGTTCTCACTGATATGTGGGGGCTAAGCTATGAGGATGCAAAAGCATAAGAATTAGGTAATGGACATCGGGGACTTGTGAGGAAGAGTGGGAGGGGAGCGCGGGATAGAAGACTACAAATACAGTGCAGTGTATGCTGCTTGGGTGATGGGTACACCAAAATCTCACAAATCACCACTAAAAAATGTATTCATGTAACCAAATACCACCTGTACCCCAATAACTTATGGAAAAATAAGATTTTAAAATAATAAATAAAAGTACTTTGAAAAAATTTTTAAAATCACTAGTGTTTCTATACACCAATAACAGACTACCTGAAAAAGAAATCAAGCAAGCAATCCCATTTGAAATAGCTAAAAAAAATGAATATCTAGGAATAAATTTAACCAAGGTGATAAAAGACCTGTACAATGAAAACAATAAAACACTGATGAAAGAAATTGAAGAGGATACAAAAAAGTGGGAAGACATCCCACATTCTTGGACTGGAAGAATTAATATTGTTAAAATGACCATACTACTACAGATTCAATGCAATTCCTCGTATGATACCAATGACATTCTTCACAGAAATTAATTCTAAAATTTGTATGGAATCACAAAAGACCCCAAAAAACCAAAGCAATCCTGAGCCAAAAAAAAAAATAAAAGAAGAAGAAGAAGAAGAAAAGAAAAGCTGGAGGCATCACACTATCTGACTTCAAATATACTACAAAGCTACAGTAATACTATGGTTTTGGCGTAAAAACAGACATACAGACCAATAGAACAGAATAGAGAACCCAGAGCTAAATCCATGTATTTACAGCCAACTGATTTTCTTTTTTTTTTTTTTTTTGAGACAGAATCCTGCTGGAGTGCAGTAGTGGTTTGATCTCGGCTCACTGCAGCCTCCGCCTCCCAGATTCAAGAGATTCTCGTGCCTCAGCCCCCTGCGTAGCTGGGATTACAGGTGTGTGCCACCACACCCAGCTAATTTTTGTATTTTTAGCAGAGACGAGGTTTCATGATGTTGGCCAGGCTGCTTTCAAACTCCTGACCTCAAGTGATCCACCCTCCTCGGCTTCCTAAAGTGCTGGGATTGCAAGTGTGAGCCACCATGCCTGGCCAAGGCCAAATGATTTTCAACAAAGTTACTTTCATTCATAGGGAAAAGGACAATCTGTTTAATAAATGGTGATGGAAAAACTAGATATCCATATGCAAAAGAATAAAAATAGGCCCCAATATCTCACCATTTATAAAAATGAATTTAAAATGGATTAAAGACTTAAACATCAGAACTGAAACTATGAAACTACTAGAAGAAAACATAAAGGAAACACTTCAAGACATTGGTCTAGGCAAAGATTTTATGAATAAGACTATAAAAGCACAGGCAAAGAAACAAAAATAGACAAATGAAATTATATCAAACTAAAAAGCTTCTGCACAGCAAAGGAAACCTTCCAATAGAGTGAAGAGACAACCTGTTGAAAGGGATAAAATATTTGTAAACTATTCACCGAACAAGGAATTAATCTCCAGAATATATAAAAAACTTAACTCAACAGTAGTAAAACAAATATTCCAATTAAAAAATTGGCAAATGGTCTCGGTGTGGTGGCTCACACCTGTAATCCCAGCACTTTGGGAGGCCAAGGTGGGCAGATCATCTGAGGTCAGGAGTTCAAGACCATCCTGGCCAACATGGTGAAACCCCATCTCTACTAACAATACAAAAATTACCTGGGCATGGTGGCACGTGCCTGTAGTCCCAGCTACTCGGGAGGCCGAGGCAGGAGAATTGCTCGAACCCAGGAGGTGGAGGTTGCAGTGAGCCCAGATCGTGCCACTGCACTCCAGCCTGGGCAACAGAGAGAGACTCTGTCTCAAAATAAATAAATTAATAAAATAAAATAAAATAAAAATTGGCAAATGATCTAAATAGACATTTCTAAAAAGAAGACATACAAATGACTTACAATCATAGACAAATGCTCAACATCACTAATAATCAGGAAAATGCAAATCAAAACCACCAGGAGATATTATCTCACTTCAGTTAGGATGACTATTATCAAAAAGACAAAAAATAATAAGTGTTAGAGAGAATGCAGAGAAATAAGAATTCTTCTACACTGTTGGTGGGAAAGTAAATTAGTATAGCCATATGGAAAACAGTATGAAGGCTCCTCAAAAAACTAAAAATAGAACCACCATATGATCCAGCAATCCCATTACTAGGTATATATCCAAAGAAAAGGACATCAGTATGTCAAAGAGATATGTGGCTCTCTTGTTTATTGCAAAACTATTCACAATAGTCAAGATACAGAATCAACATAAATGTCCATTCACAGATGAATGGATTTTTAAAATGTGGTGTATGTGTGCAATGGAATACTATTCAGCCACCTAAAAGAGTGAAATCCTGTTATTCACAGCAACATGGATGAGCTTAGAGGACATTATGTTAAGTGAAATAAGTCAGGCACAGAAAGATACATACCTCATGTTCTCACTCATATATGGAGGCTAAAAGAGTTGATCTCATAAAAATAGAGGATAAATTAATGGTTACTAGAGGCTGGGAAGGATAACATGTAGTGAGGGCAGGAAGGGCAGGTAGGGAGAGGTCAGTTAACAGACACAAGAGGCCAGGTGTGGAGGCTCACGCCTGTAATCTCAGCACTTTGGGAGGCCAAGGCAGGTGGATCACCTGAGATTGGGAGTTCGAGACCAGCCTGACCAACATGGAGAAACCCTGTCTCTACTAAAAATACAAAAAATTAGCCAGGCATGGTGGCACATGCCTGTAATCCCAGCTACTCGGGAGGCTGAGGCAGGAGAATCACTTGAACCCGGGAGGCAGAGGTTGCAGTGAGCCGAGACTGCACCATTGCACACCAGCCTGGGCAATAAGAGCAAAACTCCATCTCAGAAAAAAAAGAGAATAACACAATAAGAAGGCCATCACCAGATGTGAGTACCATGATATTGAACTTCTCTGCCTCCAGAATCACAAGCCAAATAAACTTCTATTGTTGATAAATTACCCCATCTGTGGAATTCTGTTATACCAGCAGAAAATGGAAATAGATACATGGAAATATTTATGATATATTAAATGAAAAAAAGATACAAATGGTATGTAGTCTAAGTACAACTATGTCAATTATTATATATAGGGACATTGATAAAATGATAGTAAACAAAATGTTGAAAGGTTGTGTTATTTACCACTAAAAGGTAGTAAAATTCAAAGTACTTCACAGGATAAACAAAAGGAAAGATAAATTCATCTAGAAGGGCTGCAAATTCTGGACCACACTTTTAGTAGCAAGGAATTTTAAGGTTTCCCTGTGCTCCTCTAACCCAGTGAGTAAATATAAAACCATCAAAACTACTTACCACAGTCTAAAATTTTAACCTGTGGCCTAGAAAAATATTTTCATTTTTTATGAAAACAATATTAACAACTTGGTTTCAACAAATTAATACATTTAAAAAACAAATGAACAATACTAATAACATGGATTGGGAAAGATAAAAGTAAAGTGTGTTCCTTATGCAAAGGCACATCTTACTATTAGTAGATACATGTGAAATATTCTATTTTGGGAAAAATTAAGAAAGAAATATATTTTTAAAAATTTAGATCTTATCAAAGGATGAAGAAAAAAATTAAGAGAAGGAACTTTTGAAATACCTATTATGTTGACTCTTCCTGGTGCTCGAACATAAAACTTGGGAATAGATCCAAACTTGGAGTTAAACATCTCCTTTAGCTTCAGTAACCTGAAAATAAAAGTACAATATTTCAGAATATCATATAACAGAAAATCCGTAACATAACATACACACACATACATACACACACACACACACACACACACACACACACACTCCATATGCCTGCCACCATTAATTATTCCTTAAAAGAATAAAAGCAAAATTTCCTAGTGACATACTTCCTTGAAAATCCCAAGATGAACAATACTGTAATCTCTAAATGGCACAAAAGTATAGCTAAGCACACTGAAGAATTTAAAAGTTAAGATTGATATACCCAACAGAAAAAGCTATTTTCTTCCCTTTTGAAGAATGTAGTTTCTGTATACTTTTTTGGTGACATTCAGGGAAGAATCTCTTTACATTAAAAGTGTACCATGCGGTAGTATATTTGGTTTCCTAAGGCTGTCATAACGAAGAACTATAAACTGGATGGCTTAACACAACAGAGATTTATAATCACAATTCTGCAGCCAGAAGTCTAAAACCAGAGGTCAGTAGTACCTCTGAAAGCTGTAGAGGAGAATCATTTCTTCCCTGCCTCTTTCTACCTTCTGGTAGCAGCCGTCAATCCTTGGTGTTCTTTGGCTTACAGCTTTATTACTCTAATCTCTGCCGTGTCATCACATGGCATTCTGTCTGTTTTTCCTTCTTGTAAGGACACCAGTCATATTGGATTAAAGTCCATCCACTCTAATTGAGTACGACCTCATCTTAATTCATTACATTTGCAAAGATGCTAGTCCAAATAAGGTCATATTCTGCAGTTTCAAGTAGATATGAATTTGGGGGGTTATACTGTCTAACTCAGAACATGTAGTCAAATGAAAACTAGACTGGGTATCAGGAAACCACAGTTCTAATTCTAATGAGACCTCTAATTCAATGTCAAAGTTCGGCAAATCATTTTCTCTTGGCCTCTCTTCCCTAAAATTTGAGAATTTGAACTAGATATTCCTCATAGGTCCCTTCCAGATCCAAAATTCTTGTAATATATTTAATAACTTGATACTCTCAAATTATCTCAAGTCAATTCTGTGAATAGCCCTCATTATTTGTAGTCCCACATCATATTGTATCTGGGTAATAACACCAGGATGATAAACATTTATTAAAGCCTAATATATTCAGGAAATTAATTAATTAAGAAACAGAGACCCACACCCAAAAAACCTCAAGAAAATGTAATAAAATAATAGAAAAATATGTTGAATATTGTTGGAAGTTATTCAAGCTCGTCTCTTGGGAATTGAATAGTCATCAGAAACTGTTTATACCAGTTTCTTTGGCTCTCTTCCTGCCTCATTCTCTTGTTGCTCCAAAGACACCATTATAAACTTCTCTCTGCTGAGTACTCTGCATTCCACCTACTTCTGTGAACCTCTTAGTTTCTGCTCCTCCATACCTTCAGTTTTCATGACACTGTGGCCTTGACTCTACAAGACTTAACAGCTCCAGCATCCTATACTAACTGATTACGTTTCTGTGTCCTTTCGTTCAAATTCTCAAAAGATATAATCAGCTTGGCAGAGTTTAGGTCCTGTATCCATACAGGAAAGATAAATTCATCTGTGGCCAAAGGGTGAGGTCATTTAGTAAAAATAAGGTCACTTGTTTTAGTTACAAATATGGTCACTTGTGTTTACTCCTTCAGCAGAGGCTGTGGATGAGAACAAAAGATTGCAGCAGGGAGACAATAACTGATATCGCTAGCATATCACTCAAAATACATCTACTGGACTACCTGGTAGATGCGGCTGCCTAAATCTTTCTCTATACATCCTCAAAAAACAAAACAAGAACAAATAAAAGTATACAAAAACTTTGTCTTCAGTATAACTAGAAGACGAAATGCCAAACTTTAAGTTATCTATAATAGGGGGAAAAAAGAAGAAGGGAGAAAAGAAGACCATAGTGAACTACAAAACATTAGTGAACTACAAAACATAGTGAAACAAAAATTAAGCAAAAAAGCCGGACGCCCTGGGTGTGCCTGTAGTTCCAGCTACTCTGGAGGCTAAGGCAGAAGGATCGCTTGAGCCTAGAAGTTCTGGGCTGTGGTGCGCTACGCTGTCCAGGTGTCTGCACTAAGTTGGGCTTCAATAAGGTGACCTGTGGGGGCCAAGGGATTATCACGTTGCCTAAGGAGAAGTAAACCAACCTAGGAGGGAAATGGAGCAGGTCAAAACTGCCGCACTGATCAACGGCAAGATCCTGCCTGCGAGTAGCCACTGCACTCTAGCCTGGGCAACATGAGACCTTGTCTTTGGAAAAAAAGGAAAGAATGAAAGAGGAAGGAAGGAAGGGAGGGAGGGAGGGAGGGAGGGAGAGGGGAGGGGAAGAGGGGGAGGAAGGGAAAATTGAGTAAAATAAAGAGAAAAGAAGGGAGCCACCAAAACTAAGATTAATCTAAAACTACTACTAGAAAGAAAAAGTCCACCTATTAAAAAAAGGTGAAGTGTAGGAAAGAAAAAGAGGAAAGTAGAATAAGCTCATTGATTACTAAATAGGCAAGAGGTAAAAGTTAAAAGATACCAAAAAAACTGACAAAGCAATGATTTTTTTTAAGTTATAGTACAGGCATATACAAGGATATTATTAAACAAACAAACAAAAACAAAGAACAGGGCCTGTGCAGTCAGGTAGACCTGGGCTTAAAACTGTTCTCTACACATGATGAAATTCATTAATCTCATTCTCCTTTAAATAGGATAGAAACATGTATCCCATAGATTTGTTGGGAAGATTAATAAGGTCATTTGGAACAGTGTCCAGCCCAGCACTGGCATGAAGTATGTGTTTAATAAATGGTAGTTATGATTGTATCTTAGTTCCTGGGTTCAATATCATTTCCAGTCTGTGCAGGTGAATAAGAATACATCACAAGCTGGGATTACAGGCCCAGGTGGAGGTTGCAGTGAGCAGAGGCCGCGCCATTGCACTCCAGCCTGGGCAACAAGAGCAAAACTCCATCTCAACAACAACAACAAAAAAGAATACATCACAAGCAATGAGAGATGGTAGGTAATTAAGTGTTTAGCTTGTGTCAGGATAGTTAGTAATGTTAGTGCACTGGGTAATTTTAATGATGCTGTTGATAAATCTTGCTGCTCTCTGCCCAGCTTCTTCTATTTTATAGAGAAGTTTGTTGAAACAACTGAGGTTATTTGTCTGGATTTGAGATAGAATGACATAAAATATTAGTGCTTTTCAACAGCCACCACTGGGAAAAAAAAACTGACAAAGCAGATAGTAGAAGTTAAATAAGAAAATATTCCCCTATTTTCTAAGGGTGTTTTAAAATATAAGTACAAAGGTAACCAATAAAACAAAAATATAAATCTTCTTAAATACCACAGAAATTTCAAAACTAAAGGAGAAAAGAAAAATATCTGGTAGATAAAGAAAAACATAAAATGTACCATAGTATATAATTACAGGTTGAGCATTCCTAATTCAAAATTTCAAAATCCAAATCATTCCAAAATTTGAAGCTTTTTAAGCACAGACATGACGTTATAAGTGGAAAATTCCACATTTAAGTATTTAACACAAACTTTCATAAATAAAATTATTTAAAATATTGTATAAAACTACCTTCATGCTATGTGAATAAAGCGTATATGAAACAAATAAATTTCATGTTTAGATTTGGGTGCTATCCCCAAGATATCTCATTATGTATCTTTAAATATTCCAAAATCCAATAAATCTGAAATCTGAAAAACTTCTAGTCTCAAACATTTTGGATAAGGGATACTCAACCTGTATAAAATAATATGACAGAACTGAAATCAAACATATTAGTCACATTAATAAATGTGAATGAGCCTCAACTATTAAAACATAAAGATGTGCAATTTTGCTCCTAAAATAGGACTGAATGTATTATGCTGAATACTAGACACATAACTAAAACAAGGTGATTCCGAAAGACTAAATATCAAGAAATGGGCAAAGGTATTATAGGCAAATGAAAACAATAAGAAAACAAGTAGTAATCCTGATCAAAATTGTAGAATTTAAGCTTACACATTAAATGTGCATAGAAGGATACCTTTCTTTAGAGAGTGAGAGACAGGGACTCGCTCTGTTGCCCAGGCTAAAGTTCAATGGGCAGTGGCATGATCACGGCTCGCTGCAGCCTAGAACTCCTGGGCTCAGGCAATCCTGTGGTCTCAGCCTCAGCAGAACTACAGAGGCATGCTGCCATGCCTAGCTAAAATATTTTTTAATTTTTTGTAGAGGCATAGTCTCACTATGTTGCCCAGGCTGGTCTCAAACTTCTGGCTTCAAGTGATCCTCCTGCCTCAGCCTACCAGAAGGATATTTCTTAATGCTGAGAGCCACAAATCAAAATGAAGACATGGCAGTTAAGAAATATCCCAAATGAAACAGTAATTACTTGTATAAGGCAAAACTATAAGGCAATGTAAGGAAATAAAGGTAGAAATACATTAATAATAAGAGATTATAAGACACCTTAGTAGATCAATGAGTCCAAAAACACAGAGAAAAGACTCAATAAACTTGATAAAGTAAATTTTATGGATGTATACATATATCAAACATTTTACCCTGATAATAGGCAATAAAACTTCTCAAGAGTACATGGAACATTCACAAATACTGATCATATATTTGGTTACAATGAAACATTAGTAAATTCCATAAAGTAGAAATAATACAAACAACACTCAATGCAATAGAACTAGAAATTATTAACAAGAAAAATAACAAAAAGGTCTTCCTACCTGCAAATTTCTTAAGTGTCTTTTAAACAACTCTTGGGTGAAAGGGGAAATGAAGTGAAAGATAGAATCTAAAAATAATGATAACATTAAAAGCTCTACTCATAAAAAATATATGGGATACATTTAAAGCAGTCAGAAAACTCCATAGCTCTAAACACTTTAGCAGTAAAAATGAAAAATGATAATAGGAAACTAAATTCTCAGCTCCATAAGCTAGAAAATAAACAAAAAGAATGACACAAAAAAGATAAGAACAGAAAGTAATGATATGGGGAGTAGAAAAACAGCAGACCTAAAAATTCAAAGCCTGCGGTTTTAGGAAAAAAGTTAACAAAATAAGCCATTAGCTAATGAATTAATAATATGGGGGATAAAGCACAAATGTACAAAATAAAAAAATAACAAAGGGAAAATACTACTAAACAGAAGACTTTTTTTTAAATAAGAAATGACTTTGCAGACCTCTATCCAAATATATCAGAAACTATAATAGTCTGATTCCATTTTTGATGTTTGACTACTGCCAGCTTTTAGACCTTAACTCTCCCTCTTTCCCCTTTCTACCTAACATTAAGCAAAGGGATAAAAAAAAAAAGCCCCTCTCTTTTGCCACCAGCCAAACCACATGTAGAAATCCTCTCCCTGGCTCTACCCTCTAACCATCATAAAAACCCCAAGTCAGTCTCCTTTCCCTGCTCTTTCAAACCAGTTTTGGACCAGCTTAGGCAACCTGCCATGCTCCCCCAGAAAGCCTTATAATGTCAGTAATAAATTTCTGGAAAACCACAGAGAAGTAATGATAAAACCAACTTGAATAATAAAAGAATTCACTAAGGTAACAGGATGTAAGATTAATATACAGAAATCAGTAGACTTCATATGCGAAAACAAAAACCAATTAGAGACTAGAATGGTAAAGAAAATATAATTAATGTTAGCACCAAAAAACACTAAATGCTTACAAACAAACTTAATAAACGTGCAAAATCTATTTAAGAAAAGTTTTTAAACATTCTTGAAAGACAAATAGACTTAAAGAAACGGGCTGGGCACTGTGGCTCATGCCTGTAATCCCAGCACTTTGGGAGGCCGAGGCGGGTGGATCATGAGGTCAGGAGTTCCAGACCAGCCTTGCCAACATAGTGAAACACCATCTCTACTAAAAATACAAAAAATTAGCCCAGCATGGTGGCACGCACCTGTAATCCCAGCTACTCCGGAGGCGGAGGCAGGAGAATCACTTCAACCCAGGAGGCGGAGGTTGCAGTGAGCCAAGATCGTGCCACTTGCACTCTAGCCTCCAGCACAGGTGACAGAGCGAGACTCCATCTCAAATAAAATAAAAAAATAAGAAATGAAAAGATATCCCTGTTTTGGATAAGATGATACAACATCATAAAGATGTAGTTCTCCCAAAGTTAATTTACAAATTCAACTAAATCTCCCAAAAAATACCAATAAGCTTTTCTTATGGAGATAGACAAGTTAGCTAAAAAGACCTTACGAAAAACAAATATGTAGCCAGGCACGGTGGCTTATGCCTGTAATCCAAGCATTTTGGGAAGCCAAGGCAGGCGGATCACCTGAGGGAGGAAGTTCAAGACCAGCCTGACCGACATGGAGAAACCCTGTATCTAGTATAAATACAAAATTAGCTGGGCATGGTGGCACGTGCTTGTAATCCTAGCTACTCGGGAGGCTGAGGCAGGAGAATCACTTAAACTTGGGAAGCAGAGGTTGCGGTGAGCCAAGATTGCACCATTGCACTCCAGCCCAGGCAATAACAGTGAAACTCCATCTCAAAAAAAAAAAAAGAAAAGAAAAACAAATATGTAACAATAGTGGGCAAAACACTAAAAAAAGAAAAAACAAAAACAAAAAAACCCTGTTTTGAGAGAGGAGTAACCTTACCAAACATTAAAACATACTATATGGCCTCCGTAATGAAAACAGTGAGATATCAGTGCATAAATAGACTAGCAGACTTCAGTGGAATAATATCATGTCCAGAAACAGATTCAAATAGAAATTTAATATATGATGATGGTGGCATCTCAAATCATGACACAAAGGTAAATTTTTTTTTTTTGAGACGTAGTCTCGCTCTGTTGCCTAGGCTGGAGTGCAGTGGCGGATCTCGACTCACTCCAACCTCCGCCTCCCTGGTTCAAGCAATTCTTCTGCCTCGGCCTCCCGAGTAGCTGCGACTACAGGTGCATGCCACCACGCCTGGATAATTTTTGTATTTTTAGTAGAGATGGGGTTTCACCATATTGGCCAGGCTGGTCTCGAACTCCTGACCACGTGATCTCCCCCACTCGGCCTCCCAAAGTGCTGGGATTACAGGCATGAGCCTCTGCACCCAGCCCACAAAGGTAAATTTTTAATAAAGAATGCTAGTACATCACACCTGTAATCCCAGCACATTTGGAGGCTGACGTGGGCGGATCACGAGGTCAAGAGATCGAGACCATCTGGCTAACACAGTGAAACCCCGTCTCTACTAAAAATACAAAAAATTAGCCGGGCGTGTTGGCACGTGCCTGTAATCCCAGCTACTTGGGAGGCTAAGCCAGAAGAGTCACTTGAACCCAGAAGGCACAGGTTGCCGTGAGCTGAGATTGCACCACTGCACTCCAGCCTGGGCAACAGAATGAGACTCCATCTCAAAAAAAAAAATAAAAATAAAAAAATAAAAAAACAGAATGCTAGTACAATTGGTTAGACTTCTGGGAAAAGGTAAAATTAGATCCATATCTTACACCATACACAATAATAATCTCCAAATGGATCAGGAGTCTAAATGTAAAAAAGAAACTACAGAAAACTAGAAGAAAACACAAGTGAATTTCAATATAATGCAGGCTTAAGGGAAAGGTTTTCTAATATGACTCAAAATAGAGGCAAATTTTTTTAATTTGATAGAGTTGACTATATAAAAATGTTTTAAAACATTTATGGCAAAAACACTACAAAATTTAAAAAACAACGCACAGAAAATAACATATATTGTAGATAAAGAGATAATATCCCTTACATTAAAAAAAAAAAGCCTCTTAAAAACCATGTGAAAAAGACCAAAGCCTTGATAGAAAAATGTGTAAAAGGTATAAACAGGTCGGGCATGGTGGCTCACGCCTGTAATCCCAGCACTTTGGGAGGCCAAGGCGAGTGGACTGCCTGAGGTCAGGAGTTCGAGACCAGCCTGGCTAACATGGTGAAACCCTGTCTCTACTAAAAATACAAAAATTAGCCAGGAGTGGTGGCACATGCCTGCAGTCCCAGCTACTTGGGAGGCTGAAGCAGGAGAATTGCTTGAACCCCGGAGGTGGAGGTTACAGTGAGCCAAGATTGTACCACTGCACTCCAGCCTGGGCAACAGAGCGAGATTCCATCAAAAAAAAAAAAAAAAAAAAGGTATAAACAGAAAATTCATAACAAAAGATAGTTTCATAATGACCCTAGGCCAGGCACAGTGGCCCACACCTGTAATCCCAGTACTTGGGGATGCCAAGGCAGAAGGATTGCTTGAGGCCAGGAGTTAGAGACTAGCTTAGGCCACATAGGGTGACCTGTCTCTAAAAGAAAAAATTTTTAAAAGGCCCTTAAACATATGAAAAGATGTTCAGCCTTAACTTTTAGATAGAAATACAAATTAAAACTACACTGAGATACTATCAGATGGTTAAAATTAAAAAGTAACAATGCATTCTGATGTTGAGGTTCTGGGTAAACAGGCACTCTTCTATTATATACTGTTTTGGGAATACAAATTTGGTACAACACTTTCAGAGGGGAACTGGGCATTGTCTAACAAAAATACATAGTCATTAATTTTTACCTAGCAATCCACTATCTAAGAATTTGCCCTGAAGATACACCTCCAACTATATATATATATATATATATATATATATATATATATATACATATATATATAATATTCATTGCAGAATAGTTTATAATCGCAAAATACTGGAAACAATCTAAACACTCTTACATAGGAGAATGTTTGAATAAATTCTGACTTGTTTCCAAAATGAAGTGCAATGAAACTGTTTAAAAGAATATCATTTCTAGAAATGTTGATCTAGCGACTTCCAGAAATACTATGTTAAAAGAAAAAAGCAAAGTGCTTTATCTGCTGAGATGGCCTGGGATAATTACTATCATATTAGCAATAAGCATCTCTAATGCCCAGATCTTTATTTCAAAAGAAATTACAGTTCCTTAAAGAAATGGCTGATTCCAGAACTGGAAAGAAACAACACAATATAAATCTGAAACATCTTTCTATACCAGAAAGTAAGGAAGTGCTCAATGATAGTGACATGTCGCAATGACACAGAAACCCACCTGAAGAGGTTCCCATTGCCCAAATCTGACCCTGAAACAATTGAGCATCAAAATAAATACAAAAATAATGGAAACATTAGAATCCATAGAATAAAATAAAAACCCGAGTCCATAGTGATATAAAAGGAAGAAAAGGAAAAGCATTTCCTTACAGTAGAATGCCAATTAATAAATTAAAAGTATGGAAAAAAAAAACACAGAAAATCACCACTTAGAGATCATTGTAGTAATAAGTGATTCAGGCAAGAATCAACAATGGATGCTAAAATCAGTAAATGAAAATTTGGTAAGAAATAGGATACCAATATATTCTCAAAGTTTTTCACCAAAAGATACTTATAAGTTACAGAAGAGAAAACAGTAACTGTACAGTGGAAAAACCAGCAGACACCTCCTTAAGTGATTTAGGTTAACAGAATTGGTGATGGGACATATACATCATGTGCCTTTTGATATGATGTACTAAAGAAACAAAATCACTTTTGTTGTATTCCTCCTAAAAATACATAAGCTGAATCTAACCATGAAGAAATATTACACAAACTCATTAAGGGAGAAATTTCTTTAAAGTATGTTAAATGAAAATTATAGGAGGCCATTGTTTTAGACTAAGCTGTTGCACTAGACCCAACAGACCAAACCAAAATGTAGTACTGGTACTAAAGTTCCACATCAGCAAACCAAAACTAAGTTGTTATCTGACTTTCCAAGAAATCAGGAGAGAGAGAGAGAGACAATAGCCAAATTTCCCAAACAGACCAGTCTCAGTCAGCGTAACAATAAAGTTCCCTCTGCCTTTAACAACAAAAAGTAACCTAAGTAGCCTGATGTTGACCAACCAGTTATTTTTGTATTATTTTTTTCCCTATTCCTCCCTTAATAGGAAATTAACATTAAAATGACCGATCCACTTTTTGTTCTTTTTTCTGCTTTTTTCAGCCCTTTGTCTATAAAACCAACCTCCGTTTAGCCCATTGGAACACTTATTCTATTTTATAGAATGAAGTGCTGCCCAATTCTAGAACTGCAAATAACACCAAGTAAGGTCTTTAAACTGTTAAAAGAAAAACTTCAGTCAAGTTAAATTTAAAGGGGTTTAACTGAGCAATGAACAATTCATGAATTGGACAGCCCCCAGAATCACAGTAGATTCAGAGAGACTCCAGGGATGCCTCATGGTCAGAACAAATTTATAGACAAAAAAAGGGAAGTAACACAGAAATCAGAAGTGACATACAGAAACAACTGAATTCCTTACAGTTCCACATTTGCCTTATTCGAACACAGTTTGAACACTCAGGAGTGTATGACTGGTTGAAGTACGGCTGCTGGGATTGGCCAAGAATCAACTACTGTTACAGGAGCATCCTCTTAAGTTAGGTTTTCAGTCTTGTCTACCTTTTAAGTTAGGTTGCAGTTCATCCACAAGGACTCAAATATAGAAGTAGAGAGGCCTCCTCAGGCCATATTTAATTTGCTTTAACAAAACTAAATTTGTTGTGCTTTTGTCTTTTGACAAATATCATCATGACATATAAAATGAACATATGTTAAAGATTTTATTTATCTCAGTAATTAATGACAGAACTGGTAAGATGTTATAACCAATCAGAAAAAAGAATCCAAAGTCTCACCCATATACAGTAAAATAAGGAATGGCCAATATGCATTTAGAAATATATACAAAAAAAATTGAAAACATTAACAGCCAGGGGGCAATCAGTTGCATTCCACCAGACGCAATTTGCGATTTCTATGGAAAAAAAAAATCATTTGCATTGCTATCAGTTTTATATGACCTATAGAGTTGTAAAATACCATGAATCCATGAATACAATGAAAGCCTCAGAACTCACATAGAAATCGGATAATTTGAAAGGGTATACTAGAAAACTTCTAGTTTTCCTTTGAAGATACCTGATAATCTTTTGGTCCATTTCGAAGTTTTTCACAATTTTCCCTAAAACTCAAACTGAGGAATATTCTATAAAATAGCTGCTCATAAAACACATAGAAAGGCTGAGGAAGTATTCCACAATAAAAAAGATTAAAGAGGCAATAAGTAAGTATAGTATACATCCTAGATTGGATCTTGAAACACGAAAAAATATAGCAGTCCACCCTTATTTGTGGTTTTGTTTTCTGTGGCTTCGGTTATCTGCTGTCAACCATGGTCTGAAAATATTAAATGGAAAAATACAGAAATAAACAACTCCTAAGTTTTAAATTGCACACTATTCTGAGTAGCATAATAAAATCTCACACTGTCCCATTTTGCCCTGCCCAGGTCATGAGTCTTCCCTTTGTCCAGCATATCCACACTATATATGCTACCCACCCACTAGTCACTTGGTAGTCATCTCATTATCAGCTTGACTCTGTATTGTCTCTATATTGCAGTGCTTGTGTTCAAGTAACCATAATGTTATGTAATAATGACCCCAAAGCCTATGAGTAGTGATGTTGGCATACTGTTAAAATTGTTCTATTTTATTTCTAGTTATTATTGTTAATCTCTTGCTATGCCTAATTTATAAATTAAACTTTATCATAGGTATTTATATATAGGAAAAAAGCAAATAGCATATATAGGATTCGGTACTATCTGTGGTTTCAGGCATCTACTGAGGGGTCTTGGGATGTATCCACCAACGTATGCTGTATTTTGCTATAAAGAACATTAGTAGGATAACTGGTAACACTTCAGGTCTGTAATTAGAGAATACTGTTCTATCAATGTTAATTTCCTAATTTTAATCATTATGCTACGATTATATAAAAGAATGTCCTTGTGTTTAGGAAATACGCATTCAAGTATTTAAGGTTAAAAGAGCATGTTAAATAAAATTTATGGAAGACCATTGTTTTGGGCTGAGTTCCTCCACTAGGCCCCAGTAAGCCAAACCAAAATGGAGTCATTCATGCTAAAGTTCCACATCACCAAACCAAAACTAAATTATTTATCTGATCTATAAAAAAGCAGGGGATACATGGTAGCCAAATTCCTAAACAGGCCAGTTTTAGCCTGCATGGTAAGGAAGTCCCCTCTGTTTTAACCCTTACAAGAAAAAGAACCTTAAGTAACCTGATGTTAACATAATAATCTGCTTTTTATTATGCTGTTTCCTTGTGCTTCTTCAAGCTATTTTGTGAAAACCAACTGTTCTGCCATGCCTAGCCTAGCACCTCTCTATTTTTACATGCTGCCCAATTCAGGAATTGAAAATAATAATAAAAGCTGATTACAGCATTTAATTAAATTAGTTGAGATTTTGTCTTCTACCAGGAATCAGGTCCTCAACTTAATCTCAAACTGTTCAGGAAAAAAATTATAAGGGGATAGGAGCAAGATAACCAAATAGAACCCTCTAGGGATCATCCTCCTGCAGAAATACCAAGTTGAACAACTATCTATCCACAGAAGAAAGCACCTTCTTAAGAACCCAAAATCAGGTGAGTAATCACAACATCTGGTTTTAAAATCATGTCAAGGAAAGAGATACTGAAGACGGTTGGAAAGATAGTCTTGAATCATTGACACCACCACTCTCTTAACCCCCAGCAATGGTGGTGGCCATGTAGCATGGAGAGAGAAGCTGTGCACATGGAGGAGTACAGTGATTATGGGGCTTTGCTTTGGAATTCAGTGCTGTCTTGTAACAGTAGAAAGTAACACAGTGCAGAAATCAGCCAGTGCCCATGGAAGCAGCATTTAGACCAGCCCTAGCTAGAGGGAAATTGCCCATCCCAGCAGCCTGAAAGTAAGTTCTGGCTAGCCCAACCACCATGGGCTAAAGCACAACAGGTTCCTAAACAAATCTGAAAGGCACTCTAAGCCTTTATAAGGCTGTAAACCCTGACAACATTTCTACACATCCTGGACCAGAGGGGAATCTACTGCCTTGAAGAGAAAGAACTAGTCCTGGGAGAATTCATCACCTGCTGACTAAAGAGCTGTCAGACCTTGAATAACCATCAGTGGTTGCCAGGCAGTACTTGTCATAGGCCTTGGGTGACCCTGTGCATTCCCAGTGTGTTGGCCATGGAAAGAGACTCGTTCTGCTTGAGGAAAGAAGGAAGATTAACGGGAACTTTGTCCTGAAGCATGGGTACCAGCCTGGTTACTGTGATGCAGACCACCCAAGGACTCCTGGGGTCCACAATTCTAGGACTTGGCTCCTGGATGGCATTTTTGGACTCATGCTGGACCAGAGAGGAGCTCACTACCCTGAAGGGAGCATCCCAGGCCCAGGAGCATGTACTACAAGCTGACAGAAGAGCCCTTGGGTAAACAGTGGGAGCCAGGCAGTAAACATCAGCAATAACCAGGCATTACTCACTACAGGCTGGGGGAGGTGGCTACAGGGAAATACTTCTGCTTAAGAAAAGAGGAGGGAAGAGTGGGAAAGACTTTCTCTTGCAGCTTGGGTGCCAGCTCAGCCACAGTGGAATAGAGCACCAAGTAGATTCCTAAGGTTCCTTACTCTATGCCCTGACTCCTAGACAGCATTTCTGGACCAATCCTGGGCTTAGGGGGAGCTCATCACCCTAAAGAGAAAGCCACAAGTCTGGCTGGGTTTGCCACCTGCTTGGGCCTTGAGGGAGCATCAGTGGTAACCATGACATGGTTTCTGCAGGCCTCAGGCAAGACCCAGTGCTGTGTGAACTTTGGGTCTGACCCAGTGCAGTCCCACTGACAGTGGCCACAAGTCTACTTGTGTCTCCCATCCCCTAACTCCAGGAAAATCAGTATGGAGAAAGAAATTCTCTTTGGGGGAAAATGATGGTAAAGATTTAAAGACTCTGCCTGGTAATCCAGGGAATTCTCCCAGATCTTACCCAACACCACCAAGGCAGTACCTCTACAAGAAGGCAAGAGACACAGTGTTACTGGGTGTGGGGTACCCCCTAATAAAGATATAGCTGCAGTGACCAAAGACTTAGATCGTAATACTCAATTCCCTTCAAATACCTAGAAAGCCTGCCCCAAAAGGATACAAATAAATCCAGACTGCAAAGACTACCATAATACTTGAGTCTTCAATGTCCAGACATCAGTGAACATCCACAAGCATCAAGACCATCAAGGAAAATATGACATCACCAAATCAACTAAATGAGGCACCAGTGGCCATTCCCAGAGTGGCAGGGACAAGTGACCTTTTATACAGAGAATTCAAAATAACTGTTTTGAGGAAGCTCAACAAAATTCAGGATAACAGACCAGGCGCAGTGGCTCACACCTGTAATCCCAGCACTTTGGGAGGCCAAGGTGGGCGGATCATGAGGTCAAGAGATTGAGACCATCCTGGCCAACATGGTGAAACCCTGTCTCTACTAAAAATACAAAAATTAGCTGGGTGTGGTAGTGCACACCTGTAGTCCCAGCTACTCGGAGGTTGAGGCAGGAGAATCATTTGAACCCGGGAGGCGGAGGTTGCAGTGAGCTGAGATTGCACCACTGCACTCCAGCCTGACGACAGAGTGAGACTCCATCTCAAAAAAAAAAAAAAAAGAAAAAAATTCAGGACAATACAGAGAAAAAATTCAGAATCTTATCAGATAAATTTAACAAATACATTAAAATAATTTAAAAGAATCAAACAGAAATTCTAGAGTGAAACACTCAATTGAAATACTGAAGAATGCATCAGAGTCACTCAATAGCAGAATTGATCAAGTAGAAGAAAGAATTAGTGAGCTTGAAGACAGGGTATTTGAAAATACACAGTGAGAGGACACAAAAGAAAAAAGAATAAAAAAGAATATAGCATGCCGACAAGTTACAGAAAATAGCCTGTAAAGGGCAAGTCTAAGATTTATTGGCCTGAAAAAGCATAGAGAGTGAGAGAGACTGGGATAGGACGTTTATTCAAAGGGATAATAAAAGAGAACTTTATAAACCTAGAGAAATATATCAATATTCAAGTACAAGAAGGTTATGGAACACCAAGCAGATTTAACACAAATAAGACTACCTCAAGACATTTAATAATCAAACTCCCAAAGGTCAAGGATAAAGAAAGGATCCTAAAAGCAGGAAGAGAAGAGAAACCAGTAACATATAAAGGAGCTCCATTACAACTGTCAGCACACTTCTCAGTGGAAACCTTACAGGCTAGGAGAGAATGGCAAGACATACTTAAAGTGCTGAAAGAAAAAAATGTTTACCCTAGAATAGTATATCCAGCAAAAATATCCTTCAAACATGAAAAAGAAACAAAGATTTTCTGAGACAGACAAAAACTGCTATCACTGACAGCAGACATATCCTACAAGAAACGCTGAAGAAACTTCAAACTGAGAGAAAAGGTTGTTAATAAGCAATAAGAAATCATCTGAAGAAATGCAAATCAAAACCAAAACCACAATGAGATACCCACCTTACACTAGTCAGAATGGCTGTTACCAAAATGTGTCAAAAACTAACAGATGCTGATGAGGCTGCAGAGAAAAAGGGGACATTTATACACTGTTGATGGAAATGTAAATTAGCCAGTGTCTGGAGTTTCTTCAAAGAACTTAAAACAGACCTACCATTTGACCCAACAATCCCATTACTGGGTATACATCCAAAGGAAAATAAATCATTCTACCAAAAAGACAAATGTACTCATATGTTCATTGCTGTGCTATTCACAATAAGAAAGACATGGAATCAAACCCAGGTGCCTATCAATGGTAGACTGGATAAAGAAAATGTGGCACATAAACACCCTGTAATACTACACAGCCATAAAAAAGAGTAATACCATATTCTTTGCAGTAAAATGGTTGCAGTGGAAAGCCATTATCCTAAGCAAATAAACACATAAACAGAAAACAAAATATCACATGTTCTTACTTATGAGTAAGAGCTAAACATTGAGCACACATGAACATAAACATGGAAACAAAAGACACTCCAGACTACTAGAGAGAGGAAAGGAGGAGTGGGGTATGGGTTGAAAAACTATCAGGTACTATGCTTATTACCTGAATGACAGGATACAGGCCCCAAACCCCAGCATCACACAATATTCCCATATAACAAAGGTGCACATGTACCCACATATCAACAGTAGAAGTTAATTTTTTTAAAAAAGAAATCATCTGAAGATAGAAAATTCACTGGTAATAAGAAGGACACAAACACAGAACATTGTAACACTATAATTGTGGCATGTATACTACTTATATCTTGAGTAGAAAGACTAAAACATGAACCCATCTAAAATAATAACTACAATAACTTCTCAAGACATAGACAATAAGATATGAATAAAAACAACAAAAACTTAAAAAAGAAGGTAGATGAAGTTGAAGTGTTATTAGTTTTCTCTTTTCTCGTTTGTTTCTTTTTGTAATTGGTGTTAATATCAGTTTAAAACAATGGGTGATAAGATGTTATTTGCAAGCCTCATGGTAACCTCAAATAAAAAACACAAAACAGATACACAAAAAATAAAAAGCTAGAAATTAGAAACCAGAGAAAATCACCTTCACAAACAGCAAGACAGGAAGGAAGGAAGAGAAGACTACAAAACAACAAGAACACCATAATAAAATGGCAGAAAAGTCCTTACTTATCAACAATAACATTGAACGTAAATGGACTCAGCTCTCCAGTCAAAGGACATAGAATGGCTGAATGGATTAAAAACAAAACAAAATCCAATGATCTGTTGCCTACAAGCAACAAACTTCACCTCTAAAGACACACATAGACTGAAAAAGAAAACAGATGAAAAAAGATATTCCATGCCAATGGAAACCAAAAAAGAGCAGGTGTAGCTATACTTATATCACACAAAATAGATTTCCAAAAAAAAAACTATAAGAAGAGAAAAAGAAGGTCATTATATAATGATAAAAGGGGTCAATTCAGCAAGAGAATGTAACAATTGTAAATATATATGCACCTTATACTGGAGCATCCAAATATATAAAACAAATATTATCAGAGCTAAAAAGAGAGATAGGCCCCAAAACAATAATAGCTGGAGACTTCAACACTCCACTTTCAGCATTGGACAGATCATCCAGACAGAAAATCAACAAAGAAACATGAGACGTAATCTGCACTATAACAAATGGACCTAATAATAGTTATTTACAGAACATTTCATCCAACGGTGGCAGAATACACATTCCTCTCCTCAGCACATGGTTCATTCTCAAAAACAGACCATATGTTAGGCCACAAAACTAGTCCTTTTTTTTTTTTTTTTTTCTGAGACAAAGTTTCATTCTTGTTGCCCAGGCTGGAGTGCAATGGTGTGATCTTGGCTCACCACAACCTCTGCCTCCCGGGTTCAAGCCATTCTCCTGCCTCAGCCTCCCAAGTAGCTGGGATTACAGGCATGTGCCACCACGCCTGGCTAATTTTGTATTTTTAGTAAAGTCAGGGTTTCTCCACGTTGGTCAGGCTGGTCTCAAACTCCCGACCTCAAGTGATCCGCCCGCCTTGGCCTCCCAAAGTGCTGGGATTACAGGCGTGAGCCACCACGCCCAGCCAAAACTAGTCTTTAAAAATTCAAAAAAATGAAATCATATCATGTATCTTTTCTGAAAACAATGGAATAAAACTAGAAATCAATAAGAGGAACTTTAGAAACTATACAAACACAATTAAACAATATGTTCCTGAATGACCAGTAGGTCAATGAATAAGTTAAGAAGAAAATTTAAAAATTTCTTGAGACAAATAAAAATGGAAACACAACACAGCAAAACCTTTGGGTTACAGTGATGGAATGCTAAGAGAAAAGTTTATAGAAATAAATGCCCATGTCAAAAAAGTAGAAAAACACCAAATAAATGACCTAATGATGCATCTAAACATGGAAAGACAAGAGAAAGCCAAACCCGAAATTAGTATAAGAAAAGAAATAATAAAGATGAGAGCAGAAATAAATGAAATTAAAGCAAAAAATACAGAAGATAAACAAAAGGAAAAGTTAGTATTTTGAAAAGATAAACAAAAAACATTGGGGAAACATCCAGGACATTGGTTTGAGCAAAGATTTTTTTTGTCTAATGTCCTAAAAGTAAAGGCTACCAAAGCAAAAATGGACAAATCAGATCACATCAAGTTAAAAAGCTTCTGCACAGCAAAGGAAAAAAATCAATGCAGTGAAGAGACAACCTACAGAATGAGAAAAAATATTTGCAAACTATCTGACTGGGATTAAAAACCAGAAAATGTAATGAGCTTAAACAATGTAATAGGAAAAAATGTAATAATTCAATTCAAAAATGGGCAAAAGATCTGAATAAACATTTTTCAAAAGACATAAAAATGGCAAACAGGTATATGAAAAAGTGATTAACATCACTGATAGTCAGAGAAATGCAAATTAAAACTGCAATAAGATAACATCTCACCCAAGCTACAATGGCTTTTATCCAAAAAAAAGATAATAGCAAATGCTGGTAAGGATGTGGAGAAAAGAGAACCCTCATACACTGTTGGTGGAAATGTAAATTAGTACAACCACTACCGAGAACAGTTGAGAGGTTCTTCAAAAAATTAAAAATAGAACTACCTTATGATCCAGGAATCCCACTGCTAGGCATATATCCAAAAGGAAATCGGTGTATTGAAAAGACACCTGCACTCCATGTTTATTGCAGTACCATTTACAATAGCCAAGATTTGGAGGCAACCTAAGTGTCCAGCAACAGATAAATGAATAAAGAAATGTGGCATATACACACAATGGAGTACTACTCAGCCGTAAAAAAGAATGAGATCCTGTCATTTGCAGCAACATGGATGGATCTGGGGGACATTATGTTAAGTGAAACAAGTCATGCACAGAAATACAAACTTCATACGTTCTCACTCATCTGCAGGAGCTAAAAATTAAAACAATTGAACTCATGGAGAAAGAGAGTAGAATGATGGTTACCAGAGGTTGCGAAGGGTAGCAGAGATGAGGGAGTGGGGATGGTTAATAGGTACAAAAATGAAGTTAGATAGAATGAATAAGATCTACTATTTGACAGCATAACAGTTATTATAGTCAACAAAAATTTATTTTACATTTTATAATAACTAAAAGATTATCATTGGAAAGTTTATAACACAAAGAAATGATAAATGCTTGAGGTGATGCATACCCTATTTACCCTGATGGGATTATTATACATTGTATGCCTGTATCAAAATATCTCATGTACCCCATAAATATATACATCTATATTATGTACCCATAAAAAATAAAAATTAAAAAAAATTAAAACAGAGATAGAGAATGATAAAGCAAATGTGGTAAAATGTTAAGTTTGGGGAATTTGGGAGAGGAATATACAGTACTTTTTTCAATTATTATTTGATTTTTCTATAAGTCTAAAAATATTTCAAAATAAAAAACTATTTTTTTTAAATACAAAAATTAGCCAGGCATGGTGGCGGGCTCCTGTAATCCCAGCTACTCGGGAGGCTGAGGCACAAGAATCGCTTGAACCCAGGAGGTGGAGGCTGCAGTGAGCCGAGATCGTGCCACGGCACCACTGCACTCCAGCCTGGGCAACAGAGTGAGACTCTGTTCCAAAAAAAAAAAAAAAAAAAAGTCTTTTTTTTAAAAAAGAAACATTTACTGATGCTTTACTAAGTACTCTTTGAAAGGAGATGAATAAGAATCCTTGGCCTTAAGAAATTTAAAAGTTGGCCAGGTGCAGTGGCTCATGTATGTAATCCCAGCACTTTGGGAGGCCAAGGCAGATCACTTAAGCTCAGGAATTCCAGACCAGCCTGGGCAACAAGGCAAAACCCCATCTCTACAAAAAATACAAAAAATTAGCTGGGCACCATGGCACATGCATGCCTGTAGTCCTAGCTACTCAGGAGGCTGAAGTGGGAGAATCACCAGAAAGTCAAAGCTGCAGTGAGCCATAATTGTGCCACTGCACTTCATTCTGGGCAACAGAGTGAGACCCTGTCTCAAAAGAAAGAAGAGGAGATGAGGGGAGGGGGGAGGGAAGAGGAAGGAAAGAAAAGGAAGGAAAGGGAGGGAGGGAGGGAAGGAAGGAAGGAAGGAAGGAAGGAAGGATTGGTCTAGCAAAAGAGGAAAATAGGTAAGCCAAAATTCACAATACAGGGGGACAATACAGAGTGATAAGTCGGCCAAATACAGTCCTTTGGGAGCACAGAGAAACATCATTTAGTCCCTGCTATGACAGAATATGATATGAGCCGTAAGATAAATCAAAAAGAGGGAAGGTACATTAAAGGATCCCCAAAGAGGTAATGTTTGAAATAAATTTTAAAGGATGATGTCAGACAGGTGGGGTACGGTGAAGCATTCTAGGCAATTGACATGAAAAGGCCCAAGCATACAGCATTCAGAAAACTACAATTAGGTATCTAAAAACATCAGAAGAGAAAAGGAGGGGAGGAGGTTGGAGGATATCAAGTCTCAGATCTTAAAGGGCCTTATGCCATATTGAGAAACCTGGCTTTTAACATACAGGCAATGGATGTGAACAGATGTTTAAAAATGAAGTAAATCATCAATTTTGCATTTGAAAAAGCTCACTGGGTAGTGTGTGGAATTCGGATTGTAGAAATAAAGAGATCTAATAGCAGTTCATTGTAATATATCTAGAGAGAAATGCTGAAAGTACTTCAAAGCTATAGGTAGAGAAGGGTGAAATTAAGGTGATATTTGAAATGTCAAATCCAAAGGAATTGGTACAATTAAATGTGGGAAAAAGAGCAATAAGTACAACTCCCACTTTGCTGGTTTAGATAATCCTGCTAGCCTTAATAGGGGTTAATGTTTCTGCCTGTGAAAATCATATACAGATGAAATTCAAGTTTTCCTGAACTTGAATCCTTATTAATTTGTTTTTATAAGGACTGCAAACACAAATAACATGAAGTGCTAACAGCAGAGTTAGAATAAGTCTCCTAAAATGTGTCTTAATGAAATTATTTTGAATTATAAAACTTTGTCATTTTCCTAGACTTCCTTGGGAAGGCAGTCTGTTCATGGCTTATAACTGCTTCAGTACCAAGAGGCTTACTATACAACATTCCTACCTTAGAAATTCAAATGCATGGAGGCTATAAAAGGAAACAAGGAAGGCATTTTTCTCTAAGAACAGAAAGAACTGAAGTGTACAGTGTTTTTCTAAACTTCATACCTAACCCTCTAATAATGAATGGTAGGGCTGTAATTGGGGGAAGTAGCTGTATTTTACCTCTAGGTGAGCTACCAACAAGACCTTGTGTCTTAATGCAGTCACTGAAAGTATGCCCCCCAAAAAATACAATGAGCATTTCAATATGAAAATAAGAGCTCCTACAAAGATCATACTGTTAAATGGGGAATTGGCCAAAGTATTGCAGCACAAATTGCTGACTCTGGTGCTCTGAATGCTCTTTTGACTTAAAATCTTAAAAAAAAAAAAAAAAAAGAAAGAAACAAAGAAAAAAGAACAGCAGTATTAGTAACAGAACTTGAGAAACAAAGCTATGACTGTTGTGAATGAAATGGACTTTAATAAAAGGACTGATTCTCTCAGACCGTGTGGCTAACTGCAGAAATGAATGAATTAAAATTTCAGGAGCTATGACATGTATTTTCAGTCTTCCACTGTGACCTTGGGCAAGTCCCCCATCCTGTCTGTGCTTGTTTTCTCTTCAATATCAGGATATCGAGTCATGGCATTATAGAAAATGTTAATTTTTAATACTAATTTAAGAACAATTGGTTATAACATGAATTTTTATGTTAATTTGTATGAGTTGCTCCATGCCTCAATTTTCCTCATCTACAAACTGAGGCTAATACTAGAACTCACTGCAAAGGTTTGTTTGAGGGTTTTATAAGTATAAAATAATTATTAGTTATTACTATTATTACTGTTATATTTGAGAATTTAATATATGTTAGAGATGGAATTTCAAAGATTGGTAATTACCATTGGGAAAGGAGGGTGAATTTGAATCTCTGTTTTGTTCCTTTCATCACAATAAATTTCTCCAAGATCAAAAATTAAACATAAAAACAAAATTAAAATTATATTAGAGATCTTAGAAAACGAGGTTATGATGGTGAAAATAAAAATAGTAGATAGGTTGAATAGAAGAATGAAAAGAGTTAAAGAGCAAATTAATGAGCAAGAAGCTGAAGGAAAGTGGAAATTAAGGCCACAGCTATAGCTATTTTGAAAATAATAATGAGAGGTCTACATATCAAAACCCATGAGGCACAACCGTAATAGCACTCAGAAAATTTTCTAGCCTTCTATTCATATAAGAAAATAAATAATGGGGGAGAAAGGCTCTTTCCTTTCCGTCTGGCAACAGCCATCAGGTAAGCCAAGATAACTGCATACAAGTACATTCAGGAGCTGTGGAGGAAGCAGCAGTCTGATACCATGCACTTTCTTCGGAGAGTCCCTGCTAGCAGTACTGACAGCTCTCTGCTCTACCACAGGGCTCCACATCCCACCCAGCCCAAAAAAGTGCACCGACAGGGCTACAAGGCCAAGCAAGTTTACGTTATATATAGGATTCGTGTGCACCATGGTGGCCGAAAATGCCCAGTTCCTAAGGGTGCAGCTTATGGCAAGCCTGTCCACTGTGGTGTTAACCAGCTAAAGTATGCTTGAAGTCCATTGAAGACGAGAAAGCTGGACGCCACTGTGGGGTTCTAAGAGTCCTGAATTCACATATATATATATATGTACATATATATACATGTATACATGATATACATGTACATCATGTATATATGTACATACATATATGTGCATACATATATGTACATGTATATATGATATACATGTACATATATTTTTATTTATACATATAGACATATTTATACATTTTATTTCTATATATATATATATATATATATATATATATAGTATTTCTTTTTTTTTTTTTTTTTTTTTGAAACAGAGTCTTGCTCTGTCACCCAGGCTGGAGTGCAGTGGCACAATCTCACTCACTGCAACCTCTGCCTCCTGGGTTCAACTAATTCTCATGCCTCAGCCTCCCAAGTAGCTGGGATTATAGGTGTGCGCCACCACACCCAGCTAATTTTTGTAATTTTGTAATTTTTGTTTAGTAGAAACGCGGTTTCACCATGTTGGCCAGGCTGGTCTCGAACTCCTGGCCTCAAGTGATCCACCCAACTTGGCCTCCCAAAGTGCTGGGATTACAGGTGTGAGCCACCATGCCCGGCTAAGAGTCCTGAGTTCTCACTTCGGTGAAGATTCAACATACAAAATGTTTGAAGTTATCCTCATTCATCCACTCCATAATGCTGTCAGAAAAAATCCTGCCACCCAGTGGATCACCAAACCAGTCCACAAGCAAAGGGTGATGCATGGGCTGACATCTGCAGGCCGAAAGATCCGTGGCCTTGGTAGGGTCATAAGTTCCACCACACTCCTGGTGATTCTCACTGTGCATCTTGGAAAAGGCACAATACTCTCCAACTCCACCGTTACCACTAATGTAAGTAATGTTTGTAAAGTTGATACCTAAAAAACAATTTAGGACAGTCATGTCTGCTTACAAGTATTATTTGTCTGTTAAAACTAGTCTGTAGATTATTTCATGAATTCTTTGTCAAATTATGACAGTTAAAGTGCAATAATGTTTGAAAACTATAAGTGATGATGTCTCTTGTTTCTAGTAAGATAAACTTTTTTGTCTTTGCTTTATCTGATTAGGGAGTTATCTGGCAGTGTTTAAAACATACTGTGTGATACAATAGGTTTAACATAAATTATTTAAAAGAAAAAAAGAAAATAAATAATGAAAATAAATAAAGTATGCATATAACATAGGAACCTAGCAAAAAGTAGTTAAATAAATTAGAAGAAGCAAATTAACAGATAAAAGCAAAATTTATTGAACCAGGGGAAAATAGCAGATTGGATAAAAAAATTACAAGGTGGTTCTTCAATTTAAAAAAATATATAGAAAAAGAACTTTGAGTGTCATTAAACATAATCAATACTAGAAATAATAGACAAACATAAATTTTAAAAAGATTTAAAAATTTTTAAATGGCTGATTTTTCTAGAAAAAATACAAATTTCTAAAATTGACACAAGAGTTTAAAAATAAAGAAATAGAAAAGTTGTCAGAAACAAAGCCCAAAAAGTGTTACAACAAGTTGGTTGGACCTTCAAGGAAAAAGTGGTATTTTCTTTTTATAAATGGTTCTAAATAATAGAAGCTGTGGAAAGTTTCCCATCTCATTTTAGGAGGCTGGTCTAACCCAGATGCTTACATTTGACAAGAATGGCCCTCAAAAGCAAACTATAGGCTAATCTCACTTGTGGAAATAGATAGAAAAACCCTAAATAAAATGTCGGTAAATTTAATGCAGTAATTACCTAAAATAACCTATGTGACCAAGCAGAGTTCATTCCAGGAATATGAAGGTAATCAGCACCAGAAATCTGTTGATTAAATGAACTATGCTAACAGAATAAAAAGAAGAAAATTCTATGACTTCATGATCCTCTCAAAAAATCCAAATAAGAAACAAATGTATTTTCATAGCCATTCCTTATTTTTAAAAATAAAATATAAAATTTTTTAAATCTCTGTCATGCGTTGATCTAAAGACAAAAAAAGTGAGGCAAACTTAATACAGAGTTTATTTGGGCCAAGTTTGAAGATTGCAACCCAGGAACATAGATTCAAGTTAACATGAATATACCCTCTGATTAGCAGTAGTTACTAGTGGTTTTTAAAGGAAAAAAATGGGGTGGTTCCTAACTTGTTTACCAAGAATTTACATTAAAATAGCATAACCTATTGATTGGCTGTACTTTGTATCACAGATTACAGGAACATCAAGATAACAGGGGAAGCAGGAACAGGGGAAGTCAGGAACAAAAGGTCTTTAAATGATTGCCCCCTGGCACATGGGTGCAAGGAGGGCGAGGGATGTGACTAAAGTGCCATATTCATGTCTCTCTGGGCCTGATAAATCTTTGCATATCTCACATTGTAGCAGGACAAGCCACAGACAAAACCCCTCAGACACCAAGTTAAAGAAGGAAGGGGTTTATTCAGCCGGGAGCATCAGCAAGACTCCTGTCTCAAGAGCCGAGCTCCCCGAGTGAGCAATTCCTGTCCCTTTTAAGGGATCACAACTCTAAGGGGGTCCACATGAGAGGGTCATGATCGATTGAGCAAGCAGGGGGTACTTGACTGGGGGATGCATACACTGGTAATTAGAAGGGAACAGAACAGGACAGGGATCTTCACAGTGCTTTTTTATGCAAGTAACTGATAAGGTCAGGGGTTGATCTTTAACTACCAGGCCCAGGGTGTGGCACTGGGCTGTCTGCTTGTGGATTTCATTTCTGCCTTTTAGTTTTTACTTCTTTTTTTGGAGGCAGAAATTGGGCATAAGACAATATGAGAGGTGGTCGCCTCCCTTAACATACCTCAGATGGCTCAGAGCTATTTTTCTTTTCTCACCTACTAGAAAAGGGCATGTCCTTAATTTAATAAAGGATGTTTACCAGAAACAGCAAACATCATATTTGATGGCAAAATATTAGAAGCATTCCCATTTGTGATCTGAGAAACTTAAGTAGATGTCCCTTTATCAGGTAAGGGGGACTCTAAAGTTAAGGTAACAAAAGTTACAGGTCGAGGTGTAACAACTTCCTAAATTCTCATGGCTACAAGTAAAACCACTCTCTTGCTAAACCCCCTAGCAATAGCAGCTATTGGACACCTCCTAACTCTGACTTATGATCCAGGCCACTACAACTCTGATTGGACAGAGGACCAGCCTTACAAACATTCTTTTCTGATAAACAACTGCAGACCTTAAGCTAGTTTCAGCCAGCCTATAAAGGCTGTGCACTAACTGTCTTTGTGTCCTATAGCTCACCTTGTTATGTGAGCCAAATTCCACCTCATTTTAATGCTAAAACCTGCCACGAAGGGAACATGGGATGTATGTTACATATATGTTTACCCACTGCGCATGTGCTTGGCTCCCCTCATAAATATGTATAGCTTTTCCCCAAAACCTACTGAATATGTATGACTCTATTGTATAAGACAGACTCTGTGGGGCCTAAAACCCAAACTTCCTCTTCCCTACTCGAAGTTAGAACACCTTCAGTCCACACTGCAGACTCTCTCTTCTGGTCTACAAACTGATAGTGCCAATAAAGCTCTTCTTTCTACTATCTCACCATTCTGGTGGTCATTTGGATGACATATTAAAATAAGGGTGAAGACAAAGATGCTATCATCATTATTATTCAACATACTACAATGCATAAATTATAAAATGTCTACATAAGATGTCATAAAGTTAAACTAGAAACTATATTTATAATATATATAGAATAAATGGTTTCTATTAAAAATACATACAAATACAAAAATACACACATATAAAAAGAGTTTCTAAAAATAACAAGAAATAGGCCAAGTGCTGTGGCTCATGCCTGTAATCCCAGCACTTTGGGAGACCAAGGCAGGCAGATCACGAGGTCAGGAGTTCGAAACCAGCCCGGCCAACATAGTGAAACCCTGTCTCTACTAAAAATACAAAAATTAGCCTGGCGTGGTGGTGAGCACCTGTAGTCCCAGCTACTTGGGAGGCTGAGGCAGGAAAACTGCTTGAACCCGGCAAGTGGTGGTTGTGGTGAGCCGAGTTCATGACACTGCACTCCAGCCTGGGCAACAGAGTGAGACTGTCTCTTAAAAACAAAACAAACAAACAAAAAAGCAAGAAATAGGCAATCCAATAACATCTTTTTTGCAGGGCCATTTGACAGGAGCTATCAACATTTTAAATGTTTATTACCTTTGGCTCTGCTTCCATTTTCATAAATGAGCTTTAAAAAATTCACAAGAATGCTCAGAGAATATATATACATATATGTACATATGTATATGTACACAAGGATGTTTGTTGCAGCATTGTTTACAAGAGAGAAAAATTAGAAATCTAAGTGTACTAAATGTTGAGTGGTTAAATAATGGTATTCATACTACAAAATACTCTCAGCCCTTAAAAACAGTGAAATAGTCCGGGGCACAGCGGCTCAGCCTGTAATCCCAGGGAGACCAAGGCGGGTGGATCACTTGAGGTCAGGAGTTCAAGACCAGCCTGGCCAATATGGTGAAATCCTGTCTCTACTAAAAATACAAAAATTAGCCAGACATGGTGGCACATTCCTGTGATCCCAACTACTTGGAAGGCTGAGACAAGGAGAATCTCTTGAACCCAAGAGCGGAGGCTGCAGTGAGCCAAGATAGTGCCACTGCACTCCAGCCAACAGAGCGAGACTCTGTCTCAAAAAATAAAATGAAATAAGTAAAAATAGTGAAATATATCTGTATGAACTGATATACCAGATATCTGAGAAAGATTAAGTGAAAAAAAGTAAGTAAAAAAAAACAAATATAATTATTGGACTTATGTGAATATATCATTTTTATAAAATATAGTAACAATGATATAAGGACACAATAATATTACAAGGATACAAACCAAATGAATAACTTCTAAGAAGAGAAGTAGAAATTGGCAGCCAAGGGTAGAAATCAGAGACAATCAGGAAAGAAACTGTGGGATTTTCAGGCTTTACTGAATATACTTTTAAATAATCCAAATTTTTAATATTAAAAATGTATTCAGTGTCACCCTGCTAGCTCAACTGGTAGAATAGAGACTCAAGAATGTGTTCATACAGCAGCATTATTCATAAGAGCCAAAAGATAGAAGCAACCCAAATGTCCATCAATTGTTGAATGTATAAACAAAATGTATATCCATAAGCTAGAATATTATTTAACCATAAAAAGGAATGATATACTGATACATGTTAAATGATGTACTGATACATGAACCTTCAGAACATTATGCCACATGGAAGAAGCCAGTCACCAAAAAAACACACATTTTATATGATTCCATTCATTTGAAATGCCCAAAGTGACTAAATCTATAAATACAGAAAACAGAGCAGTAGTTGTTTAAGGCTAGGTGAGGGGAAAGGGAATGGAGTTCTGGGGTGTGATAATCTAAGGGATGGCTGGGTTCTTTCTAAGAAAACGTTCTAAATTTGATTATGGTGATGGTTGCATAGCTCTATGAATACATTAAACCCATTTAATTGCAAACTTTAAATGAATTAGTTATATGATACGTGAATGTCAATAAAACTGCTACAAAAATAGCAATAATCCAACAAGTTTTAAAACTTAATCCAAAAGAGAAAGTAAAGATAAGAGATACAACTGCTAAGAATGCAAAGAAAGCCAGAACAGTGAAATTCAGAGTCTTACGGTACCGGTACCATGCAAGAGTGGGACACAGAAAGAAAATATTAGAACTTCAATTTCTATTTGATTTTTACATAAAAATAATAAAAATAAAATTAAGTTTTACTAAAATGTATGATATGGTTGACCAGTGCCTTTACTCAAAGGATCATGTGCCTTGTGAGGTTGAAGAGGCATCCTGGAAAAAGAATAAGAGTTCCACAAGAAAGCAGGCTGACCATTCATTCATTTTTTTTCCTTCTCAGCATATTGCAATACTTGACCGGTTAGGTGAATTTATAGATTATACTATTTAGATTTAATAAAATACATCCCTCCTAGAATGAGTAAGTGGCTGCAAAACATTCCTGCAAATAAAACATTGCTTGAAGCTAATAATTGCATTTTGTGCACAAATGAAAAACAAGAAAACGGCAGAGCTTATCTACTATGATCTCTTCTGTGGATAACACAGAATAAATATTAACAATAAATATTTGTTACATGAATAATATAAAAATCATGAAAAGCAAGAAGAACACTAAGGAAATTCAGTAAACAATTCTTCACTTTTAGTACATGTACCTATACTTGTTACCACCATCCTCCCCCAAACAGGGTAAATATAGATAGAAATGTTGATCTTTATTATTACAATCACATAAAATGGAAACACATTAGGAATTTACACATGGGTATGTTTTATGTAGAAGATTAAACTATAGACGTGGCACGGTGGCTCACGCCTGTAATCCCAGCAATTTGGGAGGCTGAGACGGGCGGATCACTTGAGGTCACAAGTTGGAGACCAGCCTGGCCAACATGGCGAAACTCCGTCTCTACCAAAAACACAAAAAAATAACGGGGCGTGGTGGCGGGCACTTGTAATCCCAGCTACTCTGGAGGCTAAGGCAGGAGAATGGATTGAACCTGGGAGGTGGAGGTTGCAGTGAGCGGAGACTGCGCCACTATACTCCAGCCTGGGCAACAGAACAAGACTCTGTCTCAAAAAAAAAAAATAAGACTAAACTACAAGAGATCAAGTTATTTTCATGTAACAAATTTCTCATTAATCTTATTGGAAGCATGCCTTTAACAGTGTGTCTTAATTAATTCAAATATATAAGGGCAACAGTGCTATACAAGAACCTCTAGAGTATATTAAAACATTCAAAGACATTGAGAAGTAGTCCAAAGCTGTGCTGGACTCTATAATAAGAAATCATGCTTCTTTCTGGTAACTAAAGACACACTGTTTGCTGGTTTAAGGATGAAAGAACATTTTCAAGTTGTAGTAAAGTATAATATCATCAACTGACACACGGTGGTAATAAACCACCAAGTAGGAAGAGCTTAAGGACTTGATGCCAGAGAAAAAAACTAACAGAAAAAAACTGAAAACAGCAAAGGCAGAGGGCCGGGCGCGATGGCTCACGTCTGTAATCCCAGCACTTTGGGAGGCCAGGGTGAGCGGATCACTTGAGCTCAGGAGCTCGAGACCAGCCTGACCAACATAGAGAAACCCCATCTCTGATGAAAATACAAAATTAGCCGGGTGTGGTGACGCCTGCCTGTAATCCCACCTACTCAGGAGGCTGAGACAGGAGAATCGCTTGAACCTGGGAGGCGGAGGTTGCGGTGAGCCAAGATGGCGCCACTGCACTCCAGCCTGGGCAACAAGAGCAAAACTCCGTCTCAAAAAAAAAAAAAAAAAGAAAAAGAAAAAGAAAAAAGAAAGGAAGGAAGAAAGAAAAGAAAAGAAAAACAGCAAAAGCAGAGAGTCAGGAAAGCCCTTCGCTAATGTAGCAGGTGACAGACTTCATTTTATGAGACCTCAGCCCCATTAGTCAGAACGAAGTATTTCTACAAAGTACCTGTAACTGAAAAGATCCTCCCCGAGACATCACTAAACTATTAGTTACTGTGTAGCTAGGGACTGCCAGCAAATTAATTCCCTAAGTGACAGTTCAGAGATTCTCGTGTTTTTGTTTTGTTTTGTTTTAAAGAGGATGCAGACACCAAGAAGGTTTTTGTGTTTGTTTTCAATTAATATTTAGAAAGAAGACTTTTAAAAAGCAGTATCAACTGGCATGCGAGACAAAGAGAGGAGTTCAGTGTGGATATGGGCATTTCTGCTGAAGCCCAGTAGAAAGAGTACACTAATTACAACAAGAAAAGGAAAAGAAGAATCTGCATGGATGAAGAAAAAAACATACAACCCTTCGTAGTAGTCAAGGTAGAATGTGTTTGCGGCGTGATCTTTTTTGCAAGCCCAGCCACGTGTCCTTATAGAATCCCAAGGGTTCCACTTGCTCCCCGGGACCAAAAGCAGCGCCCCAAGGGAGGAGCCAAGTGCTGTGGACCCGATCTACACGTAGCCAACCCAGCAGATCCCAAAGCCCGGCGTCTCCTCTCCCCCACCTAGGATGTTCTGCCACCTGGACCCGACGCGTAGCAGGGCTCTCTGTAGCCATATTTCGCTAGATCCTTCTTTCTCCTGTAGTTTCAAGTGTCTAAGCAAAGCTCCCAGAGCAATCACGAGACTTCTGTGACAGGAGCCGTTTTCTTCCGGGAGATAAACAGCTCCCGCCCTGCGGAAATCCTGCAGCTTCGCTGAGGTGGCTGCTTCCAATCGGCCCCTCCTCTGGCTCCTCCTCCCTGGACTCAGCCAGGGTTCCCTCCAAGCAGCAGTCAGGTACAGCCTCCGTCCTGCTCTTAGCTCCCAGGGAGGGACTAGGGCCTCGCAGGAGCCCCTGCGCAGAGCACGTGCGAAGCTGACTAGTGAGGTTTTCTTTTTGCGCCCTGTGGATGTCAGAGAACAGTGTCATAACCTGGCGCCCTACATACACCTAGTTTCTGATCTGTCTCGGGCTGCGTTTTTTTGTTTGTTTGTTTGTTTTTTAGTTATGGTTTTGGTCTTTATTGTTCAGCAGCTACTCCCCAAACAACACTAAAATGTTTAGCTATTGCTTCTTTGCGGATTACTTCCAAATCAAGCAACATAAAATTGATGTATCACTTGATTTAAATAGATTTGCATTTATTTACAGGTTAGAGGCATTGGTGGGCCTTCCTAGAACACAGTAGTGAAAAGACGGAAACACATGCCTTTTAATGTGCAAGACCCCTTAGCATCCAGTTAAACCTCTTCATTTTTCACTTATCTAGAGAAATCCTAGATGCCCTATCAAAAGTACACTATCCC
Source organism: Homo sapiens (assembly GCF_000001405.40). Lineage (NCBI taxonomy): Eukaryota > Metazoa > Chordata > Mammalia > Primates > Hominidae > Homo > Homo sapiens. The sequence continues at coordinate 49,169,591 of NC_000015.10, read as the reverse complement.
TAGTACATCACTAACTTTTCCTTCCTTCATAGTTCTCCTATTTGCTTATGTATTTATTGTGTCTCTCACCACCTCCATCATCACTACCACTAGAAAGCAACTGGGGGCAGGCAGATTGGTTTTTAATGAATAGGTAAGATAAACTGAATGAACGACGAAAGGTGAAATGATGTGCCTGAGGTCACAGTGATCATTGGGAACAAAACTGGAATTAAAATTCAGATCTATTAACTCTCAATCTAGTGCACTTTGCACCTCAGAAATATTGAGATTAAACCCAAGCAAAGACAGCTAGCAATAAACCCATTCCAAAGTTTCCTGATTAAGGAAGTTTGAGCCAACATGCCCAACACACTAGGGGTAGTAGCATAACTCAGAGAGATTCGATAAGTTGTATACATCAGTAAGTTACTGCTCCAGAATTTCTATATGTATATGCATACTTTGTCTCCATGTTTCCTTCCCCCTTCTGTATACATGTATACAGGAGGAAGGGGGAAGGAAACATGGAGACAAAGTGTGAATGGACAATAAAGCATAGCCAAAGAGTGGCAGCCCCTTGGCACCCCGTTGGGTTATTACTGTAAATGATACATCAAAGAAACAAAGTTACTCTGGTCTCAGGGCAGCTTTCTCACTATTATTTCAGTCCCTCTTTATCATTTTCAAATGAATGAATTATATCTTCTTGTTTCTGGGCCCCAATAAATCCCAGTTTGATGTTCATTTTGGTTTAATTTTGAGTAACAGGAGTCATCACTGTCACTTGTAAATAGTTTTAATAGGGAGATAACCTAAATTTTAAAAAAAAATGTAAAATGTTTAGGGACATCAGTAAATACAGAAAAGAACAGAATCTTTTTTTTTTTTTTTAGATGGAGTTTCGCTCTTTGTTGCCCAGGCTGGAGTGCAATGGCATGATCTCTGTTCACTACAACCTCCACCTCCCAGGTTCAAACGATTCTCCCGTCTCAGCCTCCCAAGTAGCTGGGAATACAGGCAGCCGCCACCACACCAGCTAATTTTTGTATTTTTAGTAAAGACGGGGTTTCACCATGCTGGGCAGGCTGGTCTCGAGCTCCTGACCTCAGGTGATCAGCCCACCTCGGCCTTCCAAAATTCTGGGATTAAAGGTGTGAGCCACCGTGCCCAGCCCAGAATCATTTTTTATTCAGATGTTTCTAATATATTCTTTTGCATTAGTTGAAAAATAACAAATTTTAAAGTTTTGAATTTTTTTAACAGTCCAAAATAAACTCATTTTATACAGGGTTAAAAAAAAATGACTGTAGAAACTGTTTCGAAAAAGAATACTTCCTACTGAATATGTACTTGATGACCGAACATTAACTTTGCTAAATGAAACCAGATGGCAAATCATTAGTTTGGACCTTGGATACATTGCTATTGCAGTCTCAACAAAACCGATGCAGACTAGAAAGCACCTTACAGAGCAATTAGTAAAGCATCCTTTTTTGAAATGATTGGCACAAAGTAAAACAGGATTAACAGAGCTAGAACTAAAACCTAGGTCTCTAGACTCCTAGCCTAGAGGCCATACTACTTCTGAATATGTGACTTTTGTTGAGACCCCAGTAAACTGTGCTTAAAAATAAATTATTGAAATGATTAGAATCCTTGTCCCAAAATAAAATGTGTACATTATAATTTTCATAAAGGATTACTCTTAAAATAACCTGTCCAAACTACTAGAGAACCCCAAATGGACACCAAAAACAAAACATTACTTTCTTATACTACCTTCCTTATACTAGGCATCTTGCTAAGTAAGCACTTTGCGTATATTATTGTCTCTTTAAACCTTTCCAACAATCCTTATGGGATAGAAAAATATTATTTCCTTTTCAATTTCAAGAAGATATTCCTTTAGTTCTTATTAGACATATCTAATAGTGAAAACATTTAAACATTTGGCTGGGCACAGTGGCTCATGCCTATAATCCCAGCACTTTGGGAGGCCAAGGTGGGCAGATCACCTGAGGTCAGGAGTTCGAGAACGGCCTGGCCAACATGGTGAAACCCCATCTCTACTAAAACTACAAAAATATAGCCAGGTGTGGTGGCGGGCGCCTGTAATCCCAGCAGCTTGGGAGGCTGAGGCGGGAGAATCGCTTGAACCCAGGAGATGGAGATTGAGTAAGCCAAAATCACGCCACTGCACTCCAGCCTGGGCAACCAAGAGCGAAACTCCATCTCAAAAAAAAAGAAAAGAAAATATTTAAACATTTATATTTTACAGTATTTTTATTTTCACAAATCCTGAACCTCTGGTTCTTTGCTTTTTGCAAGTAGGCACTCTTACAATAGGTTTAGAATCTGAATTATAAACTAATAAATGGTATATTATGATGGAGTCTTAAACAGAAACCTAATTAATAAACTTGAAATTGTTTCTCCTCAAAGGATATTAGTCTCCATTCAGATAAAATATTATAGCAAACTAAACAAAAACAAAACAAACACTAAAATGAAAGAATACAAAAACTTGATCCAAAATATGAGTTAAAGCATGGGTGTTAGAGACTTACAGACCTGGCTAGTGCCTATTGATGTTTCTCAGCTTAGAAATCACTTCCTTCAGGAAGTTTTCCATGTTCTCTACCCAAAACTAAATGTCTAAGACCACAGAGGGATTGACCATTTATCTGAAATAATGTTATTTCTGTGGTTTAATCTGTTTGTGCAACCTCTGGAAAATATTTCCTATTTTGACTTACAATAAAAACTATTGTTCACAATTGGGAGAATCTACTTCAGTGACCTATTTTGGATATTTTCTCATTATAGTAAATAATATGTAATACTTGTTTATGTCTTCTTTATAATGATGTTACATTCCTTCTTTTTTGTTGTTGTTGTTGAGACCAAGTCTCGCTCTTGTTGCCCAGGCTGGAGTGCAATGGCGCGATCTCGGCTCACTGCAACCTCCGCCTTCCGGGTTCAAGTGATTCTCCTGCCTCAGCCTCCCGAGTAGCTGGGATTACAGGTGCCTGCCACTTAATTTTTGTATTTTTAGTAGAGATGGGGTTTCAACATGTTGGCCAGGCTGGTCTCAAACTCCTGAACTGAGGCCATCCACCTGCCTCGGCCTCCCAAAGTGCTGAGATTACAGGCGTGAGCTACTGCACCCGGCCCCTTATTCTTCTGTTCATAAAATAGATACTGCTCTCTAGTGTATATAATCATTAAATGGCAAAAGATAAACTCATGAATCAGAGAAATCTATATTTATGTAGTTATGGAGGAAATAAAAATTGTGCAAAAATGCTTTAACCGAACATAGATTGTTTTGCAGAGTGAAAAACAAAGCAAAACAAAACGAAGACTCTAAGCACCCTCTGCTTGCCCAGTCATACAAAGCATCACATCAGTACTCTAATTACTTGTTTTCTGTCTAGTCTAAGTTTTTCTACTCAAAGTGTGGTCCTCAGAACAGCAGCATCAGCGTCACTTGAAAGTTTTTAGAAATACATTATCTTGGGCCGGGCGCAGTGTAATTCCAGCACTTTGGGAGGCCGAGGCGGGCAGATCACAAGGTCGGGAGATCGAGACCATCCTGGCTAACACAGTGAAACCCCATCTCTACTAAAAATACAAAAAATTAGCTGGGCGTGGTGGTGGGCGCCTGTAGTCCCAGCTACTCGGGAGGCTAAGGCAGGAGAATGGCGTGAACCTGGGAGGCGGAGCTTGCAGTGAGCGGAGATGGCACCACTGCACTCCAGCCTGGGTGACAGAGCAAGACTCCGTCTCAATAAAAAAAAAAAAAAAAAGAAATACATTATCTTGGGCCCAGACCTACTGAATCAGAATCTACAATGCAAGTCAAACATGCCATTTTAAATTTTCTAGAAGCCACTTTCAAAACAATAAAAAGAAATGTTAAATTTAATAATATATTTTATCTAATACACCAAAATATCATTTTAAATATAATATTTTAAATTATTGACATTTTACTTTTTTAAATAAGTCTCCAAAATCCAGCATATCTCAATTACAGCATATCTCAATTATGATGAGAAACAAGTGGCTGCTATATTAGACAGCACAGAGCTAGATTATAAGCTCCCTGAAGGCAAAGACTGTTTTACTCTGATTTTATAGACTCTGGCTCAGTGTTGAGCAGGCACTCAAGGAATGTTTAATGAAGGAATAAATTAATGAAATCAGATTAGCGTGGTTCCACTACTTTGTGACCCTAGGCAAGTCTGAAATTCCTCTTCTAAAAAAGGGAGATAAAAATACCTACTTCATAGGGTTATTATGAAGATTTTAAAAACCATCCCAACATTCTCTCCAGTTATTCTCTATCACCTAAATCTGGTTTGCTGTCTTTAAGGCCATCTGAAATTACATTATTTATTGATTTTTATACTTATTACCTGTCACCTCCACTAAAATTCATATTCCATGTTTCATCCATTATTCTATCATTCATTCATTCATTTAACAAATGTTTCTCTGTGCTACTATGTTCTAAGCACTATTCTAGGCACTGGGGATACAACAATAAACATAAACAAAAAGCTCCTGCTATTATGGCAAATTAAAATTAGTTAAGTAAATAAATGAATATATTACAAAAATTGATGCAAACTCTGCATCTAGTATACATTCCATCATCAAAATGAAATCTGAGAAACAAATATTTAGACTCTGAAATTAGAAATTTGCATTTCAAGCTTACAGTGTACATTAGCCTGACCAAACTACAGATAAATTGCCCCAATTTAAAACTATATTTTGTTTTTTCCTTTTTATTTCTTTTTTTTTTTTTTTTTTTTTTTTTTGAGACGGAGTTTTGCTTTTGTCATCCAGGCTGAGTGCAATGGCATGATCTCGGCTCACTGCAACCTCCGCCTGCTGGGTTCAAGCGATTCTCCTGCCTCAGCCTCCGGAGCATCTGGGATTACAGGCATGCGCCACCACGCTCGGCTAATTTTTGTATGATTAGTAGAGATGGGGTTTTACCATGTTGGCCAGGCTGATCTTGAACTCCTGACCTCAGGTGATCCACCTGCCTTGGCCTCCCAAAGTGCTGCGATTACAGGTATGAGCCACCATGCCCAGCCTTCCTTTTTATTTCTTCACCTAGAAACTAAATATAGTACCAAGAATCTTCAAACTAGACAATTCTTTCCTCACCTTGTCATAACCATCCAATGTTGCCCACCTCAATGAGGAGCTGATTGTGGTTATTATCTTAAGCAATTTTTTTTTTTTTTGGAATACATTTGCTAATGCTCTCCAGTGACTGACATAACTGCATCTACTGGTTGTCAATTGGCTTCGGCTCAAAATAATACTTAGGCCAAAGTAGCATATTTTGGGGTGGCATATTCTGAACCCCTTCAATGCTTAATCATACTGTATTAGCATATTCCTCCTATGTCAACTATAGAGATGAAAGATATAATTGCAGTCTGGAGCATTCTGAAGGCTTAGTATAAGTAGTTGTTGATTCCCTTAACCCTGCCTCCATCTCTATAAATAGTCCCTTAATTAAATTTTCAGTTAACTTCCCTGAGTATGCCACGAGTTTTCTTTCCAGAACTTTACTAATACAAAAGGAGTCCTCTTTTTCTGCTCTTCTAACACACAGTGTTCAGTCTCCCCAAATTAATATAGTAAAAAAAAATTTTAAAGATGATTGGTCTGAAAGGATGCCAAATCATAAACCTGTTTGGTATGACTCAGCCAAGGCCTGTGAAGAGTCATGAATGCTAAAGTTTACTTAAACACATCACATTTTCATTGAGAATCTTCTATAAGCAAGGCATATGCTGCATTTCAGAGAATTCAGAAGTAAGAAAGACAGTTGTGTCCTCAAGGAGCTTTCTGTTTAATAATGAATAAATGGAAATAATTGTAATACAAGGTAGCATACAATTATGAAAAATATATTTTAAAAGGATCAAATTATGCTGACAATTAAACTGTCATTGGATTTTTGACAAAGGTGCCAAGACAACTCAATTGAAAAAGCGTATCTTTTCAACAAATGATGCTGGAACAATTTGACATCCATATGCAAACTAATGAACCTCCACATTCATTCACACTATACACGAAAATTAAATTTGAAATGGATCGCAGACCTAAATGGAAGAGGTAAAACTATATAAAACTTCCAGAAAAAAACATAAGTGAAAATCTCAGCGCCCTTAGGTATGACAAAGATGAATACAACACAAAAAGCATAAAGAACTCTTACAACTCAACAGTAATAAGATAAACAACCCAGTTTAAAAAATAGGCAAAATATATTTAAAAACATTTCACCAAAGAAGATACATAGATGACAAATAAGCACACAAAAAATGTTCAACATTAGTTATTAAGTAAATGCAAATTAAAACTACAATAGTATACTGCTACATTCCTGCTAGAGTAGCTAAAGTTAAAAAGATTGACCACACTAAATGTTGGCAAGGATGTGGAGCAACTAGAACTCTTATGCACTGCTGTTGGATATGCAAAATGGTAAAACCACTTAGGAAAACAATTTGAGAGTTTCTTAAAAAGTTAAATATATACCTACCATATGACCCAACCATTTCACTACAAGATATTTACTAACTGCATTCACATCTATTCTGCGTAACAATATTACTACAAATGTAGTAGTATAAATAAATACACATTTATTATCTCACAATTTTCCATCCTGTTTTAAGGTCTCACAAAGGCTTATTTGAGGCTCAACTGGGGAAGGATTCACTTCCAAGAGCACATGGCTGTTAGCAGCATTCAGTTCCTTGTGGGCTGTCAGACTAAGACCATATTTTTTATTTTTTGGCTGGCTGCTAACCAGATGCCACCATCAGCTCCCTGTTGTGTTGTCCTTCCCAACATGGGCACTTGCCTTCCTCAAAGCCAGCACAGGAGATCATCTTTCCTATCAGGATTGACTTAACAATCTTGTATAATGTAATCATGTATATATAATCACGTATATCACCTTTGCTGTATTTTAGTTAGAAGCAAGTCACAGATCCCACTCACGCTCAAAAAGCAAAGAATTATTCAAGGAAATAGATAATGGGTAGCCACCAGAGTCTGTCTACCATAAATTACCCAAGAGAAACAAAACATATGTCCACACAAAAACTTGTGCACAAATGTTCTTAGCAGCTTCATTTATATTAGCCACAAACTGAAAAAAACTTAAAATATCTATCAACAGATAAATGGGTAAGATGAATTGTAATATATCCATGTAATGAATATTCAGCAATAAAAAGAAACAACCAACTGATACATGCAACAACCTGGACAAATCTCAACATAATTATACTAAGTGAAAGAAACCAGGAAAATGAGAGTACATATTGCATGATTCCATTTATATAAAATTCCTGAAAATGTAAACTAATCTATAGTGACAAAAAGTAGATCAGCAGTTACCTGGGAAAAGTTAAGGGGGGAGGAGAGAAATTTCTGCAAGGAATCTGAGAGGAAATTTTGCAGTGATAATATGTTCATTATCTTGTGTCGTGATAGTTTCACAGGTGTATACATATGTCAAAGTTCATTAAATTTTATACTTTAAGGCTGGGAGTGGTGGCTCATGCCTGTAGTCCCAGCACTTTGGGAGGCCAAGGCGAGTGGATCACCTGAGGTCAGGAGTTCGAGACCAGCCTGGCCAACATGGCGAAACCTCATCACTACTACAAATACAAAAATTAGCTGGGCGTGGTGGTGAGTACCTGTAATTCCAGCTTCTAGGGAGGCTGAGGCAGGAGAATCGCTTGAACCCAGGAGGCGGAGGTTGTAGTGAGCCGAGATCATGCCACTGCACTCTAGACTGGGCAACAAAGCAAGACTCCATCTCAAAAAATAAAATAAAATAAATAAATAAATTTTATACTTTAAGTATGTGCAGCTTAATTTACCTTATTGAGGTAAATGAAGCTACTGAATAATACCTCAATAATGCCATTTTATGAAAATATGTTTTAAAAACATAGGATCCACTTTCAACAAGGGCAGCATGTCACACAAATACACTCTGTTAAAATTACAATTTTCTATTATTTACCATTGAATAAAATTAATGTCAAGAAAAAATAAAAGAGAGTATCTTAACGGTATAAAGTATTCAGGATAGGCTATGTGAATAAGGTCACATTTACATGGATTTTTAAGGACAGAAAAATATTTTGATGTGTGATACAGAAAGATTAATCTATTAACATTTTTATTTATCCAACTAGCACTTATTAGCACCTGTGTACTCAAGCAGCATGCTCAGCACAGTGAAGACCTTTTCAACTGCTGTTAGTAAATTTCCAGACTAGACTTAATAAATTTGGTCATGGCCAAGGAAATTATACTCAAAATTTAGCTGCCGTTCACCCAGTCTTCCTACTTACCAGCTTATTTGCATACTTATTTTCCCATTGTAGGAATAAGGCATTACATTTAAAAGCAGCAAATTATGCAATATATTTAAATGTAAATCAACATGCAGTTTCATATATGTGATCAGTATGCATTTGTTAAGCATATTATCCATTTTGCAACTGCTATCTTGAGTACAAAGTAAAACTATGAAACTTTGATTACTCTGAGCAAATAAACCTCTTAACTACCTCGGGATCCTATTTTCTCTTTTGAACAATTAAAAGTAGAGTAACCATGTGATTTACTGTCTAACTTCTGAAAGTGATGGGTGCTATTAATTTTTTTTTTTTTTGAGATGGAGTCTCGCTCTATCACCAGGCTAGAGTGCAGTGGCACGATCTCAGCTCACTGCAACCTCCGCCTCCACCTCCCCGGTTCAAGCGATTCTCCTGCCTCAGCATCAGGTAGCTGGGACTACAGGCGCACACCACCACGCCCAGCTAATTTTTGTATTTTGTATTTTTAGTAGAGACGGGGTTTCACCATGTTCGCCAGGATGGTCTCGATCTCTTGACCTCGTGATCCACCCACCTCGGCCTCCCAAAGTGCTAGGATTCCAGGTGTGAGCCACCGCACCCGGCCTGGGTACTATTACTATTATGATGGGTCAACAGTAGTAAACGAGATCAGTCCCAGGAAAACTGGGATGTATAGTCATCCCAGGTACAGGGAGGTTTGTTTTGTTGTAAAGTTACAAGTATAGGTTTCTGAATGCCACTCAGAACTACTGAATCAGAATCTCTACTGTGGGATTTGGGAAGCCTTATACTGTAAAGTGATATCATTAAAGGCTCTTCCAATTCTAAGTTATACATTTAATATGGTAATTTTGAATATAGACTGGATATTGAATGATAGGGAATTATTATTAATCTTTTTTTTTCTTTTTTGAGACAAACTCTCACTCTGTCGCCCAGGCTGGAGTACAGTGGCGCAATCTTGGCTCACTGCAACCCCGACCTCCCAGATGCAAGCAATTCTCCTGCCTAAGGTTTCCTGAGTATCTGAGATTACAGGCATGTGCCACCATGCCTGGATAATTTTTGTATTTTTAGTAGAGACAGGATTTCTCCATGTTGGCCAGGCTGGTCTCAAACTCCTAACCTCAGGTGATCCACCTACCTCAGCCTCCCAAAGTGCTGGGTTTACAAGCACGAGCCACCGTGCCTGGCCAGTATTATTAATCTTATATGTAATAATGATGTGATTACATAGGAGAATGTTCTTATTTTTAGGAAACAGACACAGCTGCATTTAGGAGTGATGTGTCATGATATCCGAATCCTTTCAACTGATACAGGGAACACACACATACATACAATCAAAGCTGATAATGGGTATATACATGTCCACTATACTATTCTTTCAATTTTATGTATGCTTGAAATTTATCATAATAAAATATTGAGAAGAAGACTGTTAGGGAAAAACATTTGTATGTATAGGTGAGAACACATTATTGTCACAAATATAACTTAAAAGAACTATGACCAAAAAGGTGTCAATTCAAGTAATTACTAAAAAAGAATCAAGCCTGTAATTTCTCTTCTTGGAATTATTTATTTTATTTTATTTTTTTTTTTTTTTTTGAGACAGAGTCTTGTTCTGTCGCCCAGGCTGGAGTGCAATGGTGCGATCTCGGCTCACTGCAACCTCTGCCTCCCTGGTTCAAAAGATTCTCCTGCCTCAGCCTCCAGCTGGAATTACAGGCACCCGCCACCATGCCTGGATAATTTTTTTTTTGTATTTTTAGCAGAGACAGGGTTTTGCCATGCTGGCCAGGCTGGTCTCAAACTCCTGACCTCAGGTGGTCCGTCTGCCTCGGCTTCCCAAAGTGCTGGGATTACAGGCGTGAGCCAGCGCGCCAGCCGGAATTATTTTTTAAAGAATAAAATTTCAAAGATATTCACTGCAGAATTGCTTAAAATAGTGTTATTTCTGCAATACTCTGAATGTATAACAATAATGGCATGAATTATGGTGCACGGGTACATTCAACGAGGGATTATTACACAGCCACTAAAATAATTATTATTAGGAATATATTTTAAGACTGGGCAATGTGGTTCACACCTGTAATACCAGTGCTTTGGAAGGTTGAGGTGGGAGGATTGCAAGACCAGTCTGGGCAACATGGTGAGACCCCTGTCTCTACAAAAAAAATATTTTAAATTAGTCAGGAATGGTGGCATGTACCTGAAGTCCTAGCCACTGAGGAGGCTGAGATGGGAAGGTCACTTAAACCAAGGAGTTCGAGGCTGCAGTAAGCTATGATGGTGCCACTGCACTCCAGCCTGGGTGACAGAGCAAGATCTTGTCTCTAAATATAAACAACCAAATATTGACCTATGCTGCTACATAGATGCAAAAATAATCCAAATCTATATGCTTAACTACATAACCATTTGTGGAGTCACGTGGACAGATCTGGAAGTTTACGTGGAAAATGCTACCTATTTGAAAAGCAGTTTTTCCCCTTTATTTCATTTTTTTCTTTATTTTGAATTCTGCCAATGATTTTGTGTAATAGTATTTTTTTAATGGTATGGGAAGAAATCTTTTATCATGTGATACCACATAACAGCTGCCTAACCACACAATGTAGATATGAATAAAGATGGCTCAGAAATAAGAGTGTACTAGTATTAGTGACTCAACTAGTTACCATTATGACAAATGGAATAAAGTTTTGACTGATTTACAGGAGTTTTAAAATGCATTTTATATTGAGTAGTTATTTCATGTTTTCTTAAAACAATTATTGTACTGAACTAAAAATAAACTAGGTAGTTTGTTCACCTAACCAATCTACATTCAAAGACATGCTTACAAATTTTCCACTTAGTTCATTTTTCTGTTCTCAGCATTACTACAAATGCCTCATTCCGTCATCTTGTTGAATTCTTTAGCATCTTCTGTATCATTTCCAGGGGCATCTCTGGGAAGTAGTGATGCCTATCTTCCCTCAGAAGCACACTGATAACCCCAATATACCCACAATTCACACTTATTCCCTTCTCTGAGGTGTGCTGCTTTTTGGCACATCAGAAAAAACACACTACTAGGATTTGAAAAACTAAGTTCTGGGCCTGGTTAGGTCATAAACTACAGAAACCTTAGGTCATATATTCTCCCCAGGCGTTTCTCCACTACAAAAAAAAAATTCATTATTCCCTTGGTCTTTTGTAGTCCTTTACTATTTCACTTATCTTCATGATAACCCTTAAATTTAAGTAAGGTAGCATTATGCTCATTTTATAGAAGAAATTCAATCTCAAAGAGGACATAGTCTCCCAAAGATCCCACAAGTAGTAATATATTAGGCAGAGCTAAACTCACACACTCTTACTCAAGATCCTAGTACTGGTACATGCCGTGCTAATAAGTTTGCTAAAATGGATAAAGCAGCAATTTCTCAGGTCCCTTCCAATGATCCTGTTCTCTGCTTCTACTTGCTATTTTTTCTCTCTTCTCTCAACTAGCATTAACATCCAAAACTATATATAATCACCAAATTTCATTTACCATGGTTTTTTAATTATTCTTTAAATTTTTCTAGTTCCATGTTAAATCCAGAGAAATGTTACTTTTTCGAAAGTTTCTACTACTGCCTCTCTCTCTGAAGGCCATGGGACTTAACTATTTGTCAAAGCAGAAATTCCCAACATTTCGTAAACACCACTAATTACTTTTTATAACTGTAAAGACAATTATTCCATACTTAAAACCAATTCAAAATAAAATAAATCCTCAATACTTCTTATTCCCTGGGGTAGTAATTTTAATTAGATTTTATTGATTCTTTATTTTCTCCTATGTGCCTTTATTTGGGAAATACTGTTAGTCTACCTTACTATCGAGTCTCTTTCCCTAGCAAGAAAATGTCAGTCTTAAGAGTCAGGAAAGCTTTTACTTTCACTATCACATATGAAGAATGAACTAAACACCTAAATTGGATAGGAAAACTTAAATGAGGGATTCAGGACACTTCCCAAGGGGTCATATGACCAATTTAAAAGTTGGTATGATGTGTCTAAAATAACAAATTAACTCTTTTACTTATAATAAAGGTACAGATGTGCTGATTAGTCATGCTAACATGTACATATGAAATATGCCTAAACCAAATTAAAAGAAAACAAAATACAGTCTATGGCAATCTTGAAAATTCAGGGAGCTCAATAAATATTAAGAGGATGCTCTCACAATGAGAGCATTAAACACTTGGTAATTAACATAATTTAATATGCAAAAATAAGAAAATATACAGGATGAGGGATGAGGAGTACACATAGGAAATTTTTGTGATTTTCTTCATTTTGATTGTATTGCTTTCTTGTCTTCAGGAGGGAAGATTTTGACTTCAAAAGTAACAAAATATTTAAGAAGGGAATTCACATCTTTCTGTTCTAAATGATATTCTTGCGCTATTTTCTCAGCAGTTCATGTTTCTGGATAAAGTTTATGATTATTGAAAAGTGTCAATGCTTCTACAGTGGAAATTTTGCCTTTGGGAATGCTCTTAATATTTATCATATCAAAGTGATGGCCTTTCGGCAATCTGAATTTCTTTGGCTCCTGACGTGTTTCAGCAGCTTTCAGCTGCACGGAAGACACAGGATCTTTGGAATCAACACACACATATTTTAGAAATGACAGCAGCTTGTCATCTTTACGAGCAATCTCTCCCTTAATTTCTGGATAGAGACTAATCTGCTCTGGCAGGAGGCTGCTGGTAGAGGGGTGCCTGGGAGCGAGAGAGGGCTTCATGTTGCGGATTTCCCTTTCCGCTCGGTTCTCTTGAAATTCCTGATCCCGCGAGTCACCGCAGCCCCCATCTCCTTACAACATGATGCCCTCAGGTTCACAGTAATGTATTTTTTAAAAACCAGTCGTTGTTACCTTAATTTGGTCCCAAGGGCTGTAAAGGTCAGTTTACAACTCGTTGAACAACTGAGTAAGATTTAAGGCAACTCAACTGATAGCTGCATACCTAATTTAGGATATCCATAGAATTGTTTTGTCAACTACAAATATAACAAGCATTAAGTGTAAACTGTGTTGCTGAAAAGTACTCCAAGTATCTTAGGAACACCCACCGCAATGTGTGGGCTAAATGCACACGTACAATGATAGCAGAAATAATACCTGTCATATAGGACGGGCATGTCAGCCTTTTCTCCGCGAAAGGCTTCTGGTCCTAAGCTGTCCCTTACTTTCACCGGAATGAGATGCGTCCAGAGTCCCAAGCAAGGGAGGAGACTGCTCCTTTACCCAGGAGGCTGGAAACTGCTCGATGCGAGCGCAGTTTCCGACGCCCTTCGGCTGAGACCTGCAGCACCGGACGATGTCCCAGTTGCCAGCTTTAGTTGCTAAGGCACCAACCACTTCGGAGGAAACGGGGGGTGGTGCAGTCTCTTTTGGAGTCGTAGCGAATCAGCTACAAGTCGAGATAATTAGTTCCGGCAGGAAACAGCTCCTCTAAGAGGGACTGGAAGGCGGAAAGAAGCTGAGAGTGACGCCTCTGAGCCGCGGAGGATTGTGGGAGGAGGTTGTCTCCAATTTCTCCTCCCCCTCCCGGCCAAGATGTCTGACATGGAGGATGATTTCATGTGCGATGATGAGGAGGACTACGACCTGGTGAGGCGCAGGGAATGGAACTCTGAGGGTGGTGATGTGTCTTGTTTTCGGGGTCCGGGCCGGGGCGCCCGCGGCCTCTCCCCGTAGAGCATGTGCCGTTTACAGCCTCTCTCAGTGCGGTGACAGGACTGGTTTACCTCCTCCCCGTTCCCGCACCGGGCCCGGGCCCTGCTTCTCCAGCATGGGGGAAGGGAGGGCAAAGGAGGCAGCGAAGGGGGCCCCGGGCCTTGCCCTCCGAGTCTGAGCGCCTCTTCGGTTTACACGGATGCCCCTGGTCCCAGGCGTTCGGTTCTCTGTCTTCTGCCTCCCCACCGCGCTAGCCGCCTCGGTGACCATGCTGCGGTGTAGGCCCTGGCTTTGCCCTTTCGGGCCCAGCGTTCCGGGCCCCCACTTCTTCACACTGGAACTGAGCGGGTGCGAAATGCTAGGAGAAGTCAGAAAACGGGGGTGTCCTTACTGCTCCCAGGCCTGACTGCGAAACGCAACTTGTGAGTCTCCTGGAGACATAGCTTAAATAGTCTTGCCAGGGCCAGTTTTGGTCCGAGGTAAGTGTGTAGGGGAGAGTTCAGAGCAAAGATAACTGAAAAAAAGGTAGTCGAACCACTTTTTCAGTTCTTTATAAAGAAAAGCTGGGGAGGAGGTTTTGCTTGTGGTGTTTTTGGAGGACGGGTGAAAGATAATTGAACCCATGGCTTTTCCCTTAGAAATTTCCCAGTATACAAAGTTTAAAACAGCAACAGCATAGAAATAAACGAATTTTTCTGACCGAATGGAGATTTTTAAAGATTCAAAGCTTCATTTATTAATGGATTTGCAAGTTTGAATAACGTTTGCTATTCAAAAACATCGTGTGGAAACTCAGAAAATTATCTTGATCCAGAATTAACGTCAATTTTGCTGTGTTTCTTTATTTTGGGGGTGTTTCATATGGTTCTTTTATGGTGATGCTGCATTATCATAAAGTTACGAAATAGATGTTTTGGGACGTCTGACTCATTTTAAGTGCCAGAGATTGTCAAAATATTAATACATTGTTTTGAATTAGTCTATAACTTTTTCGTATATATTTTCAGTTTTTTGCATTTTAAAATAAGGCACACTTTGCAAAAGGGAGAAAGGAAATTCTCGCTATTATTTGAAAGTCATAGTAGAGATTTTTATAATTTTTAAAGTTAAATGTAGTTTCGCTAATAGTTATGGTTTCTACCTTACATTTTAGTTTGTGCAAGCCAGTTGTAGGCAGTGACTTCAGTTCATTAAGAATATGTATCTGTCCATTTTTACTTATTACCTGTTTATTTATATTACAGGTGTTTTGTTATCAAAATGTTTCTTTTATATGTGCTTGTATTTTTTTAATTGATTCATAGTATTTTGTACATATTTATGGGGGGTTTCGTTACATGCACAGGATATGTAGTGATCAAGTCGGTATTTAGGATATCCATCACCTTGTGTTTTTATCATTTCTGTGTCTAGGGAATATTTAAAGTCATCTCTTCTAGATATTTTGAAATATAAAATACGTTTTAACCATAGTCACCCTGCTCCGCTGTCAAACATTAGAACTTACTCCTTCTATCTAACTGTTGGTTTGTACATACCATTAACCAACTTCTCTTACTTCCCCACTCCTCTTCCCCCCACAACACCCTTCCTATCATTCTACTCTCTACCACCGTGAAATCAACTTCTTTTGCTCCCAGATCTGAGTGAGAACATGTGATATTTGTCTTTCTGTGCCTGGCTTATTTCACTTAACCTAATTCTCCAGATCCATGTTGCTGCAAACTGACAGAATTTCATTCTTTTTTATAGTCAAATAATATTCCATTATGTATATATACCACATTTTCTTCATCCGTTTATCCATTGATGGACACTTAGGTTGATTCCCTGTCTTTGCTGTTATGAATAATGCTGCAATGAACATGGAGTGCAGGTATTCCTTTAATAGACCGATTTTCTTTCCTTTGGATAAACCCAGGAGTGGATTGCAAGATCTTATGGTAGTTCTACTTCTAGTTTTTGAGAAATCTCCATAATGGCTATACTAATTTACATCTCCATCAAAAGTGTAGAAGAGTTCTGTTTTCTCCACTTTCTTGCCAGCATTCTATTATTTTTTGTCTTTTTGATTAATAACCATTCTAATTGTGGTTTTGATTTGCATTTCTTGGTAGTGATATTGACCTTTTTTTTTTTCATGTATGTGTTGGCCATTTGTATGTCTTCTTTATTTATTTACACATGTATATATTTTTAGAGATGGGATTTTGCTGTGTTACTCAGGCTGGGCCCAAACTCCTGGGCCCAACCAATCATCCCGCCTCAGCCTCTTAAGTAGCTGAGACTACTGGCACGTGCCACCATGCCCAGCTGTATGTCATCTCTTGAGAAATTGCATTTGTATTATTAGTTTGTGTTTGTAAGTGTTTCTGCTTACCTCTTTCCTAAGCAATAGTCTGTTGGATACATAACTTATTAGCACTGTGATCAAGCTGATGATCATCTTTGAGAATGTAATGTAGCAATAGCAGTGAGAATCTTTTTGTCCCATGAAGTACTTGATTAACTTTTGCAAGATTTTTTATTAAACATACAGTGTTTTAACTTGGTCATATTTTCCCAGCCTTTTAGGGCCTACGCTACATGAGCAGTAAAATGAAGTTGAATATATAATTGCTTTAACTTTTTTTTTTGAAACAGAGTCTCACTCTGTTGCCCAGGCTGGAGTGCAGTGGCACAATCTCAGCTCACTGCAACCTCCGCCTCCCAGGTTCGAGCGATTCTCCTGCCTCAGCCTCCTTAGTAGCTGAGATTACAGGCGCCTGCCACCACACCTGACTAATTTTTTGTGTTTTTATTAGAGGCGGGGTTTCACCATGTTGGTCAGACTGGTCTTGAACTCCTGACCTCAAGTGATCTGCCCTCCTCAGCCTTCCAAAGTGCTGGGATTACCGGTGTTAGTCACCACAACCAGCCTTGTTTTAACTTTTTTATTTCTTAAAGTAAGATTTTGCACTACCACATAATGAAATGAAATGTTGGAGTTTTCTGTTGGGTTTTTTGTTTTTCTTTCCCTAGCGTTCTATTAAATAGCTCTTCCTCCCCTCATCTGTCTCTCATCAGGTGTCTAATTGTAAAATTATTTATGATCAATTTACTAACAGTTAAAACTTTTGGTGGCATAAAACTTATTTAGTAATTTGTTTTTCATTTCCTTAAATCATATATTTAAAAAAAAAAGATTAATGAAGCAGGTTACCATTTCATGCTTACCTTTTGCCAAAAGAGTTTTTCTTTTTTTAAAATAGTTATTTTGTCTGGGATTTTCTTTTTTTTTTTTTATGTTTCTTAGTATTTAAAAAATGTGCGTAATTGACTTGTTTTCTCAAGATTTATTTTTATAAAAAATGTATTGTTTTTTGGAAAATTGATCATCACCTCGTTTTAGTTAAAGTGTTAACTAAGAGCAGTGAGTATTGCTGACCACAGTGATACTCAGCATATCTTTATTGGTCGTCCAATGATATATTTTAACACCCTAAATCACTTTGTTCTTCCCCAATCTGGTAGAAATAGGTAGTTAGGATACCACCTGAAAAATTAAGTCTGTTTCTAAAACTGTACTGTTTTTACCCAAGAAAGTAAATAATGATTTCTGCCCAAGAAGAATCTAAAATAAAACAAACTTGTTATTTAAAAAAAAAAAAAAAGAAACGAATATAAAAGAAATTCAACATACATGCATGATCATGTATGTTCTAAGATCTGTTTGATTTTCATTAGAGGCAGAAGCAGGCATTTCTAAACATAGTAATCTGTGGTAGGTGATGGTGCTAGTAAATGACATTTAATGCAATGCTAATTTTACAGGTTTATAGATTATTTGCTGATCCAGTAACACTAAATAATAATCATAGTGCCATTCATTAAGTTGGTAAGGCCATTGATAAGCTAACTGTTTTAATTCCGCAGTCCAATCGTTCTACCGTGAAACTTCTAATAATCTTTTTAGAAAGAATTTAAGACCAATTGACTTTATTCCAAAAATTAGTCTTTAGTAAGTCCTGTTATATGTAGGATATTATATATTTGAATATAATTTTTTTTTTTTTTTTTGAGACAGAGTTGTGCTCTTTCGCCTAGGCTGGAGTGCAGTGGCATGATCTCGGCTCACTGCAACCTCCACCTTCTGGGTTCAAGCAATTCTCCTGCCTCAACCTCCTGAATAGCTGGGACCACAGGCACCCACCACCATGCCCGGCTAATTTTTATATTTTAGTAGAGACAGGGTTTCACCATGTTGGCCAGGCTGGTCTCAAACTCCTGACCTTTGGTGATTGGCCTTCCTCGCCCTCCCAAAGTGCTGAGATTACAGACGTGAGCCACCACGCCTGGCCTATATTTGGATATAATTATTTAAATGTATTACAAGGAAAACATTGTCTAAAAGTTAGAATAATTCCACTTGGTTAAATATATGACCATATGACCAGCTGTGAGCCTCATTATATTCCCCTAGTCAAGCTCATAGTTGGGATTAGGGGATAAATGTTTACTAGTATTGTTCTTCTTGTCTTAATATATAGCAGTTTTATTTATTTTTTTTAACTTTTAGGTTCAAGGGTACATGTGCAGGTTAGTTATATAGATAAGTTCGTATTACAAGGGTTTATTATACAGATTATTTCATCACCCAGGTACTAAGCCAAGTATCCAATAGTTATTTTTTCTGCTGCTCTCCCTCCTCCCACCCTTCTCTCTCAAGCAGGCCCTAGTGTCTGTTCCCTTCTTTGTGTTAATGAGTTCTCATCATTTAGTTCCCACTTATAACAGAGAACATGCAGTATTTGGTTTTCTGTTCCTGCATTAGTTGGGTAGGAAAAATGGCCTCCAGCTCCACCCATGTTGCCATTATTTTTTATGGTATAGCAGTTTTAATGCTCTACATTTTTACTTATTTGTCTATTTTTTTGTGTGCAGTGGGGAGGTAAATGAGTCTTAGCTACAGGATCTCTTACAGACTCTCGTATTTGTCATCCTTTTAATAAAAAGATCAGTAGAAAGATGATGGTCGATTGCCAGTGCTATGTACATAGCGAACATGTATTCAATATAAATGTTAAGTTCAAAAAATATCAAAGACGGTATAATCCATATTATCCCAATTTTGTTAGGTGGGAAAAATATAGAAAAATGTCTGCAAATAAATTATCAATGGTTTTATTTATTTATTTATTTTTTTATTTTTATTTATTTTTTTTTTTTTTTGAGATAGAGTCTTACTCTGTTGCCCAGGCTGGAGTGCAGTGGCGTGATTCTCATGCCTCAGCCTCCCAAGTGGCTGGGATTACAGGCATGCGCCACCATGCCCGGCTAATTTTTTGTATTTTAGTAGAGACAGGGTTTCTCCATGTTGGTCAGGCTGGTCTCGAACTCCTGGTGATCCACCTGCCTCCGCCTCCCAAAGTGCTGGGATTACAGGCATGAGCCACCGTGCCCAGCAGACAGTTTTTTTGTTTTGTTTTGTTTTTTAATTCTAATTTACTCCATAGTTAACAAATCAGCACCCATTAACTTGTGTGAATTTTTTTAAATGGATAACTTTATCAGTAGCTAAACCATAAATGGCTACCTAGGATTTGAATCGTGTCTGGTTTTTAAGGATAATGAAACAACTGCCATGTACCTCTTAGTGTGCCAACATATGGTACAGCTGTTAGACAAGACTCAGAAAGCATTGTTAATGGTGAGTATTGTTTTCCTAAAGTACATTTCTTAGGACTTCTATTGGCGGTAAATACAAGAGTAAGTAAATGAGCTATGGAACTGATCCTGTTCAGCAGTAGCGACATTCCAGATATAGTCAAAATTGACCCTGGCTGCTCTGTGTTGTGTTATTTTGGAATGTTTATCCACCTTTTATTTTAACTCACCAAACACTCACTAAGCGTTTTGTAATATCCCAGGCTCTCAGAATACACAGATGAATAAGAAAGTTCCTGCTTCTGAGAAGTTCACAATTTGGACTGTTTTAACATACAAAGCTCTATGTTAGAGAGATGCATGTCATATGGAAGCATGACTGAGAAAAAAAATTTAGTTTGCTAAGAAGAGTGATGCTAAGATGAGTTGATGAACACATTTCCCAGCAGTATTAGGGCAGGGGAGTATCTTAGGAGAAAATCAGAAAGTTTGTTAGGAGGGAAAGTGGTTTAGAATTCTAGCAAAAAGAGCAGTTTATGCCAAAGCAGAGATTTAAAATTGTGTGGCATGTTTGAGAAAGAGTAGATTTTGGTTGTGTGGATGGATCACAAATTGCTTGGGGGAAATAACAGGACATGAGTAGGTTGGAACTATTATTGAACTTTAGGGGGTTTTTTTATTTTTAATCCCTTTTACAACTGTTCTTGTAAAACAAGTGCTTGATTATTTTTCATAATTTGCTTAACCTCTTCATTTGTTTTTAAAGCATTCTTTATATACTAATTAAAATTTCACTTTCTCTTCTGTTAAAGAACATTTACACTTTTACAAATTATCTCTTTTTCATTTGACGTAACTAATTCAGTTTAGCAATACTTACTCAATACTTCTAGATTTCCTATTCTGAGTAATGGCATCATGTGTTACCAAGCCTTTGATAGTCATTATGGATAACTTTATTTTCCTTTATCTTGTGCCCATATGGGCACTTTTATTTTACATCCTTAACATTGTTTAACATCTTCTGTGTTTATTCCATCATTTATTGTGTCCCCTAACTTTTCTCCTTATTCTGCTTCTTGGAGTCAGGCCTTCACAGCTCCTGGCCAGACTTTTAAGATTATCCAATGGGCTCTTCATTGCTTCCAGAAACACAAATCTGACTATTTCCTTGTAAAATCTTTTAGAGGCTCTTTATTGGATCTCATCTCCTTGTAAGACTTCTGTTGTCCTGTTCCTCTGTTCAATACCAGTTCATCTTTCATCAGCCCTTTACATAACATCCTGTGCTTCAGCCCAAACTATTCATACTGTTTCAAGCTTCCTTGCATTTGCATGTTAATTGCTTTATTTCAGCTGCCCTTCCTCATTGCTGGCGATTCCTATTCATACTTTTATACCTGACTTGGGTATCTTTTTCCTTCCTCTAACTCAGAAGTAGTTGATTACTCCTTTTTGAGATGCCAGTGGACTTAGTATGTGTGTCTGTTATTGCTTATATTATATTATATTATATTACGGTTTTGTTTGCATATCTGTTCCTTAATAGACCATGAATACCTTGAGGGGAAGGGTTGTTAATTTGGATTTCTGTGAGCAATAATTAATTGCTGGCATATATTAAAGATCATGATTTTTGAGTATAAATAGTAGAAGCACCTAAACAATAGAATTGTTCTTCCAAAGACTTCAAAACATGAGTTTGAAAAATTATGCCTGTGTAATAACTGAAGAATAATTTGCAGTAGTGCACAGCTTGTGATAATTGATTCAGTGGGGTGCAAATGATGGGTTAGTGATGTCATGATGGCTGGTTCAAGCCTACGAACATGGCGTTGCAGATCATAACAAGGAACTGTCTATTTGTAGTCAATCAGTAGAACATCAGTTGTGCCGATTCTCATGTATTTATATATTTTAGCAATAACATTTGTTTAAGAGTTGAATTGCAGTTATGCAAAAACATTATACATGCCATTTCTTAATCCGTATGATATGAAAAACCAAAAGAATGTAGTCACAAAACGAAGAGGGCTGAATCAAATCTTTTCTCAGTCATTGTGATTTTTTTTTTTTTTTTTTTTTTTGGAGTTGTAACATCTAAAGTTTAGAAATCTCTATCTGAAATCTATCAGGTCCCAGAAGTTACAGGTAACTACTCTTATTATAAGTATTCCGTGACTGAATGACAAGACACTGTGTGACATATGACAGGAAATGTCAAGGATCCTGTTTTTAACAATGTTATAATTGGTTCAGTAATTTCCAGATAATTGAAGTTAATCTCTTCCCTTTCTAAAATACTGTTTCTCATTTGCTGGGAAGCTCCAAAATACTAGTCCTACTGTTGTCATGTATACCTTTCAGCTTCTACTTTCCTCTTCTCGAAACCTGACCTAATTGTTTTTTCTAATTTGTTTTGAGCCAAGAAACCAAAAATAAATGGACTCTGAATTTTTACTTTGTGATCAATGTAAATCAGAAATACTTTTCATTTTACTTCCAGGTTCAAGGCTGCATTCTGAAGGTTTGGGTTGCAAAAAAAAGTAATTTTCTGGTTCAGCAAGCTATTCCTCTATCTTATTCAACACTGTTAAGTGAAGTTTTTATTTTAGTTATTGTATGATAAATCATATATGGTAAATCTGTTTATATTTGTTCCAACTTAATAAAACAATTAGAAAAGAGCTGATTTCCGAAGGCATAGAGTAGGTTTTATAGCTGTGATTCTTTACTCCAAGTCTTCCCTAAAGAATACCCTTAGGCTGAGATCTGAAATGATAAGCAGTAGTTAACTAGATGAAGAGAGGTAGAGGTAGAGGTGGAAAGAGAGAGAAATAGCACATAAAAGTGGGAGAATTTGGCACTTGTTGAGTTAAGGCCAGGATGGCTGCAGCAAAGTGAATGAGGGAGAACTAGATAGGAGATAAGGTTGGACACAGGAGTCAAGTTTTGCTGATTTTGCTCTCGATTTTAAGAGGAATAGGAACCATTTTTGAGGAGAGGAATAAGATAATTTACATTTTGTGAAAATTATTTCACCTGCTTAACCATGAGGATATTAGAACTTAAAAAGGAGAATGAGAAGGCTGCTAAAGTTTGTGGAGAGATGAAAGTAGTTGGGTAGGGTAGGGTGGTAGCAGGCAGGGGGTTCGGGAGTGGATAGATTTGAGATTTATTTTGAAGGTAGAGTCAATAAGGATTTTTATGTTCCAACAAATAGTTACCTTTCATTGTTTATGCTGTTACTACGTGTACTATTCTCTTTATCCTCTCCTGTTTTGTCTAGTGGGCAAACTTCCATTTATCTTTCAAAACCCAGGTTTGAAGCCATCACTGTCACAGCATCATTCTGTGTATGGTTGGCTTATTCATTCTTTACTAATTTCTCTTTTTTTTTAGCTTGATCAGTTTCTTTGTAGTCAAGCCTAGATTACAAGGGTTAAGAAGTAAATGAATAATTATGAAACTTATTTACTACCTAGTTTCATCTTGTCCCTAAAAGAAGTGTTCCAAGTGATTTTCATATGTTAAACAGAATGGAATTCCAGGTCTTAAATCTGTAAGACTGACAGACTCAGGTCTTCACACGAGGAAGGAATTATCCTCCAGAGGGCGCACATTACAAAGCCACTCTTGATTATTGAAAAATTCATCTTGTGTTAATGTATTTTTGAGCTTTCAAGTAACTTATTATACACAGCATACCTTTCTTCACTCCTATGCTTTTATGAGACTGTAACAGAATTTTTCATAAATATCTCATAAAGAAATTTGTTACCTGTATTTGGATTTAGAAATAACTATAAAACTATTCTTGTCTTTTTGTGTTTGTTTCCAGGTACTATTCTTAATTTGATATAAACTTGCCCTTTGTAATGACTTAAAGCTGAGAAGGAAATAATCTATATCTTATGACTCATAAGATAATAATTTCCATTATACCAATCCATGTGTATTTTGTAATCCTCATTATTAGGTTGAATGTCCTGGAACTGTGTAACACTCTTGTTTATACTGCTCCACAAAATAGTTGTTTTATTCCAGTTTTCCCTTCTGCCTTGTTTTTTTTCCACTAAGAATTGAACTCATGTAATAGAAAGTCTCATAAAATTATATAAATCCATTTTGTTTTATTTATTTTGATTTGTTATAAAGCTGATTAAGTTAACATTAGTATAAACAGCTGTTGTATAGTGCACATAAGGAAAGTATTCTTATTAACATAATTATATTTAGTGCTAGATGACTTTGCCATGTGTAGATTACCATCCTAGCTGGTTTTAAACCGTGTTACAATAATGAAATTTAGACTTGGGGAATAGAAAAATTAGATTACAGAACCAAAGATTAATAATTAGAACACATCTACGTTAGGTTTCCCTCAGATTTCATGACTAACGAAAGCTTAGCAACTACAGAATTGGGGTCATTAACCAATATTAGGTTGCATTCTTCTTTTATGTTGATTCTATAGAAATTTTAGCTTTCATCTGAAAGAAAGTAATGATTATATTCTGCTATACACTTGATTTTGACTCCTCCTTCCTCCTCTCTTCAACCCCTGGTTTTATATAACAGTTGAATATCAGTGGCATTTTACGTATGTATTCAAGGTTGTTTTGTTTTGTAAAAATATGTGGTTTTTCTGTCTTAACAGCATTCACTTTTTACGTTGCTACGTGTGGGTTTCTTTTCTTTTTTTCTTTTAATATTTCTTTCTTTCCAACACAGGAATACTCTGAAGATAGTAACTCCGAGCCAAATGTGGATTTGGAAAATCAGTACTATAATTCCAAAGCATTAAAAGAAGATGACCCAAAAGCGGCATTAAGCAGTTTCCAAAAGGTTTATATTCTTTTCCATTTGATTCTATGTGTTAATTTTTTTAATGATATGCTAGAACAAATAAGTCCCAGGTGATTTTATCTCAGAAATGTGTTTTGAATACTTAATTATCCTATCAGTTAGCATTAGGCAGCACAAGCAAGTGTTTCAAAACGGTTATCCTGATGTTTTTTCCAATCAAGCTGTCTATGGAGCAGGGCCATTGTCCTGAAAAACTAGGATGGTTCTGGCAGAAGAACCACCAACATGATGGTCAGTAGGTATTATCACTGCAATCTTGTTTCTTTTAGGGGTAAATCATACAGTTGTGGTTTCATTATTATGAATAGCTTGATTTCTTGACTTACTGATACACTTACGGATTATTTTTACCATAGGTTGGTTATTCAGGGGAAAAAATATTTCAGAAACTATATAATAATCAAGAAGTGGCTCTTTATTTTGCTGATGAAGGAACTTTAAGCTTGCTTATCCTTATGTAGGCATCTTACAACTTGTTTTTTTTAAAGACTGAAAAATGACATTGAGAAATGGTGGTATCCTTGGGGAAATGTTTTTTATGCATATAGTATAAAATTAATTCAATACTTACACATTGGGCATCATTAGAAAATAATGTGTTAATATTAAGATAAACTAAAAATTTCTTCCTCTTTTTAGGTTTTGGAACTTGAAGGTGAAAAAGGAGAATGGGGATTTAAAGCACTGAAACAAATGATTAAGATTAACTTCAAGTTGGTAAGATTTGTTTTGAGGGGAATTAAACTAATAAATTTTGTAGGTAAAAACCTCATCACGACAAAGTACTATTATATCTTCTTTTCTAAAGTACTTCTTTGGATGTGTTTTTATATTTAGTCTGCTCTGCAGTTGGGACTATAGTAATACTAAGTAAAAAAAACAAATTCTTCATAGGATACAGAAGTTTTCTATTTAAGAAAACTTACTCTTTTAGATGCATTTACAGTATTTGCCTTTTTTTTTTTTCCCCCGCTCTGTCACCCAGGCTGGAGTGCAATGGTGCAATCTTGGTTCACTGCAACCTCTGCCTCCTGGGTTCAAGTGATTCTCCTGCCTCAGCCTCCTGAGTAGCTGGAACTACAGGCACATGCCACCATGCCCAGCTAATTTTTTGTGTTTTTAGAAGAGACGGGCTTTCACCATGTTAGCCAGGATGGTCTCGATCTCCTGACCTCGTGATCTGCCTGCCTTGGCCTCCCAAAGTGCTAGGATTACAGGCGTGAGCCACCGCACCCTGCCAGGGCTGCATTATTAATAGATTGACTTTTCCACAAAGGATTAGTGTTTACTTTGGAGTTTTAAAATTCTCCTGTTTATTATAAAGAGTTTCTCTTCCATTGACTAGGGCCAAAACGTTAGCATTATGCTTAACTCTTCTCATTGTCTATTACCCCACAAATAATCCATTGGCAAATCCACATGGCTTTACATCCAGTATGACTGTGCTTACCATTTCTACCTCTGCTACTCTGGTCCAAGGCACCATGATTTCTTACCTGGATTATTGAGATAGCCTCTTAACTGGTCTCCTTACTTTCATCCTTACCCTGCTACAGTTTTCCACAAGTAGCAGAGTGATCCTTTTAAAATGTAAGTCAGATTATGCCATTCTTTTGCTCCATATCTTCTAGTGGTCCCCATCTCCCTTAGTAAAATCCAAAATTCTTACCATGACCTACAGATCCCTATGTAAGCTCATCCTTTGCTGCTGTTTTTATTTGCTCCATCACTGGCCTTCTTGCTGTTCCTCAAGTCATCCCAAGCACAATCCTGTGTAAAGGCTTGCACCTGCTGTTTCCTCTGCCTCAGAAGCTCTTCTCTGATAACCATATGGATTTTTTCTTCATTTGATTCAGGTCTCTGCTCAATGGCACCACTTATCAGGATGGCCTTCCCATGACCACCTGATATAAAATAGCATTCTTCCCATCGTCACTTAAATTTCTTCTTTGCTCTTTTTCTTTGCATATGTCACCATGTGATCTATTATTTATTGCTCCTCTTCACCCCACCCCTCCCCCCAAGTAAATTGTAAGCTCCATGAGAGCAGGACTTTGTGTTATTCGTTGTTATAATCTTAGAACCTATAATGGTGACTGTCATTTGGTTGGTGCTCAAATATTTTATTGAATGAACTCATAACTTATTCTAGAGAAACTGGAATTATGACATTATACTCAAAATGTCATTCCTCGGTTTCTTTAAACTGGTAAAGAATACAGGGTAGAAGCGGAGGGAAAAAGGATCAGGAGATGATAGGACTAGGTACAAACATGAATCTTAGATCACTAAAGGAGAAGAACTTTTGAGAGAAAGATGAAGTTGAAGCTCAGATGAGCAGGGAGTGAAGCAGTTGGAAGGTTCAGGAACTATGGCAAATTGAAGAATAGCTGATATGTTACCACTTTCTTTTTCCCCTGTTTTTGTATTTCCCATATGATATGTTTCCTCCACCTCTCCATTAGCTTCTCTATCCCGTCTGACTAGTACTTGTATCCAGGTTAACTTCTACTAATCTTGTACCTCTTCTTTTTGAGGTACTGTCACTCTGGTATGGTTTATCTCACCTTTAATAGGAGGGGCACTCCATGGCATCTCCTACAGAAGCTGTTGACAAAATGTCTTTGTTCATTTCTTCCCCAAAATACATCAGAACAATTCAAAACATGTTAAATGTTATTAAGTATATTGTATATTGCACTTAAATCTAGTTAAAGAATGAAAATTATCTACATTATATTTACCCTTTCTACTCCTACTGCTTTGATACTCTCAAAACATTTCTATGTTGCCCAGAGCCCCATGCTTTCTTTCCATTTTCTGTTTGCAAGAATATTAAACACAAACATTTACTGTATTCAGATTAATAACTTAGAAGGCTGTGGAAGAAGCACCAAGTGTTTCAAGGGACAGAAATTTGTGATTAAACAATTATAGTGCCATTAGGGGCTGAATGTTTAACTCGTAGGTTCTGTGATTTGAGATAATACCAAGAGTCCCTATAGAAATCTGCTATTTTAACGTACTAGCAGTGGTTTCGAGTCCATTTGAACACTGTGCTACCCTTAAGACTTGGTTTTGCCATTTTACCTTGAGCAGAGTGGGAAGGAAGGGAGAGGGTTTTTTGCATTTTATGTTATTTTGTTTACCTTATCTACCTTTTGTTTGCTGTAGCAGCATCTGTGAATAAGTTATGGTTCACAAGAGTGATTTCAGCTTCTGTACCTGCCCCTCTCGTTTTCTGATTGGACTCAGAGTAGGAGCTATGTTATGTGTGGTGATTTTATAGTAAAAAGTTGGAAGGGTTCACTATCAACTTCTCTGGGACCAATTTACCTACTCTTCCTTCAGTCTTTAATTAGAATGTAATTGTTTTTTAAATGAGCTATAAATTATTATAACATGAGATAAATTCAAAGCTAACTTTTTTTTTTTCTTTTGAGATGAAGTCTTGCTCTGTTGCCCAGGCTGGAGTGCAGTGGCGCAGTCTTGGTTCACTGCATCACTGCAACCTCTGCCTCCCGGGCTCAAGCTATCCTCCTCCCTCAGCCTCCAAGTAGCTGGGACTACAGGCGCATGCCACCACACCTGACTAATTTTTGTGTTTTTTGTAAAGACGGGGTTTCACCATGTTGCTCAGGCTGGTCTCAAACTCCTGGACTTAAGCAATGCTCACAGCCTCTCAAAGGGCTGGGATTACAGGAGTGAGCCACCAAGCCCAGCCAAAAACTGTAACTTTTTGCAAAACTCCTATTTCAGTGCCAAGATACAGCTTCAAAGTTAGGATAGTCGTATTTCTCTGATTTCCCTTTTGCTGCAAGATATGTACTGTAATGTGGATTTAGCAGCTCATTGACAGGATGTCACCTATCATTTACCCCCACATGAAACTTGGAAACAGAAGTGGTTTTATATATGTATATATTTCCATAGTTCTATCCTTTTTTTTTTTTTGTCCCATCCACCTCTGCTGTTTTCTTTATTGTAATTCAATTCTTGGTTAGGTTTCAGGGATTGTTCTCAAGTTTTCTTGTTCTTTGTGCTGTGCCTCAGGGCAGAATGTATTGTCATAAGCAAGATAATTGCAGCATTATTAGTTTATTCCTCACCCTAATAAATACATATGTTCAGTTAGTCAAGGAAAGAAGCATTTGTATCTGCCAATGCTTCATGTCTTTGATAAAAAAAAAAAGAAAATAGAACTCAGTAAAAAGAGAGGTTAACAGCAATTGCAGATTATGAGGATTGTGGATGCAGGTTATAAGGTTAGACTTATAAATTGACTTACAGGATATACTTAGGAATGGTAAACCTCTCCCAGAATAAGTCTCAGTACTCCTTTATTTTTTAGACCTTTCTTGTTTCCTGGAACAACCTCAATAGTACAAATACAAGGAATAACAACATTTACTATATCTACTTTTGAATAGAACCTTAGATGGGGGGTCTTTTCTTGACTTGAAACGAGTATTGAGGCTTGAAAAAATTGTTTAATTTCACATTTTTATATATAACCAGCCAGTTGTAGGGAGAAAAGAAACAGGTAACTCTTATTGCAGAGCTTCCTGAGGAAGGGATAAAATTACAGGGAAGAATATAGCTAATATCCTGCATAGCAGGTACCCAAGGCATTTGAAAGCTTGGATTTTGGCCGAGTGCAGTGGCTCACACCTGTAATTCCAGCACTTTGGGAGGCCAAGGCGGGCAGATCACCTGAGATCGGGAGTTCAAGACCAGCCTGACCAACATGGAGAAACCCTGTCCCTACTAAAAAAAAAAAAAATACAAAATTAGCCCGGTGTGGTGGCACATGCCTGTAATCCCAGCTACTTGGAGGGCTGAGGCAGGAGAATCGCTTGAACCTGGGAGGCGGAGGTTGCGGTGAGTCAAGATCGCGCCATGCACTCCAGCCTGGGCAACAAGAGTGAAACTCTGTCTCAAAAAAAAAGAAAATACTTGGATTTTATTTGTATGTTTTGGCTTATGAATATTGTAGTAGGTTTTATGATTTAAATATGTTGTGCAATGACAATTTCTGAAATTTGGAAAATTTAGCAGTTGTACTTGTTTCATAAGCTAACTTTATACATTTGGTTTGAGTAATCTAGTCATTTCAAATTTAAGGTAATTACAATGTTCCTGTCATACATAGTTCCTCTTTTACAAAACTATATCAGGAACTATATGAACTACATTTCATTATGTAGTAGTGTATTCTATAACCTTAATCATGTGTACATATTTTAGTACCTAAATTTGCATCTGATAATTCATTTTTCTTTTCTCACAGACAAACTTTCCAGAAATGATGAATAGATATAAGCAGCTATTGACCTATATTCGGAGTGCAGTCACAAGAAATTATTCTGAAAAATCCATTAATTCTATTCTTGATTATATCTCTACTTCTAAACAGGTTAGACTCAATTTTCCCCTCTTGGGACGATCAGTGTGTTTATTATTTATAGTAAGGGCTTTGTTCTTTATAGATGGAAAGGCCTAGAGCTTCTATTTAAGTAGTTGTGCTAGTTATTAGTATGCTTTAAAAATGATAAGTACTATTTTCCTGGTTATATTACTGATTATATAATAGTAAAAGGTAATAACTCCAGCTTGATCTCTTTAAATAATGCCTTCAGATGCTAAAATCTGTAAACAACTTTTCAGGCTTATGTTAGACTCCTATACAGTTGCTACCACAGGTCCTTCTAATAAACTACATTAACACTTTAGCTAGCCATTCTGAGGTGTTAAATACACTGAATCACAGGTTATTTGTGTGGATTTGGTTATATTAAAATCTTTGAGAAGTGCCTGTGCTCTTATCAGTTAGTGTTTGGCATTACTCAACAGGTGCTCAGTAAATGCTTCTGCAAAGGATGGGTGGATAATGAAAGAAGAGCTACTGATGAAAGAAACTAAAGAAGGTATTGGGAGTGATAGTGCTTTCATTATGAGTCTAGATTTTGGTTATTAAGAAAACCAATGATTATTTTATATATATTTTTGCTAAGATAATTTTTAATTGGATCATTTGTCCTTATCCTTGTAAGCAGTATAGTCCTCAGTTTTAGTTTTTCGTCCTCTTACTCTGTGATACTTGAGTACAAGATATAGTCTCTATGTCATTTAGTATTTCTTAGAATATTTGATACTTTTTGTACTCGTAATCAAAGAATGTTCAGATCAGAATCAGCCTCATTTAATGTCTTTTCTACTAGATGTCATTTTTTTCAGGCAGTTTGTACTCTTTACATTTAAATTTTATGTAATGCCAATAGAGGAAGGTAAACTTACATGTTTTGTTAGAATATTAACACTTAATGACACTAATTCTAGAGTTAAGCTATATATCATGGAGCTTTCCTAAAGTGGGAAAATGTTTTCCAACTCTTAAAAACAAGTGTCATCAAAACATATTTTGTATACTGTTTATAAATATTATGCCAGTAATTGGAGCAGGGAGAGGGAATCGAGTGATTTTGAAACTTCAGGACTGCATGCTCTGTGTGTGGTTATATGTAAGGTTTTTGTCTTTTGAAAGTAACAACAGATATTGGGTGGGTGGTACTCTGTTCTATTCAATATGCCATCAGCAGTCATGCATAAATAGAGAGTGTTTTCTGAAAATGTGAAATTTTCCTGCTCTTACAGTCCTCTTCTTGATCCTGTTAAGCAGAGAATTAGATATTCAAACAAAGGCAAAGCCAGAAGCGGGGGGAAGAGGGTGGGCAGGGGAACTTAACAAGATGTAAAACAAATAATGATTTCCGTGAAAAAATGCCACACAGATTGGTGATTTGGTGGTGATTAGACATAGCTAAAATTATACTAGACTTTTCTCTCCACCCACCTCCATGGTTTACCAGTGACTTAAAAGCTATGCAGTTGAGTTACTTAGTCATATTTATAGAAGAATTTTGAGGGAAGGAGCTTATTCTTTGTTTCTTCACCAGCATGCTTAGTGTTTGCCACATTGTAGGCTCCAAATAAGAGTTGAGTGAATAAGATATACACTGTTAGTAATAATACAACTAGTTCTATGTACATTTCATTTACTGCTGTTAATATGAAATGAGTGGCTGATGTGAGTGGAGTGGTATTTACAGCTAATTGAGCACAACCAGTTACAGATTACTTTGTTCCTTCTCCACTCCCACTGCTTCACTTGAATAGCTTTTTAAAAAGTAAAATAAAATACAGAATGTATTATTAGATTGGGAAGGACAAACGTGTACTATTACAGCATGAGAACTTACAGCACTATGTTTATATGGGGAAATATTTTCTGGGTTCTATAAAACAACGCATCATGGTACTTGTAAATTTGGTCTGTATTTTGCTTCAGTTTGTTAATTTTTTGGACTGTAGAAGACAGTAAGATACAGATAGTGTATCTTATGTGTATTAAAGTTCAAAGATGCACTTTTAGTTTGTTCAAATTAACTTTATTAACAGGTACAAATTTGCTGTTTACAATTATAGAATTCTGATTTTTTATGTCAGATGGATTTACTGCAGGAATTCTATGAAACAACACTGGAAGCTTTGAAAGATGCTAAGAATGATAGACTGTGGTTTAAGACAAACACAAAGGTAACCGTTATAATACTTACACTTTTCTTTTGAAAAGTGGGTGGGTGTTTTTAATAAAGTCTCCTAAAGATGCACATCTTCTGTTGAAATCTTGATTTTAATAAATTTGCTTTCTTGCAGCTTGGAAAATTATATTTAGAACGAGAGGAATATGGAAAGCTTCAAAAAATTTTACGCCAGTTACATCAGTCGTGCCAGGTAGCTTTCCCTTATTTTTTTCTGAATATTTCTTCATAATAAAAAAAAAGTATAAGCAATAATTATATTCAAAATATTGTTTAGGGATGTTTTAGTTTAAGCATTATCTGAAAAATAAAATTTAGAAAATAAGTTATAAAATTATCTTTTTTTTTTTGAGAGAGAGGGTATGGCTCTGTCACCCAGGCTGGAGAGTGCAGTGGTGCGATCTTGGCTCACTGCAACCTTTACCTCCTGGGCTGAAGCAGTCTTCCCACCTCAGCCTCCTAAGTAGCTGGGACTACAAGTGCACACCACCATGCCCAGCTAATTTTTTGTATTTTTTTGTAGAGGTGGGGTTTTGCCATGTTGCCCAGGCTAGTCTTGAACTCCTGAGCTCAGGCGATCACCGCCTCGGCCACCCAAAGTGCTGGGATTACAGGTGTGAGCCACCATGCCTGGCCCCTCAATCTTTATTCTTTGTCTAATGAGGTACCAGTATCAATAAACAAACAGGCCTATTGTAATACTTACTATTATATTGATATGTAGTTATATACCCTGTGAAAACAGAGCCAGGATATTACAAACGTGTAATAAAGATATTTTTATATTCCAATTTATATGAATCCTAGCAGCACTGTCCAACAGAACTTCAAGTGATACTGGGAATGTTCTATATCTGTTATCAAATATGGTAGCACCAGCTATGTGTAGCTATCAAGCATTTGAAGTATGGCTATTGTGACAGAGGTACTGAGTTCTTTATTTTCTGTAATTAATTACTTTAAATTTGAAAAGCCATATGGTCAGGACAGAATGGCTCTATAACTTTTTAACCAGGCTTTCATTTTATATTCCCTTTTTTGTCTTAACCAAATACATCATTTAATACTAGTTTAAATTGAATGTGGAAATACTGCTTTAAATATTTTTAAACTCTTCCAATGCCACGTACTACTTTTTTTCAACCCCTCCCCACGCTTGCCACCATGTAGTATTATTTTAATGATATATGTGTCATTTCTGTGAATGGGAGAAACGATTAAGAAACTGTTCTAAATGAATCACCTGCAGATATTCAATAGTTTTGTTTTGTAAAGCAGATTAGTCACTTAGGAATTATTTCTTATCTACACATTGTTAAGATGCTTTAGTCTGATGCATAACCAACTGGAGGTTCAGTTCCCTATGAAATGGAAATGCTGGAACAGCCATCTCTGAATGGTGGAGGGTCTTTCAGTATGTATATAAGGAATTTGAGAAAACCCTTTGAAGAAGTTTTGCTTTAAGAACATAAAAATGCTATCAGGATGGTAAATAGCATTATATTACTTAGTACTTTGATGGAAGTATGTTCAGGGAAAGATGCAGGATACTCTAGATGTATAAATTGTTTTGTATATTGTATGTTTTACTCTGGTTATGATTCATTAGTGAATAATTAAACAGAATTTTAAGTTTGAAGACCCAATAAATTTTGGCTTAGTGTATGTCAGTGTGAGATATTTATGAATATCTTCCTGTTGATCATATTGCTATTTTTCATGGCCCACATTTCATGGGCTGTTGGTCAACTTTAAAGTCATGCTCAAATGTCAGCACTTTTTTGTGATTCCTGTGACGTCCTCCAGGAAGGTTAGTCCCTATTTCATTCTCCTAGGCACTTGGTTTATGCTTCACCTAGTCATTGTCACTTACATTGTAATTTATCTACTGACAGATTAATCTTCTACTAGAGTGTGAACTTTTTGAGACCGGGAACCTTGGCTTTTTTAACTTTGTATTTCCCCATGACAGACCCAGTGCCTGGCATGTGGAAGGGACTTAGGAAGGGCTTTTTAATTGAATAAGTGGTTCTAAAGCAGTTGTGAAGATTTTGGGAAGACAATAATAAATCTCCTAGATAAAAACATAAACATTAAAACATTTCATACGTACAGCAGTCCTCCCAACCCTTATCCACAGATTGCTTTCTTCAATTTCAGTTTCCTGTGGTCAGCTTATTTCCTGTGGTCTGAAAATAAGATATTTTGAGAGAGAGAGATCACATTCACATAACTTTTATTACAGTATATTGTTATGTGTTCTATTTTATGATCAGTTATTGTTAATGTCTCACTGTACCTGATTTATAAATTAAACTTAATCATAGGTATGTCTGTATAGTAAGTTTTCACTTAACGTTGTTAATAGGTTCTTAGAAACTGTGATTTAATGTTGTTTTGTTCAACACTACATTGATGAGGGGAAAAAATGATTTCATTGTACATTGTTTTGCTTAAGGTCATGGTTTCCAAGAACCTATCGACAGTGTTAAACGAGGACTTACTATATAGGAAAAAACATACTACTATACATAGTTTCAGGCATCCACTGGACGTCTTGGAATATATTCCCTGTGGATAAGGAAGGACTACTATAAAAAAAACCTTTGGCTACTTTTTCCTTATCTCATAACTAAAAAGTAGAAAGGATGTATTAGTTTCTTTTTGGCCATTACAAGTGGTATTCTTAGTACTGTAGCTCCCAATTAAAATTTGTGTTGTGTTTTCACATGGAAATAGTATTATAAATGTAAGATTTCCAGGCTAATGCAAATAAGAATTACTGTCTGAATTCTATCTTGTCTAAAGTTAAATATTTGCTTTCCTAGACTGATGATGGAGAAGATGATCTGAAAAAAGGTACACAGTTATTAGAAATATATGCTTTGGAAATTCAAATGTACACAGCACAGAAAAATAACAAAAAACTTAAAGCACTCTATGAACAGTCACTTCACATCAAGTCTGCCATCCCTCATCCACTGATTATGGGAGTTATCAGAGGCAAGTTTGGTTTGGAGAGGGTGGGCAGTGGCATGGGGAGATATCAAAGTGTTTAATTAAACTCTTGCTTTTTAGAACTTCAGTGTATACCTTGGGGCCAGTAGTATTCAAGTTACAGAATTTAAAAACTGAAAGGCACTGAAATAGTTTTCATTTGGCATTTATGAGGTGGTCAGTTTTGTTATTACAGAACTGAAAATGTCCTATTTTCTCATGTCTTATTCTTCACAGAATGTGGTGGTAAAATGCACTTGAGGGAAGGTGAATTTGAAAAGGCACACACTGATTTTTTTGAAGCCTTCAAGAATTATGATGAATCTGGAAGTCCAAGACGAACCACTTGC
Source organism: Homo sapiens (assembly GCF_000001405.40). Taxonomy (NCBI): domain Eukaryota; kingdom Metazoa; phylum Chordata; class Mammalia; order Primates; family Hominidae; genus Homo; species Homo sapiens. The sequence goes on along the minus strand of NC_000015.10, from coordinate 49,133,995 downwards.
TTAAAATATTTGGTCTTAGCAAATATGCTTATGAAATCGGGAATAAATCCATTTGACTCACAGGAGGTACGTGTGTTTTAATTGTTAATTTCTCTTATCAGCTATCTGGAAATAAATGTTATTTCTTTTTTTAAAATGTTGTTTCTTTGTACATATATTTAATTTTTTTCTTTACTGTGTTTAGGCCAAGCCGTACAAAAATGATCCAGAAATTTTAGCAATGACGAATTTAGTAAGGTAAGATTTTGTATTTCAGTTAAGGTAAATTTCCTTAAAGCAGTTCATAAAGGAAAGAGTGAGAAAACTTTTCAGAACTCAGTTAATATTCAACATTTGCCCTTTTGTATTTTCTTAGAAAAGTTTGTAGAATTTTTATCTTCTGAGGTTATTTATTACGCTATTTTCTGTAGCCACAAGATTTTATAAAGTATCTACTTAGTTTTCCTATTATCCATGTGTGTGTGTCTGTCTGTCTGCGCACGCACGAATGCACCTGTGTCTTTCAGTGGAAAACTGATTGTGGATGTCTTAAAACATTATTTCACAATGATACTGCCTATACCTCTCTTAATCCAGAATGAAATTACGAACTAGTCCAAGATGAGTCAAGAATTTTCAGTAAGACAAGACAGCATAAGCATATTTTTTTACTCATATATTTTCTCAATGACAAGATGAAAGTATTTTTAAAAATGTTTACAATGGATAGGCTGGGCGTGGTGGCTCACGCCTGTCATCCCAGCACTTTGGGAGGCCAAGGCGGGTGGATCACAAGATCAGGAGATCAAGACCATCCTGGCTAACACGGTGAAACCCCGTCTCTACTAAAAATACAAAAAATTAGCCGGGCGTGGTGGCAGGCGCCTGTAGTCTCAGCTACTCGGGAGGCTGAGGCAGGAGAATGGCATGAACCCGGGAGGCAGAGGTGGCAGTGAGCTGAGATTGCGCCACAGAACTCCAGCCTGGGCGATAGAGCAAGACTCCGTCTCAAAAAAAAAAAAAAAAAATGTTTACAATGGATAATTTTCTGAGGTGGAGTGTGGGGTGACAGAAGGGTCGTACTGGTAAGAAACCCAAGATTTATTGAATGATTCTGTGGAGGAAGATGTAATGATGGTTAACCACTGAAGAACCTACCATAGTCAATTAATATTCGACAAAATTATGGAAGATAAGACCAAACAAAAAACCTAGAAGAAAAGGCCCATTTTTGCAAAAGGAATTAGTGAGTAAGAGAAACTTTCCTCCAGGCATAGAATAAATGGAACCCAGGGTTTTTGTGGGTTTTATTCATTAAAAAAGTATAAGAAATTTACTAAATTTCTTCAAGTCTTTTATTTTAAGTTGTACAGCTGAGTTTTACCACAGCTGGAAAAATGTAGTTAGGGACATGAAGCAGGGCTTTTTTTTTTTTTTTTTTTTTTGCAGATATATGTAAATAATTTAGGTGACCAGAAGTTCTATTTATAGTACTTTTTCATTTAACAGAAAACACTATTAGACTGTACATTATGGGTCACCTACATATAAATTGTGTATACTTGGAGAAGATAGCTTATTTCATGATATTAAAGTTCCTGTGTAAAATGTCCTCATTTAACTTTTTTTAAAGAAACCTTAATTTTGGCTGTAAAAAAAAAAGCGTTTTTTTTTAGGGGGACTAAGAACAGTTTGGAATTAAAAACCTTAAGTTACCACATTAAATCAGTTTCTTTATTGTTTACTTTATTTTAATTTATTTGTTGAATTAGGTTGCTTTTCATTATTAAAGGAAACGTCATCTTTATTTCAGATAGTTTATTTCATTCACATTTGGTCACATTAACTAAGAACCAAAGTTGTTTATAATGTTAAATTGCTAAGCAGCAGTTTACACTTTTAAAACTCTAAGAAATATTGAGGAAAAGCTTTACCCTAGACATTGATATTTTGTATAAATTAAATTGGCTAAGTACATTAAAATTGGTTAAAGGACTGATTTGTCAGACCTTTATCTGACCTATATCAGAATATATAATGACATTTATAAATTTATTATATCCAACTACTCCAGCAAAGCCACTGTATTAGAACTCAAAACTTATTTTAATGGTAAATTTTGACCCACATGATGTGATGCATGGTGTCCCACAATTTTGTATAAGATGTTTTTTTTGAAACCCCACTTAAGAAATGGAAGAATGTCTTACGGTTAAAATATGTATGTACACAAATATAAAACAAATGTTTGTGCAAGTGTTTTCAATGCTTGAATATGTCCTCCTATAGTATATTACAGCAGTGTATTTGGGGTAGGTAAGAAAGTAATGCTTCCTAATTTTGTCTTCCTAGTCAGTTGCCAGGAGACTAGAGGAAAATAATTCCTGTCAAAGCACTTGAATCACGTGCCCCTAATATGAGGTTACATTGGGACCCAACAGATGGAAGCACTAGCAGAGGGCGTGCAGTATAGCTGATGATAATGTCTTACGTATAAAGCAGACAATGGTGCCATATCCACAAGGTTGGATTCTTCCTTCTCAGCACCTTTAGCAATTCCCATAGAGCTTTACAGAATTATTTCAAGAGGAGATACTAGATACCTCAGAGAATTATGAATATAAATCAGTCTTTGGCCTTCTGCAACAGGGGATTGAGAAATGTTCCTTTTGAAAATTTTCACAGTTGCTGGTAGCTTTCTAGAATATAAAAATTAAGAAGCTGCATTTTCTGAATAACCTACACAGAGGATATGCTTTCTCATTTGAAAGACGAGGCTACACCCCTTCATGTAGTGTACATGAAGCCTGGTTCCTTTCATTATGAACAATTAGGAATTAAATGCACAATTTCATTTGAAAACATCAAACATTAAATAGTTGTTAAATGTTTTATTGCCAACTTTTAAGAGAAGTAAGATATTGAGGTGATTTTAATTAACTTTGTATAAATATAGTATATAACCCCAAAAGAAGATTTATTTAATCTTTCTTTTAAAAAACCAAAAGCATGAAAAGGAAATTTATGTTTTTTTTGGCAGAAGGTTATGTGTGCTTGTTTAACTGTGATTTCCATGACAGAAAGTATAATATTATTTAGATTTTTGCATATGAAAGTTGAGAAGCAGGGTCTTTGGATTATCTGATTTAATACATAACTTCTTCATGTTTGACATAATTTACACTTTGTTTTTCTATTAGTGCCTATCAGAATAATGACATCACTGAATTTGAAAAGATTCTAAAAACAAATCACAGCAACATCATGGATGATCCTTTCATAAGAGAACACATTGAAGGTATGTTCTTTCTGCCAACTGGATTCTATTACTTTCTTTGCCACTGTCAAAGAAATGCCACTTAATGAAGCTGCATGGCATTAAGCTGTTTTCTTTCTGTCTATTGCAAAGTATAGATATGTTTCTAAATGCTGTCATTGGATGGGATATTCCTTAAAATTATGAAGCTCTTTTAAAGAAATTGACCAATTTCATATTACTATAGTCAAGTTTATATATAATGTCCATTTTGTTTAAGGTAACTGTCCCTTTTTAAAAAAATCTAATATAGATGCTGTTGCATGTTTATTATTGATGCTTAGGTTCAAAGTTAATTTTTAAGGTTTATTTTTGACAAATAACAAAAGTTATGAAAATATCCTGCTATAGATAATGCTAAGATATATGTACTATGAAAGATAAGGCAACACTGTGAAGGTTTCATACCAGTAAGTGAATGAGGTTTTTAGCAAGTTATATTGAATTACCAAAGACTACAATCATCTCTTTGCTCTTGGACTTCTTTTATAGCTCCGATTTTCCCACCTATTATGGAGCTATTTGAAGGTTTTTAAATGACCATTTGGAACTAAATTTCAGATGCATCAGAAGTAATGTTCTGTTCCCCATCTTTCTTTCTCTTTTAATCAACAGACATTTTAAAAGTTCTTACATGAACCTGGAATGATACTGCAGTTTATAGATATAGAAAAACGTAGAATCTTTGTACATGAATTTCAACCTGGTTTTAAAAAATTTTAAGAACTATTGTACAGACAAAACTGGAGGAAATTGTAAAAGCATTATATAAAATATAGTACTCTAGGTTTTGAGAGAGTCTAAAACAAGGAACTTGGCTGGCTGGTATAAATCAGAGCTTCTTTAAAGATATTAACTGTTGAGGAAATGATAAGTAGTGTAATATTGAGAAGGCAAAATAATATTTTAGTAGAGTCTCAATGTCAACAAAATCAAGGAGGTGGGAACAAGAAATTATGGGATAGGCAGCAGCTGATCATACTGTCCATCCATTGACCCAGGTATTTTAAAATCTAAACACTTTATATCATTGCCAAGCAGGAAGATGTATTTTGAGAAGATAATTAGGAGTACATAATGATCCATAAAGATATCATACAAACTGTTAAATAAAATGTTATTTTAATTTTTTGTCTTTCAGAGCTTTTGCGAAACATCAGAACACAAGTGCTTATAAAATTAATTAAGCCTTACACAAGAATACATATTCCTTTTATTTCTAAGGTACTTATATTCATAGATTTTAATGATGTTTATAATTTATAGTTATAAATGCAGTATACCAGTCTTGCATTTAAGAGTCACTCTAACTTGGTAACATTTTATTATAATAATACATTTTTTAAATTAAACATAACTTAAGGGCTTTACTTTTAATCATTTTTTTTTTTTTTAAGAGACAGGGTCTTGCTGTATAGCCCAGGCTGGAGTACAGTGGCTATTCACAGGCACAGTGTGGCACACTGTAGTCTTGAACTCCTGACCTCAGGCAGTCCTCCTACCTCAGCCTCCTGAGTAGCTGGGACTGGGCTTTACTTTTAATGTGAATTTTTCTGTTTTCTTGGCATAAATTGAGTTAACAGAAAAGAGCCTTAACATTGTAACAAAGAAATTAGGAATCACTAAATTTCTTTTTAAGGATTCTTTCACCCTCAGAGAAAATTGTAGGGGAAAGTAGTGGCTAAAATATGTAATTGATGAAGGGTTAACTTCAACCACAATAAAATTGTTGCAGGAATGTGCTTCAGAAGTTAAAAATTTAAGTCTTTATCATACCTGTGTTCTCGGATATATTTTGAAGTGATAATGAAATATGTTTAAAAATCTTCTCTTCACTAATTTTCCTTTAAGTGATAGAAATGAATTAAAATTAGAATGATTGTGTAAAATTATGAAGTCTTTAAAATGTTAATTGGTATATAACAAGTCTTTTGTCTTAGGAGTTAAACATAGATGTAGCTGATGTGGAGAGCTTGCTGGTGCAGTGCATATTGGATAAGTAAGTACTTTACTATTTTTTATCACAAAATATTTGGTACCGTAAGTTTTGAATAATAGTGACAAAGGTAACAATTGGATTCTTGATTATTCATAAAAAGCACCCTTGGGTATGGTTTTCTATTAGAAGAGATATATATGTATGTGTGATGGTTTTTGATGAATGAGCGTATTAAACACATCTCAGAAAAAGTTCTAAATGATTTTTCAGAAGGATTTCTTATTATATACAGCCAAAGAATTATTTAATGAATAGTATTTATGTATGTTTTTAAGTATAGGGTATGTGGTACATAACATTTTTGAAATTGTATCTTACTTGAAAACAGTACATTGTTTAAAGCTTCACAGGTGATACTTGCCTTTGATTAATCGGATAAATCTATGCCTTATGGGTCTTTCAGTGAAACTGATGAAAAGTATCTGAAATCTGGTTTCTATCTAGAGTTTGAATAACACAGTGAAGTTAAAACTAACACTGAACTCATTTAATGTAGGCAGCTGCTTTTTTTTTGGCATTTGTTGATACTGTATTTTATGAAACATTAATCCAGAAACTGTGCTTGATGAAAGTCTTTTGTAGACACATCTTATTTATTTCTTTCTAGCACTATTCATGGCCGAATTGATCAAGTCAACCAACTCCTTGAACTGGATCATCAGAAGAGGGGTGGTGCACGATATACTGCACTAGATAAATGGACCAACCAACTAAATTCTCTCAACCAGGCTGTAGTCAGTAAACTGGCTTAACAGAGAACAAGCTTTTACAGACGTCCTTAAGGCAACAGTGCAGAGATGTAATCCTTAAAAGAACTGGGAATGGCAAAACTACTGTCGGTTGATGTGTCCTGAAAATTATTGGAGTTATGGCAGAAGTGCTTTTTTGATCAACTGGTTTGTGTTTTGCTGCTGCATTTATCCCAAGAAAAACAGCTTTAATCTCCAGAAGAAAACCAAAATACCATGGGATTTATGCTGTATTGACATCTTGCCCTAAACGTACAACATCATAGTAATTTGTCATGGGCAACATGACCAGAGAGAAGATTTTTGTCATGATTTTAAATACACTGACACGCTACTGTTGGTTAAATTTAAACATGTTTTACCTGCAGAAATTCTCTCACAAATAACCTGCAATAACTTGAAATGCATACCCTTTTGAACACTTCCTTTTCTCATGTATAAATTAAAATGTTTGCTGCATTTTGCAAAATGTCAATTCTCTAAAAATGTGTCCGTATATTTCTGTACCTGCAGTGTAGTAAAGGTTTAGACGAAACCCCATAATTATAGTGGCATACTGTCACTTAGGTTTCAAGCAGCAAAATAAACAGTGCAGCTCAGAAATTGTAGTTTGGTTCTTGATGTGTTTTTATTACATTTGGAGTTGTTTTGTTTTTTAGTACCTTCGAAATTTCAAATTATTTTATCTTCAGTTAATGATTTTAAAAAGCCTGGGGGCAAATAAGTTGGTTATTTGCTTTCAAGTTTTTAAAAGTAGTCTTTATTGATAGAGTAAGGAGAACTACTTTCTAACAAAACACGTGCATAGTTATGACAGTGATGCTTTAAAGGAATAAAATTCTTTTTTTTTAAAGAGTGATATTCCTTTTCAAAAGAATACTAACTCTCAGAATGTTCACTTTAAACGAATATGCCAGAACATAGACAGCTAAATGAATGTTACTCTGCATAGTGATCATGCTGGAAGGTTATTTCCTAATGCCAGCAATCTACCATTGCCCAAAACCTGCTGAGTTTACTCTTTTAGAATTGCATTCAAAGTTAATTTGTCACACACACTAAACTTTATGATTATACATTGTTTTAAAAAATATAGTATTAGGAAGCTTGATTATTTTTAGTTACCATTACTTGGCACCAAATGAAAGTTTCCAAAACTTCCACCTAACTTTGAGGTAATGCAGAAAGTATATAACTGGCTTTGAAGGCAATCCCAAAAGAGTTTTAAAGGTTTTTTGAGCAGTGGCAGTATACTTAGGAGAATGAACTGTGGCCTTCCAAGGTAACTACCTTAAAGGAACTCAGCTCATTTGAATGTATTGAGTTTTGGATGTATTTGTTTCATTTTTTAAAAAGTTCACATTATTTTATAGTGTCGAAAGGAAGAACTAGGATTAACATAATTTCTTTGGTTTTTCTATTGCTTGTTATTATTATGTAAAAACTGGGTGGCAGTTCAGAAGGAAGATTGTGGTTACAGAAGAGTGACAACCAAGAATTTTTTGATCATTAAATCAGATTTTATAAACAGTGGAAGGAGCATGGACTTAAAACAAGGCATGCTTATTCGGTTTTGTCAAAATTTTACGAAAATATGTGATATATATTTATACTAAAAATATATAATCCTTAGATTTAGAAAAGCAATCAGTTAATGTCTTTAGCAGACTAAAGCAGTATTAAACACAGGTACAAGTTGGAAATTGTAGAAAACGGAAAGAAAACAAAAGACAAAATGTCTATGGTAGGGAATAAAAGTTTAAGATATTATAAAATTATGTGTATTTTCTCTTTTACATAAATCATTTGTGAAAAGTGTGCTAAACTTTTTTTACAAGAGTGATATTAATTAGGATTTATTTTTCAATATAATTTGGAGACCCTTTGTTATCCAAATAAAAATGATGAGTTTTTGTGCCTGTATTCAAATATGTATGCATGTGATAACCCTTGAAAGCTAAAGCCCTTCTTAACTTTTGAGTTGATGGAATTAGAATTCAAAGATTTGAATGAAATGATTTAACCTTTATCCTCCAATTCTTACAGTGCCCAGTTCTCCTGTGCTATCTTTGCTTTGTACAATAGTGCATCTTCCACTTTCTAGAGAGAAAGCATGCACTTGTTATTTGGAAAACTGGGCTAAATATATAACAGTATCCAAAGTTATACCATAATAATTTATTGTAATTGTGTATTACATAGCTTTGTTTACCCAGATATAGGTGCGTTCTTTTTTTTCTGTTAGTCATCTGTGACTTTTGTTCTGGAATACAGGTTTTTAAATATATCTTAACAGTCTGACTAACTTAAAATAATTTATTCTTCCCTTAAAACATTTTTCTGTGTTTTTGTGCATCAAATATTGTAGAGTTGAAATCTTAGAGATTGCTTATCGAAATATAAATTTAGGGGAAGTTAAAAATCGATTGGCAAATTTGTAGCATTTATTCACTGATTAAATCTTTTCCACTTTTGTGAAAACCATACCAGTGGTTTACATCATATTGTAATGTGTTCATCTCATTCTTCTTTTTATCCCTAAACCTAGCTAAAAGTTACTGCAAAGAAATCTTTGGCTGCCACAAGTAGATGCTCTCTACTACAAGAGCTGGATTTCCATTACTCACTCTTGCTCTTACATTAAAGTTGTTGATTAAATACTTTTTCTCTACATCTTAATGTAACATAACTGATTTCTTTTTAAAGATGAGTATATATGTACTAAGTAATGCTCTCATTACATGAGTCCCTTCTAACTACAGGCTGATACATCTTTCAGGAAAACTGAGAACCTAATATTTAAGTGAGGCCTATTTTAAATGAGCTATACTGTGGGTGGTAGTGTTTGTTACCTTATGTAAGACTTAGGTTTGTCTTAGACTGAAAAACTCTTATTCTTAATATTTAAAATATCCATGATGGTAGAAATTTTGTGGGAAATTTTCTTTTTTAATCAATAGTTACAGTTCTTCAGTAAACACAGGTATGTATGCTTTTGTGGTGTCAGTGTCAGTCTAAATCTATGGGTGAAGCAGTTAGTCCATAAGACAAAAAATTATTTGCCTAGTGGATTCCCTTTACCTCTTTTTAAGAAGCTCAGAGATCTGTAATCATTAATTTACTAAGGATTTTTTAAAATATTATTTTAGTCACTTTTAAACCTGAAAATTTCTCTTTTGATTTAGATTTTTGAAGTGAGGCTTGAGCATACACAAGTAAAGCTGGGAGTTTCATTCTTCATATGGGATTTATGACTAAATATTTCTAGCATTTTGAAGAAGATAAACATTTTGAACTGAAGTATATAACAAAAAAAGGAATTTGACATTTAACTATTTTGTATCAAAGTGTTTAAGAACACTATCCAGAACAAGAGATGGAGTATCAGGTTTCAGAATGTGACGCAAAAGGCATTTGGTCTTCATTTATGTGACCACAATTAAAATTTTCCTCTTTTTTTCTTTTTCTGGAGGTTTTCTTTTAGTTTTCATTGTTTTAGGTTTTTTTTTCCCCCAAATCAGCATCCTATTTATATTTGTTTGATACGGTTTTTTTGTTTTTGTTTTTGTTTTGCTTTTTTTGGAAACAGTTTCGCTCTTGTCACCCAGGCTGGAGTGCAGTGGCGCAATCTCAGTTCACTGCCACCTCCACCTCCCGGGTTCAAGCGATTCTCCTGCCTCAATCTCCGGAGTAGCTGGGATTACAGACACCCGCCACCACGCCCAGCTAATTTTTGTGTTTTTAGTAGAGACAAGATTTCACCATGTTGGCCAGGCTGGTCTCAAACTCCTGACCTCAGGCGATCCACCGCTTTGGCCTCCCATAGTGCTGGGATTACAGGCGTGAGCCACCACGCCCAGCCTGATACAGTTTTAAGCAGGAATTTGGCAGAAATTTCGTAACGAAGACAAATTGGAGGTTCTCTTTAACTCGAGATTATTAAATTTATAGTAACTTCTTGGGCCATTAAAATGTGAGTTTAAATGCCATTTGGAGGATTTGTGTTATATTAAGCACCACAAATTTAAACTGTCAACTAGTGATTCTACATGTTTCTCAAAATGCTAAAGTTTAGCATCACTTACTTGCTTTTGAATTTTAAGGAGATTCGTCTTAGGTAATGTCTCAGAAGAAACCAGTGTGTGGTTCTCTAAAATTTTACTTTTTTACTGTCACGTATAATAATATCTAAACTACCTGTAGTAGTTAAAAATATTACGGCATCAAAGGTATATGCCAAGTGTACCTTAAAACCCTGTGACAGGAAAAAAGAAAAAATTATTTCTTAAGTACTTACTATTCGGGGGCAACTTTGTTCCGTGTTGGCAAAATTATGAACTTTGCTCAGAATTTCCACATGAATAGCTGACCAAAACTTTTTTGTGTGCATATGTATACATATGTAATAAGTGAAACATACTTGTGGGAGTACAAAATTCATCACCAGTTTATCACAGTAATTTTCCAGTTTTCTATTTTACTTAATATCACTTATTTCTGACACAGGCAAATGTCATATGCCATGAAAAGAATTACCAGTGTACCAGTAACTTGCGTGTTATGACTAGGTTTCATGTGGAAGACTGTCCAAATTTACATAATCTAGAGTAATTTTTTAATTCTGAAGTAAGGGCATTTTAAAATTAATTGCTAAAGGTTGTTTTATTGTACATCCATTTTATGGGAGTTTAGAGTTTAGAAAAAGTAATCTCTAGCGTCATCCCATGAAGTTGTCAAAAGTTTTGGCATGCTTATTAGCAACATATTAATGCCAAGTGTTGAGTATCTAATTTCTGTTCAAATGTTTGCCTATCCCTTACTGTTTACGACAGTAATAAATTTTTATGCATCTATTTTAAATAACACTGAAGAAAATTAAAATATATTTCAAGAAATGGAGCAATGACATGGAAAATAGAAAGTTGTTTGGTTTTGCAATGTGTTACATAATTGGTTGCATTATAAATTTTCTCCATTTTGTTTATGATAAGCTAATATAAAAGGTATCAAATTCCTTGAGCTAACACTAGGTGGGAAGGAAGTAGTAGGTGATTAGGAATGTAACAGGATGTCTGCCTGAAATGGTCAGTTCCACCAATTAATAATTGAGAACTGATTATATGTGCAGGATGTGTCATAAGATGCTGTAAGGCTTAAATACTCAAGGGTTTTTTTATTTATCTGGAAGTGCACATTCCTTATTGGTAATAAAAAATACGTAATCTACTTCTTAAGTATTTACTGTGTTAACATTAGTTACAATGCTCAAGATCAGCACAGTAACTTTATGTTTGATCTAGTACTTCAAAAATGTATACTTCTGTAAAATAGCTGTTGAATGTTTTAAGAATGCTTCTCTAAAGTACTGAAAATCTTGTTCATTTGGTTTGAAAGGATTTTAGTATTTTCCATGTTTAAGATTACCTTTTTATTATGCTTTGAAGCATTCATGGAGGAGCTGTTCTCTCCTGAGCTGTTTAATTATCTGACCTGGAACAATTCATGTTTCAAACAAATGTCTCAGGAATTATTCCTTCAGTATAAAATTAAACACTTTAAAGCAGGAAATTAAGCCAAGGAAAGACGTGGGGTAAGAAATGTTCTCTCCCAAGCTTTGTAAGCCTTGTTATGGTGCTTTAAAATGAACTATTTAAGGACTGCAACATCTAAGAAACCACTTGTGAATTTATTATATATCTAAAAATAATGTTCTCAGATGTAACATTCACCTGGTGGAATGGACCACCCTAATCTCAAAGTACAGTGATAACACAATCAGACAGCTCTTGAAAGTCAAAAGAACTTTCAGACTAATAGCCGTATAACCAAGGTTCCAATGTAAGTGTCTAAAACTAATGTCACTGCAAATTGTCATTGCAAATCCTTTGGCCTTCCAAGTTGTGGGAGTAGAAGAGGAGTGAAACAGATTAGCTACTTCTATTTCAGCTGCATTTCACACAGCAGTGGTAGGTGGTATTATGTTGATAGCATTAGCCCAGCAAGAAACTACATAAGCAATATACATCTGACATTTGAGTTATTTTATTTGTGGTACTTAATGGTTTTATATTCCCAACTCTCAATTTTTAGAGTAATGAATGGAATTTTTTTCTTTCTTTCCAGAAACCTATTTTAAGCCTCGGATTATGAACCACTGTAGGTTAGTGGTCTTCAACTGAAGAAGAGTTACCTAACTCAAAAAATAAGTTTTGTGGCCAGGCAAGGTGGCTCACTTCTGTAATCCCAGCACTTTGGGAGACCAAGGTGGGCAGATCACTTGAGCCCAGGAGTTTGAAACCAGCCTGGGCAACATGGTGAAACCCCATCTCTACAAAAAAATATAAAAATTAGCCAGCATGATGGTACGAGTCATAGTCCCAGCTTCTCCAGAGCTGTTGTGGGAGGATCACCTGAGCCCACGGAGGTTGAGGCTGTAGTGAGCCATGATCATGCCACTATAGTCCAGCCTGGGTGACAGACGTTGTCTCAAGTTTTGGGACTAAATATAGATGATAAACTAATGTACTAATTGGGTAAGGTAAGGTTGGTTGTTAAAACTTAAGTCACTGTCATTATTACCGTCTTTACCACCAACAGGTAAAGAAAGGAATTCAAACATGCTAGAATACTAAAAGGGTTATATCCTTTCTCTAACCGCTTAATCTATTGAGACAGGTATTTATTGTGCCTACCATGTGCTAGGGACCATTCTAAAGTTGAAGAATACCATATGGAATAAATTATCCTTGTGCTCAAAGAGCTTAGCTGTATGGGGAGAGGCAGATACACAAGTTGATTTTAGAGAAAAATCCTATCAATAAAAGTTTATTTCACACTTAAATGAGGAAAGAAGCTGGACATGCAGATCTAGAGGAAGAGCAGTTCAGGCAGAGGTTAAGTGCATATTCGTAGAGATGGGTATCTCAGATTCAAACGAGGCAGGGTATGATGTTAAGACTTTAGAAGTGGGCGGGGACCAGATTATGTGTAGTCTTAGAGGTAATTAGCTGAGATTTTACTCTGAATACACTGGGAAGACTGGAAATTTAAAAGATGATACTGGCTATTATGTGGAAAAATTACTGTATGGGGCAAGAGTGTGGGCCGAGAGACAGTAGGAGTCCATTGCAGAAGTCTGGGTGAAATGATGGAGATTTTTGGACTAGGACAGGAGAAGTGGGTAAGATCAGGATAAGGCTGACAAGGATTTGCTTATGAGTTGAAATTGGGGGTTATGAAGGAGAGAAACATCAAGGATGGCTCTTGGATTTGTTACTGAGTAACTGGTAGACAGTGGTATGATTAAATGAAATGAGAAGACTAAGAAAGTATTTTTTGGTAAAAGACAGTGGACAAGGAGCTTGGAAATAAATGAGAGCGGTGTCACAGAAACAGGCATTTCAAACAGTAAGTATTAACTGAATGCTGCTGAGAGGTTAAATAAGGGCAGAGAAGGGCCCTAGGATTTAGCAAGATGCAAGTCTTTGGTAATGTTAATAAGCATTTTCAGTGGAATGATGAAGATGTTCCAGCTCTTCTATTTAACTATGAGTAATTTCATTTAAATAGTCATCCTTAATTTCTCACTATAAATTAAAGGTTTTTTGTTTGTTTTGTTTTGTTTTTTGAGACGAGTTTTGCTATTGTTGCCCAGTCTGGAGTGCAGCAGCGTGATCTTGGCTCACTGCAACCTTTGCCTCCCAGATTCAAACGATTCTCCTGCCTCAGCCTCCCGAGTAGCCGAGACTACAGCTGTGCACCACCACGCCCACCTAATTTTTGTGTTTTTAGTAGAGATGTGGTTTCTCCACGTTGGCCAGGTTCTGCATATATGTATATAAATATATATGCATATATTTATAAGCATTTATATATTTATAAGCATTTATATATAAGCACTGTATATTTATAAGGTTCTGGCCAACATGGAGAAACCCCATCTCTACTAAAAATACAAAAATTAGCTGGGCGTGGTGGTGCACAGCTGTAGTCTCGGCTACTCAGGAGGCTGAGGCAGGAGAATCGTTTGAATGCAGGAGGCAGAGGTTGCAGTGAGCCAAGATCGCGCTGCTGCACTCCAGACTGGGCAACAATCGCAAAACTCGTCTCAAAAAACAAAACAAAACAAAACAAACAAACTTTATAGTGAGAAATTAAGGATGACTATTTAAATGAAATTACTCTCCTGACCTCGTGATCTGCCTGCCTCTGCCTCCCAAAGTGCTGGGACTATAGGCATGAGCCGCTGTGCCCGACCTAAAGGTTTTTTTTTAAAGTCCTTTTTTTGGGTGGTTGTGGTGGTAGTAAGAACACTAAACATGAGATTTTTAAGTGTACAATAGAGTATTGTTAAGTACAGGCACAATGTTACGCAGCAGACCTCTAGAACTTTTTCATCTTGCGTAACTGACTTTATACTAATTAATTCGCATCTCCCCATTTCCCCACCCCCCAGCCCCTGGTAACCATTTTATTCTTTGCTTCAGTGAGTTTGACTATCTTAGATACCTCACATAAATGATCATGCAGTATTTGTCCTTACCTGAAAGTTGGTTCTTTTTTCCATCTTCTGAATGTTAAGTAGAATAACTTAGGAAATTTTGAAATAAAGCCAACTATAACTCCAGACATTAATAACAAACAGCTTTCTATAAAATGTCTCTTCCTATAAAGTATTTTAAAACCAGTTTGTTTCCTTTCCAACACTGTGTGTGTGTGTGTGTGTGTGTGTGTGTGTGTGTGTGTGTGTATTTATATATATTTTATTATTATTATTATTTTTCAGATGGAGTCTCGCTCTTGTTGCCTAGGCTGAAGTGCAGTGGCACGATCTCGGCTCACTGCAGCCTCCGCCTCCCGGGTTCAAGCGATTCTCCTGCCTCAGCCTCCCAAGTGGCTGGAATTACAGGTGTGTGCCACCACGCCCAGCTAATTTTTTAATTTTTAGTAGAGACGGGGTTTTACCGTGTTGGCCAGGCTTGTCTTGAACTCCTAGCCTCAGGTTATCTGCCTGGCTCAGCCTCCCAAAGTGCTGGGATTACAGGAGTGAGCCACTGTGCCTGGCCCAACACTGTATATTTATAAGCATTTAACTTTAAAGTTTTTCTTTGATGCCTATTAACTATAAAATTGTTGAAATCCATTGCTTTACCTAACATTTGTATGTCCCCACAAAAGCTGTCAATTTTTCCTTGTTGATGAAGAATGAATTTTTTATATGTAAACAAAGCCCTTTTGGTTTATCAATTTTTGTGATATCTCAGAATATCATTATAGCTAGATGTTAATATAAAAATCATGAATTATAGAAAAGTTTGGGTTTGTCTAGAAGAAACAAACCAGTTCAAATATAAACAACATTGAAAGATTGTATTTTGAGTAATCTCAAATTCACAGTGGAATAACAATACATCTAAAATTACCATGTTTTATTAGGTTGGTGCAAAAGTAATTGCAGGTTTTGCTATTGAAGGTAATGGAAAAAACTGCAGTTACTTTTGTGCCAACCTAATATCTGAAAGTATACTTGGCTTTACATATTTGAATGCTTATGAAGCAAGAATAATTAAATTTGCAGGCAATCATATCTCAGAAGTAATGGCTATTTCTCCTCAATAGAAAATCAGGAAACAGTTGAGTGAGATTGTGCTTCTGTGGAAAAAACAATGAATTCTAGCAATAGGTTGCTATCTTTTTTTTTTTTTTTTTGAAAGAGTCTTACTCCGTCACCCAGGCTGGAGTGCAGTGACACAATCTTGGCTCACTGCAACCTCCGCCTCCTGGATTCAAGCAAGTCTCCTGTCTCAGCCTCCCAAGTAGCTAGGATTATAGGCATCTGCCATCACACCCAGCTAATTTTTGTATTTTTAGTAGAGATGGGGTTTCACCATGTTGGTCAGGCTGCTCTCGAACTCCTGACCTCAGGTGATCCACCCGCCTCGGCCTCCCAAAGTGCTGGGATTACAGTCGTGAGCCACGGTGCCCAAGGTTGCTATCTTAATAGATGCCACTTTCAGCTTCCCAGGAAAGAGGAGTGTGGTAGAGTAGAAAGACCTAGGAAACAGGCGACCTGCATTATATGGTTGACTAAGAATTGAGATCTTGCCACTTAATCTCTCTGGGCTTCATTTTTTTTTCTTGAGCGATTCTTTTTAACCTCAGGTATATAGAACAGAGAAAATCATTATCCTTGTCACCTGGCATAATAGCATGTCTTTTCAGTTTACTTTCCATGTATTTAGTTATGTGTATATTTTGAAAAAATAATATACATATGCCTATTTTTAACTTTTTTTTGAGAAGGAGTCTCGCTGTCACGCAGGCTGGAGTGCAGTGGCACAATCTTGGCTCACTGCAACCTCCGCCTCCTGGGTTCAAGTGATTCTTCTACCTCAGCCTCCTGAGTAGCTGGGATTGCAGGCATCGGCCACCACACTAGGCTAATTTTTGCATTTTTAGTAGAGACGGGGTTTCACCCTGTTGGCCAGGTTGGTCTCGAACTCCTGACCTCAGGTGATCCGCCTGCCTCGGCCTCCCAAAGTGCTGGGATTACAGGCGTGAGCCACCGCGCCTGGCCTTTAATTTTTATAAATGACAAATTTTATTGATAAATAATACTAGTACGTATTTATGGGGCATATGTAATATTTTTTACATGCATAGGATGTGTAATGATCAAGTCTGGCTATGTAGGGTATCCTTCACCTTGAGAATTTATCATTTCTATGTGTTGGGAACATTTTCAGTCCTATCTTCTAGCTATTTTAAAATATACAATACATAGTCACACTACTCTGCTATCGAACATTAGAATTTATTCCTTCTAACTGTGTACGTATACCCATTAACCAACCTTTCTTCAACCACCCCACATACACACCTTTCTCAGCCTCTGGTATCTATCATTCTAATCTATCTCCATTACATCAACTTTTTTAGCCCTCACATGTGAGTAAGAACATGTGATATTTGTCTTTCTGTGCCTGGCTTATTTCACTTAACATAATGACCTCTGGTTCCATCCATGTTGTGGCAAATTGACAAGGTTTTCATTATTTTCTATGGCTGAATAGTATTCGTGTGTGTGTGTACACACCACATTTTCTTTATTCGTTCATCTGTTGATAGACACCGGTTCTTTTCATATCTTTGCTGTTGTGAATCATTCTACAATAAACACAGGGTGCAAGTATCCCTTTGATCTACTGATTTTTTTCCTTTTGATAAATATTCAGTAGTGGGATTCCTGGATCATATGATAGTTCTCTTTTTAGTTCTTTGAGAAATCACCATACTGTTTTCCATAATGGCTGTACTGACTCACATTCCTATCAACAGTGTATGAGTTCCTTTTTCTCCATCCTTCCCAGCATCTGTTATTTTTGTCTTTTTGATAATAACCATTTTAACTGGTGTAAGAAGATATGTCATTGTGGTTTTGATTTACATTTCTTTGATGTTTAGTGATGTTGCGCATTATTTCATGTACCTGTTGGCCATTTGAATGTCTTTTAAGAAATGTCTATTCATATCCTTTGACTACTTTTTAATGGGATTATTTTTTTTGTACTGTTTAGTTGAGTTCCTTATATATTCTGGATATTAGTCCCTTGTTGGATGAATAGTTTGCATGTATTTTCTCCCATTCAACAAGTTGTCTTTTCACTCTGTTGATTGTTTCCTTGTCATGCAGAAACTTCCTAGTTTAATATAATCCCATTTGTGTATTTTTGTTTTTGTTGCCTGTGCTTTCAAAGCCTTAACCATAAAATCTTTGCCTATGCCAATCCCCTGAAGCATTTCCGCTATGTTTTCCTCTAGTACTTTTATAATTGCATGTGGTATGTTTTAAGTCTTTAATCCATGTTGAGTAGATATTTGTGTATGGTGAGAGATAGAGGTCCAGTGTCATTCTTCTGCGTATGGATATCCAATTTTCCCAGCACCACTTGTTTAACAGAGTATTCTTTTCCCAACATGTGGATTTATTTCTGAGTTCCCTATTTTGTTTCGTTGGTCATTGTGTCTGTTTTTTACCAATGCCATGCTGCTTTGGTTGCTATAGCCTTGTAATATTTTTGAGGTCAGGTAGTATAATGCCTCTAGCTTTGGTGGTTTTTGTTTTTGCTCAGGATTGCTTTGGCTATTTGAGCTCTTTTTGGTTTCAAGTGAATGTTAGGATTGTTTTTTCTATTTCTGTGAAAATGACAGTGGCATTTTGATAAGGACTGCGTTGAATCTATAGGTGCTTTGTGTAGTATGGTCATTTTAACAGTATTCTTTAATCCATAAGAATGGTTGTCTTTCAATAAGTTCTTTCAATTTCTTTCATCAGTGTTTTGTAGTTTTCCTTGAAAAGGTCTTTCGCCTAGTTGGTTAAATTTATCCGTATGTATTTTATTTTATTTTATTTTATTTTATTTTTATACCTATTGTAAATAGGATTGCTTGGTTGATTTCTTTTTCAAAGAATTTGTTAGTGGTGTATAGAAACACTAGTGATTTTTAAAGTTCATTTTTTATCTTGCAACTTTACTAAATTCGTTTATCAGTTCTAAGAGTTTTCTGGTGGAGTCTTAAGTTTTTCTATGTATAATATGCTGTCTGCAAACAAGGACAAGTTGACTTCCTCTCTTTGAGTTTGGATATCTTTTATTTTTTTCTCTTGCCTAACAGCTGTGGTAAAACTTCTAGTACTATGTTGAATGACAGTGGTGAAAGTAGGCATGCTTATCGTGTTCCAGTTTTTAAATAGAAAGCTTTCCATTTTTCCCCATTCAGTATGATGTAAGCTGTGGGTTTGTCATATATGGTCTATTATGTTGAGATACTTTCCTTCTGTACCCAATTTCTTCAGAACTTTTGTCATAAAGAGATGTGAAATATTATCAAATGCTTTTTCTGTGTCTTTTGAGGTGATCGTATGATTTTGTCCTTCATTCTGTTGATGTGATGTTTCACTCTTATGGATCTGCATATGTTATACCATCCTTTCATCCATGGGATAAACCCCATTTGCTAATCATGTATTATCTTTTGGATGTGCTGTTGGATTTGGTTTGCTAGTATTTTCTTGAGGATTTTTGTGTCTGTGTTTATCAGGGATATTGGCCTATAGTTTTCTTGTTTTGTTGTATCCTCTTCTGGTTGTAACAATGCTGGCCTCATAGAATGAGTTAAAAAGAATACCCTCCTCAGCCAGGCGTGGTGGCTCACGCCTGTAATCCCAACATTTTGGAAGGCCGAGGCGGGTGGATCACCTGAGGTTAGGAGTTTGAGACCAGCCTGGCCAACATGGTGAAATCCCATCTCTACTAAAAATTCAAATTAGCTGGGCGTGGCGGCATGTGCCAGTAATCCTAGCCACATGAGAGGCTGAGGCAGGAGGATTGCTTGAACCCAGGAGGTGGAGGCTGCAGTGAGCTGAGATCACACCATTTCACTCCAGCCTTGGTGACAGAGTAAGACTCCAGCTAAAAAAAAAAAAAAAAAAAAAAAAAAAAAATATATATATATATATATATATATATATATATACACACACACATATATAGACACACACACATACACACACATATATATATACTCTCTCTCTCACACACACACACACACACACACACACACATATATATATATATATATATATATATATATATATATATATATATATATATATATAATCATGCCACTGCACTCCAGCCTGGGCAACAGAGTGAGATTTGGTCTCAAAAATAAATAAATAAATAAGAATACCCTCCTCAAGTTTTTGGAATAGTTTGAAAAAAAATTGGTGTTAGTTCTTTTTTTGGAAATTTGGTAGAATTCAGCAATGAAGCCATTCAGTCATGGGCTTTTTTTTTTGTTGGGAGACTTTTTATTACTGATTTATTACTCATTATCAGTCTATTCAGGTTTTCTATTTTTTCCTGATTCGATCTTGGTAGATTGTGTATGTCCAGGAATTTATCCATTTCCTCTATGTTTCCCAGTTTGTTCATGATAATCTCTGACAATCTTTTGCATTTTTGTGGGTATCAGTTGTAATGTCTTCATTTTCTTTTCTAGTTTTGTTTGAGTCTTCTGTCTTCCTTTTTTTTTTCTTGATTAGTCTAGCTAATAGTGTATTGATTTTATCTTTTCAAAAAGTTAAATTTTTGTTTTATTGATTCTGTATATTTTTATGCTCTATTTTGTTTAGTTCTCTAATCTTTATTATTTCTCTCCTATTAACTTTCGGGTTTGCTTGTTCTTGCTTTTATAGTTCTTTGAGGTACATCATTGGATTGTTTATTGAAATCTTTCTTCTTTGATGTACACATTTATTGCTACAAAATTTCCTCTTGGCAGTGCTTTTGCTATATCCCATAGGTTTTGGTATGTTGTGTTCGATTTTCATCTGTTTCAAGAGCTTTTTAAATTTTTCTCCTTAATTTCTTTCTTGACCCAGTGGTCATTGAGGAGCATGTTGTTTAATTTTTATATATCTGTACAATTTTTAAAATTCCTTTTGTTATTGATACCTGGTTTTATTTCACTGTGGTCTGAGAAAATACTTGATATGATTTCTATTTTTAAAAAATTGTGAAGACTTGCTTTGGGTCCTAGCGTGTGGTCTATCCTGAAAAATGTTCCATGTGCTGATGAGAAGTATGTGTATTCTGGAGCTGTTGGATGAATTGTTCTGTGTATGTCTGTTATGTCCATTTGGTCTATAGTGCACTTTAAATCCAATGTTTCTTTGTTAATTTTCTGTCTATATGATCTGGGTAATGCTGAGAGTGATGTGTTGATGTCTTCAACTATTATTATATTAGAGTCTATCTCATCTCTCCTTTTAGATCTAATAATATTTGCTTTATATATATGAGTGCTTAGGTGTTGGCTACATATATGTTTAGAATTGTCCTATCCTATTGCTGAATTGATCCCTTTGTCATTACATAATGACCTTCTTTGTCTCTTTTTACTATTTTTGACTTAAAGTCTTTTTTATCTGATATAAATAAATATAGCTACTTCTGCTTGCTTTTTTAACCCATTTGCATGGGTGGATATTTTTCCATCCTTTGACTTTTAGACTATATGTGCTTTTATAGATGAGATTAGTTTTTTGTAGGCAGCATATAATTAGGTCATGGTTTTTTTAAAAAAAAAAATCCATTCAGCCGTCTATATCTTTTAAGTGCAACATTTAATCTGTTCAAATTCAATGTTATTAATGTGTAAGAACTTACTCTTGTCATTTTATTGATTTCTGGTCATTTTATATATCCTTTGTACCTTTCTTCTACTCTTCTTGTTTGTCATTGTGGTTTGGTGGTTTTCTTTATTGGTAACTTTTGAGTCCTTGCTGTTCCTTATTTGTGTGTTTACCAGTTGATTTTATACATTTATGTGTTTCATGATAGTAGATAATATCCTTTCACTTCTACGTGTAGGACCCTTCAGAGCACATCTTGTAGGACCAATCCAGTGGTGATGGATTCCCTCAGCTTTTGCTTGTCTGGGTAAGACTTTATTTTTCCTTCATTTATGAAGGATAACTTTGCTGGGTATAGTATCCTTGGCTGATGGTTTTTTTTTTCTTCCAGCACTTATATATCATCCAATTTTCTCCCGGCCTGTAAGGTTACTGCTGAGAATCTACTGTTAGTCTGATGGAGATTCCCTCATAAGTGACCAGATGCTTTCTCTTGCTGCTTTTAGAATTATCTCATTGTTTTTCACTTTGACAGTTTGACTATAATGTATGGAGATTTTTTGAATCGTATCTGTTTGGGGATCTCTAAGCTTTCTGAATCTGTATGTGTAAATCTCTTGCTAGATGGGAAGTTTTTAGCTATTATCTTGTGAAATAGGTTTTGTATCCCTTTGGTTGACTCTTCACATCCTGGGACACTGAAATTTTGAATATTTGGTTGCTTTGTGGAGTCCCACGTGTCATGTATGCTTTGTTCATTCTTTTTTATTCCTTAAAAAAATAAATTGGGTTATTTCAAAAGACTTGTCTTCAAGTTCTGAAATTCTTTCTTCTGCTTGTTCTAGTCTATTGTGGAAGCTTTTAATTGTATTTTTTATTTCATTCAATGAATTCTGCAATAATTTTTGTTTAGTTCTTTTTTATGATACCTATCTCTTGGCTAAATTTCTCATTCATATCCTGAATTGTTTTTCTTATTCTTTATATTGTTTATCTGTGTCCCTCTGTATCTCACTGATACTTTTAATATCATCATTTTGAATTCTCTTTCTGGGATTTCATAAATTTCTTTTTCATTGGGATCTGTTGTTGGGGAATTATTATGTTCCTTTGCAGGTGTCATATCTCTTTGCTTTTTCGTGTTTCTGTGTCCTTACATTGATACCTGTGCATCTGGTATAATAGTCACTTCTTCCTCTTAGAGGAGGACTTTTTCCTGATGATATATCTATAATGTTTGTTGGGTAGGACACTTTGGCTTTGATTATGGGTGTGAGCAGTAGTATAGGGTCTGTATGATTTATTTGGCTATAAACAGCATCTGTGGTGTATGTATGTGATTTCCTTAGTGGCTTAGGGTTTTGTTGTTAGTGGAGGCTCTGGTGAAATTTTACTGGGAACAGAGACACCAGGTAGACTACTCCACTGGCCCCAGTGGTGGCCATGGAAGGCTGGACATGCCTGTCCTTGGGCCCCAGGACAGCATGCACTGGCACTTGTGTTAGTTGCTTCAGGTGGGTCATTTCTTGGGCCTTCCGCCACCTTGCTTGGGTGCCAGCAGTGGCATTGGTGGCCTGGTGTGTGCGCAGGTTGTTGAGCTCCTGGGCAGTGGGTGGTACATGAACAATGGCAGTGGTAGTGACAGAACAACTCCCTGGCTCCCAAGTGGTTCACACTGGTGTTGGAGGTGGCTGCAACAGGTACTCAGGCCCTCAGGTGATGCATTCAGGTGGGTGCCAACTGTGGTGGTAGTGGCAGGTTGAGTGGTCCCATCCTTAGGACCCTGGGAAGAGTGCTCAGGTGCCAGTGATGATGGATGAGGCAGGGTGATCCCAGGCCCCAGATGACATTCTCAGGCACTGGCCAGAGGGTGGAGCTTGGCTGGGCAGACCTGTCCTCAGGTCCCTCAGTTGTACATGTGGGCATTGGCTATTTTTGGCAGAGGCAGAGTGATCCCCAGGCCCCTGTGGGGATGGCAGGGTTGCTTTCAGTGGTAGCCAGCAGAAAGCAGGTGGCTGGGTAGCACATGATTTGGCCTCAGAGTATGGCTGTGGATAGGATAGCCTGTCCTCATGGCACTCATAAATATGCCACAGCAGTGCTTCTGGGGACAACAG
Source organism: Homo sapiens (assembly GCF_000001405.40). NCBI lineage: Eukaryota > Metazoa > Chordata > Mammalia > Primates > Hominidae > Homo > Homo sapiens. Next base: position 49,110,636 of record NC_000015.10, on the reverse strand, counting down.
GATTATTGGCATTGGCTCCCACTTCAGCCCTGGCAGCAGTAGCCAGCAGTGGCAGTGGCTGTAGGCAGGGCATGTCAGTGGGACTCCAGGAATGTGGAGATGCAGAGACTGTTGGGCCCCATGGCAGGAGGCAGTCTGGTGGAGACTGAGCTCTCAGTATCCTGCCATGTTGTAGCTACTTAGGACTCATAGGGATGCATGGGACCTAGCATGAGTTTCCTCTTTGGAGCAAGGGTGTTGTGTGGTATGGTCTCCAGGCAGTTCCCTATGTTAGTCTCAGGGCCTGTAAAGGTAAGGGACTCTTCCTTTGTCTAGGACTGTGGGAGTCCTCCATAGGAATGTGGACCACGGGTGGTCTCTCCGTCTCTCACTTACCCTTTCTCCACATTGAGCAGCCTCTTTAGGCTACCAGCCAATCCTGGCTGAGCAGGCTGCCTTGATTCCCTCTCCTTCTTTGCCTTAGGTGTTTCCTGTTACTTCTCTGTTGAATTCTAGTTTTCTTTCTTAGATTATCCATTCAAAGTGTGATTATCTACTTGCTATTTTGGTTCTTCTTTGTGGAGGAGACAAGTATCAAATGCCTCTACTTAGTCCTTTTGAACCCGTCCCTTTAACACTCTCAGTACCTTTTTAAACTATGCTTTTATCCATGTTATTTTTAAATCTGGTTTATTACTTCTGACTGTTGTTTTGTCACTTATATCTCATATGCATGCCGCAATTTACATATTTATCCTGTGATAGACATCTATGGAGGTTCCTTCCAGATCCTTACTACATAAATAATTCTGATGAACACTTTATCTTTATCTCCTTATGTACCTGTGCAAAATTTATTCTGGCATGTGTATCTGGAAATACTGGGTCTTAGGGCATAGTACTTTATTTCACCAAGTACTGCCAGATAACTCATCAAAATGGCTGTATCATTTATGTTCCCACCAGTAGTGCATGAGGGTTCCAGTTTTCTTTTATCCTTGACAGCCCTTGATAATATCTAACTTCGGTATCTTATTGTTTTTTAAATGCACATTTTTATTACTAATGAGCTTGTACATCTCTTCATACATTTATTAGCCATTTAGTTGTCCCCTTCTATGGACTGTCTACTCTTCACAATCTGTTATTGGCTTATTTTTACTGATCTATGTCAGGCCATTTGTGTATTCTAGATATTAAACTCTTATCTATCTTATTTTAGATTTGCAACTATTCTCCGAAGCATTGTCTCTTATGTCCTTATTGAACATAAAACTTTCATTCTAATGATAAGTCTATCCTTTTTCCTCCTCATCATCCATGTTTTTTAAGAACTCATTTAAGAAATCTTTTCCAATACAGAAGTGTTGTTTTATAGTTTCCCTTTTATATTTAAATCTTTATTTGGAGTTTATTATGGTATATGATTTGAGGTAAGCATCAAGCTTTTCATTTCTTTGTAATGAAGCACATTTTCTCAATTTCATCTACTAAATTATTATTCCCCACTGATTTGTGATGCTACCTTTTTTAACTACCACTTCTACAAAGGCAAGGGGTATATTTCTGGGTTCTGTAGTCTAGTTCTATTTGTTTCCTCACCAGTGCCACGTTGTGTTTTTATTACTGAGCTGAGTGATGTCTTCATTACAGGAGAATCTCTCCACCCAATTTTCTGCTCATTTTGAAATTTATTTTAGTATTCATGTATCTTTATCTTTATTTTTCTGTATCAATTTTGCCATCAGTTTGTCAAGTTTCTTTAAGGTACTGTGGAGTTTTAATTGGAATTACATTAAATTCAGAGATAGATTTGTTTCCTTTTATGTGACTTTTATGTGACTCTTGTTTTTAGTTTTTTTCACTATAAAGATTTTGAGCATTCTTTGTTATATTAATTTCAAAATCTTTATAGCTTATGATCTGTCATTTTCTAAAATATTTTCTAGTTGGTTATTATTGAAATAGAAGAATGATATTGATAATTTGCATACTGGTTTTTATGTTTACCAACCTTGCTGAACCTTATTTATCAATAGTTGGTCTTTGATTCACATGTGTATGTGTGTGTTTGAGACGGAGTCTCACTCTGTCGCCCGGGCTGGAGTGCAGTGGTGTGATCTTGGCTCACTGCAACCTCCGCCCCCTGGGTTCAAGCGATTCTCCTGCCTCAGCCTCCCAAGTAGCTTGGATTACAGGCACGTGCCACCATGCCCAGCTAATTTTTTGTATTTTTAGTAGAGAAGGGGTTTTACCGTGTTAGCCAGGATGTTCTCGATCTCCTGACCTCGTGATCTGCCCACCTCAGCCTCCCAATCACCTGTGTTTTTAATATGGATAATCATGTCAAAAATACACACACACATTTATTTGTAAGCATCTCAAATTTCTCCATTAGGCATGAAATTCGTTATCAGTTTTGAGGAGTTAGCATTCTTTAAATTACAAAAATTCTCTTCTGTTTTTTGTCTTCTAAAAGCTCTTTAAAAATCATAAATAGGTTTTATGAAAATAGGTTTTATGAGCTATATAAAATATTCCTCGACCTAATAAGATGAACATGTGTGTTCACATAGTGGGTTACATGGTGTTAAATCATCCCAACATTCTGGGATAAACTCAGACTGATGATTATATCTTCCTTTTCAGTACAATTTTGCATTTAATAGCCAACATTTTATTTAGAGGTTTGCCACCTATGATTTTAAGTAAAATTGGGCTATAATTTTCTCTTCTTGGACTGTCTTTCATTGGTTTAGCTATCAAGGTTATTTTACATCATAAAATGAATAGGCAGCTTTCACTCTTTCTGTTTATTATAACAGTATATAATATACATTATTATATTACATATAATATGTAGCATATTATACACATACAATATCATATGTATAATATATGTATATACGTATAATATATGTATACATATAATATGTATAATATATGTGTATATGTATAATATTATATATATACATATAATATGTATAATATTATATATATACATATAATATGTATAATATGTTCTTGAAAGAACTCACTTGTAATGCTGTTTGGACTAAGACATTTCAGAGATAGTAAGATTTTTAAATTTTGCAATTTCTTTAATGATTATTCATCCTTTCAAAAACTTATCTTGTGCTATTTTGGCATTTTATTTGTTTTCAGAAATATACCTGATTTATATCAGTCTTCAAATTTATCAGGATATAGTTTGTGATATTCTTTTTATTTTTAATATCCATTATATTTATGATTATTCCCCTTTTTTGTTCTGTATTTGTTTATTATGTCTATCTTATTAGTCTTTCTAACTTTCCAGTTTGGGGCTCATCTTTATTATGTTTTTTGTTCTCTTACTGATTTTTGCCCTGATCTGTATGACTTCCTTTATTGTCATTTCTTTAAATATATATTCTGTGGCTCCTTTTCTAGCTTCTTGAATTGAATCATTTTTAAATTAAATTATAGTAAATTTGCTCAAAACTATATGAAAATCCTCTTTGGTATTTTCCTTATATAGATCTGCTGATAATAAATTCTTCTGGTACTTATTGGTCTGAAAATGTCTTTATTTCATCTTCATTTTTGAAGAATATTTTCACTGGGTATATAAATCTAAGTGTGCTATTATTTCCTTCCAGCACATCAAAAATATTTTACTATCTTGTGGTTTTTATTGTTTCTTTTGAGGAGTCAACTGTCAATCTAATTGTTTTGCCTTTGAAAATTAACTGTCTTTTTATCTTTAGCTGCTTTGAAGATGTTCTCTTTGTCTTTGGTTTTCCACAATTTTACTGTGATGTACCTAGATGTGGACTTTTAAAAATGCATCCTCTTGGCATCCTTTGGGTCTGTTGAATCTACAGATTGATATCTCTCACCAGCTATAGCAGAATATCAGATATTGTCTCCTTGGGTATTGCTTCTGCCACATTTTCTCTCTTCTTTTTTTCTGAAACTCCAAATAAGCATATATTAGACCTTTTCATTGTATCCTATGTCTCTAACCTTAATTTTTTTTCGTTTTTTTTTTTTTTTGCCTTTATATGCTTTATTTTGGATTTTCATTTGCCTTTTTTTTAATATTGTCACTTAGCTATGTGTAATCCATTATTAAATTTATATTGGTTTTGTATTGTCACTTAGCTGTGTGTAATCCATTATTAAGCCCATCGTAGTGAGTTGAATAATGTCACCCCAAAATTCATGTATACTAAGACCTCAGAATGTGACCTCATTTGGAAGCAGCATCTTTGCAGATGTAATTAAAGATCTTAAGATGAAAGCATCCTGGTTTTAGGATGGGCTCTAAATTCAATGATTGGTTTCTTTATAAGAGAAAGGAGAGGAAGATTTGGACACAGACACACAGAGAAGAGGTCAAAGTGAAGACAGAACCAGAGATTGGAGTTTTGCTGCCATAAGCCAAGAAACCAAGAGCCAAGAAACACCAGAAGGTAGGAGAAAGGCAAGGAAGAACTTCCCCTCTAAAGCCTTCAAAGAAAGAAAATATAACCCTGCCAGCACCTTGATTTCAGACTTCTGGCTCCAGAACTGTGAGAGAATAAATTTCTGTTGTTTTAAGCTACCAGGTTTGTGGTAGTTTGTTCTGGCAGTCCTAGGAAACAAATATCCCTATCCATGAAGTTATTTTCCAACATTTACGGGAAATTCCTTTGAGCCAATTTGTCAGTCAGTCATACGTACCTTTGTTTTGTGTGTGTTTCTGTTTAAAAACAACTTATTTAATGTATATTATTGATTCATTAAGGTTGACCTCATGGCCAACAGCACTATAACTCATGCCTGAACATAGCTTACCTAACACACATATTTTCTCCATAAGATACAGCCTTCCTGCACTTAGGAACACTAGACAGCACTTCAGCACTATGTTTTGAGGGCCATTAAATAGCAAAGTCACCAACACAAAGCCCAAAAATGCAAAAACTGTGGCACTAAATAGGTTGCAAGAAGAACAGTTGTGTATATTCTGAGAGCTGAAACTAGAAGACAGAGAATCAGTCCCAGCTCAGAATGTGCGCTTTGGGTTACTCACATTTTTCATTAGTCTTTGCAAATGTATGTTCATGAATGACTGTGAAAGCACCAGAAATATTGATTTTCTGTTTACAAATACATTTTAATGAGTAGGTGAATTCTCAAATATGAAATCTGCAAACAATGAGAGTCAAGTGTACAACTAATCCAGGTATGCATTAAACTTCCAGCTGGGAGCTGAAAGTCAGATTTTATATAATGTCAAATATGAAGCTATGGTACTATATGGAGTTTGAATACCATTCGTTGCAGAAAATGATGATGTAACATTTTCAACAAATTGACTTTCCATGGTTTCTCACAGCTAGCTGCCTAAAGCCCCCACTTTAATGCGTCTTCTATATTGTGCTATCTGTTTTTTTGTTTGTTTTTGTTTTTTTGTTTTTTTTTTTTTTAAGACAGAGTTTTGCTTGTTGCCTAGGCTGGAGTGCAATGGCGTGATCTCAGCTCACCGCAACCTCCGCCTCCTGGATTCAAGTGATTCTCCTGCCTCAGCCTCCCGAATAGCTGGGATTACAGACATGCACCACCATGCCTGGCTAATTTTGTATTTATTTATTTTTTTAGTAGAGATGGGGTTTCTCCATGTTGGTCAGGCTGGTCTCGAACTCCCAACCTCAGATGATCCATCCGCCTCAGCCTCCCATAGTGCTGGGATTATAGGCGGGAGCCCCCGTGCCCAGCCTACATTGTGCTATCTTAACCCAAGTAAAAGGACACCTCCCTTTCCTTACTTGTTTCTCACCTTTCCCTGATAGGCTATTCCCTTGTCCTGTTACACACTTTTCTTTAACAGAGTCCCAGCTCTCTCTCCTTGTCTCCAGTGACACAGGTTTGGGGTCTGCCATCACCACCACCATTATGCCTTATTTGCTTATAATGCAGCAAAAAAAAAGGGGTGACTGCTGAGCAGATAGCTTGGCTTAGATAAAATCTGGAACATTTGTTATAATAGTCAAAAGCTAAAACTAATCCAAACAATTCAATAATCTTACCATGAGTCTTCTATCCTGTTTTTTCTCCAGGTACTTGTCAATAATGTGTATTTTATACTTGTGCCAGGGACAGAATCCAGACAGTTTCCTCTTTCCTGTTACTTTGAATCAATATATTTAAGGGTTTGATTTTTTTACTTCTTATTTTTTTATTTTTATTTTTTTCCTTTGAGATAAGGTCTCACTCTGTTGCCCAGGCTGGAGTGCAGTGGCATGATCATGGCTCACTGTGACCTCGGCCTCCCAGCCTCAAGAAATCCTCCCAACTCAGTTTCCCGAGTAGCTGAAACTATAGGTGCACACCACCACACCTGGCTAGTGTTTGTATTTTTTTTTTTTTTTTTTTGTAGAGATGGGATCTCACTATGTTGCCCGGGCTGGTCTCAAACTCCTAGCCTCAAGCAATCCTCCCACCTCAGCCTTTCAAAGTGCTGAGATTATATGCTTGGGCCACCGTGCCCAGTGCAAGGGTTTGGTTTTTTATAGTGCTTCTATTTGGGAAATCAGGCATAGAGGAATAGATTATAAGATGGTTTTGAAAAATACAAAGAAACCCAGATGAGACCTGCAGATTCACAGTGACAGAAGACATATTTTTGCAACTTCCTTTTGAATCTCCTTTGCAAAGAGTCCTGTCCTCATTTAGCCCAGACCATAAGAAAGGATATAACAGACACTGTCATGTTAGTTGAAAGCAGGAAATTTATATTGGCCAGTGATTTCTTCCTGTAAGCCTGAACAAAGTAAAGCTTCACGCTCCATAAACTCTTCTCATGCTACCCATATATATAGGTTCACTCACTGTCCATAGAGCAGTTAAAAATGATCGTTGTTTGGGCAGAGAAGCTACAAGTTTTTGGATTATTTTATTTTGTAGAGCAAAATATTTACTGAAGACACCTGCAGGGGAGGTTATAACAATCTCCATAACTTAGAGAGGATGCTGTCAATAAAATGGCATTTTGTCTTGTCTTCACCAAGACTCCTATTTTTGGAAGGTTTTTCCTTAATTTTTAGCATGCTTTTCTTAGTTTGAAGCTTTTGGGAGGTCTCTTAGTGACTTCATTCTCTGGTTTAGGTCACTTATGACTATAACCCCATATCAAGAGACTTACCAAGATATTTTAATTTTTCACTAGTTAAATGTCCATTTTTGTGTAAGAGTGCATGACATTTAATTATGAGCAAGTTATTTGGCTTTTCTGTCATAATATCCAAGAGTCAGAGTGAGGGCATAGGACAAAAAGCAAAGTACTTAGAAATGTGCTTTCAGTCAATATAGGGATGGGGGTTCCATTACTACTGTGATACAGCTACACCCCTAGAGTCATTATTCTGACTCAGTGAAGGAAAAACACTGAGCAGAGTTGGGTGTAGCAGCGTAGATACATCCAGATACTAAATGTGGCTAGAACCTCTGAGTCAGAAGTTTCTTCTGGATTGAGCTCCACTGAGTTACCTCATTTTAGTAAAAATGCTGTAGCTCAAACCCCCACATTTATGGAATAACCCTGGGAATACTTGGAGGTAATTCTTCATGGTATTACCCGTGAAGAGATCCTGGTTCTCTACATGAATTAGCCTGTAGGTGTCATAATGTGGTTTTTTTTGTTTTGTTTTTTGTTTTTTTGTTTTTGAGACAGAGTTTCACTCTTGTTGCCTAGGCTGGAGTGCAATAGCACGATTTTGGCTCACCGCAACCTCCGTTTCCCGGGTTCAAGCGATTCTCCTTCCTCAGCCTCCCGAGTAGCTGGGATTACAGGCATGTGCCACCACGCCCGGCTAATTTTGTATTTTTAGTAGAGACGGGGTTTCTCCATGTTGATCAGGCTGGTCTCGAACTCCTGACCTCAGGTGATCCACCCACCTCAGCCTCCCAAAGTGCTGGGATTACAGGCGTGAGCCACTGAGCCCGGTGTGTTATAATGTTTTAATAGTTACGTGCACACACATATATTTATTTTTTATCTGTTATGTTTGTCTTTTATCTTGAAAGACAATCTCAGATGACATTTCTTACTCCTTCTCCTTAAATTATTTCTATAGTTTTGAGGCCTACTATTAATCTGGCAGTGTAATTTTTTTTTCTGTATGCATTTTCATATGGCTTAGAAAATTACTCTGCAAATAATACATGTTCATTGGTAAAAAACTCAAGGTACACAGGATATATCATGAAAAGCAAAAGAATCAGGCCAGGCGCGGTGGCTCACACCTGTAATCCCAGCACTTTGGGAGGCTGAGGCAGATGGATCACCTGAGGTCGGGAGTTCGAGACCAACCTGACCAACATGGAGAAACCCTGTCTCTGCTAAAAATACAAAATTAGCCAGGTGTGTATGCCTGTAATCCCAGCTACTCGGGAGGCTGAGGCAGGAGAATTGCTTGAACCCGGGAAGCGGAGTTTGCGGTGAGCCGAGATTGCGCCATCGAACTCCAGCCAGGGCAACAACAGTGAAACTCTGTCTCAAAAAACAAGAAAAAGTAAAAGAATCTTGACCTTAGATAGAATCATTATCAGTAGATTATTTTCTGTCCTTCCAGAAACTCTCTGTGCATATAAAAAAATACAATTTTTGCATAAGTAGGGTCCAACTAAATGTTCTGCCACTTGCTTTGTATCTAATGTGTATATTTTAAATTGATATAAAGAAGGCACAGCAAGACAGGGCCCATCATACAGTATGACATTTCACAACATTGTATTCTTTTATTCTTGACTACAACATAATGTGCCTTTAAAGTGACCTTTTGTTTTAGTATGTACGGAAGGAACACAAGAGTTTTACAATAAACAATATCTTACAATAATGACTCATTATTTGGAGGAAAAAAAACCTAGCAAATATCTTGGGAAAATGTCATCGTGCATCTGGTGGTCAGCAAACTTGGAGTGAGATTCCTGTCTAGTTCTGTGGCATTCCATATTCAGTCTCACAAAGAATGGGATTGTGAGAAAACTCATTTTACCAGTGGGATGTTTCACAAAAATTTTTTTGACCAAGATACTCCCACCATTCTCAAGACCTATAATCTAGTTAGATTTGTAAATGGAAAGCTTAATGCTTATTATTTTTAGCACTGCAAATGTTTCCACTTTTGACTTTTAGAAAAACAACTTCCACCAGTTAATTTTCAGGCCTACTGTGTGCCAAGCTATGATGAACGCTTTTGATATGTCATTTAATCTTCACTGCAACCTATGAGGTAAATACTGTTCTTTTCTGATTTCCTTTCTGTTAACAAAAACAAAGGCACACAAAGGTTAAATAATGTGTTCAAGACCACATCACTAAGTGGAGAAGCTGAGCTTGAGACCAAGATTAGTGTAACTCCAGAGGCCGTATGCTAACCTCTGTGCTACCTAACTTCTCTTGTGCAGTATTTTGTCCCTTCTCTTCCCACCTATTGCCCTTGCACTGTTGGTGCACCCTACTCAGCACGTCGGCAGTGTTAGCTGAAACAGCATATTGCCTTTACCTTTTATTTGTTTCTTTTGAATCTCCCTTCTAGAAAGCCCTGTCCTCATTCAGCTCAGACCACCCTAGTACAAGAAGGGTCAGCAGACACTGCCTATTAAACTGAAAGCAGGGAGTTCACATCGGCCAGGTGGTCTCTTTCTGAAACTGGAACAAAGATAACCATCAAATGAATATCAACTCTGTATGCTACATATGCCTGTTTATAAAACACTGGCTTTTAGTATGACCTACATCCACAAAATAGTGGAAAATTAGTGTAACTTGGTAGTAGAATATGTTACAGAGAAATTCACCTTACCTGGTCATGAGTCTTCTCCTGGACTTCAGCAATCTGAATTTCAATTCTCTCTCTTAACTGTCATACTTCTGATTCTCCTTCCTATCTACCCAGTCTTTTCTCTCACAAATTTATGTTGTAAGCATGTTCTTTTTCTTCTGCATTTGCATCCTTGAAATACTGTTTCATAGATGCTCACAGGCATGTGCAAGTGGGGAAGGGTGAGTGAAAGTACATATAGTGGAGTGTCTTGGTGTGTATGTGTATGGATGAGCAAATGGTATATTTGTGTGCCCAATTCACTCTCTGATATATGCTCTGGCATATGTTCAATAAATATGATAAATAAGTGGAAATAAAGACACAAAATTCCTTTTCTATAACAGAAATGTGGTAATAGAGCTAGGGAATTTCTCTAAGGCTCTCTCTGTCCCTCACTAGCTAACCTGTGCCCTAGTCAAGGCTTGCAACATCTCTTGTCTTGATCCTTACATAGAGCTTCCAGATTAGTCCCCTAAGCTTTCCTCTTTCAATTCATCCTAGTAGCCAATATCAGATTTGTCTCCCCAAAATTCTCTAATTGATAACCTACATATTATGAGCTGAATTATGTTGCTCCCCCTACCCCCACCAAATTCATATGTTGAAGCCCTAACCCTTAATGGGAATATATTTGGAGATAGGGTCTCTAAGAAGGTAATTAAGGTTAAATGAGGTAATAAGAGTGGGTTCCCAATCCAATAGTATCGGTGCCCTTGTAAGAAAAGAAAGACAGACCAGAGTTTTTTCTCTTTATGCCAGCACAGAGGAAAGGCCATGTGAAGACAAGTGAGAAGCAATTATCTATAAGCCAAGAAGAGAGCCTTCACCAGGGACTAAATTAGTTCATACCTTGATATGGAACTTCTAGCCTCCAGGACTGTGAAAAAATAAGTTTCTGTTGTTTAAAGCATCCAGCCTACGTTATTTTCTTGTGGCAACCCTACCAGACTAATATACTAGGGTAACTCCCTATTTTTCTGACTCTAGACTCCTTTATACCCCCTACCAAATCCAATCCTACCATAGTTGCCCATCATCTCCAACTTGGCATTCTCTGCAGTCAAGTATGGCTCTTCAGTGTTTCCTGAACACTACCTTTTGTTCATGGTGGCTCCTGCTTCAAAATAAGACCATGCCAATAGATTATTTCAACAGCCTCCCAGTTGGTCTCTGTGCCTTTCCCCTTCAGTTTATCTTCAATCTACTCCTAGAACAGCTGCCAAGTGATTCTATTAAAGCATGTCCAAATATCTTACTCCCCTGTCCAAAACCTCCCACTGGATTCCCATCTCACTCAGAGTAGAAGATCATATTCTTAAAATGGCCCCCAAGGCCCTGCCCAAAAAGTTCTCCCATTGTCTTTCTGACCTGATCACCTACTACTTACTTTCTTGTTCATTTCGCCCCTGCCATATTCGTCTTCTTGCAGTTTCTCCAACCTGCCAGGCACATCCCTCCTCAGGCTGTTGCACTTGCTGATTTCTGAGTCTGGAATACTATTTCCCCTGGACAGCCACATGACTGCTTCCTTCATTTCTTCAGCCGTTTGCTCATATATATCACCTTCTAAGAGACATGGTCCCTGACCAACCTATTTTAATTTGCACACACACATCCCACTTTCTGCTTTATTTTTCCATGGCCACCATCTGTCATACTATTTATTTTACTTTATTTTTTCTTATTTTCATGTCCTTAGAATGTAAGCTCTCTGAGGGTAGAGATTTTGTCAACTTTGTTCATTGCTATGTCTCCAGTGACTAGAACAGTGCCTGACTGTTCAAGAAAAACAAATTAAATGAATCCCAGGGCTTTTGCCTTCCTTTTCCTGTCTGATTTAATTTTTTCTGGTTTACTATCCCAAACCATAGTATCTGATCAGACATCAATTGTTCTGTTTAACATGTGCTTGTTTTTTTTTTTAATCTTCCCAGCCAAATTGTAACTTTCTTGAGGGCAAAGACAACATAGGATTAATTTTCTGCAATCCACAGCTCCTAGCAGAGTGCTGGGCATATAGTCAACATTCATTAGATTCTTGATGATTAGATTCTATCTACAGTAAACTAGAGTCTTTCAAGGTGAAGCTGCCTATTGGATAACTATAAAAAATTTCCAAAAGGGCAGACAACTAGGCTAAAGGTATACTTCCTTCTTGAACACTCAAATTCTTTATTATAGAGATTTTCATAGCCCGGAAAAGCCAAGCAAAGGGTCCGTTGTTTATTGGGAGCTTAAGGAAATATGAAGGATGCACAAGAATCATCAATAATTTCTCAGGTGATGTCTTGGGCCAATACAAGTATGGTTATAACTTTTGTAATAGTCTGTCTCCTCAGTCACCAGCTAAATCTGCTGAGAAAAGGATGAAAAAGCCAGATCCAGCTGTCTATCTAAAGGCCAAGAGGCATACTTTAAGTTCTAGGGTGGAGTTCTAGAAGCTAATATATACTTACAGAAAAGGGCCAGAAAAAAATGTTAATGTAGCCACTTTGGAAAACAGTTTGGCAGTTTCTCAAAAAGTTAAACACAAAGTTGCTGTATGGCCCAGTGTTTCATACCTGGGTATCTACAAACAAGAGAAATGGAAACATGTACACGCAGAAACTTGTACACAAATGTTCATAACAGTATTATTCATAATAGTCCCCAAATAGAAACAACCTAAATGTCCATCAATGGAGGAATGAATAGATTAAATGTAGTTTGTTCATATGTTAGAATACAGAGCGATAAAAGAAAATAAATTGATACATGCTACCTGGATGAACCTCAGAAACACTATGTTAAGTGAAATAAGCCAGACACAAATAACCACATGTATGAATCTATTACATAAAATGTTCAGAAAAGTAACAGAGACAGAAAGTAGATTAGTGGTTGCTTGGTGCTGTGGCTGAGGGGGAGGAGCATTAACTATAAATGAACATGAGGATTCTTACTGGGGTGAAGAGAATGTTATAAAACTGATTTATGATGATGGCTGTGCCACTTGGTAGAGTTATTAAAAACCATTCATTTGGCTAGGTGCAGTGGCTCACACCTGTAATCCCAGCATTTTGGGAAGCCAAGGCGGGCGGATCACTTGAGGTCAAAAATTCGAGACCAGCCTGGCTAACATGGTGAAACCTTGTCTCTACTAAAAATACAAAAAAAAATTAGCCAAAGGTCGTGGTGTGCACCTGTAATCCCAGCTGCTCAGGAGGCTGAGGCACAAGAATCGCTTGAACCCAGGAGGCGAAGGGTGCAGTGAGCTGAGATGACGCCACTGCACTCCAACCTGGGTGACAGAGCAAGATTCTGTCTCCAAAAAAAAAAAAAACCAACAACATTGATTTGTACACTTGAAATGAGTGAATTTTATGATAGAGCCTCATTCTGTTGCCCAGGCTGGAATGCAATGGAGTGATCATAGCTCACTGTATCCCTGATCTCCTGGGCTCAAGCGAGCCTCCCGCTTCAGCCTCCCCAGTAGTTATAGGTGTGTGTCTGGCTAATTTGAAAAAAACTTTTTTTTTTCTGTAGACAGGAGTCTTGCTATATTGCCTAGGCTGGTTTCCAAACACCTGGGCTCAAGCAGTCCTCCCACCTTGGCCTCCCAAAGCACTGGAATTACAGGTGTGAGTCATAACGCTTAGCCTAAAATAGTTCTTTTAAAAAGTTAATATTACCTTTTTTTCTGCTTGTAAAAGGAATGCATACTCAGAAAGTACAGAAAAGCATAGAAAAGAAAATAATCAATACCTATCTAGAGATTAAAAATTAGCTATTTCTTTCTGGTCTTTTTTTAAAAAATGTGTGTGTTTTACATAGTTGATACCATTCTCTGTGTGCAATTTTATATCCTGATTTTCTGACTATTATACGATAAGCGTTACCTTCTTCATCAAAGCCTTTTGATAAATATCAATTGCTGAGTAATATTTCATCATGGGGATGTATTATAATTCATTCAACTACCATCTATTGCTGGACATTTCAATTTTATAAATAACACAAGCTGAATATATTTGTACAAAAAAAATCACTAAGGCTTAACTAGATTTTTCAATCTAGTTTATTTCTGGTTCTCAGTCTATCTTACAAGTCTTGAATTTAGAAACATGACCTTGGTAGTAGGGGCTTCCTTATCTTCAGTTGGTGAAGTGAGCCCTGCTGAAGTGCAGAGAATCACTCATGATTTCAAAATAGGGCAAAGGTTACAATAGAATGAAACTGATTGGCTGGGCCTGCTTGCTCTGGTGAGAAGGCCACACCAGTGTCAGGGACTGGGATCTGCAACAGAAGGTGAGGACTCTAGTGCAGCAAAAGGTCAGGAACAAGGCCAAGAGCCCTAGAAAAGGTGGCCAAGGCAATAGAGCAGGCTCCAGGGTGTCAGTGGGTCACCTGTAGTCAAGAGTGGGCTGGAGTCTGGAAGCCAAAGGGTCTGAAGCAGAAAGAAGTCACCAGCTCTCCCAACTCCTGGCAGAAACAAAGGTAGATGAAAACACAGCACCAGGAACCAGAAGTGAACCCAGCCCTAGGACAAAGACTGTTTGCTAAATGTTCTCTCACATGTTGACCCTAAGGAACTGTGTGTGTTGGTATATAGGAACTCTAGTTAACCTTCCTACCTATCCAGAGGTAGGACTGGAGTTAGAGGGTGTTAACCCATCAGTCTTGGTGTGAGAAACATCATTTAAAATAAACAATTGTATAAAGGTAATGAGTGGGTACTGATTTCAAATGCTATGTGAAATAAAGGTATTCGCTTTCTCATCACTCATAGAAATTGACCATGAATGCTGTAAAATTGACTATGGTGATGGCTGCACGAACTCAGTGACTATACTAGACATCACTGAATTGTGCCCTTTAAATAGGTGAATTGTATTATATGTGAATTATATCTCAATAAAGCTATTTTTAATTTTTAAAAAGAAAAGAGAAACTGACCATGATTGGCTACTCTTTAATATCTAGAGGATGGGGCCTATGAACTTCTCCCCATGTTCAAAATCTCTACCCCATCTGCCTCCCAGTGAACATAAGGTTTCAACAGTGAGAACTGATTGCTCCGTATCATTCTATTCCTTCATCTAACCGTCAAGTTACCCTGAGATACCCAACTCCCAGGGTTAAGAAAGAGAAATGGTGGTTAAGAAAACGTGCTACTTGTCCCTGGAGGGTTTAGTGCATAGGCATTAAAGGCTGTGGAATGGCCGGGCGCGGTGGCTCATGCCTGTAATCCCAACACTTCGGGAAGCTGAGGTGGGTGGATCACCTGAGGTCAGGAGTTCAGAACCAGCCTGGCCAACATGGTGAAACCCCGTCTCTACTTAAAATATAAAAATTAGCCAGGCATGGTGGCTAATCAGGAGGCTGAGGCACAAGAATCACATGAACCCAGGAGGCAGAGGTTGCAGTGAGCTGAGATCGCACCACTGCACTCCAGCCTGGGTTACAGAGTGAGACTTCATCTCAAAAAAAAAAAAAAAAAAAAAAGTCTGTGGAAAACCAAGTTGTGGAATCCATATATTATACACATAGAA
Organism: Homo sapiens; assembly: GCF_000001405.40. Taxonomy (NCBI): domain Eukaryota; kingdom Metazoa; phylum Chordata; class Mammalia; order Primates; family Hominidae; genus Homo; species Homo sapiens. The sequence continues at coordinate 49,095,269 of NC_000015.10, read as the reverse complement.
AAAGCCTAAGCAAAGAAAAAAAGTTTAGCAGCAATTAAAATGCTAACAGCAGTGTAAGAGAAAGGGGAGAATGATTTTTCTCTAACAATTTGTATTCTAATGTTTCTTTGCCTGTCAAGAGATGCCATTCTGTGGTTTTTAATGATGAATTATTCTGGAGAGACAACACATTCAGCTCAGCTCAGAGAACTTAGTCTGTGAGACGTGCTTTTTTCCTGTGACAAAAGGAATCCAGGGAAATATGAAAACTTAGGGTGCTGTAAGAGCTAAAAGAAGAGAAAAAAATAGCAGGGGCATAAGGGAGCAAATAAAGTTACCTTTTGTTGTTCTTGTTCAGAGTTTTTGTCTGTTTTTTCAATTATGTCAAAAAAAAAAGTCAATTGGAGATTATAGCTATGTAGGACAACCTGACTTATCTTCTCACATCTTGGCCTCTTCTACTGGAAAATATTTTCTTTGTGAAAATACCAAATACAGCTGCTACTCTCTCCCTCTTAAAGGAATATCTGGTACCAAGTGAGCTGGAGTGAATTCAACAGTATCTTATCTGCAAGGAGAATAGCAAAATAATACAAATGCAAATAATACAGACACAAATAAAAACATTTATGTGGACGTAACCAGTTTAACGTGAAGGACAAATGTTACCTTGTCCTCCAGCACTGGGAAAGGAGGTAGGGTCTGGTGTGGGGTGGTTTATTCAGTTCTGGCTCGGCAGGTAGATTTTGATCTGCTTGAATGATCAGATGGTACAATGGAAGGAGTCATGAAAACTGAACTGTCATTTTGCAAATGAAAAAACTAAATCCCAGAGAAGCGATGACTTATCCAAGGGCACATCAGTGGCAGAACCCGAATCAGACACCACGTCTTAGCCTTGTAGTCCAGCACCAGGCTTTTCAGAAGTAAACCGAAACCTGACTCTAGAGAAGACCTGGTTCTCATCTCTCCTCAAGATTCCTTTGAAACAAACTGGATCCTAATCTGGATTTCTTTTCCCAGAGATGCCCGGATTCAGAGGAGAACCAGGTCCAGCCTGCCCCTCTGGAGCCAGGCCAAAGCTGAGCAGCAGTTTGGGAGGGCCTGAGGGGTTCAGTACTTGGGCAGATCTAGCTAAGTAGTCTCTGGATCCTTCCACATTTCAGTTTTCAGGAGCAACAGCACCAACTCCCCTCGAAAGTAGCAAAGATGAATAGCTAAGGCACAGATATAACACTAGTGGTCCCAAATCATTGTCACATTCATTAAATACCAGCATACTGGTCATTTGAGAGACAGAGCTGGGGAAGATCCTGGTCCACTCTCTGATGACAGCTTTGCGTCTGGGTATGATCCCAAGAAGGAAGCATTCATTCAGGGAACACAAAGGGGGCCTGTGTGGAAGGTAGAACTGGAAGAAAGTAGCATTGTACCTAAGGAAGCTCTGGATGGCTTCTCTTGAGAGGCAGGCTCGAAGAGTATAGGGAGGAGGAGTGCTTGGTGACAGAGTCTTGGAAAGAGAAGGTGAATGCTAACTTCTCTCTACTTCCTGCTATTTATCAAGCTGAGAGCTACAAAATGTTCTATAACTTCAGCAATATTTTTTCTAGCACATTTGAAGTGTGTCTTACAGTACAAAATCAAAATCAAATAACGACAAAAATCAAAATGTCTCTATCTGTTGTCTTTCTGAAGAACAGCAGGTCATGTATTACATTGAGAGTTTTAGCAGATTCTTCTGATATTTTGATAAGGTTTAACCAAGTATTCATAGATAACTGAGTTATTCATGTTGTAACAGAATTGTTTTCATATGAAAATTCCAGAATCATCATTTAAAAGCATTTTTTAAAATAGAGTACACCAACTCTCCACTGAAAGTGTAGCTCAATTGATAAGAAAATATTTCTTTTTTTTTTTTTAACTAGAAGTGACCTTAGAGATTATGTAACCTAATCCACTTATTTTAAAAGTGCTTCTGGCCAGGCACAGTGGCTCACACCTGTAATCCCAGCACTTTGAAAGACCAAGGCAGATGGATCCCTTGAGCTCAGGAGTTCAAGACCAGCCTGGCCAACATGGTGAAACCCCGTCTCTACAAAAAATACAAAAACTAACTGGTCATGGTGGTGAGTGCCTGTAGTCCCAGCTACTCAGGAGGCTGAGGTGGGAGTATCATGTGAGCCTGGGAGGTCGAGGCTGCAGTGAGCCGAGATCACACCACTGCATTCCAGCCTGAGTGATAGAGTGAGACCCTGTCTCAAAAAAAAAAATAAGTATATTAGTATTGTTTGGAAAAATCCTAAAGCATACTCTTCACAACCTAAAGATAGATGGACTGGGCATAGTGGCTCACACCTGTTATCCTAACACTTTGGGAGGTGGAGGCAGGAGGATCACTTGAGGCCAGGTGTTTGAGACCAGCCTGGTCAACTAGTGAGGCCTTGTCTCTAGGAAGGAAGGGAAGGGAAGGGGAGGGAAGGGGAGGGAAGGGGAGGGAAGGGGAGGGAAGGAGAGGGGAGGGGAGGGAAGGAGAGGGGAGGGGAGGGAAGAAGAAGGGAGGGGAGGGGAGGGGAGGGGGAAAAGCTAGAGGCTCGTGCCTCAGGAGTTCAAGGCTGTAGCAACCTATGATCGTGCTACTGCACTCCAGCCTCAGTGACAGAGCAAGACCATGACTCAAAAAAAAAATGGATGTGTGTGTGTGTGTATATATATATATATATATATATATATATATATATATAAAATATATAATATATATAACATATTATATATATTTGGAGGTTTATTTAAAGTCATAGCATATTTCAAATTTGTATCACTGAAAAATTGAACTTATTATTTGACAAACCAAACTAATGTTTATGAAGTTACAAGAAATAATCTCTAATTCATGAGCTTAATCTGATTATTCTGGAAATATTTTTAGACAGTAAAACATCTGTCACTACTTATCTTATTAGAATAAAAAAACGTGTTTCAGATACTTAAAAAACAAAACACTTGTGCATATATATGACTTTTATGTGTCATTTAAAAATAAAAGTTAAATACTTCAGATGGGTTCACATGAGAAATGTTTATTTATTTATTTAAGACAGAATCTCACTCTGTCCATCAGGATGGAGTACAGTGGACCAATCATGGCTCACTGCAGCCTTAAACTCCTGGGCTTAAGCCATCCTTCAGTCTCAACCTCCCAAGTAGCTGGGACTACAGGTATGCACTACCAAGTCCAGCTAATTTTTTTAATGTTTTGTAGAGATGGGGTCTCACTATGTTGACCAGGCTGGTCTCAAACTCCTGGCCTCAAGTGATTCTCTGGCCTTGGCCTTCCAAAGTGCTGGGATTACAGCCATGAGCCACCATGCCCAGCTGAGACATTTTTTAAATAGATTAAATAATTTTATCTTCACTATCCTTTTTTTTTATTATTTTAAACTGGAAAAGAAAGATGACTCCTACTGTTAAAATTCTTAAATGTTTTCTCAGTATATTTCAAAGGCAGGAAGATAAACTTAGGTGTCTAATACACTGAATCTAGAATAAATATTTAAATATTCCCATAAAGTGGGCTAGCTGATGAAAGCAATAAAGTAAAATTTAGCAGTAATTGATATAAAATTTTATATTGGGTTCCAAAAAATTTTGCATCACTTGGGATTTTTAGTGTAGATGAGAGAAGACTTAGCGGGGAGAAAATAGCTGTTTTCAAGTATTTAAAATGGATTCAGAGAAAGAGAAATTGGCTTTGCAAGGTGTTGCTTTAAAAGTTAAAATTAGGAGCCCAGTGGGAAGTAGATATTGGGCTATAATGAGAAATAACTTATTTTAATTACTGCTATAGGCAGAGGAATGGGCTGCTCTGTAAATGGCAACCTTTGCATAAAAGATTTTTTTGGTAGCAGTTGTGTTACTATCTAACTCCCTAAGATTTAAGGAAAATAAGCTAACCATTACCCCAGCACCCAACCCTGCTTTTCAAGGCCAGCATGGTGGCTTATATGTAATAGACCCTCCACAAATATTTTTGAGTAAGTGAACTGATTATGGCCTAATTATTGCCACATATCAGTAAAATTATGGAAAATAACAAATTAAAATCAAAGTATGTAGTTAATCTGATAAAAGACATTTTAAAAAACTAATGAAGGCTGGGAGAGGGGGCTCACACTTGTAATCCCAGCACTTTGGGAGGCTGAGGCAGGCAGATCACTTGAGATCAGGTGTTTGAGGCCAGCCTAGACAAAAGGGCAAAACCTCGTCTCTGCTAAAAATACAAAAATTAGCCGGGTGTGGTGGCACACACTTGTAATCCCAGCTACTCGGGAGGCTGAAGCAGGAGAATCGCTTGAGTCCAGGAGGTGGAAGTTGCAGTGAGCCGAGATCTTGCCACTGAACTCCAGCCTAGGTGACAGAGTGAGACCCCACCTCAAAAAAGAAAAAAAAAAAAAAGAATGAAACATTTATAATTTTTTAACTTAAGCATTTCTTTTAATGTTGAAAAAAAAATTTTTTTTTTTTTGAGACAGGGTTTCGCTCTTGTTGCCCAGGCTGGAGTGCAACGGCACGATCTCAGCTCACTGCAACCTCTGCCTCCCGGGTTCAAGTGATTTTCCTGCCTCAGCCTCTCAAGTAGCTGAGATTATAGGCTCCCACCACCACGCCCGGCTAATTTTTTGTATTTTTAGTAGAAACGGTTTCACCATATTGGCCAGGCTGTTCTCAAACTCCTGACCTCAGGTGATCCACCTGCTTCGGCCTTCCGAAGTTCTGGGACTACAGGCGTGAGCCACCACGCCTGGCCAATGTTGAAAATTTTTTTGACTTTTATTTATCCACGTTACTTTGAACTTAAGGTTGTGTGCAGATTATTAAATAAAAGTCTTACAGCAAATGCCTGCTGGACTGTGAAAGAATCTGTTTTACAACAAAGCCATATTTAGTTTTAGCCCAGCTAAGAAACCAATCAACCCAGAGCATCACATGACACAGTTTAAGATACGCCGTAGCTAGGGATGGTATTTTTACTACTGGAAAAACATAACCATGGACATCATCTGTTTGATTTGTTTTTTTTTTAGACAGTGTCTCGCTCCATTGCCCAGGCTGGAGTGCAGTGGTGCAAACATGGCTCACTGCAACCTTGACCCCCCAGGCTCAAGTGATCCTCCTGCCTCAGTCTCCCCTGCAGCTGGGGCCACAGGTGTACACCACCAAGCCTGGCTATTTTCTTTTTTTTTTAATGTAGAGATGTGGTGGGGGGGTGTTTCAGTTTGTTGCCCAGGCTGGTCTCGAACTCCTGGGCTCAAGTGACCCTCCTGCCTCGACCTCCCAAAGTGTTGGGATTACAGGTGTGACCCCCCCATACTCAGCCCTGTTTGAATTTTTTTAAAGCAATCCTTTCCTTCCTGACCACAGAGGAGGGAAAGTAACTCAGGTTCAGCAATACATACATTCTTAAATAAGTATCGGAACCATTAACTAAAATAAGAAAAAATAGCAAGTTAAGTTCTAGAATTCTTCCACCCAAAGCATATTCAAAACAAGCAAACAAAATATTCAGTTCTGACTCTTGCGTCTTTTTAACCTATATTCTTGGTTAGGCCTTAGACATGATAAAAAGAAGCATTCTTTCCTTTTCCTTTAGTTCTTTGTCCTACATTATTAGGGTCTTCCTGACTTCATCTTCTATGCCACCTCTTTAAATTAAAAATTTGAAGGCATTTGTCCATCCTACTTGGATGTCATTGTTTAAAATTATAAACTGAGGATTTGCAAATTCCTTAAAGTGAAATTTAAGAAAATCTTTAACATTTCATAAGTCATATTGTAGTCAATGTCCTATTTTCAGGACATTGTCTGCTTTTTTCCAGAGCAGACAAATTCCCCAGAGTTATGCAGCGTGCCAGACCATCCTCCTTTTTATTTAATTATTTCGAAGGATGAAAAGCTTTTTCATAGCACCCCCACAAAATCTGTTATACCAAGCACCATAAGAAGTCACACATAGCATTGAGCTCAACACAATGCCTGTGATTGTAACTCCCCTCCTCGGCTTCTTGTCTCTCCACTCCTCAGGCCTGTAACTTGTACACGTTATCTCTTCTGAATGCAGGCTTAACACTAACATACCCAGCAACCACACACAGCTTCCTGCACCCACCTCAAAGTGGTGGGCTGTTGTTCCTTCAGCATGAGTATCCAGCTATGGAAGACAGGAGATTACATTTTCTTTGGTTGCCTATGAACTGGTTCTGTCATGAGATGCTAGGCAGGGCTATGCTTGCATAGCACTGCCAATTATTCCAAGGCCAAAGTTGTCCATTTTGGTAGCTATCTCTCAAAATACCACTGGCTGAAACCTAATGACTGCATTCAGCAAGGATTTCATTCAGATACCTACCCAGGGATACCTTTGACAAACAATTTAAAATCTTCACTAACAAATCTATTGCTGATGGTTAGGTTTTCTATGGGTGTTTATGGAGAATTTTCTTGTGTGTTCACTTTTGTAATTTGATAAAACTTGCTTTAAAAATGCTCCCAGCTGGGCGCAGTGGCTCACGCCTGTAATCCCAGCACTTTGGGATGCCAAGGTGGGCGGATCACCTGAGGTCAGGAGTTTGAGACCAGCCTGGCCAACACAGCGAAGCCTCGTCTCTACTAAAAATACAAAACAAAATTAGCTGTGCGTGGTGGCGGACACCTGTAATCCCAGCTACTCAGGAGGCTGAGGCAGGAGACTCCTTGTCACCCAAATAATATCCTCCCTTGAACCCGGTAGGCGGAGGTTGCAGCAAGTTGAGATTGTACCATTGCATTCTAGCCTGGGCGACAAAGCAAGACTTCGTCTCACAAAAAAGAAAAAAAAAATGCTCCCCACCAGTGTTATCTCAGCTGTGCTGCCATGGCATAGAACATTTGGCCTTGGATCACTGACATGTCCCAATGTTGACTGAGGGTCACTCAGTCAACCTATCACATCTGATTCAAGCGAAGTGTCAGCCTCCCAGGCAGATCTGAGTGGCTGTGTTTCACCAGTTTCTGTCTCACAGATCCTGTGAATCAGGTAACTGACTCTGGCCCCTCAATTGTAAGAAAGATCAGACTCACGTTTGTGACCCAGCTCTGGCAAGTATGTAGGACTTTAAGGCACTCGTACTAATCTCATGGCAGGCTTTATTATTTTTTTCACTATATTTCTTTGTTACAACTCTGTCATAGGTATTTTATGTATTTTTGCAAACCACCTAAAATTCTGGTTTAAGTCAATAATTTAATCATTATTATACTTATTAGTAATCTGATCATTTTAAATCAATTAATTTATCATTCCATACTGAACAGAAAGAGTTCTGATTGAGTGCTGTCACATTGAAGAGCCATTCTTATTCATGGGCATCTGTTTAAAAGTTATGTAGACTGGGCTGGCACGGTGGCTCATGCCTGCAATCTCAGCACTTTGGGAGGCCGAGGTGGATGGATCACCTGAGGTCAAGGGTTCGAGACCAGCATGGCCAACATGGCGAAACTCTGTCTCTACTAAAAATACAAAAATTAGCCGGGCGTGGGTGTGCACTTGTGATCCCAGCTACTTGGAAGGCTGACACAGGAGTATCGCTTGAGTTCGGGAGGTGGAGTTTGCAGTGAGCCCAGACCACACCACTGCCCTCCAGCCTGGGCGACAGAGCAAGACTCCATCTCAAAAAAAAAAAAAAAAAGAAAGAAATTATGTAGACTGCTGCTTTCTGGGATATTTAAAAGTCCATCATCAATTACCTCCTTCTGCTATTCATTTCTTACTTTCTGTTGAAGGAGAATTGAAAAGGCAATCAGGAGAGTCCATTTCAAAAGGAAATAAAAGACTACATGAGGCACACGAACTCAAATTCATTTAAATGTTTTCAGAAATATGTCATGTATATTTAAAATAATATACACATTGTTTTACTGAACTAGGATTCTATTGTTCTGGGTGAATTACTAGAATTCTTACACAAGTTGATAGGAACTAGAGGCTGAGCAGACGTGATATGATATCTAGTAAATAAATTAAAGATGTTAAATTATACAGAAGAAAGTAGGTTATGTCCTATATGAAATTTAATCTCAAATTATTTTCTTTTTTAATTGTCTAAGCCTTCTACAATATTATTTTGTTTGGTGAATGGCTTAAGAGTTTAGATCTGCTTTTGGTTAGGAAGTGACTGAGATGTTTAGTGGAGAAAGGAGGAAGAGTAACAGGTCATTGCTACTTGGTAGTAGAATAAAAGAATGGTGATGAGCTCATCACCATCAGGCATGTTTATATAGAAAAATCGGTCTTTTGTAAGATAATTTGCTAGCAAAATTATCATTGAAAAGAATTTCTTGTAGCTAGTTCAACAGAATGGTATTGTTGAAGACTCTCTAAAACTGTATTCTTTTGTATATAGAAGTGAACCTTTCTTATAATGTTGTGCAAATATATATATTTTTCCACAACATATTAATAATATATAATATATACTTCTATATATACAAATATATACTTAGCATTTCCTCACTTGTATTGATAAAGGCACAATAAGTTAAATAAAAACGGTGACAGTTTGGTGGAGAATAAAATTTCAAGGTGAATCTCAGTCTGTTTCCACCACAGCCTACCTTCCTGTGGGTCACCTTGAATGATGAGGCCCTGGTGGGTTTGAATTTAAAATGAATTGACTCTCACCAATTGTTTTGAATGTTTATACTATCTTCAAACTTTTTTGATTAACTGACATGTATCTGGTCTTCATTGAGTAGATGTAGCAGAGCTAAGACTAGAATTTACCAATCTTGGTAGTTGTTTCTTTCTGTTCTTGATTGATTATCCAGGAGGAAGCAAATCTTGATCTTTCACATTACTGTTTGTTAACTAACACTATATATTCAGCTTATCTCTAGTTTTCTATAATTTCTCTGGTCTAATTACTTTAGCTTTTCCCCTCATTCCTTGCTTAGAATTAAAAACTTTAACTTGGTTGTGTAAACTGGCATTGCACAATTTCTTCTATTTCACAAAATAAATTCTCTACAATCTTACCTCGTTATCTATTGCAAACTTTGCTGAAGGTAAAATAAACATCTTAAAAAGTGCTTGAGTGCAATGCTCAGTCTCCTCATGCATTTTGGTACAATCTAATTTTATTAGAAGCTATTTTTCACACAAAATCTCAACTACTATTTCTCGCTCAAGAAACTCCAGTTATTCTTTCATCTACAGAGCCTGCGTTTACTTTTGATAAAAAGGCGGCATTTTGTTGGCTCTAATTAGGTTTGGCTCAACCCATTAGCTTTGCTAACAATAAACTAATTGTCAGTCAAACTTGTGTTTTATCTGTCACCCTCTCCCCTCCTCCATTTTCTAGCTTAGTGTAGTGACAGGAACAGGCGCAGCTGACTTGAAATGAATTATTTTGTCTTTCTGAGCCTTCATTTTCTCATTTGCAAATACACCCATCTTAGGATTGCTGAGCAAAATTGATCCAAGTCCTCCAAAAGAATCAGCACTCAATAAATGTGAATGTCCTTGCCCTCAGAGAAGGATCTTGTAGGAAATTACACCAGCAAAGCAAAGTCACTGGAAAGCAGTAAGTCATCTCTTCATCTGAGTTTTGCATCCAGGCTTTGACACACAATAGATGATGGTGGTGGTGGTTGTTTTTTACTAGTCAAGTACAGCAATGAGAGGTGGGGAAAGAGCAGAACAAGGAGTTTGAGTTGTAGCTGACTGCAAACAATCTACAGGACTCACTCCCTGTTTTACCTTTAGCCAACAATACATGTTTTGAAAAATCACTCTCCCAAACCATTTTCAAAAACTTAAAGAAGAAAGCCCACATTGAAGCCTGTGAAAAATTGTTTAAATTTGTCCCCTCATTTAAGATTAACCTCTAGCTCAATATTGTAATGATGATAAATTAATTCTCAAAGCATTTTGCACTTTTCCTTTATATTTATCACAACTATAACTAAATGCCTTGATCCCTGGTATTATGAACTCTATCTTGAAGGGAGGAACTGTGTCTGTCTTGGCAACTTCTGTATCTCCAGTTGACATACAATAGGTGATATTAATAAACATTTGAAGAGTCAGTGAGTGAGTGCAGTAGTCTGTGTTTCTGTTTAAAGCAGTGCTTCTGAAAGGCTGTAGGTGAATCCACTTTAAATCCATTTTTCCCCCCCAATAACTTGTGGTAAAATTATCACCAATGCCTTCTCCCCATTTCTGCCTGCTCTTCCCTTGACATTATCTCATTAAAAGAATCTATTTCTCATTGATCTTCCTTCTGCTCTGTAAATAAATGCTTTGGGGAGATAGGCTAAGGGTCAGAGAAGAAATTTAAAGAAATGCTACTGCTGAATTATTTTATTAAGGCAAAATCTTTTCACATATGAAAAATTTGTCCTTATATTTTTGTGTAATAATGTTAGATTTTCATTTGTTGCAACTTCATTAAAAAAAAAATGCACTGATATCTACCTGGGACACTCCGTAAAGGTACTTAAAACATTTTCCTAAAAGAGCACAAACCATATTTTTTGCCTAAATTTCATTTTAGCTTCTTTCTAATTCTAAGCAAAAAGAGTCTTTGCTACAACTATATCTCACATTTTTTACTCATTATTTAACTAAAAATTTATTGTAAAATCTGTCTTCAAATCCATCTGTAGAAAAGGAGAAAGGATTTAATATTTCTATAAAGCTGTGGACTTGGAATGGAAAAAATGTATCATGAGTTTGAATTCTTCAACTACTTATTTTTCTGGGGGAGGGCTGGAGGGAGTTACGGATGGGAGGCCTTACTCTGAGAGTTATTGTGATAGGATCTTTTGACAAAGGCAGCTCTTTTTAAGTTGTTTTTCAGGCCCTTATGGGTTGGGATAAGGACCTATGTGCTGGAACTTACGCAAACGGAACAATTAAGCTGGGGCTTTTTATATTTCCAAGACATTTCTGAAGAACATGAGAGTCTTTTGCTTTGCAAAACATAACATTTCAAAAACAGTCTTCTAAACCTGCATATGAGTAGTTCCCACCTTACCTCATTCTTTAAAACAAGATTTTCAACACACTTAAGAATTACCTTAGAGTTTGTGAAGAATGCACATTCCATAGTTACGGAGCTGAGCTCCGGCATTGCATGTTAACCCGTGGGTTATGAGATTCTTACGTACATGATCAATATAAACTATGCTTTGAAAAAAGGTTATTTTCAGATGGAAGTGGGCAACTGGGTTTCAATGACCTCCCCACTTTTCCTGTTTTTCCTTCTCCACTTCCATTCAGTCACTGCCTCAGATTACTTTCTTAGACATTCTCCTTCCACTTCTCAACAGAGAGGCAGCCTATCCAGAGAAGGTCCATGACAGAATTTGGTCTCCCACTCATCCTGTCCTCAATCCACACTCCCATCCTGCACTTCCTTTTTTAGCTCACTTGCTTATGACAGTTTCAGAATGGTTTTCTCTCCCACTTTGTTCCTTTGTCCACAGGCTCACCATTAATATTTCTCCAGGCATTTTGTTCTGGACCTCTGTGAACCACAATGACAATCTGAGAATGCATCTAGAGTGAGGTAATCATGGAAACCATATCCATAAGGCCCAGAAATGGGAACTAGGGTGTTTAGCTTAGAGGGAATGGATGTCTTATGTCTTATGTTAACTTAGAGGGAATGATATCTTATGTCTTATGTTAACTTAGACTCATTCTGTGCGGTTCTATGAATCCTAACTACAACAACTGAGTAAAAGTTATGCAAAAGCAGATTTTGGCTGAAGATCAAGGAAAACTTCCTAATGAAATAGTAGCTTTGCAAAGTTCTAAAAATCCAGTCACTATGAGTGTTCAAATAGAAGATGGAGAATTTCCCGTAAGCATTTGGGGAAGGAAAATATTCTATTAGTGAAGATCAGAACTATTCATTTGTTCATTACTCTATAAACATTTGTGTAGCACCCACTGTGTGGATGGTGCCCCAAACAGTGGTGATACAAAGATAAATAAGACTTATTTCATGTTTTGGAGGAGCTTAAGGTCTAGCAGAGAACCAGATATTTAAACAAAAACATTGCAATATAGTGTGTTGAGTGTAATAGTAGAAGAATGCACACAGCTGGCATCAATCACAGACATGTGTGTGAGCAAGATTCAGAGATTCCAGCTCTCAGACTTTAAGCTGGAAGTCAGACTTTCTCACACTTTGACACCAAGTGGAGTAGAAATGAACTCCCCTCAACCCGTAAGCTTTGCCCAAGCTGCAGATTTGGGAGCAAAATATATATTGTGGTTGTTTTAAGCACTAAATTGTAAGGTGGTTTGTTAAGAAGCAATAAATGACTGGAACAAGGATGAAATGAATTAATTTATATAAAGAGCATAGAACAGTTATCTAGCACATGGTAAGTACTCAATAAATATTAAGCTACTATGGTTATTGTTTTATTATTATCATTGTTACAAAAGTGGTATTATTAAAAAACATTAGTATCAAAATCTATATCAATTTATTCAGCTTTATCATGCCATAAACTCTCTGCTCATATTTCCTGCCATTTCCACATGCTTTTCCTCTTTCTTTTGCCACTTCTGCATTGCCCATAGCCACATGGAGTATGTCTACAAAGAGCTAAATATTTTGCATTTTCTATTTACCTTACCTGGAATATAGCAATACTCTCCTCCCTGGTCAAGCCACTTTCAGATTGTCCCTTCTGATCCATTCACTTACGTGACAGCCAGAGAGAGTTTTTTGTTTTTTTTTTCTTTTTTTTTCAATTCAAACCTGACCACATCAGTTGCCTACTTAATATCTTTCAATAGTTTCCCACTCTTCTTAGGACGCAGCCTCCAACCATAATTGTGGCTTCAAACCCTGTATGGTTGTCCCTCTGCTCACTCTCTCCCCTCTGAATCTTATCACCTTTACTCACTGTATTCCAACTAGCCTGGTCTGCCTGCACCTCCTCTCCTTTCTGCCTTAGGGTCCTGGAACACTGTTCCCTCTGGGCACTAGGCTCTTTAAAGAGCCTTTTTATTGAGTTAACTCCTCCTTGGCCTTCAGGCATCACCTTAAATTTTACTTTCTTATGGAAGATCCTGAGCTCCATAGCACTTCATCAGTGGTATATAAATAATAATAATAATTAGTAGTATTGTATAATTATTTGTTTAATGTCTGCCTCTACAAAGGCAGGGATGATTTCTCCACAGCCACATTCCTACCACCCTAGCACATAGGAAGCAAATGAGTGTCAAATTGACTCATTTCAGTGGGTTGTGCTTAGGTTCCTAACGTTTATACATATATTAGATATACAAAATATGTATACGGTCATGGACCACTTAATAGTAGGGATATGTTCTGAAAAATGCATTATTAGGTAATTTTTTTACTGTGCAAACAGCGTGGTGTGTACTTACACAAACCTAGATGGTATAGCCTACTACACTCCAGGGCTATACGGTATAGCCTATTGCTCTTCGGCTACAAACCTATACAACATGTTACTGTTCTGAATACCCTAGGCAATTGTAACACGATGATAAGTATTTGTGTGTCTAAACATAGGGAAGTACAGTAAAAATATGGTATAAAAGATAAAAAATGATACACCTGTATAGGACACTTATTATGATTGGATCTAGGAGGGTGAGTCAGTAAGTGAGCGGTAAGTAAATGAGAAGGCCTAGGAAATTATTGTACACAACTATAGATTTTATAAACTACCGTACAGTTAGGCTACATTAAATTTACGCAAAATTTTTTCTTTCTTCAGTAATAAATTAACCTCAGCTCAATGTAAATTTTCTTATTTTATATAAAAACTAAACTTTTTTCAACTTTTTGACTCTTGTGTAATAACACTTATCTTAAAACACAAACATTGTATGGCTGTACAAAAATATTTTCTTTCTTTATATCTTTATAGGCTTTTTTCTACTTTTACATTTTTTAATTTTTTTAACTTTTTAAGCTTTTTCATTACAAACAAAGACACAAACATACATGTTAGCCTAGGCCTACACAGGGTCAGAATTATCAACATCACCATCTTCCACTTCCACATCTTGTCCCACTGGATGGTCTTCAAGGGCAGATGACGCATGAAGCTGTCATCTCCTATGATAGCAATGCCTTACAGAATATCTCCTGGAGGACCTGCCTAAGGCTGTTTTACACTTATTATTATTATTATTTTTGTAAGTAGAAGTAAATATTTTCCAAACAAAAAAATCAATGCACATGATTATATGGAAGTTAGAAAAAAGAAAAAAAAAAACATTTTTAAAAACCAGAACTGTGCTAAATGCCCCACTTATTTTATTGCATTTTGTCTTCACAATAATCTTGGCAGAAAAGCACTTTTAACTTAGGCACAGAGAATTCACTAAGCTCATAAGGAGCAAGTTGGCATTTGAACCCAGTGACTCTAGGTCTGCGCTGTGAGAGTAACCTTCAGAATCGGCAGTAATTCAGGTGAAGATAACAGTGGTCTGCCCTGAGACAACGGCAGAGGGGTTGAGAACAGTGAACAGTGGACAGATTTGAAGACTATTAAGAAGATAGGAATGAAAGGACTTGGTGATGGGCTAAAAGAAGTGAGAAGAAAAGAAAGAAAGAAAGAAAGAAAGAAAGAAAGAAAGAAAGAAAGAAAGAAAGAAAGAAAGAAAGAAAGAAAGAAAGAAAGCGAGAGAAAGAAAGAGAAAGAGAAAGAAAGAAAGAAAGAAAGAAAGAAAGAAAGAAAGAAAGAAAGAAAGAAAGAAAGAAAAAGAGAAAGGAAGAGAGAGAGAGAAAGGGAAAGGGAGGAAGAGAGGAAGGGAGGAAGGGAGGAAGGGAGGAAGGGAGGGAGGGAGCATTAGTCAGGACGCTTTGCAGTGCAAGGAACAGAAGCTCAAGACCAGCCTGGACAACCGAGCAAGACCCTGTCTCTACAGAAAAATTTGAAAAGAAAATTAGCCTGGCATGGGGGAGAGGGCCTGTGGTTTAAGCTACACGGGAGGCTGAGGTGGGAGGATCGCTTGATCTCAGGAGTTTGAGGCTGCAGTGAGCTATGATCGTGTCACTGCACTGCAGCCTGGGTGACAGAGGGAGACTCAGACTCTAAAAACAAAACAAAATTGATATAAACCAGAGGCAAAGCTGTTGGAAGGGAAGGTTTGGGGGATTCCAAGGTGTTTCTAAGGACAATTCTCAGCATGCTGGCAGTGCTGTGCCCCTCGTAGCCTCAGAATATCTGTTTCACTTTCTGGTGTCAGAAGCAGACTTTCTGCTCCTAAGTGTATAAGCAGAGCTCTCCCAAAACTTTCTCCACACGGTGCAGCAACCTGCGCCATTAGGGACCTTACACGCATGCGTATGGCCACCCTAGCGCATCTCCTCCTGCAATTGGCCACCGTCTGTGTCCAGGGATAAACACGCTAGCGGCGGGGCCTGCAGTCAGTCGGTCGGGGAAAGGACTGGAAGAGTCCCTCTGAGCCCCTGGCAGGGGTCGGGGCGATGAGCCTAAGGAGTTCTGCGTCCTGGGTACAAGGAGAGTGGTGTGGATGGGGGCCACAAGCTCCGCGTGGGAATGTCCCCTTGGTTCCAAGACACCACCCTTTACAGGGAAGGGCGCCGTTAGAGGAGTGCTAGGGAGTCCTTCTGCTACATCCTCTCGTGGCTTCCCAGAACCTCCCTCCCCACCCCTCACTCCCAGGGGAGTTGTCTTCAAGTCTCCGCAGCCAGGTGGAGCCACATGCCCTGGCCACAGATGCAAAGGGTTCTGGGAAAGCAAATGTCACCTTTTCCGCTTCTGCAGTGGAAGAGACAGTGCAAAGTAGGGGATGGAATATGAGATGGTTGTTGGGAAGGCAGCCAACTAGGACTGCCACAAAAAGTCAAGAGTAACACCGAGAAGTTTCTTTAAAAGTTAACACAAAATCATACCTACCATGTGACCTAGACATTCGGCTCCTGCAAATTTAACCAAGAAAAATGAAATCATATGTACATACCAAGGCTTGTACATGAAATAGTAGTTTTATTTGCAATAGCCAAAACCTAGAAATGACTCAAATGGCCATCAACAGGCAAATGAATAAACAAATTGTGGTATATCCATATAATGGTATGCTACATGCTAATAAAAAGGAATGAATTATTAATACACACATCAACATGGATGAATCTCAAAATAATTATGCTGAGTGAAAGAAACCAGACAAAAAAGTACATGCTACATGACTCCATTTATATGAAATTCTGAAAACTGTAAATTAATCTATACTGACAGAAAAGCAAATCAGTAAATATGTGCAGTTTATTGTGGTCTATAATTTATACCTCAGTAAAGCTATTTAGAATAAAACAAAGCAAAATGTTGCCAGGGTGTTTGTTATTTGGGCAATTGGTGATTCACTGAAAGGACCACAGGTTGGGAGGAAGACAAAGAGCTCTGTTTGGACATACAGTGCTGAGTCTGAATAGAACCACAGAATATCCAAATAGAGAAGTCAGTGAGTTTTGAATACTAGAGTCTCTTTAAGGAGAAGTATTTGGGCTAGAGCTGCTATTTTACACCTGAAATATGCACATGAAATTTTATGACAACAGCCATTAAGGTTGAATGGTGAGGACAGAGCCAGACTCCAGTAGATTGAGGCAGAAGCAAAGAAATGTAGAGAGAAAAATAGGTAACTCTTTTGGTAAGTTTGGCTGTTCTGGATAAAAGAAAAATCAAGCAATTGCTGGAGGAAGTGTCTGAGCTGAGGGGACGGGATGTTTATTTGATTTTTAATATGGAAGATAATTGAGTTATATTTAAAGTCTGAGTATAAAACTCCAGAGGAGAGGTAGACATTGATACAGGAGAGAAAGAGATAACTGATGTCACTAAGTGCATCAAAATGTAAGAAAGATTGGGATCCAGAGTGTTCTTCTACTGTAACCAAAAGGAACAAGAGACATGTACCCAGGAGTTGGTGGCAGGTGTGACAGCTGTGCTGTGCTCATTGGGAGAGCACCTGCTGCTGACCTGAAGTTTTTTTTTTAATAATAATACAATCATTATTCTATTCCTTATAAATAAATATATGTGTATATTCAATATATTCATTATAAGCCCCCATGTACTTGAAAATGTTTTCATTTTCCCAGCCTCAGCAATTATCAACTGATGGCCTATCTTATTTCATCTCTACGCCAACTCTTCAACTCCCCAATCCAGATGATTTTGAAGCAAATCCTAGACTCTTTTAAAATAGACATATAATTACTATGCCATTATTCAAACTAAATAAAAATTAATTCCTTAATATCTTCCATTATTCAGTTGTTATAGAACCAGATTATTGACCCTGCCTACTGATAGGTCATAGGTAGGGTCTTTTGGGAGAAAGAAACTAATAAAGGTTTGTGCTGAAATGCATACCCAGCTCCTTACCGCACTACTATCATGAGTGTCTTCCCAATTGAGACGTGGGCACAAAGTAGAGCCACAGTTATAGCCCTGGGTAGTCAAAAAGCTCAAGTCCTAGAGCATGAACTGTGGCAAATCCAGACATAGGAGCTGAAGCCTCAGCAGCATTTGATTCATCCATTTATTCATTTAATATTTTCTAAGTACCTATTCTGTGTCAGGCACCATTGAAGACACTGGGCATATAGAAGTAAGCACACTGGACATGGTCTCTGGCCTCATGGCTATTCCAGCCTACTGCAGTGGGCTCCCTTTACCCTTTATGGAGAATCCATCCTTCCCTCACTTCTTTAGTTAACCTAACATTGTTCTCTCTTCCAATTTTTATTTGTTGTTAAAACAATATTGTAACATTGGAGGAATTTTTTAAGAAAAAAATTTATCTAAAAAATAGCTAGATCTTTTCATAATTGTTTTTATTTTTCCACATACCCTTCTAGTGTTTGTTCATGTATTAAAATTGGACGTTGGCTGTAATTTCAACGCTTTGGGAGGCCGAGATGGACGGATCACTTGAGATCAGGAGTTTGAGACCAGCCTGGTTAAAATTAGCCAGGTGTGGTGGCAGGATCCTGTAGTCCCAGCTACTTGGGAGGCTGAGGTGGGAGAATCACTTCAACCTGGGAGGCAGAGGTTGCAGTGAGCCAAGAACACACCACTGCACTCCCACCTGGGTGACAGAGAGAGACTCCATCTCAAAAAAAGAAAAATGGAAGCAACCTAAATGTCCATGAGTATGGAATCTTTAAATTCATACAACCATTAAAATTGAAGTAGATCTCTATACATGTGCATGTTACAAATATATAAACTCAAAGTTTGCCTAAGTCAGGGGTTCTCAAGTTTTAGCATGCACCAGGATCACCTGGAGGGCTTGTGGATGGCTTCGCAATCAGTAGGTCTATGGTGGAACCTGAGACCTTGAAATTCTACCGAGTTCCCAGGGGATGCCAAGGCTGTTGGTTGGGGGACTATAAGAACCACTGCCTGATCATTTAATCTTGCTAAAGCAAGGACAAGTTGTAAAGTCTCTACAGGTGCTTTGTGCTGTTCAAGTGTAGTGTTCCAAAGCAAATGGCTATTTATTTACGAGGCCATTTTGGTGAGTACAAAAGTTGGCCAGTAGCAGACTTTGAGGTAGAAGCAGAAGGTACTGAGCTCTGCATAATAATAAAGTGGGAGGACATTTGAGTTCTGGGGAAAATTAGGGGAGAAAAAAATAGAAATGGGGAAGAAAAATGATTAGAGGTAAGTGGACAAAAGGATTTTGGAGCACACTGAAATATTCAATTTTAAATTATTTGCTTTCCTTTTCTGCAATAGAAACCATTCAATTATCTCCAAGTATTCTGATACTGCTTAGTCAATAGTATTTTGCGAAGTGGAGATCAGAAGTGTCCAACATGTGGTGATGTGGTACAGAAAAGGAGAAACACATACAGAAGGTGAGACCAAGAGCAAGAATCAATAATTCAGCAAAAGCAGGATGTCAGAAGAAGTGACTAGGAGAAATGAAAGCCCCAAGAGTCCCTGAGGAAGAAGAGAGATGAGAGATGGTGCTCAGAGCCATTTTTACTTGCTATTATGAAAATGGGTGTGCCCATAATGCTGGAGGACTTGCAATACTATCAGCTGATATCCAGCTAGGGACTGATATTGAGCATAGATGACAAGGTCAAGTGTGACAACACTTGTATGTTGCAAACAATGGGGGTAGAGTCATGGTTGTGGCAAAGAGTTGAGACAGAATGTAATTAAGAGACCATGTTTACTCTTAGAATAGAATCCTCCCAGAGCCTGTGGTGAGTTTAAGCTCTTAGAGTTTAGTCAGAAAGAATAACTCCCACAATACCAGCAAGGATTTCCTGGTCAGTAACTGTGTAGTTCCATTCAACAGGAAACATTATCTTTAGGAACAATCTGTACCTTAATGCCACATGGCATTGGTGTCCAAACAGAAAAAAGTAATGTAAGGAGAAACACCTAAGGTAACAGTGCTCTCTTTTTCTGATAATAAATTAGCACAGTCTCTGAAGCCAACAACTGTTTCACATTCTAAAAAACATTGCTTTGTGATGCATAAAATTTGCTTTTCCACTAGCAATGCAATAACTTGTTATTTTGTGGAAGGCAGATAGAGTGCAGATGCTCTTTCACTTGGAGTAGGGTTACATCCTAATCTATCCATCATGAGTACAGAATATTCTAAGTAAAAAATGCATTTAATATACCTAACCTCCTGAACATCATAGTTTAGCCCAGCCTGCCTTAAATGTGCTCAGAACACTTACATTAGTCTACAGTTGAGCATAAACATCTAACACAAAGCCTATTTTATAATAAAGTGTTGAATATCCCATGTAAGAGTATAATACTGATTATCACTAGCCAAGGAAAAGGTCAAAATTCAAAATTCAAAGGATGATTTCTGCTGAATCCCTATTGCTTTTGTGCTATCATAAAATCGAAAAGTCTTAAGTCGAGCCATCATGTGTTGGGACCATCTGTATGAAGACTGTCCCTACAGTGCATCCCATGGGGCTGGATAGCTTCACATGTGCTCTCATGGCACCCTGGCGTCATTCAGTCACAGCACCTATTATATCACATTTTTAAAATTATTATTATATTTAATAATATAATTAAGTATTATATTAATACTTAAGTATTAATTATTATATTAATACTTAATTATATTAATTAAGTATTATATTAATACTTAATAGTTCTCGGTTACATGTGCAAAACGTGCAGTTTTGTTGCATAGGTATACACATGCCATGGTGGTTTGCTGCACCCATCAACCCATCACCTACATTAGGTATTTCTCCTAATGTTATCCCTCCCCTACCCCCTCACCTCCCACAGGCCCCGATGTGTGATGTTCCCCTCCCTGTGTCCATGTGTTCTGATTGTTCAACACCCACTTATGAGTGAGAACATGCAGTGTTTGGTTTTCTGATCTTGTGATAGTTTGCTGAGAATGATGGTTTCCAGCTCCATTCATGTCCCTGCAAAGGACATGAACTCATCCTTTTTTATGGCTGCATAGTATTCCACAGTGTGTATGTGCCACATTTTCTTAATTCAGTCTATCATTGATGGACATTTGGGTTGGTTCCAAGTCTTTGCTATTGTGAATAGTGTTGCAATAAACATACGTATGCATGTGTCTTTATCGTAGAATGATTTATAATCCTTTGGGTATATGCCCAGTAATGGGATTGCTGGGTCAAATGGTATTTCTAGTTCTAAATCCTTGAGAAACTGCCACACTGTCTTCCACAATGGTTGAACTAATTTACACTCCCACAAACAGTGTAAAAGCGTTCCTATTTTTCGACAACCTTTCCAGCATCTGTTGTTTCCTGACTTTTTAATGATCACCATTCGAACTGGCATGAGATGGTATCTCATTGTGGTTTTGATTTGCATTTCTCTAATGACCAGTGATGATGAGCATTTTTTCTTATGTCTATTGGCTACATAAATGTTTTCTTTTGAGAAGTGTCTGTTCATATCCTTTGCCAATTTTTTTGATGGGGTTGTTTGCTTTTTTCTTGTACATTTGTTTAAGTTCCTTGTAGATTCTGGATATTAGCCCTTTGTCAGATGAATAGATTGCAAAAATTTTCTCCCATTCTGTAGGTTGCCTGTTCACTCTGATGATAGTTTCTTTCGCTGTGCAGTTCTTTAGTTTAATTAGAACCCATTTGTCTATTTTGGCTTTTGTTGCCATTGCTTTTGCTGTTTTACACATGTAGTCTTTGCCCATGTCTATGTCCTGAATGATATTGCCCAGGTTTTCTTCTTGGATTTTTTTTTTTTTTTTAAGACAGAGTCTTGCTCTGTCACCCAGGCTGGAGTGCAGTGGCGCGATCTCTGCTCACTGCAAGCTCCGCCTCCCGGGTTCACACCATTCTCCTGCCTCAGTCTCCCAAGTAGCTGGACTACAGGCACCCACCACCACGCCCAGCTAATTTTTTTGTATTTTTAGTAGAGACGGGGTTTCACCATGTTAGCCAGGATGGTCTCAATCTCTTGACCTCGTAATCTGCCCACCTTGGCCTCCCAAAGTGCTGGGATTACAGGTGTGAGCCACCATGCCCGGCCTTCTAGGATTTTTATGGTCCTAGGTCTTACGTTTAAGTCTTTGATCCATCTTGAGTTGATTTTTGTGTAAGGTGTAAGGAAGGGGTTCAGTTTCAGTTTTCTGCATATGGCTAGCCTGCAAACAGAGACAATCTGTCTCTGCAGAGACAATTTGACTTCCTCTCTTCCTATTTGAATACTCTTTATTTCTTTCTCTTGCCATTTATTAAATAGCAACACCATTTATTAAATAGGGAATCTTCTCCCCATTGCTTGTGTGTGACAGGTTTGTCAAAGATCAGATGGTTGTAGGTGTGTGGCATTATTTATGAGGCATCCGTTCTGTTCCATTGGACTATATATCTGTTTTGGTACCAGTACCATGCTGTTTTGGTTACTGTAGCCTTGTAGTGAAGTTCGAAGTCAGGTAGCGTGATGCCTCCAGCCTTGTTCTTCTTGCCCAGAATCGTCTTGGCTATGGGGGCTCTTTTTTGGTTCCGTATGAAGTGTAAAGTAGTTTTTTCCAATTCTCTGAAGAAAGTCAGTGGTAGCTTGATAGGGATAGCTTTGAATTTATAAATTACTTTGGGTAGTAAGGCCATTTTCATGATACTGATTCTTCCTGTCTATGAGCATGGAATGTTTTTCCATTTGTTTGTGTCCTCTCTTATTTCCTTGAGCAGTGGTTTGTAGTTCTCCTTGAAGAGGTCCTTCACATCTTTGGTAACTTTTATTCCTAGGTATTTTATTCTCTTTGTAGCAATTGTGAATGGGAGTTCACTCATCATTTGGCTCTCTGTTTGTCTATTATTGGTGTATAGGAATGCTTGTGATTTTTGCACATTGATTTTGTATCCTGCGACTTTGTTGAAGTTGCTTATCAGCTTAAGGAGATTTGGGACTGAGACGATGGGGTTTTCTAAATATACAATCATGTCATCTGCAAACAGAGACAATTTGACTTCCTCTTTTCCTATTTGAATATCCTTTATTTCTTTCTCTTTCCTGATTGCTCTGGCTACAACTTCCAATACTATGTTGAATAAGAGCGGTGAGAGAGGGCATCCCTGTCTTGTGCCGGTTTTTAAAGGGAATGCTTCCAGCTTTTGCCCATTCAGTATGATATTGGCTGTGGGTTTGTCATAAATAACTCTTATTATGTTGAGATATGTTCCATCGATACCTAGTTTATTGAGAGTTTTTATGCTGAATTTTGTTGAATGCCTCTTCTGCATCTATTGAGATAATCGTGTGGTTTTTGTTGTTTGTTCTGTTTATATGATGGATTACGTTTATTGATTTGCATATGTTGAACTAGCCTTGCATCCCAGGGATGAAGCCAACTTGATCTTGGTGGATAAGCTTTTTGATGTACTGCTGGATTCAGCTTACCAGTGTTTTATTGAGGATTTTCGCATCAATGTTCATCAGGGATATTGGCCTGAAATTTTCTTTTTGTTGTTGTTGTGCCTCTGCCAGGTTTTGGTATCAGAATGATGCTGGCCTCGTAAAATGAGTTAGGGAGGATTCCCTCTTTTTCTATTGATTGGAATAGTTTCAGAAGGAATGGTACCAGCTCCTCTTTGTACCTCTGGTAGAATTCAGCTGTGAATCCATCTGGTCCTGGACCTTTTTTGTTGGTAGGCTTTAATTATTCCCTCAATTTCAAAACCCGTTATTGGTCTATTCAGAGATTCAACTTCATCCTGATTTAGTCTTGGGAGGGTGTATGTGTCCAGGAATTTTTCCATTTCTTCTAGATTTTCTAGTTTATTTGCATAGAAGTGTTTCTAGTATTCTCTGATGGTAGTTTGTATTTCTGTGGGATCGGTGGTGATATCCCCTTTATCATTTTTTATTGCATCTAATTCTTCTCTCTTTTCTTCTTTATTAGTCTTGCTAGCGGTCTATCTATTTTGTTGATCTTTTCAAAAAACCAGCTCCTGGATTCATTGATTTTTTGAAAGGTTTTTTGTGTCTCTATCTCCTTCAGCTCTGCTCTGATCTTAGTTATTTCTTGCCTTCTGCTAGCTTTTGAATGTGTTTGCTCTTGCTGCTCTAGTTCTTTTAATTGTGATGTTAGGGTGTTGATTTTAGATCTCTCCTGCTTTCTCTTATGGGCATTTAGTGCTATAAATTTCCCTCTACACACTACTTTAAATGTGTCCCAGAGATTCTGGTACGTCGTGTATTTGTTCTCATTGGTTTCAAAGAACGTCTTTATTTGTGCCTTCATTTCGTTATTTACCCAGTAGTCATTCAGGAGCAGGTTGTTCAGTTTCCATGTAGTTCTGCGGTTTTGAGTGAGTTTCTTAATCCTGAGTTCTAGTTTGATTGCACTGTGGTCTGAGAGACAGTTTGTTGTGATTTCTGTTCTTTTACATTTGCTGAGGAGTGGCTTTACTTCCAATTATGTGGTCAATTTCTGAATGAGTGCAATGTGGTACTGAGAAGAATGTATATTCTGTTGATTTCGGGTGGAGAGTTCTGTAGATGTCTATTAGGTCCACTTGGTCCAGAGCTGAGTTCAAGTCCTGAATATCCTTGTTAATTTTCTGTCTTGTTGATCTGTCTAATATTGACAGTGGGGTATTAAAGTCCCCCATTATTATTTTGTGGGAGTCTAAGTCTTTTTGTAGATCTCTAAGAACTTGCTTTATGAATCAGGGTGCTCCTTATTGGGTGCATATATATTTAGGATAGTTAGCTCTTGTTGCATTGATTCCTTTACCATTATGAAATGGCCTTCTTTGTCTCTTTTGATCTTTCTTGGTTTAAAGTCTGTTTTATCAGAGACCAGGATTGCAACCCCTGCTTTTTTTTGTTTTCCATTTCCTTGGTAGATCTTCCTCCATCCCTTTAGTTTGAGCCTATGTGTGTCTTTGCACATGAGATGGGTCTCCTGAATACAGGACACTGACGGGTCTTGACTCTTTATCCATTTTGACAGTCTGTGTCTTTTAATTGGGGCATTTAGCCCGTTTACATTTTGGGTTAATATTGTTATGTGTGAATTTGATCCTGTCATTATGATGCTAGCTGGTTATTTCACCCATTGATTAATGCAGTTTCTTCATAGCGTCGATGGTCTTTACAATTTGGCATGTTTTTACAGTGGCTGGTACCAGTTCTTCCTATCCATGTTTAGTGCTTCCTTCAGGAGCTCTTATAAGGCAGGCCTGGTGGAGACAAAATCTCTCAGCATTTGCTTGTCTGTAAAGGATTTTATTTCTCCTTCGCTTATGAAGCTTAGTTTGGCTGGATATGAAATTCTGGGTTGAAAATTCTTTTCTTTAAGGATGTTGAATATTGGCCCCCACTCTCTTCTTGCTTGTAGAGAGATCCACTGTTAGTCTGCAGAGAGATCCACTGTTAGTTTGATGGGCTTCCCTTTGTGGGTAACCCGACCTTTCTCTCTAGGTGCCTTTAACATTTTTTCCTTCATTTCAACCTTGGTGACTCTGAAGATTATGTGTGTTGGGGTTGCTCTTCTCAAGGAGTATCTTTGTGGTGTTCTCTATATTTTCTGAATTTGAATGTCAGCCTGTCATGCTACATTGGGGAAGTTCTGGACAATAGCCTGAGGAGTGTGTTCCAACTTGGTTCCACTCTCCCCATCACTTTCAGGTACACCAGTCAAATGTAGATTAAGTGTTTTCACATAGTCCCATATTTCTTGGTGGTTTTGATTGTTTGTTCTCACTCTTTTTTCTCTAATCTTGTCTTCTCACTTTATTTCATTAATTTGATCTTCAATCCCTGATATCCTTTCTTCCACTTGATTGAATCGGCTATTGAAGCTTATATGTGCTTCACAAAGTTCTTGTACTGTGGCTTTCAGCTCCATCAGGTCATTTAAGCTCTTCTCTACACTGGTTATTCTAGGTAGCCATTCCTCTAACCTTTTTTCAATGTTTTTAGCTTCCTTGCAGTAGGTTAGAACATGCTCCTTTAGCTCAGAGGTTTGTTATTTCCGACCTTCTGAAGCCTACTTCTGTCAACTTATCAAACTCATTTTCCATCCAGTTTTGTTCCCTTGCTGGCAAAGAATTGTGTTCTTTTGAAGGAGAAGAGACATTCTGGTTTTTGGAATTTTCAGCCTTTCTGCTCTGGTTTCTCCCCATCTTTGTCATTTTATCTACCTTTGGTCTTTGATGGTGGTGACCTACAAATGGGGTTTTGGTGTGGATGTGCTTATTGTTGATGTTGATGCTATTCCTTTCTGTTTGTTAGTTTTCCTTCTAACAGACAGGCCTCACAGCTGCAGGTCTGCTGGAGTTTGCTGGAGGTCCACTCCAGACCCTGTTTGCCTGGGTATCACCAGCAGAGGCTGCAGAACAGCAAATATTGCTGCCTGACCCTTCCTCTGGAAGCTTTGTCCCAGAGGGGCACCTGCCTGTATGAGGTGTCTGTTCACCCCTACTGGGAGGTGTCTCCCTGTCAGGCTACATGGGGGTAAGGGACCCACTTGAGGAGGCAATCTGTCCATTATCGGAGCTCAAACATCATGCTGGGAGACTGCTCTCCTCAGAGCTGTCAGGCAGGGATGTTTAAGTGGAGAAGCTGTCTGCTGCCTTTTGTTCAGATATGCCCTGCTCCCAGAGATGGAATCTAGAGAGGCAGTAGGCCTTGCTGATCTGCAGTGAGCTCTGCCCAGTTTGAGCTTCCCTGCCACTTTGTTTACACTGTGAGCATAGAGCCACCTACTCAAGCCTCAACAATGGTAGACACCCCTCCCACCACCAAGTTCCCATATCCCAGGTTGATCTCAGACTGCTGCGCTAGCAGTGAGTAAGGCTCCATGGGCATGGGACCTGCCATGCCAGGCACAGGAGGGGATCTCCTGGTCTGGTGGTTGTGAAGACCATGGGAAAAGTGCAGTATTTGGGAAGGAGTGTACTGCCTCTCCAGGTACAGTCACTTATGGCTTCCCTTGGCTAGGAAAGGGAAATCCCCCGACCCCTTGCACTTCCTGGGTGAGGTGATGTCCCGCCCTGCTTTGGCTCACCCTCCGTGGGCTGCACCCACCGTCCAGCCAGTTCCAATGAGATGAACCAGGTACCTCAGTTGGAAATGCAGAAATCACCCATCTTCTGCATTGATTTCACTGGGAGCTGTAGATCGGAGCTGTTCCTATTCAGCCATCTTGGAAGTGACCTCCCCATATTGCATTTTAATATCTGATCATTTGTCTTTTTCCTCCAGTGGACTATAGGCAGCTTGAAGTTGGGGACTGTGTCTTTCATTAGGCACTAGAACATTATACAACCTCATAAGAGGAACTTTTAAAAATAAGTGCATCAATGGTTGTATGTGTCTTACAGTAGCCAAAGAAAACAATATTATGCCTCAAAGTCCTTCTCTATAAAATGAGAGGGTTGAACTGCATGATTGCCAAGATCTATAGATCTAAAGGTCATCATTTGTCTCAGATACTTGATATATTCAAATAATTTAGAACTGCCTGAAGCTTTCCCAAGAATCCATCCACTGTTGATTCAAGTACTTTATTAACAGAGGACAGAATCTGAGATCCTGGAGATCAGAGTCTCCATTAGAAGCACTGGAAAATTCCAAGCCTATCAGAGATGAAGGGATGGAGATTCTTTTGGGAGTCTGCAGCTTCATCTTTGATAATAAATCATTCTACATGAAAGAAGCCAGAAACGAAACATTGCATATGGTATTACTCCATTTACATGAAATATCCAGAATAGGTAAATCCATGGAGACAGAAAGCAGTTTGGTGGTTGCCAGGGGCTTGGGAGAGACAGGAATGGAGAGTGACTGCTGAAAGGATAGGGGGTCTTCCTCAGGGGTGATGAAATTGGTCAGGAACTGGATAGTGATGATGGTTGCAAAACATTGTGAATGTGCTAAATGCTACTGAATTGTACACTTCAAAATGGTTAATTCTATTAGCATGCACAGTGATGAATACCTGTAGTCCCAGCTATTTGGGAGGCTGAGGCAGGAGGATCACTTGAGCCTGGGAGGTTGAGGCTGCAGTGAACCATGATTGCGCCACCGCACTCCAGCCTGGGTGACAGAGCAAGACCCTGTCTCGAAAAAAAAGTTAATATTATGTTATGTGAATTTCACCTCAGTAAAAAAAAGTCACTGACAACCTTGAACTGGGCCAAGATTTATACTAAACTTCATTCTCTAAAATTACAAATAGTATAGTGTTAACTGACTGCAGAAACTTGATGAAGGGTCTGCTTAAGTATCTTATTTGTATTGGGTCTATAGTTCCAACAGTCTCTTTTCCAATGGGCTTTAAATGAATAATGTTCATCATTGTCATAATAATAGCTAACATTTATTGTGTTTACTATATTCTGGATACTCTACTAATCTTTCTGAAGGTATTAACTCAATTAATTCTCATAACAACATTATGAGGTTGGTACTGTTATCATTCTAATTTTACAGTAACCCAAGTTTACCCACCAGAGCAATAAGTGGCAGGCTGAATTCAAAACTCTAATCTCACTGATCGAAAGCCTATGCTTCTTGTTAATAATGCCAAGGACACAAATGACACAGTTCATGGTAGTACATGCAACTGATTTAAAGAGACCTTGTTTGATAAGATAAGCAAGACGTTTACATATTTTTCTAATTGCAGAGATATACCTGTCTAGTTTTCAAGTGAATGAGCGCAATGACAGGGTCTTGCTGGTAAACAGCAACCTTGGTGGAGGAGATGCCAAACAGACTTGACCCGGTTAAAGGAGGCAAAGTCAGAGTCAGAGTGAGCCTTATAAGCTTTCAATGTCTGGAGAAATACCATGAGAAATCTACTGACACCTTCTTCAATCAGACTTTCTCTTGGTACAGATGCTGTGTACCCAGGTCTCTATGTTCCTTCTCAAAAGGTGTTATCTCTAGAAAGGATAGGTGGTACTCTCTTCACAAAGGAGTCCTTGCAAGATCAGCTATGTGAGCATTATAATGTTAAAGGAGTTTTGGCTAATTTGGTAATTCTGGCAAAACATCTCATGAAAAAATATTGTGAGCAAAGCCTGTATTGATTATTGAAATGTCATGCTATGCTTCATTTATTCACTTATCCAGTTATATGTTCTAAAGTATCCTAAGGCATATATCCTCAATTTTTCTGAGTATGATGCAACTCTTGGATCTCAGTGCCCTGTCAAGAATCCAGATCATCATGTCAGGTGATGTGACCCTACCGCATAAGTTCCAGGCTTCCATCCATCAGCATTTGAATAGCATGCTCTTTTAAGGTAGGCCTTTCCTCATTCAAAATCAACACTCCCTATCTTTAACTCTGTGACTCGCCACATCCTCTGAAAAAGGTTAAGATGCCTGAAACTGATCTGCAGATATTATGGAACATGCGTTCCTTGTGTTCAGCTGCCTCTGTTGTCCAGAGTTTCTGCCTAGGTTAGGGACAATATTTAAGAAGCACATAGCCTCACTAGTTCAGGCCCTTCTTGTTGTTGTTGTTGTTGAGACAGGGTCCTACTCTGCTACACAGTCTGGAGTGCAGTGGCATGAACACAGCTCACGGCAGCCTCAACCTCCTTGGCTCATATGATCCTCCCACCTCAGCCTCCCAAGTAGCTGGGACTACAGGTGCTCATCACCATGCCTGGCTAATTTTTTTGGTATTTTTTGTAGAGATGAGGTTTCACCACATTACCCTGGCTGGTCTCCAAACTCTTGGTCTCAAGCCATCCACCCGCCTCAGCCTCCAAAACTGCTAGGATTACAAATGTAAGCCACCATGCCTGTCAAGGAGCCCTTCCTAAATGTCAGATTTTAATTGCTCAAGAGGCAGTATCAGAGGATACGATTGTGAACTCCATAAACCAGGTGATCCCTCGGCATCTCATCTAACCGTCCCTGACCTGTAGAATTGAAACAGAGAACAGGGCTCTGCCAGGTAGAGTGCAGTGCCCTCGCCAGGGGCTGAATTTATTTTGTGTTTCAGTTAGTAAATAGCACCTCTCAACGAGCTTCAGAATTGCTTTACAACTGCCTACTTGGCCTCTCCACTTGGATGTTTAGGCCATCTCAAACTCAATATGTTCAACACTGAGCACTGGATTTACTACCTTCCTCCCAAACTTTTCCAATCTCAGTAAATGGCTCCATCGTTCACCTATTGCTCAGGCTAAAAACCTGGGGGTGACTTTGAATCTTCTCTTTCCCTCACACCCAAAGCATCATCATATTTTTCTAATGCAGAAATATACCTGTCTAGTTTTCAAGTGAATGAGTGCAATGATGGGGTCTTGCTGGTGAACAGCAACCTTGGTGGAGGAGATGCCACAAGACTTGACCCAATTAAAGGAAACAAAGTCAGAGTGAGCCTCTTGTTTCTATTTATAAAATATATCCCAACCCTGACAGTTCCTATCCTCTCTTACTTTGGCTACTCTAACAGCCTTCCTGCTTCTCTCCCTGCTTTCCTGCTTCTCTCCCTGCACTCTTATGTCTATTATTTAATCAGAGGCCAGAGTAATCTTTATAAAACATAAAACAGATCATGCCATTCTCCTGCTGAAATCCTCCAGCGATTTCTCATCACATTTACAAGACATTCACAACTGTGAAATATAGCTTATCAGGCTCTGCATACCTTTGTGACGTCACAAGTACTGCTTTTTTCCTGAGTCTATTTTAACTTGACTGGCCCTCTTGCTATTCTTCAAACTCATCAAGCTCATTTCCATCTCAGGGCCATAACATCTGCTGTTCTTTCCACCTGGAACATCACTCTTCCGCAGATGTTTTCATGGCTCACTACCTTACTGTTTTCAGGGCTCTATTTAAATGTTACTTTTTCAGGAAGGCCATCCCTGTCCACCTTATCTAAACTAGCCTCCCCTCCATTTTCTATCCCTTTACCATGTTTTATTTTTATTCATAGCATATATAACTTCTGATATATTTAAGTATGTGTCCAATGAATGAATGACTTCCTAATAGTGCTAGAAAGTGAATTTTCACCACCTAATGTTGTGCAACTTTATATATAAAGGCATTGCATCTTTTCCCTCTGAATATACTCCCTCAAAACATACTTTCCTCCGGCAGTAAAGAGATTTTCTTAATGATGTTGAAACTGAGTCCAAACTAATCACATCAATATATACAATTTCAAGAACATGAAAGTGCCCAAACACCAGCAAAGATCTCAGAAGAAATCAGTGTAACAGCACTGAATCACAGGTTCCCATTGCATGCAAACATCTTTCCCCTGCAGCGGTGGGACTGCAAAATGTTACATGTGATAAAGATCAAAGGCTGTCACAGAGAACTGGGTGGAGTAGGCAAGGACTTCAGGACTGAGTTATACAATTGAAAGTGTTAGGATGTTTTCAAATTCTGACCTAGGACCTGACCTCAATGAGAATAAGGGGGCTGAATTCTTCGGACTTGCTTTATTTCACTCAGTCCATTTCCTAGTACAACAACATAGTAATGAGCCACACACCACAGCCAGGGCTAACAGCTCTTTCAGTACTGCCTGTTTCTGAGTTGAGCATTTACAGAGTGAGAAAATAGAGAAGAAAAAAGTAAATGATTGGGAGATGGAAAAGGGAAAGAGAGTGGCAAAATGGGGAAGGAAGAGCAGGAGAGAAAGAAGGAGAAACTTGATGGGCCGGGACAGAGCAGCAGAGAAGGGTCAGCATGTGAGTGATTCTATCTGAACACCTCCCTGGTGCTGGCGCTGCAGTCAGGCTTTGGCTGGTAACGGGTATGTTGAGAAACGAAAAGCTTCACACACAGGGCTCTGCCCTGTGTGGTCTCTCTTTTGTTTCCTCTCCCTTGTCGCTCTTATTTCTCCTCTCCTTTCTTTATTTCCTCTGCATATTCCTTGTCCCTGTGCTTTCCTCCTGACAAACACCCTGTCTTACCATCATTTGCAATGGACACATTTATTGCCTGCAAAGGAGACACTAGATTTTCTTGGGCCCTGGGAAAATATATGAACAGACATAGGGACATCTGTACCTGTGAAGCAGCTTTGCTGAAGCAGCGGCTGCTCTTCTCTAATCCCAGCTGATTGGGACATCCAAATCATTTCCTCATACTGTAATCGGGTTGCGAACTTGCCACAAGGACCTTTCCCCTGGAGGCTTAGTTCCCTTTTCTGTCCCAGACGGATCACTTTGATATGGAAGGGGGGTGGGGAAGTGCTGGGAAGGGAAGGGCAGGTCCCCGGCTAGGGCTCTGCCTACCTGCCGGTGGTCACAAACCTTGGTGAGGACAGGCACGCCTGCCTTCGTGCCCAAATGTTGCATTTCCCAAGACCACGCTGGCCCACCATGCCCCCGTCCTGTGCCTATAATCTGTGTGACCTGGAGGTTCTCAGGCTTATTGTGTGATGGAGTGTCTGCCCATTCTCTAGAAATGGAGTAGGAAGAAGTCACTCTCCCCTGCTCTGGGGCCTGTAAAAATGAGGTGGGAAGCTTAGGAAGAGCCCTAAAATAGTCAAGAGGAATGTGAAAGATGAGGCCCAGGACAAGACCATAGCAGGCAGGCACACAAGCCGCTGGACGTCGAGAGGAACACGTTGTTTGAAGAAGACACAAGCAGCTGGACTGCGAGAGGACGTGGAGGGGAGCATGCTGGTGGAAGAGCACATGACAGACGGCACGTGGGCAGGCTATGGACTGGCAGAACGGGGAGGAGTTTGGCTGGGGCAGTCCGAGGAGAGCCGGGGCTGCCGAGTGGCCCAAATCCAGGGGAAAACCATCTCGCTTTTGGCTCTCCCATTTGCTGAGAGCTACTTCTACTCAATAAAACCTTGCACTAATTCTCCAAGCCCACACATGATCCAATTCTTCCGGTACACCAAAGCAAGAACGCTGGGATACAGAAAGCCCTCTGTTCTTGCCATAAGGCAGGGGTCTCATTTAGCTGACTAACACAAGCTGCCTATGGACAGCTAAACTAAAAGAGCACATGGTAACACACACCCACTGGGGCTTCGGCTGTAAATATTCACCCCTATACACTGCCGTGGGGTTGTAGACCCACAGCCTGGCAGGCTGTATGCTCCCCTAAAGATTTGAGCAGGGGGACACTGAAGAAGTGGGCCACACCCCCATCACATGCCCTGCAAGGGGGACAAGGGAAATTTTCCCATTTCACCTTCATTAGGTTTGTGGTAATTTTCTACGCCAGAGCATTTCGTGCTGGCGTGAGGAGCAAACAGCATAACTCAGGGCACATGTGATGAGATGCACCATTTAGGAGGCCTTGCCCAGGACCTAATAGCCTGTGAGCTCCAAGCTCACCATGAGTGTCTCCTGTATTAGTCTCACCAACAGGAAGGAGTTGTTTCCTTATATACAAGTTCTTTTGCTTGCTGTATTCAAATTCCAGCTCTGCCACTTCTATCTATACAGGAATTTTGTGTAAGCTAATTACCATATATACATGGTAATTATATCATGTATATAACATATATGTCTTAGTTTCTCCTTCTGGAGAAAAAAAGGCAGTAGCTTTTCCCTCAAGGGTGCTTGTGAAGGTTGAATGAAATGTTTTCTGTAAAGGGCTCAGCACTGTTTCTGGAACAATCAGTGTAAGCTATTATTACTACTTGGTAAGAGGTCATTGTGAACAGCTTCTTATCATTCATTGTTCTTGATGGCCAGGGGCTGTAGTTCCTATTATTTCTTTTAGAGACCTTGACCAGTTCAAAGACTGTGAATTATAACCTGTTAGAGTTTGGCACAGCTGAAAATCTGGAGACCCCATGGTCAGCTGGCGAGTGAATGGCCTGCCTGTTACAAGTCAATGTGAAGAAGCAGGGCAGGTCAGCCAGAAGCAACGAGACCAGGATTCCAACAGTTGTCTTCCTTAAGAGTTCTGCCAACTCTGATTAAGGATGGACTGGAGAAGAGGCTGGGGTTTTATAAGTAGGTATAGTTTCTGATTGACTTTGGTATTGACGGGTCTTTTGAGATTAAAACCCCACAGTATAGTATTGGTGCCCTTCTCTCTATCTCCAAGACAATTTTAGGGTTTTATATTATTATAAATAATTTCTTATTTCCCTCAATGTTTATCTTATACTACCGTCTACCCGCAGGACCCAGATAACACAGGGCCTAGATAGTTTGGCAAGGGAGGATTGAGTTGATATAATTGTCAACATGAAGATTCCAGCTATCCTTTAAATGGATGGAAATGATATTCTCATGGATATACCCTGTTCTGTTTTAGAGTCAGTGATGGATCTCTGGAGCTCCCACATCATGCATCAAGCCAAGTGATACATACCTTCAGGTTAGTTCTGGGCCTCATGTCTCACATTCCTCTTAACTATTTTAGGCTCTTCCTAAGCTTCCACACCTCATTTATACAGGCCCCAGAGCAGGGGCCAGTGACTTCTTCCTACCCTATTTCTAGAGAATGGGCAGACACTCCATTGCACAATAGGCCTGAGAACCTCCAGGTCACACAGATTAAAAATCATGTCACATGCACATAGATGAACAGAAACTAAGAAATATTTTTCTTATGTTAAAAAGCTAAGTTGGTGGATTCTCTTTCTTTTTATTGTACTATTTTTGCTCTGATGTTATTTTTGCAAAAACATTTAAAACTCTTTCTTTAAGAAAAAAAAAACAAATTCTGTCATCTATAATGTATGCTTCCTGTCACGGTATTCTTTGAAGCAGGAATGTTTTCAGAGATGGTATCTCTGCTAGTTTTAGTTATTTAGCACCTGTTATTTTCCTTCTGAGACTGGCGATATCTTGCTTATCATTGGAAGCCTTAAGGAAACTTGATGGCACATCAAGGTTAACAAGAATTACACATTTACAGGTTGAGCTTCGTACATTTTGATTCTAAGAATCAGGGCCTGCTGATGAAGAAAGCGCCTACTGGTTCAAAAAGGACATTCCAGAAAGAATGTTAGGTTTGGGGAGCTGTGGATATGAGTCACTGACATGAAAAATCTAGATAGCTTGTTTGCAAAGATTTCTAAAGACAGAGTAAAAAAAAATTGCGTTTTTTTTTTTTTTAAATATTAAAAATAGAGACAGGGTTTCACCATGTTGGCCAGGCTGGTCTAGAGTTCCTGGCCTCAAGTGATCTGCCAGCCTAGGCCACCCAAAGTGCTGGGATTACAGGCATGAGCCACCATGCCTGGCCAGAAAACATTGAGTTTTGAAGGATATTTTTCAATTTCAGGTTGTATAGTACTTCTAAATGAAGGGGGACTATCAAAGATTCATAGCTTTCACTATCATAAGACAGCATCCTCTAGAGAAAGATTGAGATTTGGAATAGTTCATGAAAATAATATGATAGGCCAGACACAGTGGCTCATACCTCTAATCCCAGCACTTTGAGGGGCCGAGGCTGGTGGATCACTTGAGCTCAGGAGTTTGAGACCGCCTGGGCAACATTACAAAACCCTGTCTTTACCAAAATACAAAATTTAGCCCAGTGTGGTGGCATGAGCCTGTAGTTCCAGCTACTGGGAAGCTGAGGCAGGAGAATCCATCGGGCCTAGGAGGTTGCAGTGAGCCAATCTTGGCTCACAGTCTTGAGCTAAGATTGTGCCACTGCACTCCAGCCTGGGTGACAGAATGAGACATTGTCTCAAAAATAAAAAAGAAAACCATCTTAAGGACATCATAATAAATCTGGGAAGTTATTTCCTGTTTTTAGTTGGAATGGTCTGAAGACCTCACTGCCATAAAAATGAATGTCATGTCCAATTTTTATCTAGTTCTCCAAGTCCATTTATGCATTTATTCATTCTTTTTCAACTCACTCTTACCTAAACTAGATTGTTTACAAGACAGCTAATTATGTAGTTGATCTTACCATCCAAAAATCATTTTTTGATGTTATCGTCTTCTGTTTTCATTTTACTTACCTGCGTCTAATATTCTCAAAGGAGCTAGGGAGTTTTCCGTTTAAATCCACCATTTAATTACCTGTCTTCCTTTTTCTGGTAAACATCTGACTCAGCTCTAAAGGCAAGCTCATTTGTTCATTCAAAAAACACTGTTGAGTAATTTCTCAAGGAGTTTATGCTCTTAGAAAGGAAATAATTACATAAATAATTATACACAGTACACAAATAATTTCAGGCAGGATATGGCACAACAAGCTAGAGGAATTTTGAGGAGGATCTGTTTCATCCAGGAAATGGAGGAAATGATTTTCAATACAAAAAAGACACACTAAGTAGAAAAAAAATGTGTGAACAAAGTCAGGGAGGTGGGAAAGCACAGAATACATTTGGGATAGGCAGTGAGCCATCAATGAAGTTTGTAGATTGAATAAGGTGCATGCTCAGAGCTTCCATTTGGAATAGCAATAATAAATGTGCTCTGAGGGCTTGCTATGTGCTAGGCAGTGTTCCAAGCACTGGAAACATCGAGCAGTGGGCACAACAAACAAAATCCCTGCCTTCATGGAGCTTATATTTGAGATAAAAATGACAGTCAATAAACAAAACAGACATACAGCATTTTAGATGATGATAAGTGCTACGGAGAAAAAGCTGGAAAGGAGAGGCAGTGTGTGTGTTTGCATGCTGTTTTTTTTTTCTTTTTTTCTTTTTTAAAAATTTCAATAGCTTTGAGGGGTACAAGTGGTTTTTGGTTACGTGGATGAATTATACAGTGGTGAAGCCTGAGATTTTAGTGCACGCATCACCCAAGTAGTGTACATTATACCCAATATGTAGTTTTTTAAATCCCTCACCCCCTCTTCTACCTTCCTCCTTCTGAGTCTCCATAGTCCATTAGATCGCTCTGTATTGCATCCTGCTTTAAAGAAGGTGGTCAGAAAAGGCCTCACTCCAAGGTCACATTTAAGAAAAGGCCTGAAGTGAGGGCTTGAGCCATGTGGGTTAACTGGGGGTAGGGAGTTCCTGCCAGTGGAAGCAGCAAGGCCAAGGGATCTCAAGATGAGAGTGTGCTTAGAATGACAAGGGAACAGCAAGGAGTGAGCAAGTGAATAGCAAGTGAGTGAGGAATAGGAATTAAGGCCAGAGGCATGGTAGGGGCTTGATCATAGGGACTTCAATGGCCCCTCTAAGGACTTGGGCTTTTACTCTGAGATGGGAAGCTCCACTGGAGCTCCTTGGAAGAGAGGAGTGACATGATCTGACTTAAAATTTTATGGCTGACTATGGCTGATTGGGAGATTATCTGCTCCAGAGATTCTGACTTAATCGGTCTAAGAGGGGACTGAATATTCTAGCTTTAAGAGTGCCACAGATTGAGAACCACTCCTCTAGGGCTTGCAATGTGTTCTTGCATTCGTTACCTCAACTCGAACCCCTCAACAATCCCATGCATTGTGCAGATGAGGAAACTGAGGCCCAGGGAAGCTTAAGCGACTTTTGAGGGCACATGGCCTGAAATGGGTATAGATAAAATTTAAACCCAAGTTATCAAGTCTTAGTCTAGTAGTGCTCTTTCCATCATAACACTTATATTATCAATGGAATCTTTTTTCTTATGAGTTTGCCACTAGTTTTTAGGAATTTTGGTGGATTCATCTTATATGCTGAAAACATAAAGATATTATCTCTAGTAATTTTGATTCATACTATCTTTACTCAGGTTTGATTCCATGGTCTGTTCTGTCACCCTAACCACCCTCTTGCCATTAGATCATGTTACTTTCCTGCAAATAATGAGAGATACATACTCCAGTTCAGCTGTGCCCTGGCCTCAGCATTGGCCAAAATTTGCTTTTCAATTTCACCTTTAGCATTGGCCTTTGGAAGGTCATATTGTCAAATTTCTATTTCACCTTCTGGCAAGTCTAAACTGGGTATGGCCTCCCCATCATGTGATCTTACTGGGTAACCATTATATCTAATCAGCATAACTATGTAAATTATAAGAGCAAAGTATGTTAGTCAGAGTTAGTGTTAATATATGGATATGCACTTTCAAATATAGGTAAGCATTTTGGATGTATTTCCTCTGTTGAAATTCTATTAATTGTTTAATATAAACTTCAGTAATAAAGGTAATTGTGAAAATTGTTAATTTTATGCAAAAATGTAGAACTTTCAAGTAGTTAGGTAAGAAAATAATTGAAAATTAATACAATTATACAAAAGATGGGCTACATAAATTTAGAAAGAAAATTACATCCTTTTGAACCACTAATATTCATACAATGTAATTAATAATAAAAGGCATGCAGAAATAAACGCATATTAGAAATTAAAATTTTAAATGAGAATAACAATCTTAGGTGTGCATCTGAAAATATCCACAAAGCATCTTCTTCAAGCACAGCACAAACTTCAGTTTCTAGGGGGCTTCAATGAAATGGAATCATGTCCATTGACCAAATCTTCAAGTCCAGCAGCAGAAAAGCGGATAAAACTTAGTTTCTATTAGAAAGGAAGGGAAGCTTAATAACAGATGATGACATCACTATCAGAAGTATCCTATACTAGCAGAGCTAGCCAAAAATAATCTTGTTCCTCATCTGACTTTGGTTAATAGTGGACTTTAATATTTAAAATTGCAATGTGCAGTATCATGACTGTAGGAACACTAGTAATGCTAAGAAATTGTTCCTGCATTATTTAAGCTTCTGAAGTTTGACTACTGCCAAATAAGAAATGATGTTTAACCTTCTCATGTTATATTTTTAAGGATATGTTATTAATATATGTTCTAAAATTGTATGAGACTCCTAAAATTCTGATATGTCTTGGTATATGTTATCAGTCATAGTTATAGTTAGTATGTTTAATTATTGTAGGTCACAGAAATAACCAAATTTCCTTGTCAATTGTGTCTTTAACCGTGACCATTTTAAGTCTTGCTTCCAGTTAATTGCTTAATTCTGGTGCATTTTCTGAAAGCTATTTATAAGCAACTAAAATCCTAGAGTATTGTGCCTTCAAGGAGGCTCATGGAAAGGATGGAAAGGACCCTGAGAAGCACTCTTGAATACACGGTTCTGATAACTTTAGGATCATATAATTTGGACTGGGTAGGAATTCCTAGAACTCTCATGAAGAGACTGACTGATTCATAAAACTGCTAAACCAAGCAGGACAAGAATTGATTGAATATCAAGAAAAAATTTTGCCAAATGTTATGCAAAATGAGCCAGTACTGAAATTGTTAAGAAATTCAACTTAAATGAACTCCATGGCCCAAGGCAAATTACCTATGATAACAGATTTAACAAACAGTGCTGTGCAACAAAATCGCTATTTAAGAATGATAAAAATCCAATGTTAAGTGTGGACTCATGGAGAGCCTGGATGGCTGCCTGGCCCTTCCTGAGTCCTTATAGCTTCCATTATTAAAAGCTGTATACCCTATGACTTATTAGGAAAGAGGTAAAATGATTTAAATTATGTGTGTGTGTGTGTGTGTGTGTGTGTGTGTGTGTGTGGTGACTATTCTAAACTGCTAAAATGGCTTATGATCAATGTTTAGTTTGTCAAATCCATAATTAAGGGAAAATATCAAAATTTGGGGTACATTTCTGCTACATGATGAGCCTTTTGAACATTTATGAGGGCATTTCATTCACTTGCCATTCTACGCACATTTTCTGATTGTATAGAAGCTTTCCCATGCAAGAAGGCCAATGCTATAACAGTAGCTAAAAGGTTATTTTAAAATGTGTTTCCCTCATGGGGAATTCTGAAGAAATCTCCAGTGATGGAGGTACTTGTTTCACTGGACAGGTTGTAGAAAAGTTAAATAAAGTATTATAGCATTAGGCAAAGCTAAATGAATCGACTGGATTGCCTTGATCCAAAGTATTGAAGATTGATGGCAATCAGATCCACTTCCAGAGGAAAACATAAGTTGACCCCTTATGAAACAGTCACTGGAAGGCCTATCCTCCTAATAATAGAACATTATATCTCTTCCATTCCTGTACTCTGATATGACTAATTGCCGCAAGGCTTTAATGCATTATGCCAAAGTGTATTTTAGTCAGGCAAAGGAAATTTTAATGACCCATTGACTCAGGATAATTAAAACATTGATGATATAGAACCAAGATATTGGGTCTTCTGGAAGTGAAGAGAAAGACTGCCCTTGCCACACACACTGCAGCAAAACTTTGGGACCGCAAACCTTGTATCCATAGTCTCATAACTCTAAACAGCCCTTTCAGACTCAGGACTGTATACCAGGGTCCCCCTAACAGGTACTTGTCCATGGGCTGTTAGGAACCAGGCTGTACAGCAGGAGGTGAGCAGTGGGCAAGCAAGTGAAGCTTCATCTGTATTTACAGCTGCTCCCCATCTCTGGCATTACCACTTGAGCTCCACCTCCTGTCAGATCAGCAGCAGC
Source organism: Homo sapiens (assembly GCF_000001405.40). Classification (NCBI taxonomy): domain Eukaryota; kingdom Metazoa; phylum Chordata; class Mammalia; order Primates; family Hominidae; genus Homo; species Homo sapiens. Next base: position 49,055,394 of record NC_000015.10, on the reverse strand, counting down.
ATTAGATTCTCATAGGAGCGTGAACCCTATTGTGAACTGTGCACACAAGGGATCTAGGTTGCACGCTCCTTATGAGAATCTAATGCCTGATGATCTGTTACTGTCTCCCATCATCCCCAGATGGAACTGTCTAGTTCAATGGTCCCCAACCTTTTGGGCATCAGGGACTCGTTTCATGGAAGACAATTTTTCCATGGATGGGGAGGAGAGGAAGGGGCAGATGGTTTTGAGATGAAACTGTTCCACCTCAGATCACCAGGCATTAGATTGTCATAAGGAGCGTACAACCTAGATCCCTCCCGTGGGCAGTTCACAATAAGGTTCGCTCTGCTATGAGAATCTAATGCTGTTACTAATCTGAGCTTGCATGTCTGCTGCTCACCTCCTGCTGTGCAGCCTGGTTCCTAACAGACCACAGACTGTACCTGTCCACAGCCTGGGGTTGGGGACCCCTGGTTTAGTTGCAGGAAAACAAGCTCAAGGCTCCCACTGATTCTATGTTATGGTGAGTTGTGTAATTATTTCATTATATATTACAATGTAATAATAACAGAAATAAAGTACACAATAAATGTAATGCACTTGAATTATCCCAAAATCATCCCCCACCCCCAGGTTCATGGAAAAATTGTCTTCCACAAAACCAGTCCCTGGTGCCAAAAAGGTTGGGGACTGCTACTGTATACCTATTGGAGACCTTAAGGTAAAGTTAACTGGGAATTTTCTCCCTGGAAGCAGACAGAATCCTAGACATGAACAAGTTTCTCAAGATCATGGATCAAGGACCTGCCATCCTGTGACGCTTACATCTTCTTGCTTATGCCTCTATGAACAATAGAACTGGAAAAGGTGCTTTGGGTGTACCCATAGGGTATACTTTTATGTGTGGAGGATTTTACAGCTAACCCTATACAGGGGAAACCTTATGCTTTAATGCAGTGGTCCCCAACCTTTTTGGCACCAGGGACTGGTTTTGTGGAAGACAATTTTTCCATGGACTGGGGGTGTTGGGTGGTAGTGGTGATGGTTTTGGAATGAAACTGCTCCACCCCAGATTATTGGGCATTCAGTTCTCATAAGGAGTGTGCAACCTAGATCCTTCGCATGCACAGTTCACAGTGCAGTTCTCATTCCTGTGAGAATCTAATGCTGCCACTGACCTGATAGGAGGCGGAGCTCAGGCAGTAATGCCTGCTCACCCACTGCTCACTTCCTGCTGTGCGACCCAGTTTCTAACAGGCCCCTAGCTGGTACAAGTTCATGGTCCGGGGATTGGGAACGCCTGCCTTAAAAAATGGAAGATGAGGGGCCACTGTGGCTAGGGATTTTTTTTTTTTTAGAGACAGGGTCTCAGTCTGTCATCCATGCTGGAGTGGAGTGATGTAATCATAGCTTACTGCAGCCTTGACCTCCCAGGCTCAAGCAATCTTCCCACCTCAGCCTCCTGAGTACCTGGGACTACAGGCACGCATAAGTACACCTGGCTATTTTTTTTAAATTTTTTTCATTTATTTATTTTTTTGTAGAGGTGAGGTCTCACTATGTTGCCCAGGTTGATCTTCAACTACTTGGCTCAAGTGATCCTCATGCCTTGGCCTCCCCAGGTGCTGGGATTACAGGCATGAGCCACCGTGGCCAGCTGGACTAGGAATTTTAAAGGTACCTTTGTTGCTCCACTAACAGTCAAAAACAACCTTGGTCCACTCTTAGCATACATCATAGGTTAAAGAGAACATTGCCAGGAGGACTTCACCTTTCTGGATGGGCATCATTGTTAGGTCTTCTTTTCTGTGGCATGCGGGAAATATAAATCAGACAATGATTAGAAATGTGTTCCTTGTAGTAGACTTTATAGAAGATTTTACTGCAAAGGCTATGGTTGCACAACAAACTTTTAAAAATTTTCTTGCTAAAGTTGTGCTAGATGACTGAATTACTCTAGATTATTTTTGACTGAACAGGGAAGGATCTGTGCAGTTCCTGACACTTCTTGTTGTATGAATACATCAGGTTTTATAAAGACTCACTTTCACGGGATTAACAAACAGGCTGGTTGGTTAAAACAAGATTCTTTATCAGGCTCATTCGTAGATCTATTTGATTTTAGTTGGCTTAGTTCATGAGGACCCTGGCCAGGGAGCATACTCCCAACTCTTGGTATTATCCTTCTGATAACCATAAGAGTAGTATCCCTGGTGCACTGTATTTTCTCCAAAATTATAAATGCTTGCATATAGCCATCTGTAGAATGTCAAATGATCTCCCTTTTGTTGGTATGACAAAAACCTCAAAGAAATGAGTGATCATGAAGACGCTGTAACCTATGAATGATGTGCTGTGACTAGAAATCCAAAATGATGGCAACTGGGAGTAGTGCTAAACCCTAAATTTTGGTTACACTCACTTAGGTGAGAACTTGAGCGAAAGGGGGAAATTATTAGTCAAAATTATGGGAAACCAGTGTTCTAGACAGAGCTCCTGCAGTAGGCCCCAACAGACCAGACCAAACCAACATGGAGTCACTCATGCTAAATGCTACGTAATTAAAGTGAAACATTATGGAAGCAGATCGATCCCAAAACAGATCAGTTTTGTCTATACTGAGAGGGTCACCAAAAGGGTGAACTGTTAAATTAAGTTAAAGCTGCCTCCTTACACATATAGTAAACTGTCACCTAACTGGATGTGTAAACAGACTTTAACTTACTCTTGTACTAATCACGCAGTTTCAGCCAATCATAGGTGGGCAACTGTTCAAACTGTATTCAAATAAGACAAGTACCAAGCTGTAACCAATCCAGCTGTTTCTGTACCCCGCTTCCATTTTCTGTACCTCACTTTCTATAAGTATGATTGGATCATGTGGGAACCCCAGAGTCTCTCTGAGCTTATTCTGGTTCTGGGGACCTGCTCAATTGGCAGATCATTCTTTGCTTAATTAAATTCTTAAATTTAATTTGTCTACAGTTTCTCTTTGAACACTACTAAACCTTTTAATAATAAAATTGTAATAATAATCCAGTTTTTCAATAGTCATTTAGATGTGTTTTTATATCCCAGAAGTATTAATTTTAACATTTTGCTATTCAGCATTCAGACAAAATGTGAATTCAATGCACTTCTTTAAAATTCTCCAAATGGCTTTTTGACTTAAAGTTAAATCCAAATTCTTTACCATGGCTTGCAAATTAGTACAAAATCTGGCCTGGTCTAGTCTTCCATTCTATCTATTGTCCATACTACTCTCCCCCTCCTACCATTCACTATTCACACTGGTCTCTCCTTTCTGTTTCCACAATTTAAGAGTTTCCCCTCCTGAGGCCTTTGCTTGTCTTTTCTCTATCTTTTTGTATTTCTCAAATCTCACATCAGATATCACCTCTTCAGTGGTCAACCATCTAAGGTAATCCATTTCTTCCTCCTAGGGACTTTGTGCCCTGCATCCCAGCCGCTCCAGCCATGGCTAAAAGGGACCAAGGTACAGCTCGAGCCATGGCTTCAGAGGGTGTAAGCCCCAAGATTTGGCAGCTTCCATGTGGTATTGAGCCTGTGGGTGAACAGGAGTCAAGAATTGAGTTTGGGAATCTCTGCCTAGATTTCAGAGGATGTATGGAAATGCCTGGATGTCCAGGCAGAAGTTTGCTGCAGGGGTGGGGCACTCATGGAGAACCTCTGCTAGGGCAGTGTGGAAGGGAAATGTGGGGCGGGCACCCCCACACAGAGTCCCCACTGGGGTACTGCCTAGTGGAGCTATGAGAAGAGTGCCACCTTCCTCCAGACCCCCGAATGGTAGATCCACTGACAGCTTGCACTCTGTGTCTGGAAAAGCTGCAGACACAACACTAGCCCATGAAAGCAGCTGAGAGGGAGGCTGTACCCTGCAAAGCCACAGAGGAAGAGCTGCCCAAGACCATGGGAACCCACTTCTTCCATCAGCGTGACCTAGATGTGAGACATGGAGTCAAAGCAGATCATTTTGGAGTTTCAAGATTTGACTGCCCTGCTGGATTTCAGACTTGCATGAGACCTGTAGCCCCTTTGTTTTGGCCAATTTCTCCCACTTGGAATGGGTATATTTACCCAATGCCTGTACCCCCATTGTATCTAGGAAGTAACTAACTTGCTTTTGATTTTACAGGATCATAGGCAGAAAGGACTTGCCTTGTCTCAAATGAGACTTTGGACTGTGGACTTTTGAGTTAATGCTGAAATGAGTTAAGACTTTGGGGGACTGTTGGGAAGGCACAGTTGGTTTTGAAATGTGAGGACATGAGATTTGGGAAAGGCTGGGGCAGAATGATATGGTTTGCTGTGTTCCCACCCAAATCTCATCTTGAATTGTAGCTCCCATAATTCCCTTGTGTTGTGGGAGGGACAAAGTGGGAGATAAATAAATTATAGGGCAGTTTCCCTCATACTGTTCTCACGGTAGTGAATAAGTCTCATGAGAGCTGATGGTTTTATAAGGGGAAACCCTGTTCACTTGGGTCTCATTCTGTTCTCTTGTCTGCCACCATGTGAGATGTGCCTTTCACCTTCCACTGTGGTTGTGAGGCCTCCACAGCCAGGTGGAACTGCAAGCCCATTAAACCTCTTCCTTTTGTAAATTGCCCAGTCTCAGGTATGTCTTTATTAGCAGCATGAAAACAGACTAATACAATGACTCACGAAGGGTACTGTTTTGTATACCTTATACATACCCACACCTCCCATGGGCAAAAGGAGATGCTTCCCCTTACCTCAAGCTATGTGAGAGAAACTTTCTGGGAAACACTTGGAGAACTTGATACATGTTGCCTGGAGTGTGGTAGAATACAAGGACCTGAGAGAAACAGTGGGAACAAGCTGCATTTTTGCCTACTGTAGCTATATAAGTTTTTCCCAGGGCAAAGTGTACTGAAGTCTGTAATCTACTTTGACATGCACCAAAAATAAGACAAATTAATAGCTGGATAAAGGGACGGAGGGATGGATAGCTACATGATAAATCAAGTGTAGCAAAATGATCCCAGGGATTGATGGGATCCCAGGAATTCTGCCTGAAGCCATTTTAAAAGGGAATCCAGCAAATAAGGCTGGCTTGCTCTTCCCCAAATTGATCAAGCTGAGATTTAAACCCTCAGAAGCACAAGGGCTGAGGGCTAGGGTCATAAGTGACTGCTCTGAGATGACTTTGCTGCATGTAAACATGCAGGAAAGTAGTAATTAAACATCTGAGAAGCTCTGCCATCCTCCCCCTCACAGTCCAAACCTAGAGAAATCTAAAAGCCTAATCTGAGTATTTAAGGTACAGGAGGTGGAGATAAAAAATGTAGAAAACAAAACTGAAGTGGACCAAGCCACGTCCTTCACTGCAGGCTTCCAGCTTGAAGCAGGACTGAGCTGGGGAAAAGGAGAAGTTTTGACGTGGAATAAAGTTTGTGTGACCTTCACGAGATTTCATCCAAGGCAGAAAAAGAAATCATCTTCAGAGAATTTGAAGGTACAGGACAATAAATAATAATTCTACTTGCACCCTAGTGAATCCTGCTCCTTCAATAAAATGCACATGCCTAACAAAACCCCAACCCTGGATGAAAGAATCCTGATTTAATATAATATTACAGCTCATTTATTCAATAAATATTTGTGGAGCACCTGTTGCATGCTAGGCTTTGGTATAGGTAGTAAGAATAACAACAATGTATAAGACAAGCATTTGATATAAGTAGAGAAGTTTTCAATGTCACTGGAGGTAATGGTGACATTCTATGTTTTGATAGAGATTTGAATTACATAGGTGTATGCGTTTGTTAAAGCTAGAATTCAATATTTGGTTATAGTTTTTTCTTTTGAGATAAAATGTACATATAATGACATGTACATAATTTAACTATATGTTTGCTGAATTTTGACAAGTGCCTAGTCACCACAACTCCACCTCTCTTTATTGTCAGCAGGTAACCTTGCCTCCTACATCACTGAGAAAACAGAAGCCATTAGGCATTCCCTCAACTTTTGGCACCAAACTTACAAATGTATATAATCTGTAGCCATATTGATCTTTTCTTCCTTTCTTCTGTTACAGTAGATAACATGCCCCTACTCCCATCAAAGGCCTCTTTCTTGCCCCTGGTATTTGTGTCCTATCCCCTCCGAGCTTCTCAGAGGCCTTCATCTATTGGATTATCCCTCACATTCTGAACCCTCATTCCAAGGGATGAGCTTGTGTGAGTACTAAAGGCTGAATTTTCTCTTTCCTCAGAATGCTAACATGTGCCATTTCCTCTTCTTGAAACAATTTTCCTACTTCTTCTCCTTTACTGATCATAACTCCTACTCAGGTCTTTTTGTAGATGCTATTTACTCAAATAGCCTTCCCTGACCTTCCATCCCTTACCATGGTAGCACCTATTATACTTCCTTTTTCATTACACTCATCTCACTTATAAAGACTTCTCCTATGCATGTCTTGCCCACAAGACAAACATGGTCTCAGCCCTCAAGGTGTCTCATAAACTGCTGTACCTCTAGTATTTAGCATAGTACCTTGCACATTAAATATTTATTGGTGAATAAAATAATTTGCATTCATTTATATCATCTGTAAAGTGTAGTATTTTTAATATGTCTTACTTTTTTTCACAGATTTTAATTTTTTATCTACTAGCTATTGCCATCTTTTTAAAGATTACATTAAATGAGAAGGGCATTGTGACATTTCTGTTCTCATAATTCTTATGATTCTGTTCTTATAATTTTAATGAATGTCTTGTACATAGATTCTCAATGAAAACAATTTTACAGTCATAAAAATCCTATAATGTGGAAAGATCCTTGGGAATCCTATATTTAAATTTCCTCAGATCATTCCTCAGAAGAAGGAAGAAAAGCAAAAGTACTATAGTATTTTTATGAGTGCATTGCTATTATCTTTTTACTCAGATGAGGGTATATTATGGCTATAGACCACCAGTAGGAAGACAATCTGAAAATTCAGTTATTTTGTCTTTCAATTGTGAAGGAGGACGGTCATCTGTTAGTTTACATAACTACTCCTTATAAATAACTTAGTTTTTCTGAGCAACCAACCCTAAATTCATTCAGCATTCACTGAATCCCAGCTAGGTGTGTGATAGGCACCAGGGACCTAACATTACGTTAATTGCACATATATTTACAAATGTTACATAAATTTGCAGTTCAAATACACATGCATTGATATTAAATTTGAGGTGGCAGAAAATTTACTAAAATTAAATAAATATATTTAAATGTAAATATAAATGTGTAAATATAAATGTTTCTCCTTTCAAGATGTTTCTATTGCCAGCCTTGATATAAGTCTTGCTGACACAATATAGCTCCTTTCAGCAGGCCAATATATAATACAGGTTGAATGTCCCTTATTTTGACATACTTGAAACCATAAGTGTTTCAGATTTTGGATTTTGGAAGATTTGCATTATACTTACTGGTTGAGCATCTCTAAACTGGAAGTCCAAAATCTGAAATGTTCCAGCGAACATTATCCTTAAATGTCATGTCTGTGCTCAGAAAGTTTCTAATTTTGGAACATTTGGGATTCAAGAGGGTTTGGAATTTCATAGTTTCCATTAGAGATACCCAACCTGTATCAACATAAGTACAGCAAGGGGCCTTCACATAACAAGCCTCATATTGGAGTCTAATAACCAGACTAATAACCTAGACTAACTGAAAAGGCAATTAGTCTTTACTGATATCTCCTGAAGCATGACAAAGCAAATTTCTTAAAATCTCTTTCCCATTCCTAGCTGTGGATCTCCACACCAGTGCCCCAAACAGCAGCCACCTCAACTCTACCTTCACTTAAGTGTAATTTAGCTTATACAGTTGTCCCTAAGTATCCCAGGGGGGATATTGGCTCCAGGATCCCTGCTGATACCAAAATCCATGAGTGCTAAAGATCCTTATATAAAATGGTGTAGTATTTGCATACAATCCATGCATATCCTCCGATATACTTTAAATCATCTCTAGATTACTTATAATACCTAATACAATGTAAATGCTGTATAAGCAGTTGTTAAACTGTATTACTTGTATTTTATTGTTGTACTTGATATTTCTTTTTTCCTCAAAATATTTCTATCCGCAGTTGGTTGAATCTTCACAGAGGGTGTGGGTGTTGGAGGGTGTGTCTGAGGAGATGCCCAGAAGAAATTTGCCATGCTAACGGTAGTGCCCAGTTTCAAGACAGTCTCTGCCCTTAAGGAGCTAAGGATCTGAAGATAAAATAATTACCCGTTGGGTGGTGTTATACAGATCCTGCATAAAATTAGGATTTCTGAGATGGGCGAGGTCAGCCTGGATGTGAGCCTAGAAGTGGGCATGAACCTGGATAATGAATTAACTCTCAATAAATATTTGTGGGGAGCTTCCTAGCGGGCCTCTTCCAGTCATTCTGTGTATGCGTTTTACATATGCATTTTTCTAGGGCAAGACTCCATTATTTTCAGAATATTCTCATTCCTTTATAGTCATGACTCCCTTTATTTGCGTAACATAAGGAAGGAGCAGATGTACGGTGGGCAGATGAAAGCTTTTCCAACATCACTAAGAGGTGGTTTCAGATCCTGAAGAGGTCTTTGAAGTCCCGGGAGACCTGGGTCCCAAGTGGTCTGACACTTCTCGTTTAACAGTCGCAGGGGTGGCGTGTGGTTCGGGGCACCTGCTCCTGGGCGCCTCCACCTGGCCTTAGCCTCCAGGCCAGGCCGGGTTCCTCCTACCCTTGCTGAGGCCATTTGCTGTCACTCCGCCCACTGCCCCTCTCTGCCTCCTCCCCACTCCTTTTCCTTCCGTGCGCCTCCATTTCTAACTACGCCTCCAGCCCATTCGGGCCCTCCTCGGCTTCCGTCCCAGATGATCCCTCCCCGAAGCTGCCACCGCCTCCTCCATCTCCCGGAGCTGGAGCCGCCTCCTCGGCCAGTGGCGTAGCCGAATCGGTGTCGCGGCCAGCCAGATAGGGGCGGAGGTCCGGAACCCAGTCTGGACCCGAGCGGGGGGCCATGGAGAAAGCGGCCCGAGGCGCTGTTTACACCGACTAGCGCGGGCCCGTTGCGGCTGCAGGCACCATGGACCGAGCCCCCACGGAGCAGGTACGCGGGTTTGGGCTGGGCCCGCCGAGCCGGGGGTTGGGGTCGCCGCTTCCTCACAGGCCAGGCCCAGTTCTCCGAACGTGGGGACCGGGGGCCGGTCCTGCGGCCGCAGACCCCCTCACCTGGGAGCCTGGCAGCTCCCAGCTCTCCTTCATTGTTCCAGCTGCTGCCTGGGACTTGGGGGCTTTTCCAACCCTGATTACTTCCCAGGCGGAGGGCTCGCCGTTGCCGCTTCTCCCCTGCTTGGTGAAGGGGTCAGAAGGCTCCAAGTTGTCCCTGCTCTCCTGGGAGGAGGGCTTATAACTTCTAGTAGTCTCCCCGCTTCCCCCATTCCCTTCAGCTCTGGAATGTGTTTTCAAGGTGGAAAGGCGTTTGAAGGCTTCTCACCCAGAAAGACTGTAAGAGAATGTGTGGTAACTACAGATGAAGGGAAGTCACGGGCCTTTTAGGTCTGTGTTCAATGGAGCGAAGCATTGTTTTTGCAGTGGTTTTACGGAGGTGTTTCTTTTAAGAAACGATACTACGATTTCCCCTTGTCCTTTTATCCAGTTATTTTGCAAAGAATTGTAATTAGTGGGTTTTTTTTTAAAGCTAGCTCTATTTTAAGGGTGTAAAGCATAAGCTTATTTTCGAACCCGTTTTCATATTCGCAAAGTAGTCCTATTAGTGTTCTGTTTTATTTTTATTTGCATCAAATTCCTGATTATGCATGCTAGTAGGTGGTAGCAGGCAGGGATGATAACAGTGTTAAAAGTAATCGAAAACAATAGTTTCCCCCCCAGTATTTTCCACTCTTAAGATCTCTGCGAAACGACTTAATTTGAAGTCCAAGTTTATTCACTCTCTATTCCCTTCTTCGAAGGCCTTGCCCATTGATGACTAGATGACGGAAGAAGAGAGGCTAGTAATTTCTGCCTATTAATTTTACAGTTGGATAATTAGCACCTGAATTAATGAGATAAGATTTCCCAAATTCCTGTATGTGTCTATATGTAGTTGAAGCCGGTTTGTATTTTGAAATCGGACTCTTAGCAGGCAAAGCACAGCTTCCTAGTTGTGTATACTTGTTTTTACAGAAGACTTTTTTTTTTAAAAAAAAGCTTTATGTGAATGTAACTCTGAAGACACAAATGAGTTTTATAAAACAATACATGGAATTACCAAAGAGAAATTGATACAGAGTCTCTTGGCAAATACACTTAGGCATTTATGTGACCCAGAAGTATTCTGTATACAGCCTGTATCTAGTTTAATTTAAAAACATTTTTGAAGGTATCTATCATAAATACCTGAGATTTCAAAGCCTGACAAATGAATACGAATTTTCCTTGAATCATTTCCTTGTATGTGTGTTACTAATGAAAGGGTTCAACATTTTGTTCCTTCACTAGGATGCCAGGACTAAAACCAGTAATGCTACCTTATGTATACTTAGAGTTCCTTTCATCCTAGAGGAAATATAATTAACTATTTAGATGGTAATTTTTAGCATAGCTGTTTGTGATTATCCTAGCAGCAAGTGCTGTGAGCAAATTATTTAAACTAGAGAGCCTTTTCCCCTTTCCACATCTTTCCAAAGTCCACGACCTATTAAAACCTTGTAGAAATTTAAGAACTAGGAAAAAAACATGGAAGAAGGTTTTCTGTTGACTTTTTTTTCTTCCAGTACTTCTTGCCTCTTCCCCAGCCTAACCCTAAATGAAAGAATAATTTGAAAATCCTCCACTTCCCTATACACTCAGAAAATATATATAGAAAAGTGATGTCTTCACCTCATTTATGCGATAGGCAGTTAATTCAGGGGTCCATGAATGACCTAGAAGGAGTATGCTTCTTTATATGCCTTTTTCTAGGGCAAGAATCCATTATTTTCATCGTATTCTCAAAGGACGGCTAAGAACCATTAACTTAATAGTAGATTGGGAACTGAGATTTCTCAATTTTGTGGAATTCTTGATTCTTTATGCCATAGAGTCATGTAATGGCTTTTCCAGGATATTTGGATTATACTTTTGTATTTCTACTATTGAAGTGAATTTAGGTAGATTGACGTCATTGAAAAGTATATGTAATATGTGTCAATTTCCATTTTTCCTCACAGAATGTTTTTTTCCCTTTAGACCAGTGTTGACATACTCAGAATTTCTCTAGATGCCTACAGCATTAAAACTTACTCATTATAGTATTGTGGTAGTTAGCAATTCATAGAAGTTTGGTTTTTAAAAAGTAGTACTTAATATAGACTTTCTGCATTTTATCTTAACCTAATTAAATCCTTGTGTACTTTACAAGTGTAACTTTAAAAAAAAAACGCTTTTTTTTTGCCTGAAGGCATTCATGTTCTTGTTCTTGTGAATTACCTTTTTTTAATATATAAAATCTTTTTATAGAAAAGGTAAATTGTATGTGTGCTGATCAAGATTGTAAAAAGTAACTTACTGGGAATACAGTGCTAGATGGATAATCTTAATTGCAATAATGATTATTTGAAAGAATGTTATAACTAGAAGAAAATCTTAGGAGTATCCTCTTTCAGCACTTTTTATAGAGTATTCTCTGTATTTAATCAAAATAGCTAGCTTAATTTTAACTGCCAGAGTTAAATATTCTAAGAATATGTGTTGCTTGGTATATAATGCATTTTTTCCCCTGAAAAAAAAAAAAAAACTTGCATTTTGAGATGTGAAGGATAAATCATGGAGTTCATTTTGTTTATAAAGGCTTACTGGTTCTATTTTTAGGAAATTTATTGAGATTTTTTAAAGTAAACAATGGGCTTAGAAGTGACAGAACACTTGAGGTTAACAGTCTCTTTTCTGTTATCACAAATAATTTAAATGTTGGCTTAATTTTTAGTACATTAACATTAGTTCTTTTAAAAGAATTTATAAGATTACTAGTTATTAATGTCTTTAATTTTTGGAAAAACTAATGAATACGTATGATTTCATGCAACATGCGTTTTACCAATCAGGATAGAAAATTGTCTAGCTTTTCATTGTTTCCTTTAAATAATTTATAAACTTTAAGTAATGTCAGTACTCCAAATGAAATGTATTCTAAATAAGTTATTTTAAATGTTTATTATTCAGTAATACGTATAGTTGGCCCTTACGTAAGGATATAAGTAAATGAGCTGTCTTATCAGATTTAAAAAATAATATGTTCATAATAAAAAAGTATTAATATATACATTTAGGGAAAATAGCATTTGGAAATTTAAAAAGACATTTTCTGTTTTTTCTTTTTGAGACGGAGTCTCACTCTGTCACCCAGGCTGGAGTGCAATGGTACTGTCTCAGCTCACTACAACCTCGCCTTCCCAGTTCAAGCAGTTCTCCTGCCTCAGCCTCCTGAAGCTGGGATTACAGGTGTGCACCACCACACCCAGCTAATTTTTGTATTTTTAGTAGAGATGGGGTTTCACCATGTTGTCCAGGCTGGTCTCGAACTTCTGACCTCAGGTGATCCACCCACGTCGGCCTCCCAAAGTGCTGGGATTACAGGCTGAGCCACTGCACCTGGCCAAAAAGACATTTTCAAGCTCTTAGGTCAAAAAAGAATAAAAAGTAGTATGATAGGTTATTAAAAATGTGTTAATAATAAAATACCACATATGAAAAACCTATGGGGCCCAGCATGGTGGTGTACACCTGTAGTCCCAGCTGCTAAGGAGGCTAAGGCAGGGGCATCGCTTGACCCTACCTCGGTGTTCTGGACTGTAGTGTGCTATGTGGATCAGGTATCTGCACTAAGTTCAGCATCAATATGATAACCTCCCTGGAGTGGGGAAACTCCAGGTTGCCTAAGGAAGGGTGAACTGGCCCAGGTCAGAAATGAAGCATGTAGAAACTCTGGTGCTGATCAGTAGTGAGATCACACCTGTGAATAGCCACTGTACTCCAGCCTGGACAACATAGTGGGACCCCATCTCTAAAACAAACAAACAAACAAACAAAAAACCTATGGAATGTGGCTGAAGCTATACTCTGAGGCAAATGCATAGTCATAAATGCCTTCATTGTTAAACAGTTTACAAGGAGAATGAAAATTAAGCATCCAAGGCAAGAAGTTAGAGGGGAAACTCCATCAAATCAAAAGAGAAAATAATAAGTTAAAAACAAAGTAGTGGATAATTCAGAAACTAATATTAAATCTAGAAAGCTGGTTTTTTAAAAAAGTAACCATCAGATTTAAAAAACATTAGATTTGGTCTGTTTTTTAAAAAGGAAAAGTATGGGTAGCAAAGCATTCTGCCCAGTATGGGCAGAATCTAAGTTAAATACTTTGATTTGTCTTCCTCATTATTGTCTGGAGTCTGTGAAACTTACACGTGTAAGTACTGTGTTTTGTTTCGGCATTTTAATCAAAAAAACAGCACAGCTAGTAGTTATCTCTTAAGCATTAATCATTTTTCCCTTCAGAGGACATTTATTTTATCTTTTGCCATGAGATGTAAAATATCTTAAAGTTTGAGATATTCTATTTTTACCTTAACATAGAAAGAATATGGAGGGTTTCCATGGTCATATTTTTTCTGTGGGTGTGTGGTACATACTCTGGAGTTTCACTGTGGGAGAGTGTCTCGTTATGTTCCAACTTCAGTTTTGATTTTAAGTGGGTGTCAGTTTTTTATTGCTTAATCTGGGAAAATTATTTGCATTCATCTGGAGGTTCCATGTCTGAGGAATTTAGTGTACATTCTCTGCCGACGTGTGCTTTGTGGTAATGTTTGCCCATTTTCCCTAACCCAGTCCAGCACAGTGCTCTTTCCGGAATGTATGCTAAATGCACGTTTGTTGAATTATATAGGCTCTCAATGATCTGAATACATTTGTCTAATAAACTCTTTTAAATAACATTTTTGTTTCATACTCTGACAGAGTCTTGAGCTTTCTAGATTATTTACATCAAAGGCATTTTGTTTATAGACATTTGCCTTAATGTACACAAAATAAAAAGTGAACATGAAACTGCTTAAATATTTTTACAAAGATGATTCTGGGACTATGATTTTTTTCATTAATTTGGAAAATTCTGAAATAATTTCTGAAAGATGAAGATAGTTTTGCTATGTAGATGGTTGTGCTTTTTTGTGAAGCAAATAATACAAGAATGATTAGACTTTGTTAAGTGTAGTTTACATTTATTCCATATTTATTTCCTTTATGAAGACAACTCTCTGCTATGAAAGTTCTTATTCCTAAAAAATAGATCTTGGCAAAAGTAGAGAGACTAAACACAGAAATTCAAACTGAGGAATAACGTTCTATAATGTATCTAGTCTAGTTTTTTCATACATTTTGTTGTTCACTATGCAAGGCTTTTTTTTTTATTTGTATAATAATATAATTAAAACACTGCCAGAATTTGTTATTTATTTAACATGTTAATGTTATGGGCTTTATTATGTGGACTTTTAAGAATAGTTTGGGATCGGCCGGGCGCGGTGGCTCACGCTTGTAATCCCAGCACTTTGGGAGGCCGAGGCGGGCGGATCACGAGGTCAGGAGATCGAGACCATCCTGGCTAACACGGTGAAACCCCGTCTCTACTAAAAATTCAAAAAAAAATTAGCCGGGCGTGATGGTGGGCGCCTGTAGTCCCAGCTACTCGGGAGGCTGAGGCAGGAGAATGGCGTGAACCCTGGAGGCGGAGCTTGCAGTGAGCCGAGATTGCGCCACTGCACTCCCGCCTGGGCCACAGAGCAAGACTCCGTCTCAAAAAAAAAAAAAAAAAAAAAAAAAAGAATAGTTTGGGATCATAACACTCCTTTTCAGTCCTGAGAACAACAGATGCTGCATTTTGATGTATATTACTGAAGGCCCCAAAGTCACAATAAACAGCTTTTGAAACCATACAGAGTTGTAGCTATAGGAGAAAGTTTGCCAGTCTGTTCCTACTAGTGACATCTTCTGTTTGTGCAGCTGTTGACTATAGCAGCTTCTCTCTCTCTCTTTTGTGTGTGTGCTAAAAACAAAGGATCATTTTAGTGTTTGTGAGTTTTATTGTTGAACTCTGATAACTAGAATTGCACTTAGAAACCAATACAAACTTTAATAAAGGCACATACTGTGTATATGTGCAGCCATTAGTTTTGAATTATACATAATACCTTTTAAACAGTAGGTTGCCTAAGTTTATAAAACTTTCTATGAAGTACAAATGAAGTGGGGTGTAAAAATTTTTTGCAGCTTTTGAGCTGAGCAAGAATTTGAATGTATTGCTACCAAAGTAATTTATGAGTTGATATGTTTTGGGGGGAGAGGTCAGAAAAAGTGTTATTTTAAAATTATTTATTTATGATTATATTAGTATGGTTAAGATTGATAATTTGATGTACCCATATACCTTGCTGAAAAAAACCCCGAATGTCTACTAGCTCAGATTTATAAAACTGCTCAGTGAGTTCTCATATGTCGTAAAGAACTTTTTGTTTTTTAAAAGAAATCCTGGCCAGGCTCATGCCTATAATCCCAGCACTTTGGGAGGCTGAGGTGGGAGGATCACTTGAGCCCAGGAGTTCAAGACCAGCCTGGGAAACGTGGCAAAACCCCATCTCTACATTAAAAAGTTTGCTGGGTATGGTGATGTGCACCTGTAGTCCTGACTACTTGGGAGGCTGAGGTGGGAGGATCACTTGAGTCCAGGAGATTGAGGCTGCAATGAGCCATGATGACACCACTGCACCCCACCTCCACCTCCACCCCGTGACAGAGCGAGACCCTGTCTAAAAAAAAAAAAAAGAAAGAAAAAAAAAAGAAATCCTAAAAATTACATTTTTAGTGCAGTTAAACTGTGATTTCAGTTTCTTTTCTTATGCATGTATGTGTGAACTGTATAAAGCAAGCTTCCATTATCTTTGCATTATTGCTGTACGTCGGCTTTTCTTTTTCCTAATTGGGGAAATATTTATTGTTTTGATATATTGTGTCCTATATAAGTGAGTTTGGGTTCTAATGAATATCACAGAGTGAAAATTACTAGCTTGTATCATTAGAGTTTGAAGATATTTTTGCCTCTTATGTTAATCTTTAAGAAACCAACTTCAGTTCACTAATATTTGTATTATTATTATAGTATATCTACTTCTGATTTGGTTAATAGTACAAATGTAAACCTCAAATCAGGTAGGGAGGAAGGATACTGAATTAATACTGCTGGACAGTTCAGATTTTACCATCCCCACCCCTTCCCTTTTAACAAGCATTTATAAATATTTACAGTGAACTTTTTAGAGAAGTTAATTTTTCTGAAACAAATGAGCATATCTCATCTTCAGATTTTTTACTTGGATTCCTTACTAGCTGCTTTTGTGAGAAACATGAAATTTATTCTTACAACTATGTTTTGGTGGGAGCCTCTAATAAATATCACCCTAGTGGGTTTGTTGGGAAAAAGTTCTGGCTAGGACCATGGCTTTTAAGGTAATTTTTTACAGTAGTTAAAAACATTAGCTTGCATTTCACTTACTGGTTTCATTAAAACATGTTTCATATCATTTGATATTATAATATTTATATGATTTTTTACAGAATGTACTTAATGATTTCAAAAAATAATTTAAAATGTTAAATTTGTTGTTAACTATAACATATAGAAACTGCATAAAACCAATGTACAGCTTGATGAATTGTTACAGGACAAACACCTTGTAAATTTTATCCTGGTTAGGATATAGAACTTTGCCAGGCACCCTGGAAGCTCTCCAGATTCCTCTTAATCACAACTCTCTTTGCTAAGAATAATTCCTATCCTGACTTTTATGGATTTTATTTACTTTTCTTTATAGTTTTGTTGCCCATATGTGCATCCCTAAATACTACAGGGTTTTTTTTTTTTTTATGTCTTTTAAATCTCTATAGATTTCTTGTAAGAAAAGATACAAAGTAAACTAAAATGGATTACATATCTTGGATTACTTTAGTTTACTCACATGTGTACTGGGAAACTGAAGTACTCATATTTTCCCCAGTTTAACTGTGCAGATTTTTTCTTGTTAATGTTAAGTATTTTTTCATCTTAGACATTTTTTCTTTTAATGATACTGATCTAATTTCCAGAAATGGACAGAAATAGACAACTTTTAAGACTATTCAAACAAATATAGAGTAATAATTATCCTTCATAATTTTGTTCAATTTTTCCCCCAACAAAATGAGTTAAAAACACATTGTTTTGTCTGAAGAGCTACATCTCTTACTACCAACTTTATTTTTAGAACCTGAGGTATAACTTCTGTGTTCTCTTGATTGTTTTAACAGCTTTAATTACATTGAAATGTAACATTTGGTTTATTTTCCTTATTTGATGGCTTTGTCTAAATAACTTGATCATTATTCAGTTATTTTAAAATTGACATTGCTCTTCCTTTTGGATGTTTTATGAATGCTGAGAAGAGACCTAATTACTGTTTATAAGGACTGACTCTTCTGTTGTTAAATTTTGAATTTGTAGGAAGTTGCTTGCTCATTTGTTATTAATGTATTCTACTTTCTCTTTGAAGAATGTCAAGCTGTCAGCTGAGGTGGAGCCATTTATTCCCCAGAAGAAGAGTCCTGATACATTTATGATCCCTATGGCTCTCCCAAATGATAATGGAAGTGTTTCTGGTGTGGAACCAACTCCAATTCCCAGCTACCTGATTACTTGTTACCCATTTGTGCAGGAAAACCAGTCCAATAGGTAATTTGTTTATTTTTATTTTCTTTTTTGTGGGGGTGGCTATAAAAGCTGGCAAAGTGCACTTAATATTTTTCCTTTGCAACTTTTAGACTTTAACCATTTCTCTATTAAGAGGAGTAAATAAAATGATACTGAAATTTGGAAATTGTTGATATGGATTAGTTTCTCATTTTTTCTAAGAGAAAATTGAATTCTTAGGCTATGTCTCCTTCAGTAAGTCATTGAAATTTATTTGAAGTAAGTCAGCTCAAAGGGAGAAATAAAATATTCAGAGGTGAACAAAAACCTTTTTTTTTTTTTTTTTTTTTTTTTTTTTTTGAGATTGAACATCTAATCTCATAGTTGCCAAGATAGTCTCTGGTGTAAAAGAAAATACCAAGCAATAGTCCTTAACTTTGAAGCTGTCATGGTTAGCATATATTAGTATTTCTAGACTCAGATTTTAGTTTAAATTTATGTCTGTGCTATAGTTACAGGATGATTTAGCAAAATTGCCCGCAATTAGGTCATGTGTAACCTAGTGGTTAGGGTGTTACTTATGATAGTCGTGATAGCCATTCTAACCCTGCTTATACTGTCTGAGTGATTAGCACTTCATTGGTATAGTTTATTTTATGGCTGTATAAAAGTACTTTCAGCCTTTTTCAAGTTATGTCACACAGAAAATTTCGTTTTTCTAGGACTGTAAATGGATGAGGCAGCTGTTAACTGGCTATAGGCTCTGTCATTCCTGAGGGCTGAGTCAATCAATATTTCCACCCATCTATAAACCACTGTTGCACATTAGTGTGCCAGTGCACATTCTTTGAGAAATTGTGGATGTATGGTATATAAGGCCATTCAACTACTCAAATATTAAATGTTCAAGTTAATATTCTGAGGCTGTTAATCAAGAGTCTTGAGGGTTAGACAAATAGTAGAAACTAAGGAATCATTTTCAATTGAAGTTAGCATGATATTAAATATCTTTGCCTATATTGGATAATGTGCAAACTGATTCATGAAACTAAATTTAATAATACTATTTTTCTATTTGAAAAAATGGCCAAGTATACAGTATGATAAACTTAATTGATTTTCTTGGTTTACCAAATAATCTTTGTGAATTTATGAGTAAACAAGCCAACAGATTATTTAAAAAATATTTTTAAGAATATGGCCGTGAACATTTTACTATTTTGCTTTGTCATGGGAGTAATGAGGAAAAGCCCTAT
Organism: Homo sapiens; assembly: GCF_000001405.40. Taxonomy (NCBI): domain Eukaryota; kingdom Metazoa; phylum Chordata; class Mammalia; order Primates; family Hominidae; genus Homo; species Homo sapiens. The sequence continues at coordinate 49,036,376 of NC_000015.10, read as the reverse complement.
GCTTCAACTCCCTAGTCCTTAGGACCCCATATTGATTTGGTGAGGGGGCTGCTGGGACAGGAAGAATTTTGCTAGTGTTTTATATGAACTGCATTAGAAGAAGCTCCACTCCTGAAGATGTCAGTGGACAGATTTGCCTCTTCTCTTCTTTCCCTTGGACCCAGAGCCTGCTTCTATTGCCAGGAGGGGAGCCAGGAAAAGAGCTGGACTTGGCCAAGTGATTAGGGGAGTATGAGAGGAGGAGTAGGAGGCTCTGAGATTGAGCTGAAAATGAGGAATTAAATCACCCTATGTAAAGATCACCTTACACAATGGTCACTTTACTCTGTTCTTTACAGAAGGCTGTCACGGTTGTGTACCTTGAATGGGAACTTTGGACTGCCATTGTTGGTAGATACAGTAGCTAGGTGTTTAACTTTTAGGCAGAAATATCTTGAGGAATTGGAAGGCAGAGTTACAGACAATGCTGGTATGTGGAATACTGTAAAACCATCAGGTTGGGTTCGTTTATACTGTTGTTTACATTGTTACTGCATGTACATAATGATCTCTATAGCAAAGAAATTTATAAGATGATGATAGTTTTGTCTCCTTTCCCAAAATTATCATGAAGCCACTGTTCTGTTTTGTCTTTTATTAGTGTAAGTTAAGAGATTTTGCTTTAGTGGTATTTTTAGACTTGTCAATAGATTTGTTCTTCTTTGATTTGGTTTTGCAGACAGTTTCCTTTATATAACAATGATATACGATGGCAACAACCCAATCCAAACCCTACTGGACCATACTTTGCCTATCCCATTATATCTGCTCAGCCGCCTGTTTCTACAGAGTATACATATTATCAGCTGATGCCAGCACCATGTGCCCAGGTTATGGGTTTCTATCATCCTTTTCCTACACCTTACTCCAACACCTTTCAGGCTGCAAATACTGTAAATGCTATCACCACAGAATGCACTGAGCGTCCAAGTCAGCTTGGACAGGTCTTCCCATTGTCCAGCCATCGAAGCAGAAACAGTAACAGAGGATCAGTGGTCCCAAAAGTAAGTGTCTGGTCTTGATTGGCTTTTAAATTTGATATTACTTATATTAGTATAAGCAATTTGCTACTTGGGTTGATTGACCATTAATGCTGAATTTACTATAAAACATATTGTTCACTATTGTAAAATGGTAAAGGGTATGTAATTCTTAAAATAATTTTCTTTGTGTTGTTTGTTCCTCATTCTTAATTGTGATATGATTTATAATCATTTTCACATTCCTTTAGAGAGTTTTACATAACATAAGGCAGAAATATTTACAAATAAATTTAGTGATAAAAATTGCATGGTGACACTAACATTTGTAAGTGATTAGTGTGGATCTTGTGCTAGCTGTGTTGAATGGCTAATGCACTTCAAGATATTTCAATGGGCCAGGTGTAGTGGCCACACCTATAATCCCAGCACTTTGGGAGGCCGAGGCAGGCTAGTCGCTTGAGCCCAAGAGTTTGAGACCAGTCTGGGCAACATGCGAAACCCCATCTCTACCAAAAATACAAAAATTAGCTGGGTATGTTAGTGCATGCCTGTAGCTCCAGCTACTTGGGGGCTGAGGTGGGAAGATCGCTTGAGCCCAGGAGGTCAAGACTGCAGTGAACTGAGATAGCACCACTACACTCCAGCGTAGGTGACAGAGTGACACCCTGTCTCAAAAAAAAAAAAACAAAAGATATACTTTCAATCTTCAAAAGTTAGCTGGAGACATTATGGAAAAGAACATTTGTGGTTCATTAGATCGCTTCAACTTTATTGTTTCTACTCTGTGAATTTTTAGTAGGAATAGCACTTTGTTATTTAAGAGGTGCTTTACTTTTATATGAACAAGGGTCTCCTAAGACTGAAGAAAATGGAAGATAAATATGTGAAACCACTTACTCAGTACGAGCCTTTTGACTAAGTAAAAAAAAAAAAAGAAAGAAATGAAGGCTTTGAATCACAAGAGAATTAAGGTTTAATTTTAGTTAACTTTTTAACTTAAAAGGCTATTTTACAGTTGAAGCCTTATTGTCAAAGCTAATGGGAAGAAAGAATGTGTTTCTAGTTGGCACTTTTGAGCTGATAGAAGAGGGACATCTTAGACATATCTTATGAGTACATCATCAAGGAGTTGATGCTTTCCCTAGATTCCATTAGCCCAACTTCTTCAGTGAAGTCTTTGCTGCCTCCTCGTATAATTTCTAAAAATTGAAATACAAGCAGCAGAGATTGCTTTAAAAAGCTTTTAGTTTTTGTTCATGGAAACTTTCTTGGTCAAGAAATATCTTTTCGGGAACTCAGAATGAAAAAAAAAGTGTTGGAAATAAGATAGTAGTATATAATTTACAGATGTTTAAGGAACATGATTTCTTAGAATACATTCCCAGCACTTCAATTTCAGACGTTCAAGAAGTTAAATAAATTCAGAGTTCTATTGTGTAAGTTGCTATTAAGTGATGAATACTTATATTTTTAAAAGTAAAGGAAGAGATCAGTTTATTAATATTGATTGATTGATTGATTGATTGACAGGGTCGGTCTCTGTCAGCCAGACTGGAGTACAGTAGAGCAATCATTGCTCACTGTAATCTCAAACGCCTGGGCTCAAGTGATCCTCCTGCCTTAGCTTCCTGGGTAGCTAAGACTACCGATGCCTTTGTTTTTTTGTTTGTTTGTTTGTTTTGTAGCGATTGGGGGTCTCTGTGTTGCCCAGGCTGGTCCCAAACTCCTGACCTCAAGTGATCTTTCAGCCTAGGAGCCCAGGAGTTTGGGATTATAGGTGTGAACCACTGTGCCCTGCCATGATCAGCTTTTTTATATTTTCATTTTGAACTCTGAAGCAGAAACCATTTTTCATGTCATTGCTTTTCTGAAACTAAAATTTACTTTGGGATAGGTTACTACCCTTTTAAAGAAATTTACAACCCCTTGTATGACATTATTATACCCCTGCTATTAATTATTTTTTTGACTGAGAAAATTAGCAGTTAAAAATGAATTCATTTATTAATCATACTTGTGTTAATTATTATTTGAAAAAGTGTATATATGTGCGTATAATACATTGTTTAGCCTCGTATGCTTTGCTGCAGGCATTTCATGAAACCCTAGTACTATTTCCCCATGGAAGCCAAGAATTGTGAACATACACTTAAGATGTGTATTTTATAATGTTTATTTTAGATGTGTTTTTTATAATGTTCAGTACATTGAATAGTTGTGTGTTTTTTGTTTTTTTGTTTTTTTTTTAAATCAGCAACAGCTTTTACAACAGCACATAAAAAGCAAAAGGCCGCTGGTGAAAAATGTAGCTACTCAGAAAGAAACAAATGCAGCAGGTCCTGATAGTCGATCAAAAATTGTGCTTCTGGTAGATGCTTCACAGCAAACTGGTAAGGCAAGGGTTCTTACATGTGCGTCACTGATTTTTATCTGTTTTCATTCATTCACTTTATAATTGTGGTCTGAACCACTTGTCAGAATTGTAGACTTTCATCCTTTCATTTGTCCTGCCACTTTGTGAAATTCTCTAGGAAGGATAAAGCAATCTGTGTCCTTAATGTTCTTTCAATTTGCTTGCTGGCCTTATGTACAATTTTGGGCGGGTTTAAGATGTCCTTTCCTTTTGTAATAATGGAGCGGTTCAGAAATCAGAGATGGAATTTTGCAGATACTGTAGAAATTTGAGGAACTCATTTTGGTTAAAATTAAAATTGTACATGTTTTTATAACTAGATTAAAGCCCTTTATAAAACATCCTAATATCCTATATATCTTTGTAGAAAGAACTTAGGAAGTTTTCTATGCCATATTTTAGCATAGATCTGAACCAAACCTATGTATGTCATGTATATCCTGTTAAACAAGTACAAGTTTTGAACTAGTCAAATATCATTTTGTCAAAAATTTTTAGAGGACTGTACAGGCATTAAATAAAAAAGCTTTCACCTGGTAATAGACAAGAATTAGTATTCTTACAATGTGCTATTTTTTACAGTTTATATTTTGAAATTTCACTTTGTATCTTTGATCTCAGTACAGAAACTATCTGTAGAGTAGATGTTTATCTCCTCTCACCCATAGTTATTGACACTAGTAAAAAATCTTTGTTTGTGATCCAAGGCCAAGATCTGTTCAAAGGCAGAATTAGCTTTTTTATCTCTGTACAGCCTCCATTCAAATGAAGTCTGAGTTGAAATGAATAAGATGGCTTATACTTTTTTCATTTAGATTATACCCTTTCTTTTGGAGATCTATGTATCTTTTTACGGTTGCTTAGATCCATTAGGAGCAGAGAAAGGATCTGAAAATCAGTTTTAAAAGCCTTGTTGATAGTACAGTCATTGTGTGGTTAAAGCATAAAGGCATGAAGCTTTGAGATTAACAGACTGACAAATACTTGGAGTGGCTATGGAAAAGAATCATAATGTAATATATTACTAAGTTTTCTGGTTTGGTTGTCTCTAGTCATAGTGACCCATTTCTATGTGCTTTTAACCCTGGGAAGGCTTTAAAATATCCTTACTTCTTTACGTTGCTTATTATTTTAACCACAAAGACATTCTTTCTAAGGCACAGGAATTAGAAAATGAAAAGATGAAGGTGAAATTTGAATAGAATGTTATATATTATACATCCTATTAGTATTTTTATTTTTAGTTTTCAAATCTGAGGATTTTAATTCTGTCAGTATTTTTATTCTTCAGTTAAGTTTTTAATTTCTGAGGATTAATTGGTATCAATCAGAGATCGAATTAAATATTATAGTTCATTAGGAATGTCTTTCCATTTCTAACAGATTTTTACATTTGAACACAAGCTCATTATTTAATAAGAGTTTATAATAAGATAGCTGGATCTAATATAATATACAAAAGTTAATTGCATTTCAGTTTGCCACCCACAAAATTTAAAAAAAAGATGTCATTAACAATAACACTGAAAAAGAGAGTTTCTAGAAATCTTAGAGAAGACATATGGGATGTATAGGCAGAAAATGGTAAGAATAGGCTGAGCGCCGTGGCTCATGCCTGTAATCCCAGCATTTTGGGAGGCCGAGGCAGACAGATCACTTGAGGTCTGGAGTTCGAGACTACCCTGGCCAGTATGGTGAAACCCCATCTCTACTAAAAAATATAAAAATCAGCTCTGTGTGGTGGCACGTGCCTGTAGTCTAGCTATCTGGGAGGCTGAGGTAGGAGAATCACTTGAACCTGGTAGGCGGAGGTTGCAGTGAGCCGAGATCACATCACTGCACTCCAGCCTGGCAACTGAGAAAGACTCTGTCTCAAAAGGGAAAAAAAAAAAAAAAAAAAAAAAGAAAATGATAAGTCTTTATTATGGGACATTAAGAAAAACCTAAATATCATGTTCAAAGTGATTTTGGGGAAACTTGATAAACTAATGCTAAAATAAAGGAACAGTGGTCTCAGAAGACCCAAGACATCCCTGGAAAAGAACTTTTCCTCTAGATATGGAAACTTGTAAAGCCATCTTAATTCCTATAGGTTTATTTTGTCAATGCAGAATACAAAAGTTGAACAGAACAGAGAGCCCAGAAACAGACCCCACATGTGTATGAAAACATGTATATGGAAGATGACAGATAGCATTACTGATTTATGCCCCATGCAAATCTATTTCAGATTGATTAAAGACTTAGGGAAACCCTATGGTAGAAGAAATATAGGCAGATAACTTTATGACTGCAGGGAGGGAACTATTTCTAAAATCAAGAATTTCTATTTATTAAAAGTTAGTGAAAGAATAATCCCCAACTTGGAAAAGACTTTTACCATGTATATAACTGACAAAGGATTAGCATGAGATATATAAAGAATTAATATGAATCAATAAGAGAATGATCCCACCCTGTCCTTGGGGCCCGTGGAACACTGTGCTAGCAGGCTGAACAATTTTGCGGGAATATGGGAATTTTTCTTTGGACGCAGTCATCTCATTCCTATGAATGTATCCAAATGGAGCCTCCCCCTAGAAAGAGAGGGGGTATTTGATTAAAGATGCATATTGCAGCAGTGCAGCAAAAGTACTGAAGCTTTCATAGTGTCCACTAGTAGCAGGTAACAAGTCCTGCTTGGATACTACTCTAAGTACAGAACACCCACTCAATGGAATAATATGGAGTCATCTTATAATTATGAAGACTTGTCATGACATGACATCATATTAAGCAGAGCACAACTCAAAATTGTATCAGTGTTGTATAAAAATTATGAATCGGCAGAAATGTGGAAAAAGGAAAACTTGTAATTTGTTCAAAGAGAGTCTTGTTTTTTGTTTTTTTTTTTTGGACTGTCTTGGTACAGTTATGATTTGTGAAGTAAATAAGAAATACAACTCAGTTGAAAAATGGCAGAAGTCAGATAATTCAAAAGTAATATTAATAAAAATTTCTCAGAAGGGAAAACACTGTGGCTAAAAGTAAAAAAAAAAAAAAGATCAGCCTCATTATTAAGCAGGTACATACAAATTAAAACCCACAATGAGCCACCATTTTATAACCAACAGATTAGGTACAGTCTGGATGATAATGTAAAGTATTTAATGAATATGTGGATCATTGGGGGTATATACTACTGTTGGAGTATAACTGTCTATTAAGTACCTGTGAAAATGATTTGGCATCAAGTAAAGTTGGATATGTGCATCCCCTAAGTTCTTGCAGTATTTACCTTAGAGAAACTTACATATGCATATATGCATGTTCATGTGTCTGTGTATCAATGTCAACAGTACTATTGTTCTTAGTAGCAAAACTCCAAAACAACTCAGGTGTCTCATCAGTGGTACAAAGGATAAGTACACTGTGGTATATTCATGTAAAGGCATGAATCACATGCACCAGAATCTGAAAGCCAGTGTTGAGGTGTGGCAGGGGTGAGAAGTCACATGGATAAAGTGGCGTTTTAAAATAAAGTTAGAAACTGGAAAATTATATGATTTAGGTTTTAGAAATACAGAAATCCATGGCAAATGCGTAAAGAAAAGTGAGGGAATGATATGCACAGAATTCAGAATAGATTGTAAGCTCTGGGTAAGAAAACGGTATAGTAGTGGAGGGGAGCACACAGTGACCTTCAAAAGATTGACGATGTTCTCTTTCCTAAATGGTTGATGGTGGTTTTAGTATTTTAGTGATATATTTTATTCTATTTTCATAATAAAAAACATATAGAACATATAGACTGGGCGAGGTAGCTCATGCCTGTAATCCCAGCATTTTGGGAGGTCAAGTCGGGTGGATCGCTTGAGCTCAGGAGTTTGAGACCAGCCTGGGCAACATGGCGAAACCCTGTCTCTACAAAAAATAACCCTGGTGTGGTGGTGGTGCGTGCCTGTAGTCCCGGCTACTTGGGAGGCTGAGGTAGAAGGATTGCTTGAGCCTGGGAGGCAAAGGTTGCAGTGAGCCAAGATTGCGCCACTGCCCTCCAGCCTGCGAAACAGACTGAGACCTTGCCTCAAGAAAAACAAAAAACATTATGAACCAACTTACCAGGAACATCTTACCTTTTAATGACCTTTTCAAAAAGTTGTCACCTATTTCTTCATTTATGAAGTTTGGTATCTATTTTCTTACAATCTTAATGATGATTTAATGAGAATTTATCAATTTGTTCATCACAAAGAATTGTCAAACTTTCCTTGCCTTTGTAGATTTCCCATCAGATATCGCTAACAAGTCTCTCTCAGAGACCACTGCAACAATGCTCTGGAAGTCCAAGGGCAGGAGAAGAAGAGCATCCCACCCTACTGCTGAATCTTCTAGTGAGCAGGGGGCTAGTGAAGCCGACATTGACAGTGATAGTGGTTACTGCAGTCCCAAACACAGCAACAACCAGCCTGCAGCAGGGGCTTTGAGAAATCCTGATTCTGGGACCATGAATGTATGTGACATCGTCTTGATTTCTTTATTGGTCATTGATATCAGTATTATTATTTTGCATCCTCTGCTAAAGCTTAAGTATCTGTTTTCATTAGCAATTCCTGTAGTAATAGGATAGTTACAAATGTATTTTGTATTTTATTAATAAAAATATTCATTTATGAAGAAGTATGATAATATTGTGATATGCATGCTTCACACTAGGATAAATTATAAAACATTTAGCAAAGTACATAATGTTGGTTCTCAAGTAGAGTATAATTGTCTTTTTGTTTCTTTTTTTAGCATGTGGAATCATCTATGTGTGCAGGTACTTGTTTTCTGCATTGTGTTTTTGCTATACTTTCTACTTTGTCCATATCAGAGTTTTCCTTTTAAGCATGAGGCTTGCTGATACTGCAAAAAAAACTTAGAAGTCTTCCAGAGATTCAAGGTAATTTGGAAGTACAGTTTTGCTGATCAGCTTGAGAAAATGCCAGCTGGAGGTATTCTGTAAGAGGACACTTGTATTACTAAGAGCTGTAGTACTGCTTAGAAGTTTATAGGGCCGGGTAAGGTGGCTCACGCCTCTAATCCCAGAACTTTGGGAGGCCGAGGTGGGTGGATCACGAGGTCAGGAGTTCGAGACCAGCCTGGCCAACATGATGAAACCCAATCTCTAGTAAAAATACAAAAAAGTTAACTGGACGTGGTGGTGAGCGCCTGTAATCCCAGCTACTTGGGAGGCTGAGGAAGGAGAATTGCTTGAACCCGGGAGGCGGAGGTTGCAGTGAGCCAAGATCTCGCCACTGCACTCCAGCCTGGGCAAGAAGAGTGAAACTCTGTCTCAAAAAAAAAAAAAAATAATAAGGTTTATAGAAAAATTTTCACTATTACATTTCTAGTGACTGAATTTCAGTATGTGAAGTCAGGTCAATTTAGGTTTTCCTACCTTTTATAAGTAAATTATAATTTAAAATTTCATTTGTTATAGGTGGTGTAAATTGGTCCAATGTAACTTGCCAGGCAACTCAGAAAAAACCTTGGATGGAAAAAAATCAGACATTTTCTAGAGGTGGAAGGCAAACTGAACAAAGAAATAATTCACAGGTAATTCGAATTAGGTTGGAGAAAATTGATTAGGTATGAGATGAGTCATTTTAGATTTGTTAGTTACAGTGGTGTAGTGGATATGCACATGGAGTGATTTGGAAGTGAACTATCATGTGTAACTTTAAAATGGCTTAGCTAATAAACTTACTTAAATAATGAAACAAAATGGCAAAGTGTTGAGTGGGTATATATGGTACCATTTTTCTACATTTCTGTATATTTAAATATTTTATATGTTAAAAAAGGATGCCCTTTAATCCTGTTTCATTTGCCATGTCTTTTTCCCACATAAAAATTCAAAAGCATTTTGTGCTTTAAATATTGATTCTTTGATCTTAAGGATTGTAGCCTTGTCCACGTGTCTTTACTTGACTGTAAATACCCTTTTGTGCTAATGGCAGTGCCATAGTGATGGCTTGCCATGAGGTAGTCAGACAGAGCAGTTTCCTGAGGCCCAGAGGAACAAGGTGTAACTGCAGTACAGTAGAGCAGGCTGTGCACTGCCATGAACTACCCATAACTGTATCTTCCTGCTTTGGTTGGCTGTAAAATCAGGGAGTTGTTTAATGGTCATTATTTTTCCTTTTCATTTTTCAGATGGCCTTCTTGGATTCCTTAACTCTATTTAAGGAATTAAAACTATCATATGACTATATGGACATGTTCATCTGTGAATAAACTTAAATAGGAGCAAGTTACTAATGGGTTAAATATACTAACTCTTTGCCTGTTCCTTTGCCTCCCTGGAATGAAATACAGGTTGAGCATCCAAGAAAAAAGTTTCAGATTTTAGAGCATTTTGGATTTGGGATTGGGATTTTAGAGCATCTGAAACTTTTTTCTTTCTAGTCGACACATGATAACTGTACATAGTTATAAAGTATAGTGTGATATATTGATATATGTATATAATGTGTAATGATCAAATCAGGGTGATTACCATATCCATCATCTCAAACATAGATCATTTCTTTGTTTTGGGAACATTCAGAATCCTGTCCCCTATTTGAAAATAAACATTAAATTATTGTTAACTGTAGTCACTCTACCAGGGCTATAGAACACTAGAATTTATTCCCTCTATGTAACTGTAATTTTGCATTTGTTGACCAACCTTTCCCTATCCCTCTCCCTCAACCCTTCCCAGCCTCTGGTAACCATTATTCTACTCTCTACTTGTAAGATCAACTTTTTTAGCTTCCACATGTGAGTGACAACGTGTGTTATTTATCTTTCTGTGCCTTGCTTATTTCACTTAACATATTGTCCTCTAGGCTCATCCATGTTGCTGTGAATGACAGGATTTTGTTCTTTTTATGGCTGAATAGTATTCCCTTGTTTATATATACCACATTTCTTCATCCATTCATCTGCTGATGGACACTTAAGTTGATTTCATATCTTGGCTATTGTGAATAATGCTGCAATAAAGAAGAGAGGCAGATATCTCTTTAACATACTGATGGCCTTTTCTTTGGATTTAGTAGTGGGATTGCTGGATCATATGGCAGTTCTTTTTTAGTTTTTGAGGAAACTTTATACTATTTTCTGTAGTGGTCATACTAATTTACATTCCCAAGATCAATGTGTATACGAGTTTCCTTTTCTCTGCATCCTCACCAGCATACCAGCATTTTTTTTTGTCTTTTTGAGAATAGGCATTCTGAGATGAGAAAATACCTCATTATGGTTTTGATATGCATTTCCCTGATGATTAGTGATGCTGAGCATTTTTTCATGTATGCCTTCTCTTGAGAAATGACTGTTCAAATCATTTGCCCATTTTTTAATTGAAAAATATGAAACTTTTTTAGTGCCATGATACCACAAGTAGAAAATTCTACACATAAGTACTTAACACAACTTTGTTTAATGCATACAGTTATTTAAAATAATGTATGAAATTACCTTCCGGCTATGTGCATAAGGTGTATGTGAAACACAAGTGAATTTCGTGTTTAGTCTTGGATCCCATCCCCAAGGTACCTCAGTATGTATATGCAGATATTCCAGAATCTGAAAAAGTCTGAAATTCAAAACACTTCTGGTCCCAAGCATTTCAGATAAGGAATAACTCAACCTGTACTTCATATGTACCTTAACATTAATTAGGCTGTCAAAAAAAAATAATTCACTCTTCCATGTGGTTATTGCAAAAATAAATCATTTATGGCAAGCTTGTGAGGCAGTCTAACTTCATTTGATTAAAAACAAAAGAGCTAAAAGGGGAATCATTTATGTAGATTAGATAAATGAATTCTACCTAATATTTACATACGGGCTGAAATTTTCTGTTGAGACTGTAATTGCTAGTCCTACCCATGTTTACAGTTTCAGTACTATTGGTTTTGGTATCAGTAGCTCACTAGAGAGGAAATAATACTGAGATGAAAAACATTTTATCTCTTTCTCAAAACTTGATGAGGAATGTTAAAAGAACAAAAAAGAAAACTTTGCAAATATATATGGCACCAAAGAACTGGAGCCACATGTTTGACAATGTATTTGCTTTCTACTTCTGATGCTTTGTTATCCTTGTACTTTACTTAAGTGTATTTGTTTGATTTTTGATTTGTTTGATTTTTGAGATGCAGAGTCTTTTTAAGTCAAAATGTTTTTCCCTATTTGCAATTTCTGATTGTTTTTAGGCTCTAAACATCTTTTAGAAATCAAATAAATATTGACCTGTATGTTCTGCTACTTTTTATAATATAATATTTCAGGGCATTTTTATCTGAGATTTATTTTGATCCATGGTAAAACAAAATTTTCAAAGTAGTTAACCAGTTATCCTAACATTCTTTCCCTGGTTTGTGTTTCCATTTTAGTGATTTGGTGATTTCTTTCTTTTTTTTTTTTTTTTTTGAGACAGAGTCTTGCTCTTGTTGCCCAGGCTGGAATGCAGTGGCACGATCTTAGCTCACTGCAACCTCCGCCTCCCGGGTTCAAGTGATTGTCCTGCCTCAGCCTCCTGAGTAGCTGGGATTACAGGTGCCCGCCACCACATGTGGGTAATTTTTGTATTTTTAGTAGAAACAGGGTTTCACTATGTTGGCCAGGCTGGTCTCAAACTCCTGACCTCGTGATCCACCCACCTCGGCCTCCCAAAGTATTGGGATTACAGGGGTGAGCCATGGCACCCAGCCTACTGATTTCTTATATGTTATTTTGGGGCTACTTGTTTTGTTCAGTTTATCATATTTTTGCACCTATACCATGCTGTTTAATTACAGGAGTTTTAAACATTCTTCTGGTGTTTTAACATTGGGTAATATAGATCATTTCTTTAGTCTGGTATAGGTCTAATTTTAAATGATGGAAAGAATCCAAAAACTTGAAATCTTTTAAAACGGCTTTATTTTATGGAATAGGTTGAAAAGTAAAAGAGATTTTTAAAAAAAGATTATATACAATGTAAAAGTCTCATTTCACCTCTGCTTCTCCTTGACTTCTCCTCTCCCCCATACCTCTCCCACTTTGAGTAATTTCTTGTCTTCCAGAGTTTTTTCACTTCATTATAAGTAAATAGAAGTATATATCTTATTTTTGTTCTTTCTTTACATAAAAGAGCATATCTACTCTGTTCTCTGCTTTGCTCACTTAACAGTGTATCTTGGAGACATTTTCATAATTTCCATATTACTACATAAAGGGCTTCCACACTTTTTCCTTTTAGACAACTCGTAATATTGTGTGGATATAATCTTGTTGATTTCTGTAGTCTTACCAGTGGACACTTGAGTTGTTTGCAAACTGTTGCTGTTATAGACATGCTGCTGTGTCATTTAGAAATGTGTATGTATAGAATCAGTTTCTAGTTAGGGACTGCTGAGTCAGAAGGTAAATTCATCTGTTGTTTTGGTAAATATCACCAGATTGTATCAGTTTGCATCCTCAGCAACAATGTGGAAAGTGCCTAGTTTCATACGGCTTCAGATATAGTGCGTTTTCAGGATTTGGGGTGTATGCCAGTTAGATAAAAATTATGTCTTAATGTAGTTGATCATTCTTCCATGTGTTTAAGGAGCATTTGTATTTACTTCTTTTCCTGTGAACTTACCTGGTCCTATCCTTTGCTCATTTTTTGAATCTTGATCTATTTCTTTCTTTTTTGGGGTACATTTTAAAATCAGTTTGATCAAGTTTTTATCAAATTCCTGAAGTTACTTGGAGTATTTAATATGTAATACAAGTTGCAAATATTTTGCTAGGTTTTCCTTTTTATTTTTTACTTTGCTCATTATTATCATGATTATTGCCATGCACAGTTTATTTTTAAAATAACATTAAGAAGTTTATATTTATAAATTGACTTTATTGGTCCTTTTTTTTTTGATGGCTTCTAAAGGGTTTTAAATCATAATTGGAAGAGCTTTGCCCCTGCTCTAAAGCTGTAAAGGAATTTGCTTGTTTTTTCCTCTAGTGTATTCATGGCCTTGCTTTTTACATTTAAATCTTTATTCCATTTGGAGTTTTTCTTGGTATATGATGTGAGATATGATCCTACTTTGTAATTTCAAAGTGACTTTTTAAAATCTTCCAGCAGCATTTGTTGAAAAGTTGATCTCTTCTTCACTGACTTTAATTACCTTTATCACTTATTAAATTCCCAAATATATTGGAATCCATTTCTGGACTTTCTATTCTGTTCCATTGGTGTTTAAATTAATCTGTAAACTTAGAGAGAATCAGCTACCTTTATGATGTGTCACCTTTCTATGCAAAAACAGTATGTCTTCCTATTTTTGAATCTTTTTTTTGAGACGGAGTCTTGCTCTGTTGCCCAGGCTGGAGTACAGTGGCACAATCTCAGCTCACTGCAACCTCCTCCTCCTGGGTTCAAATGATTCTCCTGCCTCAGCCTCCTCCCAAGTAGCTGAGATTACAGGTGCCTGCTACCACACGTGGCTAATTTTTGTATTTCAGTAGAGACCAGGTTTCACCATGTTGGCCAGACTGGTCTCGAACTCCTGACCTCAAGCGATCCATCCGCTTCAGCCTCCCAAAGTGCTGGGATTACAGGCATGAGCCACCGCACCTGGCTTGAATCGTTTTTTTGTGTTCTTTAGAAGTGGTGTAAGGCAGGCATGGTGGCATGCACCCATAGTCCTAGCTACTTGGGAGGCTGAGGTGGGAGGAGCGCTTGAGCCCAGGAGTTTGAGGTTACAGTGAGCTATGATGGCGCCACTGCACTCCAGCCTGGGTGACAGAATGAGACCCTGTCTCAGTTAAGCAGTTAGTCAATCAATCAAATAAATGGAAGTGTTGTAAAGTTTTCTTTAAATAAGTTTGTACATATTCTTAGTGGCAATTTCTAATATTTTTTTCCTTTTTATTGTAAATGGGGTATGAAAACTTTAAAATTTTTAAATTAATTTTGTGCTACTCATTTAAGAATCTTAATATATATTCAAAGCCGTAGCTTCTGCTTTGTTTTGTTCAGTATACCCTCTTTCTATCAACAAAACTCTTTCTTAGAAGAGCTGACAAAAAGTATTTCGACGTCCTGAGGTTATTGATTCATTCATGAGTTTATTGGAGTACTTGCACATTTGGCTCACATGAACTTTGTTGGGACCATTAGTTTGGGGGTTTTAATTTAATCCTGGTGCTTTATGTCTCGAAGTGTAAGAATCAGGTTGCGTTTGTTTTTAAAGGAAATTGTTTTACCGTTTGTAACACCGTTAATACATATATACTAATTCTGGTTTACAACAGCAAGCGTGAGAATTCAGGTGGTTCCAGGTCTTTGTGTGCATCTGTTTGACTTCAGAATCCAAGGCCTGTGTACCAGCACCTTCTCTCCAGGTCTGCTTCCAATTCGCAGTTGTTAGAATTTTGGAGTAGCTGTTACTAAAGATTATACTTTTCATATATTTTAAGTGTCCTGGTTAAGAGAGGCATTTACTGTTAGCTGCATTTGGTACTTAAGAGAGGTAACTTGAAATGTCTTAAGAGTCTTAGAATGCTTAATGTTTTTTTTCTTGCCCATATGACAGTTGAACATTTTGCATATTCGTTAATGGGATTTTTTGGTCTGTTTTGGCTGCTATAAGATAATGCTATAGACTCAGTGACTTATAAACAACAGAAGTTTATTTCTCTCAGTTCTGGAGGGTGGGAAGTCCAAGGCACTGGCAAATTCGATGTCTGGTAAGGGCCTGCTTTGTGGTTCATAGGTGGCTGTCTTCTAGCTTTGTCCTTATGTGGTAGAAGGGGTGAAGGCGTCTCTGGGGTTTCTTATATGAGGTCACTAATCCCATTTGTGATGGCTCTGCCCTCATAACTTAATCACCTCCCAAAGGCCGCACTTTCAAATACCGTCTCGTGGGCGGAGGGCGTATTGGGATTTTAATACATGAATTTTAGGAGATGGAAACATTTTAGTCCATAACATACAATGATAATACTAATTTATGTGATTTAATAAAAGCTTATTCTCTTAAATCTTGGAAACAAGATTTGTATTAAATTATTCTCCTAATTGTTTTATCTATTTTATAAAAAAATAAACTGCAAGTATCAGAAGACTTACAGTAGTTAAATTAAAGAGTAGCTGGGCACGGTGAATCATGCCTGTAATCCCAGCACTTTGGGAGGCGAGGCAGGAGGATCCCTTGAGCCCAGGAGTTGCAGACCAGCCTGGACAATATAGGTAGACCCTGCTTCTACAGAAAATAAAAAAAATTAGCTGGGTGTGGTGGTGCACACCTGTGGTCCTAGTTGTTTGGGAGGCTGAGGTGAAAGAATCACTTGTGCCCAGGAGGTTGAGGCTGCAGTGAGCTGTGATCACACTACTGCACTCCTGCCTGGGTGACAGAGTAAGATCCTAACTGAAAAAGTAATGTAAAAAGCCAGGCATGTGACTCATGCCTTAATCTCAGTACTTTGAGAGGCCAAGGTGGGAAGATTGCTTGAAGTCAGCAGTTTGAGACCAGCCTGGGCAACATAGCGAGACCCCTGTCTCTACAAAAATACAAATAAAACAATTAGCTGGGTGTGGTGGCATGTGCTTGTAGTCCCAGCTACTTGGGAGGCTGAGGCAAGAGAATCACTCGAGCCTAGGTGTTCAGGCTGTAGTGAGCTATGATCAAGCCACTGCACTCCAGCCTGGGCAACAGAGCAAGATCACGTCTCTAAAAAAAATAAGCAAGTAATATGCAGTTTCCCCCCTGTGGTAACATCTTGCAAAACTATAGTGCAATATCACACCCAGATATTGGCCTCGATACAGTCAAGATGCAGAACAGATCCATCATCACAAGGACCCTCCTGTTGGCTTTCATAGCCACACCAACTGCTCCTTATCCCCTAGAATCCACTGATCTATTCTCCCTTTCTAATTTTGTTGTTTCAATAATTTTGTATGCCTTCATACAGTCTTTTTGGGATTGGCCTTTTTCACTTCCATGGTTCTCTGGTTGTTGAGTTTATCAATACTGTAGTTTATTCCTTTTTGTGGTTGATACAGACTTCTATACTATGATCTGGATATGCCACAGTTAGTTTAACTGTTCACCCACTGTAGAACATCTGGTTTGTTTCCTGTTTTCACTTTTGTGAATAAAGCTGCTAATAAATATTCATGTCGAGGGGAAAAAAGCAATGTGGATTAATTGTCTCATTTTTCTATTTTTCTTATAAGTACCTTACTTGTCAGAAACTTGATCTTTAAAATAAGTGATGCACTTGGTGAAAATTTATTGAGTTGTACACTTGCGTGTACTTTTCTGCCAGTATGTTATATATTTGAGTGAAACATTTATTTAAAAATAATTAGATTTTTTTTCCCCTCTGGGGTTTACTTAGGTTGGATTCAGATGCCGAGGACACAGTACTTCCTCAGAAAGAAGACAGAATTTGCAAAAGAGACCAGATAATAAGCATTTAAGCTCTAGTCAATCCCATAGAAGCGATCCAAATTCTGAGTCTTTATATTTTGAGGTATTTTTTTCAAACTCTATTTGTAAGCTGTTATAGGAAATGTTCCCATTAAGAAATTAATTTGTTACATTGTGAACATTGTGAGTACTTTTTATGTCTTAACATGTGATTCTAGTATTAAATTATAAATTACTCAGAAGTATTAACTCATTTTTGTCTTGGTTATATATATTTAATCTAACATTAATTTTACTGATGTTTATTTTTATAAATTTTTGTCCTGTGTGTTCATCATTTAGGGGGTAATGTATAGAGGTAGAACTTGATTTCATGTGGACTTTATTTAGTATGGAGCTTTTTCACTTAATTTTTGTTGTTATTCAATCCATTTGAAAGGCTTTTCAGATTTGAGTAGTTCAGTCTAGTTAAGTTGTGCTGCCAGCCAGGAGAATTTTAGAGAAGGAAGAAAAATGTTTTACTTTCTCTGATAGACAGTTCATATCCTAATTGCACTGTTATTCATCTAACAGATTCTTACTGGTGGTCTAGTATATGTGTGCAGTAAGGTGCTCTGAATGATACATTAAGGTGAATAGACCTGCTATCTTTGGGAAAGTTGCTGTGTAGTAGAAGAACATAGGCATATACACACCTAATACTTAGTTGAGTGTGGTTAGAGTTGAGCGCAGAGACAGGTCACTTTGGGTTTGTGGCAGGGTAGGTAACATTTGAAATGAATTTAAAAAACAAGTAGAATTTGTATGTGTCAAGATGTTTTTCACCACACATCTCCGGTAACTCATTTGAGTAACTCATTTTGGTTGGATCATAAATTCTATTGAATGAGTTAATAGATGGGAGGTTAAACTGGAAAACTTGCTTGAGGTCAGAGGATAGAAATCAATAATATGCTGGGCGTGGTGGCTAATGCCTGTAATCCCAGCACTTTGGGAGGCCAAGCAGATCACCTGAGGTCAGGATCACTTGAGGTCAGGAGTTCGAGACCAGCCTGGCCAACGTGGTGAAACCCCATCTCTACTAAAAATACAAAAAGTTAACTGGGCATGGTGGCGGGTCCCTGTAATCCCAGCTAACTGGGAGGCTGAGGCAGGAGAATTGCTTGAACCCAGGAGGTGGAGGTTGCAGTGAGCCGAGATTGTGCCATTGCACTCTATCCTGGGCAACAATAGTGAAACTCCATCTCAAAAAAAAAAAAAAAAATCAATAATATGTTAGATAAGTTTAGTAATTGAGCCAAAGGACTTGAGAGTATATCTCAATTATTTTCTCAAGAATAGTTTCAATATATCCAGGTCTGGCAATTGTAGTACATGTACTCAACTGTACTATTGGTTCTATACTTATATTTAAAGACATTAGATATAATTTTCAGGAAAAAGGAAGATATTAATAAATTAATTTCAATGGAAAAGATGTTTTTAACCTTATTGACAATTGTGTGGAGTAATGCAGAACAAGGAGTATATTAATAAAGTTTACATGAAGCTGTCTGTTAAACACTTTCTCAAATTATCTGAATGTGATAAAACCCAGTTTGAATTTCTTTTCAATTACCCACCCATCTGAAGGTAGAATTATTAATAAAAATGAAATAGTAGGTGCAGAAATCCAAAAACTGGACATGTGTGGATACGCCCCCATCCTTGAATAATTAAATTGTTTATATTTTAGCATGTGAGAAATGACATTTCCTCTTTAAGACCGACTTTGAATAATTCAGTAATAGAATACAAGAAATAACTTCCTCATTTTTCAATACTTCTAAGCATTATAAAAAGTTTAGGAGTTTGCCTTGAACTCTTTTTACTTAAAATGTGAAACATTTCAGGATGAAGATGGGTTTCAAGAACTAAATGAGAATGGAAATGCTAAGGATGAGAATATTCAACAAAAACTTTCTTCTAAAGTAGTAAGTAACTCTTTAAAAAGAAAAGCAAAATATAACATCTTTTGAACAATGGCTATGTTGAAGGGAAATATTAAAGATAAGTGTAAAGGCACATGGAGCAGCAGAGTGTGCAGGAGATGGTGTTTAGTACCTATCTTTAATATTTCTTTTCCAGCATAGCCTGAACAAAGATAATACCCTATGAAATCCACAGTTCTATTACTAAAATACCATTAACTAAATGATATCATCATACAACATACAGTCTGTACTGAAATTTTCCCAACTGTTGCAAAATTTTACTTTGGATGTATTTTGTTTTATTTCATTCAAGGATCCAGGCAGCCATCACCCACTGCATTAAGCTGTTTTGTCCCTTTATTATTTCCCAGTCTGAAATGGTCCCACTGTCAAATCCTGTTCTTTATGACATTGAATTCTTTGAAGAGTCTAGTCCGGTTGTACTGCAGAACATCCCACATTCTGGATCCTTTTTCCTTATGATTGACTTTTATGGGATCACTAACAAATGTGTTTTTTCTGGTTATCATAGTTGGATGATTTACCTGAAAACTCACCAATCAATATAGTTCAGACTCCAATTCCTATTACCACCTCAGTTCCCAAACGTGCAAAAAGTCAGAAGAAGAAAGCTTTAGCAGCAGCCCTTGCCACAGCTCAAGAGTATTCAGAAATAAGTATGGAGCAAAAAAAATTACAGGTACATATTCATTTTTATGAACAAATGTGATAGTTTACTTGCTAGGTTTGATGGAATAGATAGAAGGAGTGATAAATGTAGTCATCTTAAAATGCCACAGTTTCGTACTATAACAAAAAAATTAATTTTTTATATTTATTTTGTAGGAAGCTTTATCAAAAGCAGCTGGAAAAAAGAATAAAACACCTGTGCAGCTAGATTTAGGGGACATGTTAGCTGCTCTGGAAAAACAACAGCAAGCAATGAAAGCACGGCAAATTACTAACACCAGACCTCTGTCATATACAGGTGATATCATTAGTCTGAGCAATTTGCTGTTTGTCTCTGCTAATATATGTTAGATGTTGTTAATCGAAATTTTTAAAATTTTATATATGTATGTGTATATATATGTGTGTGTGTGTGTATATATATGTATGTGTGTTTGTGTGTGTGTATTTTAAGTCAGCTTAAACCGCAAGCCTTGAAATTGTCCATGCTCCTTTCCACACCTAGTCCTTTAACACATCCTATCTGTCCTGCCTGCAAAACATATCCATACTCTAACTACTCACCAGATTTCCTGCCACCACAGTAGCCCCCATTATTGTATCATACTAGACTGAGTAGCCTCCTTACTACTACCTGCTTTTCCCTCCCCACAACCCCTTGTCTGCGTTAAAAGGAGTGACCTTTTTAAAATGTAAGCTGGATTATATCACTTCACTGCTCAGAATCCTCTAACAGTGCTTCATTTCACTTGGCATGAAGCCAGACTCCTAACTAAAGCCATATTTTAGCTGACCCTATTACCTTTTTGCCTTCGTCACCATTCTCTCCTAACACACTCTGCTCTAGCTGCATTAGCAGTCCTCAGACACACCCAGCATGATCCTAGCTCAGTATCTGTGGGCTTGCTATTCCCTTTTCCTGGGATGCTCTTTCCCCAGGTATCAGCATAGTTTGCTTCCCTCAGGTTCTTTAGATCTCTGCATAAATGTCAGTTGATATGCATTTTGACTCACCCAAATTTTTTTCTTTTTCAAAGATTGAAATAAAAAATCACAAGTAATCTGGCTCTCTTAAATTATCCAGTTTAAAACTCAGTTGCATACAAGGGTTTTGATCAGATTGTGTGTGTGTGTATATGAGAAAATGATCTGGCTTTCTACTGAAACAGTAATTTCTATTTTAACAAACCTTGTCAGATTTAGAGCTCAGCTTTTCTGTGTTCCCTCATTTCTTTTCATAGTCTTTTTTTAGAGGGTGAGGAATAGAACAAAGGAACAGGAAAGGTACCAATGTACAGCACCAGCACCAATGTTGAGAGGCAAAATTGAATTTTGTGTTTCTTCTGATCCTGTGTGAAGGGACTATTACTTATTAGACAGAAAGATAAATTACAGTGTATAATTTTAACCTGTGTGCAAAACGTTTAAACCTATCTAGTTACCAATCCACTATCAACCTCTGTTATTACAATAGTTATTTGTAATAACTATTATTACAAATAGTACTGAATGTATATAAAGCTTTAGAGTTGCATGTTGAGATGGGCAGAGTGGCAGTAATCTCTCACTTAAGAGTAAAAATAGGGAATAAAACTGAGAGTTAGCAGTGTTCTGGAGGCGGTATGCCCTAGTAGCTAAAAGCAGGGGCCCTGGAATCAAGTTGCCTTTGTTTGAATCCTGTTCTTCCATGTGTTTCATTGGCAAGTTACTTAACCTTCCTGTGCTTCAGTTTCCTCACATTAATATGAGAGTACCTACTTCAGGATTGTCTTGAGAATTAGATGAGATGATATATGTAAAGTGCTTATAGAGTATCTGGGTTATAATCACTCAATAAATGTTTAATATTATTATGGAGACGAGATTGTTAACCTGTGATACTTCAGATGGCTTATTGTTACAACTTCAATTAATTTAGCAACTGTTAATATATATGTTTATATGTGTACATATATACAGTATATATAATGTCTATATTATATATACAGTATATACTGCTAAATATATACATTTATATATTTATACATATACTGTTAATATACATAAACAAACATTTAGCAGTTGCTAAATGTTAATATGATATAATTACTATAAATTATATAACTATATATTGTTTTATATATAATTATATATCTTTTTAATATATATACACCCATATATACACATGTTCAAGAAAAGGATGAGACTGATCATGATGAAAAAGAATTATAGGGAAATGATGGATCTGGAAACAGGTCAGTGATGACTCCAGATTCTGTCTTGAATGACTGTGGTGGTGATAAGGGCTGCGATGTTACTACACAAGATAGGGATTATAGAAGAATTTTGTTGGGAAGAGCAGATGCTGCCTGTTGTATTTTAAATGCTAGCATGGGAGATTCTGGTGGTTCCTATTTAGCATATAGTTATGAATGTATAGTTTAGGTTACAAGTCAGTGAGTTTCAAATACAGATGATTGTTGAAGTTGTGGAAATCAGATTGTTGGGGGAAAGAAAAATTAGGAAAAAGATGTTCACAGACAAAGCCTTGTGGAATGCTCACATTTAAAGGATAAGAGGAAGAAGAACAAGAAACATAGATTTGAGAAAGAGTAAGAAAAATAAAGGAGTGTAATGTTACAGAAGGCAAGGATAGAATTTTGAGGAAAAGGATGTAGTCCTTGGTACCAAATGCTGAAGAAAATTAGAGTAGAGTGAAGAGTCAGAGAATTGTATTTGGCAATTGCAAGATTATGTGTGACCTTGACAGTACGTTTCAAGAGAATGGGTTGGGCAGAGGTCAAATTGTAATGATTTGAAAAGTGATAATGAGAGAAAAACTGTTTCGAAGTTTAATAGGGAAGGAAAGGGGAATGATGGCACCTTAGCTTGAAGGGAAGGGTTTAGTTGGTGTGCCTTTTTAAAAAACCCTTTCTTTTTTTTAGATAGAAGATTCTAGCATCTTATTAGGGGATCAAGAAAAAAGTCAAGGGTCAGGGAGGAACTCGAAAGATGCAAGGGTATAGGAATAGAGTTAGATCTTAGAGGAACTGAGATGGGATATTAAGAATAAAGACAGTTGGTGAGCCTTGGACAGGAGTAAGGATGTCTGCCACCTCCTTTCAGGTGGTTGGTAAGTTTATATTGGATAGCATCTTCTCAGGGAAGTGGCAGGAAAGCTCTGCTAGAGTGAGAGGATTGAGGTTGGGGATTTAGGTATAGTAAAGGATTGGAAGAAGCCAGTGGAAACTGAGGGTATCAACCAGACATAAAAGAATTACTGAGGCCGGGTGTAGTGGCTCACGCCTGTAATCCCAGCACTTTGGGAGGCCAGCGTGGGCGGATCACAAGGTCAAGAGATCGAGACCATCCTGGCCAACATGGTGAAACCCTGTCTCTACTAAAAATACCAAAATTAGCTGGGCGTGGTGGCACGTGCCTGTAATCCCAGCTACTCGGGAGGCTGAGGCAGGAGAATTGCTTGAACCCAGGAGGTGGAGGTTTCAGTGAGCCGAGATCGTGCCACTGCACTGCAGCTTGGGCGACAGAGTAGACTCCATCTCAAAATAAATAAATAAATAAATAAATAAAAATAATTACTGAGTGAGGCTGAGTGCAGCTGAGTGGGTAAAATCATCATTCTTTACTGACCAACTGAAATAAGGAGAGAAGTGATAGATAAGATATCTTACATAAGGACAAATAGCAGATTCAGTAGGAATAAGAAGGGGTGCAGCATTGTGAAGTTTCAAAGGTAGAATGGTTCTGACTGAAGACCAGTTGCAAGGAATTGCCATGTTTGAGGGTTGTACAGGAGAGTAGAACTAATTATTTACCCCTATAATGGACTTCTAAATTGGTTAATTGCATTGGCTTAGTCTCTAAAGGATAGGTAAAAGCTGTATCTGAGGGACACTGCCTAGCCATGTATAGTGCTCCTACTGTTATGATGTCGTTTTTTCCATGGGAGGAGGATGTTCTTGTTTTTGTAGTTATTGGAAATTTTGAAAGTATGTGGGATTGGCCCTAATGGTGAAACTAATGTTCCTCTTTGTTTTTAGTGGTTACTGCAGCTTCTTTTCACACTAAAGACTCTACTAATAGAAAACCTTTAACCAAAAGTCAGCCCTGTTTGACATCCTTTAATTCTGTGGACATTGCTTCTTCTAAAGCAAAAAAAGGAAAAGAGAAGGAAATTGCAAAACTAAAACGACCCACAGCACTTAAAAAGGTAAACCAAAATCTGGTGGGATATTTATTTTATAGGATGAATAAGGATTTTAATCTGTTTTGTAAAAGTAGGTTGTGGTGTCTTAGCCAACAGATTGTTGTGAGAAGTATTCATACACATGAATCTTGACGATAATGTGTTAATTTGAAGCTCAGGATATCATCAGTATCATGACTATCTTTCTGTGTAGAACGGGGCCCTGGAAAATGAATTATTTCTATAAGGTTAAAAAAAAGATAAATATGTAGTATCCCAAAACATTAAGACTCCAGGAATCAGAAGCCCTGGATTTCAGTATTAACTTCAGTGCTTGCTACACATATCATTTTAGGCAACCATTTTACTCTCATCTTTCTCATCTATAAATTGGGGAGCATATTTGATTTAACTCACTATTGTTAAAAGGGTCAAAATGAGATAATTCGTGTCCAAATAATTGAAAACTGTAGAATGTCAATCAAATGTAACTGTATGACCTGGGTTCCAAACTTTTTAATTTACCCTTTTTTTTTTTGGAAACTCTAGTTTGCCACCTAGGATTTAAAGCATCAGATATGGTTTGATAGCTGTATATTCTATAACATAATTGCTTTTCTTTATTTTGTATGCAGTACTTCCTTCAACTTACAGTGTCTGAAATTACATTTGCCTTTTTGCCAGTTAGCCAAACTTCTCATGTTCATGTTTAAGTGAACTACCATACCTGTGTTATAATGTATATTGTCATCATTTGTACACAGTTGAAGAGTAATCTGTAATTAAAGACTAGTGTAATGACTTTTAGGTTATTTTAAAAGAAAGAGAGGAAAAGAAGGGGCGCTTAACTGTGGACCACAATCTTTTGGGATCCGAGGAACCAACAGAAATGCACTTAGATTTTATTGATGACTTGCCACAGGAGATTGTTTCCCAGGAAGGTAAGGAGCTCCCCCTTTCTCCTCTTCTCATGGAATGGTCTGAAATATTTTAATAGATACGTAAGCTATCACTAGTTAATGCTCCTGATTGGAAGACGTGCTCCATATTTTACATAAATCTCTTTATTCTTCAGAGTGGTTTCTTTTAAAGATGCTTTTGTAGGGAGATGGTTAAAGAGAAGGGGACAGGTATTATATAGTAGGCCTATGACATTTTTGAGGCTTAAATCCTGAATTTGTAGTGAATTCTCAAAATTAAGATGTCACGAATGCATGGGATCTCTGGAATTGTCACAAGTATTTTCATTTTGTTTTCTTTTACGTCCAAAATACTGTTGGCTATCTTTCTTTTTAGGGCTACTTTTCATTGAGTCATTTTTGTTGATTTTCTTGCTTTCATGGAATTAATACATATGTCACAATGAATGCAATTGCAAAGCAGAATCTAGTTGGTCGATAAGATTCAGTGTCATACAGTAAGTAGCAACACATATGATTCCAGTTGGTAACTTAGTAAAACCGCAGATTTCTTCTAATATTTATACCACCATAAAAGAAAGATTTTTCTGCTAGTATATCTTTATTGCCCAACTTTTTGCAACACATTTAAATCTGGTTTACACATAGATTAAGCAACAATGTTTCATTGTTTTTAGAAAAATGAGTTGATTTCTAAAGATTGTTCACTGGGGACATGTTTGTTTAGGGTTCTGTTTTATTCTCAATTTAATGATTCCCCATGTTTTTAGGTGTAATCATCCATCCATTCATTCAGCAAATGTTTATTGAATGCTTACCCCATGTATTTTAGTAACTAGAGCGGCAGGAGGACGTTGGGGAATGTAATAAAGATATATAGTAGACAGGTCCTGCTGTTGAAGAGCTTACAGCCCAGTAGGAAGGTAAGAAGATACACGTGGGCTGGGCGCAGTGGCTCACGCCTATAATCCCAACACTTTGGTAAGCCAAGATGGGCAGATCACTTGAGCTCAGGAGTTTGAGACCAGCCTGGACAACAAGGCAAAACCCTGTCTCTACAAAAAAATACAAGAATTAACTGGGCATGGTAGCTCATATTTATAGTCCAAGCTACTTGGGGGACTGAAGTGGGAGGATTGGTTGAGCCCAGGAGGTTGAGGCTGCAATGAGTGGAGATCATGCCACTGCACTCCAGCCCGGATGACAAAGTGAGACCCTGTATCAAAAACAAACAAACAAAAAAACCAAAAAAAAACACCATGTGTAGCTTTGCTAATTAATGGACTAGATATACAAATACAAACTAATTTCCTGAGTTTAGCTGTTTAGGAAAGAGGCAATAACTAAACGAAGGAGACAGTAGAGTCAAGAAATGGCATTTAATAATGTGGCTTCTTGAACACAGAAGCAAAGACCAAATAAGAGAGAGACCGGGGTGGTACCTGGAGAATCAGGAGTGGTGTGGAGAGGGTGAGGTAGAATTTGTCATTGCCAGCAATAATGGGAAGTTTTAGATTGTTTAAAAAAAAAAAAGATTTCTAAGAAATAGATGGAAAACTAGAAATGAAGAAGTGAGTAATGTGATCTGGCAAGAGGGGTGTGTGTGTGTGTGTGTGTGTGTGTGTGTCTGCCTCTGTTGTTGCCCAGGCTGGAGTGCAGTAGTGCCATCTTGGCTCACTGCAACCTCCACCTCCGGGTTCAAGCGATTCTCCTGCCTTAGCCTCCCGAGTAGCTGGGACTACAGGCATGTGCCACCACGCCCGGCTAATTTATTTGTATTTTTAGTAGAGATGGGGTTTCACCATGTTGGCTAGACTGGTCTTGAACCCTGGACCTCAAGTAATCTTCTGCCTTGGCCTCCCAAAGTGCTGGGATTACAGGCATGAGCCACCATGCCCGGCCTAAGAGGTGCAGATTTTTTCTCTTTAATTTAAATTCTCTGGGAACACATGTTTTAGGTAATGTGTATTCTTCCTCATCCCTGTGGAGACTTCTGGGCTATGCTTAACTTTTGAGAGAGAGAGGGAATGTTTTTTTTTTAAAGAGATGGAAGTCTCACAACGTTTCTCAGGCTGACCTCAAACTCCCAGATTCAAGCGATTTTCTCGCCTCACCCTCCTGAGTAGCTGGGACCACAGGCATGCACCACCTCACCTGGCTAAGAATATACTTCAACAGACAATAGGAGAATTTAATTTTTGTAGTGTATGGAACATGTTTATTTGTGATATGAAAAATGCCCACCTTATTAGCTTCTGGAAAATTTGGAAATGACCCAAAAGACAATGGCCATTCTAAATTGCATTGATCAACGTAGAACTTTTCAGCATTTGAAGTTTCTAAATTTTTTCCCTTCACTCCACATCTCCACAGATACTGGACTAAGCATGCCCAGTGATACTTCACTCTCTCCAGCAAGTCAGAACTCTCCATACTGTATGACACCTGTGTCACAAGGCTCTCCTGCTAGTTCTGGAATAGGCAGTCCAATGGCATCTTCAACAATAACCAAAATCCACAGCAAAAGATTTAGAGAGTAAGTTTTATACTCATTATTGAGGTTGAATAGTTTAAGGATCTTGATTGTAGTTCTGAATTTAGTATTGTCATTGTTACTCAGTGAGTCAAGCAGACAAAAGACCAGAGATCTTTAACTCCTTTCGGATTTTGTTTAACAGCTGGGTTTATTATTTAAAGCATTGCCTTCTGTCAGCTGTTAGTATTCACGTGAGAGTGATCTGACAGTAAGTATATTCTCTTTATATCAGATAGTATTTCTATTCTAGAAATCTAGACTCTTAATATCTTATATATTAAATGTTGTACTATCAGTTTTCCTCCTACAAATGCTTTTGCTTTTTTGTTTATATTATTGGCCCTTCAAAAGATCACTCTAACCAATTAATAGGTTTCTAAGACCCTATTATATGAAGTGAACCTATTACATAAAGCTATTTGTGCAAGTATTTCTAAGTTCTTAAATTGAGATAACTGGGGGGATCACAGAATATGATACCCCATCTGTGAATAGCTTTAACAGTTATTGCTGTGAAGGATTTTAAGATTTTAACATTTATGTTGATGAATTAATTTTACCTTTAAAAATGACATATGAAAGAATCCCAGGGTGAAAGTATAATCTATGTGAGTCCAAATTACATTGGTTTATTCTGTTCCTTTTCCCTATACCATTGTTTTTGAGCAAATACTTCCTGCCTAGCTTTGGAAAGTTAATTAAATGTCAAATCACAGATGTGGAGCAAATGAAACACTTGGGGGATAAAATGTTACATATGTATGAAATGAACAGCTTGAAGGAAAAAGGGAAAAAAAGAATGAAGAAAATTGCATTTTGGGATGTTCTAGTCTTTGATTGCATTCTTCAATTTGGCACACTTTGACAGTTAAATGTTCCTCAATCTCTGCATTTATATATATTCTTCTGAAGTAGTGTCATTCTTGTACTTATTTAACTATTTTTGACAGAAATACAAAAAATTCCCCTGCAAACTTTTTTGCACTAAAGAAGAACAGGCACAGATTTTCCCACTACATAATATAAAAGTAGAAATTTGCTTGCCTTGGTTATTCATAGATAAGAAACACCAATTCTCCCTATTAAGTACCTGCTTATGGTAGACATGAGGGGTGATTACTAGAAAAGATGGAAAGAGTATACAGGAGAAGTATATACTTAGATGACTTCTTTGTCCCAGAAATTAGGTACTGTAGTGGCCTCACGCTTCTGACTTTCTGTGTCTCACACTATAGTCATACATAATCTCAGAGAGCCCTACTCATTTGCTTTGTCTGATGTAAAGGCATGTGATTTTTACCTCATGACCTCTTTGGTTTTGGCTTCAGTTTAATTATTGAGTTCATCCTCCATAGCCATAAATTTTCGGAGCTCTAGGCACTCTTGAGGCCATTTTACCTAGCTCCTTACTTTTATGACTGAGAAAGCCAGTGCCCAGAAATCTATCCAAGCCCAGAGGAGGAATTGTTGGTAATAGGACATTCAGTTAGAAATTGTATATATTTCCTACTAGAAGCATCTTCAGTAACTCTTTACCAAAATCATTATGTTTGTTTTTATCTAATAGCAGGTTGTCATTTGGTTTATATCCTTAGGAATTTAATAATTAGTAATTCTGATAGTCTTTACCTTAGGTTAACTTATCCTTTACATAAAATCTATCTGAATTGAGCTCGGCAAAGCTGCTGTAGCCAGACTGCCTCTTTAGATTCCTCCTCTCTGGGCAGGGCATCTCTGAAAGAAAGACAGCAGCCCTGGTCACGGGCTTACAGATAAAACTCCCATCTGCCTGGGACAGAGCATCTTGGGGAAGGGGCAGCTGTGGACGCAGCTTCAGCAGAGTTAAATGTTCCTGTCTGCTGGCTCTGAAAGGAGCAGTGGATCTCCCAGCACAGCGTTCAAGCTCTGCTAAGGGACAGACTGCCTCTTCAAGTGGGTCCCTGACCCCTGTGCCTCCTGAATAGGAGATACCTCCCAGCAGGGGTTGACAGACTCCTCATACAGGGCAGCTCCACTGGCATTTGGTGGGTACCCCTCTGGGATGAAGCTCCAGAGGAAGGAACAGGCAGGAATCTTTGCTGTTCTGTAGCCTCCGCTGGTGATACCCAGGCAAAAAGGGTCTGGAGTGGACCTCCAGCAAACTCCAGCAGACCTGCAGCAGAGGGACCTGACTGTTAGAAGGAAAACTAGCAAACAGAAAGGAATAGCATCAACATCAACAAAAAGGATGTCCACACAAAAACCCCACCGAAGGTCACCAATATCAAAGACCAAAGATAGATAAATCCACGAAGATGAGGAAAAACCAGCGCAAAAAGGCTGAAAATTGCAAAAACCAGAATACCTCTTCTCCTCCAAAGGATCACAACTCCTCGCCAGCAAGGGAACAAAACTAGACGGAGAATGAGTTTGACAAATTGACGGAAGTAGGCTTCAGAAGGTGGGTAATAACAAACTCCTCCGAGCTAAAGGAGTATGTTCTAATTCAATGTTAACAAACTCCTCCGAGCTAAAGGAGTATGTTCTAATTCAATGCAGGGAAGCTAAGAACCTTGAAAAAAGGTTAGAGGAATTGCTAACTAGAATAACCAGTTTAAAGAATAACATAATAAATTACCTGATGGAGCTGAAAAACAGCACGAGAACTTCCTGAAGCATACACAAGTATCAACAGCTGAATCGATCAAGCGGAAGAAAGGATATCAGTGATTGAAGATCAAATTAATGAAATAAATCGTGAAGACAAGGTTAGAGAAAAAATAATGAAAAGGAATGAACAAAGCCTCCAAGAAATATGGGTCTATATGAAAAGACCAAACCTACGTTAGATTGGTGTACCTGAAAGTGACGAGGAGAATGGAACCAAGTTGGAAAACACTCTTCAGGATATTATCCAGGAGAACTTCCCCAACCTAGCAGGACAGGCCAACATTCAAATGCAGGTAATACAGAGAACACCACAAAGATACTCCTTGAGAAGAACAAACCCAAGAGACAAAGCATCAGATTCACCAAGGTTGAAATGAAGGAAAAAATGTTAAAGGCAGCCAGAGAGAAAGGTCGGGTTACCCAGAAAGGTAAGGCCATCAGTCTAACAGCGGGTCTCTCTGCAGAAACCCTACAAGCCAGAAGAGAGTGGGGCCAATATTCAACGTTCTTAGAAGAATTTTCAATCCAGAATTTCAAATTCAGCCAAACTAAGCTTCATAAACAAAGGAGAAATAAAATCCTATACAGACAAGTAAATGCTGAGAGATTTTGTCACCACCATGCCTGCCTTACAAGAGCTCCTGAAGGAAGCACTAAATATGGAAAGGAAAAACCGGTACCAGCCACTGCAAAAACATACCAAATTGTAAAGACCGTCAACACTATGAAGAAACTGCATCAACTGAGGGGCAAAATAACCAGCTAGCATCATAATGACAGGATCAGATTCACACATAACAATATTAATTGTAAATGTGAATGGGCTAAATGCCCCAATTAAAAGACACAGACTGTCAAATTGGATAAAGAGTCAAGACCCATTGGTGTCCTGTATTCAGGAGACCCATCTCACGTGCAAAGACACACATAGGCTCAAAATAAAAGGATGGAGGAATATTTACCAAGCAAATGGAAAGCAAAAAAAAAAAAAAAAAAAAAAAAAAAAGCAGGGGTTGCAATTCTAGTCTCTGATAAAACAGACTTTAAACCAACAAAGATCAAGAGAGACAAAGAAGGGCATTACATAATGGTAAAGGGATCAATGCATCAAGATGAGGTAACTATCCCAAATGTATATGCACCCAATACAAGAGCACCCAGATTCATAAAGCAAGTCCTTAGAGACCTACAGAGAGACTTAGACTCCTACACAAAAATAGTGGGAGACTTTTTTTTTGAGATGGAGTCTGGGTCTGTCACCCAGGCTGGAGTGCAGTGGCGCGATCTCGGCTTATTGCAACCTCCACCTCCTGAGTTCAAGTGATTCTCTTGCTTCAGCCTCCTGAGTAGGTGGGACTACAGGCCTGTGCCACCATGCCTGGCTAATTTTTGTATTTTTAGTAGAGACAGGATTTCGCCATGTTGGCCAGGCTGGTCTCAAAGTTCTGACCTCAGGTGATCCACCTGCCTTAGTCTCACAAAGTGCTGGGATTACAGGCGTGAGCCACTGCGCCCAGCCAATAGTGGGAGACTTTAACACCCCACTGTCAATATTAGACATCAACGAGACAGAAAATTAATAAGGATATTCAGGACTTGAACTCAGCTCTGGATGAAGCAGACCTGTTAGACATCTACAGAACTCTCCACCCCAAATCACAGAATATACATTCTTCTCAGCACCACATTGCACTTATTCTAAAATTGACCACATAATTGGATGTAAAACACTCCTCAGCAAATGCAGAAGAATGGAAATTGTAACAAACAGTCTCTCAAAACAAGTGCAATCAAATTAGAATTCAGGATTAATAAACTCACTCAAAACTGCACAACTACGTGGAAACTGAGCAACCTGTTCCTGAATGACTACTGGGTAAATAACGAAATTAAGGCAGAGATAAATAAGTTCTTTGAAACCAATGAGAACAAAGACACAACGTACTAGAATCTCTGGGACACAGCTAAAGCAGTGTTTAGAGGGAAATTTATAGCACTAAAATGCCCACAGGAGAAAGTAGGAAAGATCTAAAATCAACACTCTTACATCACAATTAAAAGAACTAGAGAAGCAAGAGCAAACACATTCAAAAGCTAGCAGAAGACAAGAAATAACTAAGATCAGAGCAGAACTGAAGGAGATAGAGACACAAAAAACCCTTCAAACAGTCAATGAATCTAGGAGCTGGTTTTTTGAAAAGATTAACAAAATAGACTGCTAGCCAGACTAATAGAAAAGAGAGAAGAATCAAATAGACACAATAAAAAATGATAAAGGGAAGATCACAACTGATCCCACAGAAATACAAACTGCCATCAGAGAATACTATAAACAGCTCTATACAAATAAACAAGAAAATCTAGAAGAAATGGATAAATTCCTGGACACATACACCCTCCCAAGACTAAACCAGGAAGAAGTCGAATCCCTGAATAGAGCAATAACAAGTTCTGAAATTGAGGCAGTAACTAATATCCTACCAACCAAAAAAAGCCTAGAACCAGACATATTCACAGCCGAATTCTGCCAGAGTTACAAAGAGGAGCTGGTACCATTCCTTCTGAAACTATTCCAAACAATAGAAAAAGAGGGACTCCTACCTAACTCATTTTATGAGGCCAGCATCATCCTGATACCAAAACCTGGCAGAGACACAACAAAAAAAGAAAATTTCAGGCCAGTATCCCTGATGAACATCGATGCGGAAATCCTCAATAAAATACTGGCAAACCGAATTTAGCAGCACATCAAAAAGCTTATCGACCACGATCAAGTCGGCTTCATCTCTTGGATGCAAGGCTGGTTTACCATATGGCAATCAGTAAACGTAATCCATCACATAAACAGATCCAATGATAAAACTCACATGATTATCTCAGTAGATGCAGAAGAGGCCCTCGATAAAATTCAACAGCCCTTCGTGCTAAAAACTCTCAATAAACTAGGTATTGATGGAGTGTATCTCAAAATAATAAGAGCTATTTATGACAAACCCACAGCCAATATCATACTGAATGGGCAAAAGCTGGAAGCATTCCCTTTGAAAACCAGCACAAGACAAGGATGCCCTCTCTCACTGCTCCTATTCAACATAGTGTTGGAAGTTCTGGCCAGGGCAATCAGGCAAGAGAAAGAAATAAAGGGTATTCAAATAGAAAGAGAGGAAGTCAAATTGTCTCTGTTTGCAGATGACATGATTGTATATTTTGAAAACCCCATTGTCTCATCCCCAAATCTCCTTAAGCTGATAAGCAACTTCAGCAAAGTCTCAGGCTACAAAATCAATGTGCAAAAATCACAAGCATTCCTACACACCAATAATAGCCAAATAATGAGTGAACTCCCATTCACAATTGCCACAAAGAGAATAAAATACCTAGGAATCCAACTTACAAGGGATGTGAAGGAACTCTTCAAGGAGAATTACAAACCACTGCTCAAGGAAATAAGAGAGGACACAAACAAATTGAAAAACATTCCATGCTCACGGATAGGAAGAATCAATATTGTGAAAATGGCCATACTGCCCAAAGTAATTTATAGATTCAGTGCTATCCCCATCAAGCTACCATTGACTTTCTTCACAGAATTAGAAAAAACTACTTTAAACTTCATATGGAACCAAAAAAGAGCCCATATAGCCAAGACAATCCTAAGCAAAAAGAACAAAGCTGGAGGCATTACACTACCTGACTTCAAACTTTACAAGGCTACAGTAACCAAAACAGCATGGTACTGGTACCAAAACAGATACATAGACCGATGGAAGAGACCAGAGGCCTCAGAAATAACTCCACACATCTACAACCATCTGATCTTTGACAAATCTGACAAAAACAAGCAATGGGGAAAGGATTCCTTATTTAATAAATGGTGTTGGGAAAACTGGCTAGCCATATGTAGAAAACTGAAATGGGGCCCCTTTCTTACACCTTATACAAAAATTAACTCAAGATGAATTAATGGCTTAAAACATAAAACCTAAAACCATAAAAACCCTGGAAGAAAACCTAGGCAATACCATTCAGGACATAGGCATGGGGCAAAGAGTTCATGACTAAAACACCAAAAGCAATGGCAACAAAAGCCAAAATTGACAGATGGGATCTAGTTAAACTGAAGAGCTTCTACACAGCAAAAGAAACTATCGTCAGAGTGAATAGGCAACCTATACGATGGGAGAAAGTTTTTGCAATCTATCCATCTGACCAAGGGGTAATATCCAGAATCTACAAAGAACTTAAACAAATTTATAAGAAAAAACAACCCCATCAAAAAGTGGGCGAAGGATACGAGCAGATACTTCTCAAAAGAAGACGTTTATGCGGTCAAGAAACGTATGAAAAACTCATCATCACTGGTCATTAGAGAAATGCAAATCAAAACCACAATGAGATACCATCTCATGCCAGTTAGAATAGCAATCATTAAAAAGTCAGGAAACGAGACACTGGAGAGGATGCGGAGAAATAGGAATGCTTTTACACTTTTGGTGTGAGTGTAAATTAGTTCAACCATTGTGAAAGACAGTGTGTCGATTCCTCAAGGATCTAGAATCAGAACCATTTGACCCAGCAGTCCCATTACTGGGTATATACCCAAAGGATTCTAAAGCATGCTGCTATAAAGAGACATGCACACATATGTTTATTGCAGCACTATTCACAATAGCAAAGACTTGGAACCAACCCAAATGCTCATCAATGATAGACTGGATAAAGAAAATGTGGCACATACACACCATGGAATACTATATAGCCATAAAAAAGGATGAGTTCATGTTCTTTGCAGGGACATGGATGAAGCTGGAAACCATGATTCTCAGCAAACTAACACAGGAACAGAAAACCAAACACTGCATGTTTTCACGCATAAGTAGGAGTTGAACAGTTAGAACACATGGACACAGGGAGGGGAACATCACACACCGGGGCCTGTCGGGGTGGGAGGCTAGGGGAGGGATAGCATTAGGAGAAATACCTAATGTAGATGACGGGTTGATGGGTGCAGCAAACCACCATGACACGTGTATACCTATGTAACAAACCTGCATGTTCTGCACCTGTATCCCAGAACTTAAAGGATAATTAAGAAAAAAAAAAAAAAGAATACGATGTGGAAGACAACAAATATATTTGTTAATTTATCAGATATTTTTGAGTGTTTAGTATGTGCCTTTTTCTAGGTGATGGGGATAAAGTGATAAACCAGTATCATAATAAAAGCAAGCATTTGTTGAATACTTAAAAAAATCTATTTGAAATGCAGAAACAAGGAATATCTGTATCACTCTTCTGTTTTTGTAAATGACTGAAGGATTTAAGAAGTTTTAAACACTTCTTTAAGAGACTTTTCATGAAAACTTCTTACCATATATATTTTCTCTTAGAGATATTTTCTTAATGCAGTTTTATAACTATAGGGAAAAAAATTAGGATGGAGTTACCCATTTTGGTTTTTTTTTACAGGTATTGTAATCAGGTTCTTTGTAAAGAGATTGATGAATGTGTGACTCTTCTTCTCCAAGAGCTTGTCAGTTTCCAGGAACGCATCTACCAAAAAGATCCTGTAAGAGCAAAAGCAAGGAGACGACTCGTTATGGGTCTAAGAGAAGTTACCAAACATATGAAGTTAAACAAGATCAAGTGTGTTATAATTTCTCCAAACTGTGAAAAAATCCAGTCAAAAGGTATGCGCTTTTTGCTTTTGAAGTGTTTTGATAGTATAGCTGTGGGATATACAGTGAATATAAAGTAGAAGCCATATGTCTTTCTCATCAGAGTTTAGGTATAAAACAATATTGGAGCATGAGAAAAGAAAATGCAGTCTTTCAATACCTGAAATTAAGTAGTAGAATTGAGACTGGATTGTAAATAAAATCCTCATGTATGAACACCAGTGGAAGATTTCAGTTTGGCCCACCAACTGTCCCTTCTGTTGTGATCAGATGGAGGTCTAGCCAGAATGCATTTCTTCGGCAAATATATTCTGCTTTTAAAATTTTATGGTGGTGATTTGTCTCTGAGAAACCAGCAGTTTCATTTAGAGGCACTTAGGCAAACCAGCACACAAGTACTTTGAACTACATCATGCATCCTTATTTGTCCTTTTCGATGGGCAACTTTAGGTGACTGTAGTAGACAAAGCAGGTAGTAGTAGTAGGCATATGCATGGCGAGGAATATCAGTGAGACCAGTAATGTGTAATCGATCTCATTGCATTGTGAGAGATCTTTTCTTGAGCTGAAACATTTGCAAGTCAGCCACTATTGACAATTTTAATTAATTTCTTTATTATAAATATTTGTTGAATTGCAGTTTGATTGCTGCTATGCTAATCCCTATGGAGAAAGAAAAATACTGGATTTGAGGGAATTTGGAATTTAATAGGGGAGAAAGAAAATACATATATACTTCCATATATTGTATAAAATTAAATAGGATAATGTGTAACAGCGTTAAGTGCTACAAGTGTTCATAGAATTCTTTGCTGCGATGTTTTATGCTTTAGCTATCGGGTGTGCAATTAGCTCCATGTAGGCAACAACTAAAGGCGTCTGCATGTGTTGATTTTCTCAGGTGGTCTGGATGAGGCTCTCTATAATGTTATAGCCATGGCACGGGAACAAGAAATTCCTTTTGTGTTTGCCCTTGGAAGGAAAGCTCTAGGACGCTGTGTGAACAAGCTGGTTCCTGTTAGCGTAGTGGGAATCTTCAACTACTTTGGTGCTGAGGTAAGAATTTAGAAGACACACACTCTTGCTCTCCAGCACATCCCCCAGATAGCACATTTTTCGATTGACATATGCCAGTGTTATGTTTAAGCATTTGAAGGAGTGAGTTGACAACCCTGAAAGAATAAATGGAAATTTTTTGAGTATTACATTTCCTTTTTTAGTGGTGGAAAAGATTTATGTAGATTAATCCTAAAGCATTTTGAAAAGGTTTTAGTTCGTATTTCTGCCAAAGTGGTTTTTTTCTTCCAGGCTCAACTGCATAGTACTTGGTAATTTATTTTACTGCTGGTTAAAGATATCTGATATTACGTAATGTAATTTCTTCAGTCTCTAGATGGGTATATTTTGTGCTACTAGGAATCAGGAGACAAAAGAATCCTTTAATTGGAAGGGATTTTCCTTTAGAAAATGAAATTTCTAAACCAATTGTCACAATGATTGTACCCATGATACTATCAACCATCATCTCTTTGGCAATCTGCTAATATAGATCTTTATCATAGGAGCTGATAATGTAATGGTTATCAATTTAGAGTAATGCTCATCAACTGTAGTGTTTAAGACTGTTTTTTAACAAAGTTGATTCTGAAGTACTTTGTGATATCAATGACAGACTACTTTTCCCAACCACACTATTTTTGTGTATGTGTCTATCCAGTCACCATGTTTGCATATCCTACATTCCCCTGTCCATTCTGTTTCTTTCCCACCACCCATGAAATTCTCTACCCACCTGCTCTATGAGCATATAAATAATATTTGTGCTCCCACAATAGCCTGTGCTTTTGTCACGTTTAGCATAGCACACTGCCTTGCTGTAGGTTACGTATGTTTCTTTCCCTTTAACTGTGAATTCCTTGGTGACAGGCCCCTTACCTTGTCTTTATATTCCTGACACCTTTCACATTACTTGAGTATAAGCAGGCAATATATGTTTGTTGAATGATATTGTGAGATAGATGTATATCTGCCCACTATGCTAGACTGTATGTGAGAATTTCTTGGTAGCTCATGCCTGTTAGCCCAGTAACTCGGGAGGCTGAGGTGGGAGGAGTGCTTGAGGCCAGGAGTTCCAGACCAGCTTGGTATATTATCAAGTATGTCTATTCACAATGAATGGTAGTGCACCTGTTACTGTTACCATCTGATACAACTAATCTTGGAATTAAGCTTCCAATCTTTACCCTCACATTCAAGGCTTTAATTCCTTGATCCTAGCATCTCTCTTCAGTTTTTCTTCTCTTTCCTTATATTCTTTTATTCCTAACAATTTCTTTCTTTCTTTTATATTGTAAAACCAATGTTAAACTCACATATCCATTTGCATATTTTCTTTTTATTGTTTTCACTTCAGTGCATGGTTTGTTAAACACTGAAAATATTTGTCAAGCCTGTTACATGTAACCACATAGGGGCTATTGTTTTTTGTTTTTAACAGAATTTGTCCTTCCTTTTTAAAAATAATAAATCCTGATTATATTTTTTACACTACTAATAGGTAACACCCACCACTCTTCAAAAATCAATACAATTAGCAGCATCCTATATTATACCTGCTATTTTAAACAATTTAAAATGCAGCTGGATAAAGGATGCTACTTATATTTTTCCCTCTTGAGATGAATCTTCAGAGACTTATTATTCTACAGCAATGTAGCACTTTTTGCCATGCTTTCATCTCAAGGTTTGTACTTACTATAAAATTAAACAGATTCTCAAAAATGTCCAGGTTATGTTTAATTCTTTGAAATTCTTAATGTTGTGAGTATGTTGCATTGTGATACTAAATTGGACATTTAACAGGAATGGGATGCTATAGAATTATGGCATAACTAAAAGTCATATAGATTGGCCTTCTGGTGGCTGTAGAAACTTAAATCTTTGGACATCATTCGGTATCATGGTTATTGAAGTGCAACTTTAATGCTATATGTATTTTGCCATCTTATTATTTTTTTTTGAGGCAGAGGTTCACTCTTGTTGCCCAGGCTGGAGTGCAATGGCATGATCTCGGCTCACCACAACCTCCACCTCCCGGTTTCAAGTGATTCTCCTGCCTCAGCCTCCCGAGTAGCTGGGATTACAGGCATGCACCACCACGCCCAGCTAATTTTGTATTTTTAGTAGAGATGGTGTTTCTCCATGTTGGTCACGCTGGTCTCAAACTCCTGACCTCTCTTGCCTTGGCCTCCCAAAGTGGTGGGATTACAGGCATGAGCCACTGTGCCCAGCTGAATTTTGCCATCTCATTAGATGTGAATATGCTCAGTGTACCTACCACTTCACGGAAACTATTTATTTTGTTCCTATGTTTGTTTCAGCAATGAAAGAACATCTGGTTTTTTAGCTCCATATTCTACTTCCAAGCTCTATATTCTAATTTGCATTTGGCCCAGTAGTCATGCTTTTCTATCTTGTGTTATCTTTTCATCATCTTCAAGGTCCTAGCTCTCCATATTATCACCAACTTACTTTTGGTCTTCGTCTAGTTATTCCAAAAAGTAAACATTACAGAAAAATTTAATTCCTATAGAGACTGCCATCTTCTTCTACATTCCTGAACATCACTCAGAATACACTCACTCCTTTATATTCTAACCCAGATAAAATCTTTACTGCTCCCCTAACAAGCCTTATACTTTTCTTATGTCTGTAGCTTTATTAATGATTTTGCATATTTGGCTTTGAAGGCCCTGATTTCACCCCTCAAAATTGTACCTTTTTCAAGGCCAATGCTGATGTCATCTTCCCTTCATGACTTCCTCAGTGATGCCCAGCAGTTTAGAGTTGATGCCTCAACTAAAGCCATAACACTTTACACCTCTCAAGGCATGTAAGGTGTTATGCCTTGCATTATAGGTGTCTCTTACCATCTTTTTCTAGCCACATAGAAGGTTCCTTGAGAGTAGAGTTGATGTTCAGTCATCTTTGTACCCTCTGTAGTGGCAGACACTAAAGGAAGAGTACACTTGTTGAATAGTGTAAGAACTTTTAATATATCACATTTAGTGGCTAGTGTTGGAATCAAGAAATTTCCTCAGACTTGACTTGTGAGAATTAAATAAACAGTAAATGTAAGTTACAGAGTAATTTCATAAGGTTCTGTGGTTTGCATACCATTTGGATTTTGTCCTCATTGAAAGTGTCTGACCCTGAAACAAACAGTAGAGATATTTATTATCCATAATAGGAATAAAAAGTGTAACAAAAAAATGGATTAATCAAAATACTCTTTCTTTTCAGAGCCTGTTTAATAAATTAGTAGAACTCACTGAGGAGGCCAGGAAAGCATATAAAGATATGGTTGCAGCAATGGAACAGGAGCAGGCTGAGGAAGCCTTAAAGAATGTGAAGAAGGTACCACACCACATGGGACATTCTCGGAATCCCTCTGCAGCAAGTGCCATTTCTTTCTGCAGTGTTATTTCTGAACCGATCTCTGAAGTAAATGAAAAGGAATATGGTAAGTTGTTGAATACTATTTTAAATGACTTAAACCATGAGATGATTTAAATGACTTTCTATTCTACCTTTTATTTTTAATCTTTATTCTTGATTATTCAAATGTTGCTCGAAATTTGGTTTAAAACATTGCATTAAACATGTTCATTAAAAATCAGGAGAATATTTGGGACTGAGACTTCTTATGAGACCCCAGAATTTAATCACAGTTCCAAATCTTTATAAAAAGCCTCAGGGGCTTTAAAAAGCAAAACACACCATACTTGTGACCTATCACTAACTAAACATTAGGAAGTTTTATTCCAATACTTTATGCTCAGTTACTAAAATTTTATATTTCCTAAGGGCTGGTCTGAAGGTAGTGAGTTATCTAATTTGTTCACAGTCAGTTATAGATCAATCTCTTTGTTCTGCTCTTTCCCCCCTTTTCACTACTGCACTTGACTATAGTCTTAAAAAGAAAAAAATAAATTTAAAAAAACTTTAAATGTTGTATTTACTAAGTAAACTACAGACGTGAATAATATTCACTCTAGGCTTATAAAACCTAGCATGCTGTTTGCCTTAAGTAGTCTGATTGTAATCAAGAAGAGATACAGACTAAAAAATAGTATTTAATGTTTAACATTTATTTATTGAAGTCTACATCTCAGTAGTTTCTTTGCCTTATTTCTATAATACTTTGAGCTCTTGAGTTCTCTTTCTTGGTTTAGTTTATGATTTGTTTTCCCTATGTAACTTCCTTTCTTCTTTTTTTAAAATTTTAAATAGTATAGCCACCTTCTTTCATTTGGCTCTTTGTTCGTTCTTTTTTTCTTTTCTCTGGGAGGTTATCAGATAGCTTGTTGCCACCTAAAATTTAACGTGTAAAAAAAACTGAGCCCTCATTTTCTTCCCATATTCTCCTTCCTGGCCTCCCTGTCTGTGATTGTAGTTAGATGTTTGGAATGCTTTCAGTAAAGCTCCAGAGCAGAGGCAATTAACAAGCTGTTGTGGGCCCTTAGGAAACTGTTGGCCAGGGATGGGTGATACTGGTTTAGAGGCAGACATGTTTCTTTTGCAGGAGTGATACTAGTTGAAAATTAAGAAGATAAAGGGAAAGTGCTAACATTGTAAATGAGCACGATCCTCTCTATATAGTGAAATGCCGCATCTCAAAGGCAAGCCATAAGAGAAACCTGTAAAGCTGTGGGTTTGGACAGATGACAGAGTAACAAATGATATGGGCACATATAAACACAAGTAGTATAAAACGAAAGTCTCAGAGATTGAGGTGATGTTTTCAGAAAGCACCAGATTCAAAGTGTTCAAAGATTGAAGCCTTGGTTTTTCTATACTCTGCCTAAAGGTTTTAGGTGTAATCAGTTAATCTCGGGGTCTTGGATTTCTCCTTAGAAAAAAAAACTGTTGAAATGTTAATGTGCATCTAAAATTTTTAAACATTTTGTGCCTTTAAAATTTTTTTTCATAATTAAATATATGTGGGAAAATTTTCACTTACTAGACTGTTTTTTTTTTTTTTTTTCCCCAGCACTTACTATATACCAGTCATAGGGACACAGAGATGAGCTGGAGTGGAAGTGAGGAGGGATGAGGAAGGTGAAACAGCAAACACAAAACAAGGCTTTTGACTGTATATGTAAAAAGTACTGTGGGAGTTCAGGTTAGCGATTGCCTGTCAGGAGTTAGGAAAAACTTCATGAAGGAACTAACATTTAAGAGTGGTTATCAAGATGAATAGGAGTCTGAAGGGGAAAGGAGGAAAACACATCTGCAGAAAGAGTACAGCTGATGTTCCAACTTTAGGGAACAGTGAGAATTTAGATGACACTGAGCATGGAGTGTGTGGCCTATGGCGCAGGGTCAGAAGGCAGTAGGACCAGAATGATAGATAAGGGCCAGATCATGAAGGGCTTTGCTGTGCCACGCCAGGGATTTTGGATTCTATCC
The DNA here is from genome assembly GCF_000001405.40 of Homo sapiens. Taxonomy (NCBI): domain Eukaryota; kingdom Metazoa; phylum Chordata; class Mammalia; order Primates; family Hominidae; genus Homo; species Homo sapiens. The sequence continues at coordinate 48,994,417 of NC_000015.10, read as the reverse complement.
TAGGGTGATAAAAAGCCAGTTAGACAATGATATAATCAGTTCACAAAACCGGTTACGAAGATGTTACAAATGAACAGCAAGAAAAAGAAGGCCTGAGCTAAGGGAGTAGTAAACAGATTTAGTAGTTTTTGAGCTACAGGTGTCATGGTATAGTGATGAATTCAGTGGACTAAAGGGATATAATACTAATAAGAGAGAAAAGTAGGATCAAGTGTTACTATAAGGTGTCTTCTGCTTTGAGATTGTGTAAATGATAATGTCATTAGCTGAGAATGAGAATATAGGAGGAGGTGATTTTTTTTTTTTCATAAGGTAGAAATGACAGTGGAAAGGACTCATTCTACACTAAAGTAGCTTCAGGAAAGAAATTTTTTCCCAAACAATGTATCCTGACTTGAAGTGCCCAAAACATGTTCTATATCAATATATAGGCCATAGATGGTGACCATATTGAACATACTAATGTGAATAGGTTTGCTACAACTTGATAAGAATATTATACCTATAAACTGCAAATAGTAGCTGTAATGTCAATATGATAGAATTTTTATTTTTTAAAAAAATTTGAAAAAATACAGGGGTGAGAGATCTTTACTGATTCTTGGTACTTTTTTTGCCTTCAACTGATTTCCTATCATGAGAAATAATTTAGTTTGTCATCACTGTAGTATATAATACTTTTTTTGTCCTCCAAAATCACTTTGTAAGCCAAGCTATATATATATATATATTATAAAACAACCTTTCACAGATGTTAGAAATGCATGGATGGATTCTTTGCTTATAATTGGAAACACATGTCCCATTACAGGCCAAAAGATAATTTAAATAACTTGCTGAGTGAGCATGGTACAAACACATGAATCAGAACTATTATTGCTGGACATCTTGGCTCTTCTATCTCTTGGGTTGTGGGTCCTTGAGCCCATTACACCTCTAGGCTACCAAAAAGTTAGGCAGTTTATTGATTTTCATGAATATATGGATTTTATTTGTGAATGCCAGTGAGCTCCTATTGGTATAAGATCTCTTGCATTCTGAAGCGTTAATATACTTATTTTTACCTCCCTGTTTCTTTATCTTGAATGTACATTTTTGGGAATTATTTTCCCTTTATAACATTTAAATTAGGTTGGGCACAGTGGCTCACACCTGTAATCCCAGCATTTTGGGAGCCCAAGATAGGAGGATAGATTGAGCCCAGGAGGTCAAGGCTGCAGTGAGCCAAGATCATGTTGCTGCATTCCAGCCTAAAAGAGCAAGACCCCATCTGAAACACACACACACACACACACACACACACACACACACACACACTCTCTCTCTGTCTCAAACTAGTACTAAATAAACTAAATTTGTAGTTTTTCCAGTCAGTTTCTAAGCCAACAAATTTATATATTTTGTTGTTCTTTCTTTTTTGGGGGTTTTTAAAGAGTTGCATGATTTTGAAACAGTGTTCTGGTTTTTAAAAAATCTGCTTGATACTTGTAGAAACAAATTGGAGAAACATGGTGGAAACTTCAGATGGACTGGAAGCATCAGAAAATGAGAAAGAGGTATCCTGTAAGCACAGCACTTCTGAAAAACCCAGTAAACTTCCATTTGACACACCCCCAATTGGTAAGCAGCCATCATTAGTGGCTACAGGCAGTACTACCTCAGCTACAAGTGCTGGGAAATCCACAGCAAGTGATAAAGAGGAAGTGAAGCCAGATGACCTGGAATGGGCCTCACAGCAGAGTACAGAGACTGGCTCTTTGGATGGCAGTTGCCGAGATCTTTTGAATTCCTCCATCACCAGCACCACCAGCACTCTTGTACCTGGCATGCTTGAAGAAGAAGAAGATGAAGATGAGGAGGAGGAGGAAGATTATACTCATGAACCCATATCTGTAGAAGTGCAGCTCAATAGTAGAATTGAGTCTTGGGTCTCAGAGACCCAGAGAACTATGGAAACCCTTCAGCTTGGAAAAACCCTTAATGGTTCTGAGGAAGACAATGTAGAGCAAAGTGGAGAAGAGGAAGCAGAGGCGCCTGAGGTGCTGGAGCCAGGGATGGACAGTGAGGCATGGACTGCTGACCAGCAGGCCAGTCCTGGGCAGCAGAAGTCCAGCAACTGCAGCTCGCTCAACAAAGAGCACTCTGATTCTAATTACACAACGCAAACTACGTAACTCAGGAAATGTCGGCTCTCTATCTCCAGCTGTGGAAGGGTTGCAGCCATTACCTTTTATGCTTCATCTCAACATTTTGCACTGTCCAGTATTTAATATACGTATTTAATTCCCAACAAATATTTTTGTAGCTTTTACTTGTTATGATCTGTAGCTTAGCTTTTAATTAGTATCTAAGTGTCTTTCTAAGAACTGTGTGGAAAATTCAGATCTGTTTCAGCTTATTTTGTAATCAAAAACAGTGATAAAAAGAAGACCAGATCTTAAAGAAAATAAATTTCAAATGCTTACTTAAAAGACATTTTGAAAGTTAAAGAACAAGGTTCTAAGGATAGAAGCAGTTATCAGTGTTTGCTTCAGGACTCCACCTCCTCTACTCTAATTTGACCAAAAAATTGTTTGGGCTTCTTTAAAAAAGAACTGGGGGTGGAGTCAGAAAATTAAATGAAAGGCTGAGGGTAACTAAGTCCACCAGTGTTGTATGTTAAAAAATCAATGCAACTTTTATGTGGTCCACAAATGTTTAGTCAGAAGTCACTGATTATTGTAATTAATTAGTGTTGGGATGGGCTAAAACAGAGCCTTCAAAACTTCGGCTAGCAGTGGAGCCACCATCTTAGATTATAGCTAGCTAGCCTCATTTGTGGAAAGTGATAGATGCTGTCTATAATAGTGAACAGTCACCCATGATAGGACCTCCAGGTTCTGTCTCATATTTGCTTCTTACTTACCTCAGGAATGCTCTTGTACATAGACTTATTTACAAAAAGCTAGGCACATGTTGACAGGTGAATAACTGTAACCGATTGTATGACTGCTGCACTTACATGTAAACTCTTCAGAAACAGAGTCTTATACTGGTGTGTTCTCTTGCATGCTTCTGGTTCAGGACTCTTGATTTGAGATATGGATTTGATTGAGTATCCAAACTTGTCCTGAGTGCAAAACTGTTTCACCTTTTAAAAAATACCTATTTTGCACCTAGCCTTGAGCACCTTCCACATAGCAATGACCATAGTTACTGTCAGGAGGTCAAGGAAAGGAACTTTGCACAACTTGTGACATGTATCCTGATAATCAAGGCTTAGAGGAGGAAGTTTTAGAAGATAAGAGAAAGTTGTTCTAATTGTGCTGAAACTATTAGATGATTTAGAGTATACAGATATGTAGGTATTAATTCTCTATTCACTATTATTTATCTCTGCCCTTCTCTAGGAGTTTGTATACCTGCTTAGGAGACAATAAATGAGCTAAATGTTTTATTTGCTAGTCAGTCACCACCTGGACTTCAGTGACTTTACAAGTTTATGTAATGGTGGAAGAATGACAAACTATGTAATTTTTTTGTCTTCCATCCAACTCCCCACCACCCCCAACTGTCCCCCCCACCCCCCTCACACACATGCACACATCCGTACGTGTGTGTGTTTTCCACTTACAAGCTTCCATAAGCAGGCACAAAACTGAGAAGGAAGGGGTATTATCCCTGCCCTGATTATCTGGGGCAGGGCTTTGCCTCACAGAGGCAGGAGAGAAGAATTGGGCAGATTCTTTACTGAACTCATTGGGACTACTGTGCTAGTTTTGATGTTTTATAATGCTGGCATTTAATTACTGGAGAGATTGGATTCTTGGTTGATGATTTAGTATTTGTGAATTGTGAAAGTTCAGGAGCTGTGTAGAAAATGTTAGTCAATCAACTTTATTATTGTGCTAAAAGGGGACATTCTTATACTGTCCTGTCTAAACTGTTCTCCAGTATAGACTTCCTAGGCACTAAATATCCAATATTTAAAGGAACACAGCAGGTAAGGAATGAAGCCTCTGAAATAGTACTCATGGATTTATACATGGCAGATCTTACTGTCTCTACACATTTGGAAGTGTTCGTTGGTTTAAAGAAATGATAGAGGTTTTGAACTACTGACAGTCTTAAAAGTGAATTTAAAAACTGTTCATACTTTTTATGGTGTAAATTTCCTTTGCTCGATGTCAGTGATTCAGATAACTCTTGACCTTGAGATGATGGCTTTTCACAGGTTTCTTATATTTTATATCTCTTCTGAACATGAATTGTCATTTTAGATTTTTGACATTTGTATCAAAAGAGAAGTTGAGGAAATCTTCAGAACACTGGTAACTTTTAGTTTTGCTATAGACTTCAGAAGTGTTTATTTATATGTTCGGTAAATGCTCTCGCATATGCAGTACCTCTTCTGCCAGCAAATCCAAGGGACCATAGCCTTTTTATGAGACAGGTCACCTCTAGAGGACAACCCAAGAATTATTAAAGGAAATGTTACCATTTTGAGAGCATGCTTAAATAAATATTAATAATGTCTTTATAACTTGTTTCCTTTAAATTTTGGAATATTGAATTACAGGCTTTGGAGGAGTTGTGAAAATTAGGAAAGTTTTTATATATTTTTTGAAGTGGGCATGGTTGGCTCTTTGAAGACCTATAAAGAGATCCAGTGGGAAGAGTAAGGGTTGGTTCATCATCACAAGAAATAAAAAACATAGTGATTTTTTCTCTTAATGTGTAGAGGTGGTTTTACTGGCAATAATTAATAATAGATTTCTATTTCAGTATGTAAGCATATTAACTAAAATATGAATTACACTTCCAAAGTTAGATTTCTGCTTCAGTAGGTTTGTTTGCTGTGAAGATTACTTCTCAAAAGACAGATGTTCATATTAGCTTAATTTTCGGTTTAAATATGTTTGTAAATGATGTAATATATTTCTTTTGACTAAATGTGGAAAAGTAATGTGTGTTATACATTGAGAAGTTTTTACTGGCTTTGACTGGAGGTTGTTTTTGCAGAGATGGTATTTTATATGATTCCAGTATTTGGAAAAGAATTAGTCAAAAGGAATTCACATAGTTTAAATACTGAGAAATTAATATCCAAATATGTACTTGTCTGATTTCTAAATAAGCTGGGGGAGGAGGGAGGGGTGGGAATTGAAATGTGCAAATGAGTAGTGAATGCTACACTCATTTTCAACTCTTTAACATGAAACTGTTCAATCTTAACACATTGTTACTTTAATATATGTATAAAGAAGTATTACTGTTTGTAAAGCTGCTGTTTGCTTAAAAAAAAAAAACACCCTTGTCATGTATTTTCTGTATGTTGGGCCAACAGGTTAGAACATCAACTCATTTAAAAATTTTTATCTTTTTTTGATTTAAAAAAATTCTGTGAAATAATTTATTTACAGACATCTTCCTCCTCCCTCATCCCTTCCAACCTTTACATACATCACAGAATCAACCAAACTGTTTGCCTAATCTGAAATCTGAATCCTAATGAGAAAAATTTAAATTTTGTTGGCACATCACACCTTGAAAGTATTTGTATTATTTTATAATTTAATTTCTAAATATACCACATAAGTTTATAATTTAATGTCTTAATTGTAATGCTCTAATAAAAAACTAGCAAAATTAGTGTGAGTTATAACATGAAGGGATTTTCATCTTTTGCTGTATGAAGGATAATTGTTATATCACATTTGGGGGGTAATAACAGCTTTTTTGCACTATGTAAATACTAGTGGGGATTCTTCTGTACTAATAAAATGATTATTGAAATGAAATCTGTCCTTTCAGAAGAGATACTTCAAGAGTTCATGACTCCCCACAAGTAGAAGACAGAAAAAAGAGTCCAGCTTGAGTATTGATTGGTGGTCATATGGAGTTGCCAAAAAAGGCTGTAAAATCGTCACGAAGGAGTTAAGAATAAAAATCTCCATCTGGGATGGTTGGTGTGATCTGCGGCATGGGCCCAGGCGTTTAGCCAGAGACCATCCTGGTTATTAGGAGAAGGCTTCTATAGATTCCTTCACCTTTTTATATTAGTTCCTCTGTGCTGGGCACTGTTCTAAGTCTTTTCCCAGTATTAACTCAATCCTTAAAACAGTCCTGTGAAGTAGATTTTGGTTACTATTTCTCACTTTTCAGATGATGGAAGAGTCATGGAGATGTTAACCCAGCCCCATACCAAAGCCCATGCCCCAATCACTGTACTTTGTTATGTCTTGGCATAAGGTGCACAGGGTGTGCAAGGCAAACATGCTTCCTTCACCTTCAGGTGTCTTTGGGAATGTGGAACAGGAGGACTGAAGAGGGCCTTGGGGACTAAAGTTATTGGGCCTCACCTCATCGCCCTTTCCCTAAGTAGCCCCAGGACTTCTCACTATGTCACAGTGAAATGTAGGGAATCTGAAAAAGTGCATTCATCTGTCAGAAAATAGGATACTAATTTTCATAACAAAGAAATGAACTTTTTGGTGATCACAAAGCGAAGGAGAATGCCTCATCAGTTGTATCAGATACTTCCTTTTTAACCAGTACATGTACCACTCCCTAATTTTTTCCAATAGTGATCAGTTTTTCTCCTAACCAGAAGAGGGTGTGCATCGCACCTGAAAACAGTCAAAAGCTACATGTAATAATAATACTTTTTTAAAGCAGGAAACGGTGAAAGAGAAGTAACCTGAACTATGGGCCTTGCCATTAAAGGTGCTTAGTTGAGTCTAAGCTCAGAACTGGGAACCATGCCTATGGGTATCATTTCATTTTAGAGAGAATATTTAGACATGTTGAATAGGTCGTGAAATTTCTAGATTAGCAAGTCAGTCAGTACTTTTGGCTTGATTTGGGTTCTTCTGATGTTACTGTCATGGAATATTACACTTGGCTTATATATTAGGCATCAATGGCAGCCTTGTGGATTGCAGAGCCAGAGTATGGTTTGTGAAATGGGAGATGTTTCAGTTCTGGACCCAGTCTCAATCTCTGTATTTCTCTCTTCCCAGTCCTTCCATTTTGACACTTTGAGTAATTATTTAGCAATCATGTGGCAAGCAAGGTGACCCTTACTCTTGCAGAAATAGGTTGGATAATTGTGCAACTATAAACTGGCTGTACCTGTATCTAAGGTTTCAGTTGGAAGCAGAGGATTGGAGCAAATAAGATAATGAGCTGCATGAAATTTGGAGCTTCTGGCTGAGCATGATGTTCTTTATGTAATTGCTGAGGAACCAACCAAAGAATGGAATTGTGATCTGGTGTGCTATGGTTTTGGAGGCTGGCGTAATAGGTTTCTGTGGAAGGAATGAGTGCTTCATCTAGCCATGGCTTTGAATTACCCAGAGGGAACAGATAATAGCTACAGCATTCCCGTGGTAGGCCTCTGATGGGAGGCAGTGTCAGTTGCATCCTCATCTACCAGGGGATGAGTGATGTAAGGCGGTTCCTACTTCATTGTGCAGATTTCTCCAGGTAATTGTTTTCACCCTTTACTTCTCAGTCTTCTCTCTGTTTAACTGAGTTAGAGAATTTCATTGCCTTGTAAACCCTCAGCTTGAGAATGGAGTATTGAATTGAAATTAAAGCAGTTAATGTTTGTTAGCTCTGGATAAAGAGAAATGAGAGAAAACTTTTAAAATATTGGCTTCTCAATCACAGAAATATTAGAGGTCATCATCCCTCTCATTGTTCCTTTTCCTTGCTTCCCCCTTCTTAAAGCCAATATTGTAAGGAAAATGGTGAGCTTCTAACAAATCCTGTAACATCTGTAATTAGAAAGGTAAGAAATTACTGTATTCCTATTTTACAAATACTCAAACACCATGATGACCAAGAAAGATAAAACTATTTCCTTAATTTTCTCTTTTCCTAATAAAGTGTACCAATTAAATGATGTAATCTTTTAGATAAGGTGATCAGCAAACTATTGCCTTATAGCCTGTGGACCAACGCTGCCCAGCAGCCTCTTTTTGTAAACAAAGTTTTGTTAGAACACAGCCACACATTATTTACATATTGTCCATGGTTGCTTCAGTGCTACAATGCGGAGGTGAGAGACCATATGGCCTGCAAAGCCTGAAATATTTATTCTCTGGCCAACCTCTAAAATTGAGATGATGTCCAATATTTTACACTCACGTGATTCCCGCCCCCAGTTCTTTTATCTCCAGAGATGATACGTTTGTTGTGGTTTTACATATTAAAAAACGTACTAAGCTCTGCCCAGTGGTAGAAGGCATGCAGATGCATAGGAGGGGCACCACCAGAAGCAAGCCTGGATGCTTGGACAGTACTGGCGTTTGGGAAGGCCTGAATTCTTGTTTCTCTGTTCTCTAATATTGGGCAAGTCCCTGGTTCCTGATTTCCTCTTCTGTCAGGGGATGTACTGGATGAATCAGAACTTGGCTCCTTAGAGAAACAGTGAAGCCATTTTTTGGTCAAGGATGGTCATAAGTTGGATGTGAGCTGGGCACTTTCTAAGGCTACCATAGCCAAAGACTGCCAGCACCCTCAAAGTGGCCTGGATGGGTCCTGTCCCCAGAATGGGTCATGGCAATTAGGCTGATCACCTTAGTTCTTCCCGCTTCACCCCTCCCCCCAACCATCCCCCACTAAAATTTGAACTGGAGGCCAGAGAAAGCAGAGTGTCGCAGGTGTGCAGTATGCAGGTATGCAGAAAGTAGAGAGGCTATGAAAGTAACAAAGCAAGACTGACCACTTTGCATTTTTTTAGCCCATGCTGTGCTTTAACCAACACTACTTTTCCTTAATTGTATAGAGCTTTTTATGTACTTAAAATATTTTATAAGAATAACCAAAAGGAAGGGGCCAACTAAAACGCAACTATTTTCTATCCCATAACTGACTTCCCAGATTTGGCACTGACTTCAATAAATTGACAAACAGAAAAAGCATTAGTAGTGGAAATGGAACTGGAAGCCAGATTTAAACCCCTATCTTGATTGATTTAGCAAATAACAACTATTTGTTAAATAGCCAAGAGCTACACATTTTATTTTCTTCCCACGAATGAAAAACTCTTCCTTCATCTTTTCCCTGGCCTAACCCTCCCCCAAGTAGTGAGAAATATGGGTTCCATCTATGACTCTCCCATCTGCTCTTTAGCTAGAGCAAAGTGCTTTAATCTTCATAGAAAGTTCTAAGATTGTGTTAGCAACCCACTTATTTGGTTTCCTTAGAAACCAGAACACAGTATTTAAAGTAATGGCATTCCTTGCTCGGAATAGAAATTGAGTAAGCTGATCGTGGTGCCCCTGGTCTGCTCAGGGCTGCTTCACCTCTTCAAACACTATTTTTCACCTGCCAATTCATGGTAGCAAACCTATAAATGGTAGCACAGGGGCAACTATCTGGAATACAACATAGTGAAAGCTCTGGACCTGTATCCACCGCCAACTTCACCCTGGCCAGCTGCAGTGGCACCTACAGTAGCCCAGTCTGTGGAAATATTGACAAAACAAACTGTCTCTTTTAATTTCAGAATTTAAAAAATGTTTCCATGTACTTGTAACTTTTGCAGCAATTTAGGTTGGTTGCCACCAGCTTCCAAGAAATCTGAACACGAATCAAGATGATGAAGCTGCTCAGGCATTTAGAAAAAAAGCATAAAGAAAGGAAAAAGAACTTTGAAAGGAAATCAGTACTAAAGTATTATTAACTAGGCATCTGTTGTTTTGTCTGGTTAGTACATCCATTCTTTGGGGAACAACACTTTATGCCTCACACACCCACCAGCGATATAATCTCTTAATTGCAACAGGAGCAGGCAGTTAAATGACCCCGAAACCATTGATTAGTCTGGAAATCATGAAACAGTTGATCTGTGCCGGGCCAATGGGATTTTTCTTTGGGAATTTTGGACTTGGGATTGAGAGAGCTTGGCTCAAATGGTTTGGGGTGTCTGGCTTTTAAAAGAGGAATCTCTAAAGTCATTTTTGGCCAAGAAAAAGCAAAATCTGGGTCAGGCAGTGTTGAACAGATTTCCTTACTGTCAGACATTTTACAGCCTCCAATATCCTAATGTATTTTGACTCTCCATGAAGGAAGGATTTATTATATATCAGGCTGCATTTCCTCAACATGTTGGACCATGGCACACACAGTTCTCCACATTCAGTCACAGAGCACTTTTTCTGTGCAGGAACTATGAACATCCTGGGGAACTAGTTTTTCATGTAATGTGCGACAAAATCTATGTTGCTTAAACTCTGAAGGTCCAGGAGGATGAGGCACATAAGGAATACCTGGACTGCTGTAACTCGCAGATTCTCAACCAGGGGCAATTTCACCTCCAGGGGACATTCGGCAACGTCTGGAAACAGTTTTGATTGTCACAACTGAAGAAGGGGCTACTTGTCATCTAGCAGGTGAAGACCAGAGATACGCTAAGCACCTTATGGTACACAAGAGAGCGACCCCACCCCACAAAAAAGAACTATTTGGCCTGAAATGTCAACAATGGAGAGGTTGAGAGGCCCTGCACTAACTCAATCCTGGGAGACTGCATTAGTCCCATATAGGTTCATGGCCCCAAGAAGGTGGGCATGTATTCATATGGTGAGTTATCAAATGCTCTTGACTTCTGTTTCTGTCACATGTTTATACATTCTCTAATGTTCCAGAGTTGGCTTAGCCAGGGACATCCAGGTCTTCCTGATACAATAGGCCTTATTTTTAAAAAGTGTTTTTTTCAACCGCCTGGGGAAGAGAATGAAGAGAGTTTGACCTGGAGCTTCTGATCATGTGCCAGTACATCCTCCCATGTCTCCCACTTGTTTCCTCCCATCATGTGGGCAGGCGTGTGAGGAGCAAAAGGGCAGGGAGGCACCTCTGGCAAGGGCTGCTCAGTGAACACTCCAAGAAAAGCACAACTCAAGTGCGAACAGGAGGCCAGAGGAATTCGGTGGTCTGGCCGTATCACACAATTGAATCAAGCAAAGGTGGCGGGGACTGAGTTTTCTAAGACACTGTGACATGGAATCCAGCTGCCTGCCCTGCTGAGTAGCATCTCTGAAGCAGACACAAGAAAGCCTCTGCAGGATACTCCAGCAACCTCCCAGGGAATGGCTGCCCTGGAACCAAGTCCCTCAGCAGAATCACTGGACAGGGGCTTGGAAAGGGGCTTGGAAATGCCTGAGCAGCTCCTGTAATTCTGGAGAGAATGGAACACAAAGCCCCCGTCTACAAAGAAGAAGCTCCCTTCTTAAGATTACTGTTGAAAGACATAGGGAGACTTACTAAGCCACAAACTGAGGACCCTCTATTATATTTTAATCAAATCAGTGTTGGTTGATGCTGATTCTGGGCCATGGTTGAGTTAGTGCCCTGGCAGAGTTGACAGACACACAGGCTGCCCCATCTCACACATGGCTGTGTACTGAGAGTTCCTAAATTGCTTGAAACATGGAACATTATCCCAGAGTAGCCATATTAAAGTGCTCATTATATTCCCAAGCTAAGCCCTAGAAACCCTTAACCATAACTCATGTTGGAGCTGAAATGATAGGAAAAACCCACAGTTATAGGAAACTATGCTGCTACAAATGCATTTCAGCTTCATACACTGAAATTGTTGTTGAATTCCCCTTGTTTCTAGGAGAAAAGTGTATAATTCAGGAAAATAAGTACACATTTCCAATTACCTGGCCCCTTCTACTCACACATACAAATACACACACACACACACACACACACACACACACACACACACACACACACACACAGAGTCTTTCTCTTACCCAAACTCCCCCGCAGTGGGGCAGTGTGAGAATCAAGGATCAAGGTTTCCCGGTGCAAAGGCAGGTCAGCAGCACTTTCCGCTGCTGGGGTGTTGATGTCTCAGAACAGACACTCTCCTGGCTATGGCCTCCAGATGCAACGACAGGGATAAGAAAACACAGCACACTCTGCAAGTCTGTCAAGTAGAGACACAGGTCAGGCAGCATGTTTCCCCAACACAGAGGTCCCAGGTTAGGGGATCTTTAATATGGAGAGAATCGTAAAGATGATTCAGTCTAAGCCCCTCATTTACAGATGGGGAAACTGAGGCCCAGGGAAGCAAAGGGATCTGGCCAAGGCCACTTAGCTTTGTGGAGGCATATTAGGGCTGGGATTCCAGATCCACCAATCCCCAGGCTGTGCTCTTGTCCCTGCATCCTGAGACTCAGAAACTAGAATTCCCCTCAGGCTCCTTCCAACGCCCAATTCTACTTTTGCGAAACACATTCTCTAAGAGAAGCTTTGTTTTCTGGCTAAAATAGCTGTGCTTGCTGAGTTGAGGTCATAGAACTCTTGAGGCAGAGATTGCCAAACTTTGCCACCCCACGATACTGCAGATGCTGCAGTTTCTCTGCACCTGGAATCTTCCTTCTCCCAAACGGAAATCAGCAATTGGCAGCACCAGCAAACACCAGCACATGTCTCCCATCCTCACCATGTTTATCTCCACTCATTGGAAAGGAGCTGCCCCGCCTCTGGCCACCTGACCAGAATGTTCTTAACTCTCAAGAGGAGAGAGACTGCTCTTTGTAGGTGTGTGATGGTGATGGAAGAGGAAATGCAAACACTTTGTCGAAAGATGTAGCACTAGTGCTCCATGGCCCTCTGTCCACAGATGTCTGATAAGCCTCCAAACCTCTTTTCTAACCTGGAAACACCCATTATCTTGCTCAAAGCCATGCTGCTCTTTACGAGGTCCTCAGGCTGCCAGAGTGGGTGGATCAAGGAATTGACCTTAATGATACCACTATGGTATAATAATGTATTCCATGTGCAAGGCTGTTCACACCTTGAAAAATGCTTTTGTGTAAATGATCTCATGTGGCCCTGTGAGGGAGGTAAGAGAAGTGATTCTTATACCCATTTTATGGACAAAGAAACTAAAAATAAATCTGATTATTCTTCAAATGTATCCAGTGGCAGAGGCAAGATCAGAACCCGAGTCTCTTGGATCCAGTATCTTTTCCACCAAACATATAGCAGTCTTTTGAAAATTTTTTATTGTTCTTGAATAGACAATATCTACACACGGTTCATAATTCCAAAGATACCAAAAGATGTACAATGAAAAGCAAGTCCCTTTCCTGCTTCTCTGCTTCATTCCCCAAAGGCAGCTCCCTAAAGATGCAGCCTTCCAGAGCCCATCTATGCACATCCCAACAATAAATATGTGTATGGAAATACATCTATATGTGTGTATTTGTGCATGTGCATACACACAAATGAAGGACAGTTTTTATCCTCTTAAACATATGTATCTTCCACTTCAGCCCATGTGGAGCTGCATTCCGAAAGGTTCAATAATGCTCATTCGGGTGGAAGGTGGGTGATGTGTCTTACGGTTAAGTGCACAGGCACTCTGCAGTCAGGCAGATCTAGGACAGACTTACCATTGATCATGTACATGTGACAAAACCTCTCTGGGCTTTAGTTTTCTCATCTGACAAATGGACATAGTGATTCCTAATACATAAGTGAGAGAGTGTCTGTGACATGTTTAGCACATAGCATGTCCAATAAATGGTGGCTACTTACTGTATGCCTACTATGTGCCAGATACTGTCCTGGGTACTGTAGAAAAGAGGTGTTGGCCCTTAAAATGTTTACAACTTAAGGTTGAAGAAGGAGATCTAAACAAACAAATTTATTTATTTTTATATTTATGTTATACTAAATATTTTTATATTTTATATTTATTACAGCAGAATGGTTGGGAAGTCGTTCACAAAGACAGTAAGAGCATAGACTCCTACCTGCAGGTAAGACATTCTTGGGGTCCAATCTCATCTTGAATGAGTTATTCAACTTGCCGTGAGCATCAGCTTCCTCATCTGTAAAACAGGAATAATAATATAGAGTTGTGAGGATCAAGTGAAATAATGCACAGCACTTAAAACAGTGCCTGGCACATGACAGACATTCAATAAAGGGTGATTTTCAGAATTGTACAGAAGGAATGCCACTGTAGAAACATGTACAAGGCACCCAGGTGGCACATGGAGAAGGCAAGCCTTCCAATGACATGAGAACGGCCACGTGCCAGGCCCTGTAGTTGATGTTTTACATGCATCCTCTCACTGAATGCTCACACTCCCTCTGAGAACTGTGTTACCCACTTTTCACAGAAGAGAAAATCAAGGCTCAGAGAGCTTCTTCCTAGGCATAGACAGAAATGGCAATTTCCTTCTCATTCTTTTATCACCTGGCTCCCCAGAGAAAAGTCACTAAAACCAAGAAGACGTCAAGGACCTGGGGCGCCTCGTAGGTGACATTCACTCACTTGCTCACACATCTTCGGATTTGTGCTGAGCCCTCTTGTGCCCGAGCCTCTGTGCTACACCCCGGGCCAGAGCAGAGATGGCAGCTCTGGTCCTCGAGGAGCTTCTATCCCCGTGGCTGGACAGACCTCAAAGTCTCACTACACATCTGATTATTCATTCACAGCCATGATAGAGAGAAAGGGATGTGCCTGGCTTGGGACCTGATCTGGTTCAAGAGGATGTGAGGTTCCATCTCCGTCTGCTCTTGCCTTCCCAACATCTCAGTTTGTGAGGGAGATCGGAGGGTAGAGAGGAAGAGACCATGAGCAGAGGTAGAAGTAGTTGAGCCTGTTATTATTGCATGGAGGGGAAGAAGGTCTCTTTTCAGCCCAGAGATCACACGGCAGTGCTCTTGGGGGGGACTCCCATTGCCACAGCTGTGATGAATGCTGACCTTGGCCAGGCAATGCCTCTCACACCCACAGCCAAGGAGGGTGTGGAACTGACAAGATGCCGAGTGTATAGCTTCTACTGCTGTCATTGGTGGCATTGTTGAGAATATCCTTTACATCTGATTTACATGGCAGGTTCTAGTCTACCCAGCACTTTTGACATCCACCATTTCATTTTATTTGTTGTGCATAATATTTATATACAATATTTATATACAGTGGGGGTGGGTGGGCCAGGAGAGACTGGGAATTACTTCTCATTACTGCTACTCCTCACTGTAGCTCAATTTTCTACCCTCTGAGGTAAACAAGGTAGGTATTATCAGCCCCATTTTACAGATAAGGAAACTGAGGCTGTGAGCATTTAAGTTACTGGCCCGAGGTCACAGAGGTCATTTGCTTCCGAGCCAGGGATTTGGTCAGTAGGGTCCTCACGTTGACATGCAGTGATGCCACATGTTGGTCCCTTGTCAGACTCTGCCCAAGTTTCACCCTGTGACAAAGAGCCTCTTAGCTCCACATTCTTTACCAGGTAGAATAAGGCTGTGTCCTGAGGAAATAAGGTCCTCATGGCAGGTCTGGACTGCTCTTCTTCCCTATGTTCTAGTGACACTCCTCCCTCCCCACTTTGGCTCCTGTTATGAACTGAATTGTGTCCCCTGCCTCCATTCATATGTTTAAGCTCCCACCTCCAATGTAACTGTATGTGGAAATAGGCCCTTCAAGGAGATAATTAAGATTAAATGAGGTCATAAGGATGGAGCCCTAATATGACAGGACCGGTGTCCTTATAAGAGAAGGAGACACCAGAATTCTCTCTCTCTAAGCATGCTCAGAAGAAAGGTCATGTGAGGACACAGCCAGAAGGCAGCCATCTGCAAGCCAGGAAGAGAGGCCTCACCAGGAACCAACGCTGGCACCTTGATCTTGGACTCCAGCCTCCAGAACAGTGAGAAAATGAATTTCTGTGATTAAAGCCACCCAGCCTGTGTCACTTTGTCATGGAAGTCTGAGCAGACTAATATAGCTACTATGTCCTAAATCTCCACCCTCCACCTTCACCTAAAGGCATTGAGCACAGGTATTTTACCCAAGACTTTCTTTCCGGGGTTCTCCTCAATTAACTGCTTAAATTAATCTCTCTTGCAGTGTTTATTTTCACAAAAACTTTCAAGAGAGATTTCCAAAGAAATAGTTTGTGACCCTGAGAAACAGGTTTGGCTTCATCAGTGAACAGCATGAATTATGAAACTGATCCTGTTCCCCCATTTGACATGTTTGCTTGGGAGCTCAGAATTAAATTGACAGCCTAAACTTCTAGAAAGTTTACTTGCCCTTCTGTGAAACACTTTATATACTGTCACCACTGCTTTCACCTTAATTTCCTTCTTGTTTTTTTCTCATCAGTTGCTTCTTACATTTATTTCATAAGTTAATCGATGAATAATACATTCTTGTTGTAAATAATGAACTCAGAAGTATACAGAACAAAACCTGAAAGCATTCATTTATTATGTCATAGTACTCTCTCTGTATTTGTGTAAGTAGCCTCAAATCCATTTGGAACAATATTAGGAATAATCAAATTTTTTAAAACAAATAAAAGATACCTTTATCTGAAAAACAAATAAATAGGTACCTTTGTTTGAAAGCTTACTGCCATGCTAGGAATGTTCAGTATGCTTTCTCTTTTGATTGTCACAGCAACTCTATAAGGCAGATTTCATATGCTCATTTCACAAACTAACACAATTGAATGAGGTTAAGTTAGTTGTCCAAAGTCATAGTAAGTGGTAAAGTCAGAATAAAACTCAGATCAAGAGTTCAAAGTTTGTGTGTTCAATAGCAAAGTCATGGAATCAACCTAAATGCCCATCAATGGTGGACTGGATAAAGAAAATGTGGTATATATACACCATGAAATACTACACAGCCATAAAAAAGAACGAGATCAGGTCCTTTGCAGCAACATGGACGAAGCTGAAGGCCATAATCCTAAAAGAACCAACGCAGGAACAGAAATAACAAATACTGCATGTTCTCACTTATAAGTGGCAGCTAAACATTGAGTACACATGGACATAAAGAAGGAAACAGGCCAGGCGCGCTGGCTCACGCCTGTAATCCCAGCACTTTGGGACGCCGAGGCGGGCAGATCACAAGGTCAGGAGATCGAGACCATCCTGGCTAACGCGGTGAAACCCTGTCTCTACTAAAAATACAAAAAAATTAGCCGGACGTGGTGGCGGGCACCTGTAGTCCCAGCTACTCTGGAGGCTGAGGCAGGCGAATGGCGTGAACCCGGGAGGCAGAGATTGCAGTGAGCCGAGATAGCGCCACTGCACTCCAGCCTGGGCGACAGAGCGAGACTCCGTCTCGAAAAACAAAACAAAACAAAACAAAAAACGAAAGACACCAGGGCCTGCCTGAGGGTGGAGGGTGGGAAGCTGGGGAAGGGGTAGAAAATTTTAAAAAACTACCTATTGGGTGCTATGCTTATTACCAGGGTGATGAAATAATCAGTACAGCAAACCCCATGACAAGCAATTTACCTATATAACAAACCTGCACATGTACTCTGGAAACTAAAATAAAAGTTGAAAAAAAAAGTTTGTGTGTTAGTTTATTTATTTGTTTGGTTTGGTTGTTTGTTGTTGTTGTTAACTATCTTGACCCTCTATAACAAAGAGAAGGATTAGGAAATTGATGTACAACTGGGTTGTGTGGATTGCGTGTGTTGCAGGGCAGGGGTTGTGAATTGCTCTTCAATCACAGCTACTCCTCTGTCTTGTGCAAGCCATTGGCATTATTTAGGCAATTCAGCCAAGAGCCAGGTTTTGTTTTCCCTTAAGTGGCAATAGAGACCTGACCCCAGCCAGCCGATCTTGTGTCAACTCCAGGAGAAAACGGCCAAGGCCAAGTGTAAGGACCGTAGCCTAAGTCACCTTCCACCACTGATCAGTGGGCTGCTGCTATCAGCCAGAATACAGGGCGGCCTCTCTCTCTGGGGAAGAGGCAGTAGCGGAGTGTGGACAGCGGATAGTTGCTGGGAAGAAACTTGCCCACCTCCCACCCGCTACTTCTCCCCAACCAGGGCAAGTTCGCATTGCTGTACAACACGTGTGCATAGGCGCCTTCCGGACGGCTGGCTCCAGTAATTTGTACTGGCGTCCCCCTGCTCGTAGGTCCTGGCCAGAGGACTCAGCTCTCGATAGAAACACTGACCGCTGTCCCAGCTAGCAGGCAAGCCCATTTCTATTTTCATCTGAATTCCCAGCATCTTAGGGAAAGAACTTGGCCCTTCCTATCGACCAGACCCATGACGAGGGAGGAGAGCCTGCAGGCTCCTTCTTTAGCCTTCTTTGACTTGGACTCCGAAGACAAAGGTGAACTTGAGTGCTGCGGAGACACAGCTTCCCTTTATGCTCCCACTAGGCCCCCGGGCCGCTTAGTATCCAGCACTGAGGCCCTATTGTCCCGGCGGGGCACCCGGGGCCTGACTGCCCACACTGTGAAAGCGCAGTTCCAGCCCCCTCTCCCCTCCCCCCGAGTCGCTGTGCCTGGAGAAGGGCTTTGGAGTTTCACGGAATGCACACTGGCCCTTTTCTTCTCGGGGCGCCCGCAGCTTTGATGCTGTGCGCCTGGCAGCCTGGTGCTCCGCTGGTCTTTTTCAGGGAGACCGTGCGAAAGCGCGGACCAGACGCTCTCCCCGCCGCCCGGCCGGGCTTCTCGAGAAGGGCACAGCCCGGGGCGGCCGCGGAGCTGGCGGCCTGCAGCTCCCGCCGCCGCACCGAGGGGGCGCTGCGCCTGCCCGCGGGGAGCTCACGCAGCCGGAGCTCATCCGGGAAACTCATCCGCCGCCCGCCTTTCAGACGAAAAACAGGCAGCCCGGGGCCCGGCAATGCTACCTCTGGGAGCTCATTCTGAGAGCTCATTCTGAGATAATCAGACTGGGATCTGTGAGAGGATATGTCAAAAAAAACTTCTTCCTCCAAATCTTTCTATGAAAAATTGCAATCATGCTAAAAAGTTGGAAGAATGGTACAATATACACCTATATACCCGCTATCTGGCGTCTGCAATTAGCATTTTGTATGGAAGGATTTAGCAACAATGGCTATCACTGTCCTATTGTGTGTGTGTGTGTGTAGGAATCTAAATCCACCCCCTCTCCGATTTGCTAAATTATGCCACATTTGCACAATGGTACTATATAGCTGTTAAAGTAACATCGTCTATTCAGTGATATGGAGATTTTTTTTTTGTTAAAAAAGCAGGTGGAAAACCGTATGCACAATATTATGTTGTTTTTGTTTGAAAAAAAAAAATACGTATAGGGGAAAAGCAGCCTGAGGTGGTTTTTGTCGCTAAAATGTGAATAAGGATTGTGGCTAAATTAGGATATGGATGAATTTAGTTTTCATATCTGACTTATCTTTGTAACTTATCTATCAATGAAGTACTTCTATGCAAAATGAAAAAAAGAAGTTTAAAACATGTGGTCAGCTCAAGAAGCTGACCAGGCTCCGTGGGATTATTTCAGCACTATTTATCATGACAGAAGTCCTGGGCTCTCCCAGCCCACATACAAACACTACTGTGTTGCCCCTTCTGGCCATTTCCAGCTCCACCAGCCCCATACAGGTTCTCAAATTTGCGCTAGATCCTCCCTTCTCTTATCCCTGCTTTCCTGCAGCAAACTGCATTCCTCCCTCTCATCACTTACTCAAGCCAGAGAGGTTCCTTAGTCTCTATAGAGAATCCTACCATGCTATTCACTTTTCCCACTAAAAGCAAAAGTCTTGTAAGATAAAATTCCTCTTCTTAAAAAGAAGTCTGGGGCTTAACCCAGAGGCAGACCCTGACCTGTCTCTCTGTGAGAGGCCTGTCCCAGTTAGTCTCCTGGGAAAAAGCATTTTTTTTTAGTGTGCGTTCTTTAGGCATCTTTAGGACCAGCTGGACGATATTTTCATCACTACACAAGCAACGGCACTTTGGGAGACTACAGTAATAATAGCTTACTTTGTACACGTATTTTTAGTTCACAAAGTAAATCCACAGACTCCCTTACAGTGATTCCCAGAGCATATCCAAAATCATTTGGAGATAGAAATAGGGCTGCTAACTTATGTTTTGCCAGGTAGAGCCATTTAAAAAGCTGCCTAGTATCCATGTTTGCCATTACTTCCTAACGGAAAAGACATTTTACCACACACAGAAAATAGGAAGGACAATCTCAAATTTTTTTTTTTTAAAGCACTGTTTAAATAGAACTTCACTATAAGGTCCTCCTTTTCCCCCATGTATTTTAAGATTATTACTATTTCTATATAAACTGGAGAAAACATTTTTACAGATAATCAGTGGTTTGGGAACAGTGCTCCATTGTTTTTGATACTTAGAGTTACCCACTTGCAGGTGAGGAAGCCAAGGTTTAGAGACTATCAGCTGATGGAATGGTTAGAATCAAATTCAAGTCTGTCTGCTCCCAGTGGCTTTTTCTTATTGCAGATTGCCTCTGTCTAACCACCTTGCCAGTGTGATTCTACCCAGAGAAAACCTAACTGAAAAGCAAATGAAAGTCTTGGCTACACTTGGATCACCAGACTACACCCAGTTGGTCAAATTTTATTTTTGATTGAAAAATAACTGAGCTCGTCGGATGGAATTAGCCTTTCAGGAAAGTTCCTCTCTAATTTCATTATTTGCTTTATCAACAAAGCCATTCATATAGGTGGTTTCTAGGGGAGAATTATATATTAGAATGCTAATATATCTACTCGTATGTATCTATCCATATACATCTATTGACTGGTGCCTGAAATTCCCTCATTTTGGTGTCCTTTAGTGATAGGTTTCTAAACATCACTAAAAAGAATAAGGCAAAAAGGTAGACAGCATGTCCTTTCAGTGTAATACTGAAGCATTGTTTAACAAGCTTAGTCAATAATTTTTTTTAACTTTTATATTCGGGGGTACAGGTGCAGGCTTGTTATAAGGGTATATTGCATGATGTTAAGGTTTGGGGTACTAATGATCCCATCACCTAGGTACTGAGCATAGTACCCCATAGTTTTTTTATTTTTATTTTTATTTTTGCAGAGCTAGCTGAGGTTTTATTTTGGGAAAAAAAATGGAATTGTTTTGTAATTGGAGGCATGGGCAAGGCAGGTCCCCCAGGCAGTAAACTTCCCCGCAGGTGGGCTGAGGGCCAGGGCTGAGCCTCAGGTGGGCCTCCTGTTCCCTGTGCTCCCCTGCACAGCGGCCTCCCTCTCAGGCCCTGAGGCAGCAGCAGGAGGGATAGGTTGGGCGGGGCTGCCGTGGCCATTCACTTGGGCAGAACATCAGAGGACTCGGACACCAGCTTCCCATCGCGGGTCTTGATCGTCTTCGCAACCACGGCCCTGATGGAGCCGGTGCGGCTGAAAGAGCTGGAGGCCCGGCCAGAGCCAAAGCTGGAGTCCCAGGCCTTAGCTGAGGTCAAGGCTTGTGACGCTCCGGTAGGCCGAGCTCAGCGCACCTGCATAGCCACTGGTGGTCTTCCTGTGGATACTCATATTCTGCATCCCAGATTCCAGCCGGCTCTCCTAGCCCTCCAGCAGCTTCGTGTAGGTGGCGATCTCGATGTCCAGGACCAGCTTGCCGTTCATCAGCTCCTGGTACTCAGGCAGCTGCCGTGCCATGTGCCATGTCCTGCTTGGCCCGCTGCTGGGCGGCCTCCAGCTCGGACAGCTTAGTCTTGGCGTCCTTAATGGCCAGCTCCCCCCGCTGCTCAGCATCTGCGATGACGGACTCCAGGGAAGCTCTCTGCTCTGGCCTTTGAGGCAGGCCCTCAATCTCAGCCTGGAGCCGGCTGATGTTCCGGTTCATCTCAGAAATCTTCGTCTTTGTAAGACGCCGGTCATCCCAGTGCTTCCCAGCCAGTGTCTGCAGCTCCTCATACTTGATCTGCTACATAATCTCAGCCTCGGGCCGGCTGCAGTTGGCGATTTCCTAGTACTGCGCCTTGACCTCCGCGATGATGCTGTCCATGTCCAGGGAGCGGCTGTTGTCCATGGACAGCACCACAGATGTGTCCAAGATCTGGGACTGCAGCTCTGGGATCTCCTCTTCATACAGCTGCCTGAGGAAGTTGATCTCGTCAGTCAGCCCCTCCAGGCGAAACTCTAGCTCTACCTTGTTCATGTAAGCGTCATCCACATCCTTCTTGATGAGGACAAATTCATTCTCCATCTCTGTAGGCTTATTGATCTCGTCCTCGTACTTTTTCTTGAAGTCCTCCTTCACGAAAAACATGCAGAGCCCCTGCATGTTGCCAAGCTCTGCCTCCAGTTTCAGCTTCTCCTGGCCCAGGATCTCTAGCTGCCCCAGAAGGTTGTTGATGTAGCTCTCGAACATGTTGTCCATGTTGCTCTGAGCCGGCTTCTGCTGCTGCAGGAGGCTCCAGTTGGTCTCCAGCATCTTGTTCTGCTGTTCCAGGAACAGTACCTTGTCAACGAAGGAGGCAGACTTGTTGAGGGTCTTGACCTGCTCTTTCTCCTGGGTGTGCATGCCCTGCATGTTGGGGTCCACTTCCAGGTTAAGGGGGCTCAGCACGTTCTGGTTGACTGTGACGGCTGTGATGCCTCCCATACGCTGGCCCCGCATAGCCTCCACACAGACCCATGCTGGTGCCCAGGACATCTCGGAAGCTGCTGCTGCCCACTGGGGAGAAGCTCAACAAGCTTAGTCAATAATTTTTTTTAACTTTTATATTCAGGGGGTACATGTGCAGGGTTGTTATAAGGGTATATTGCATGATGCTAAGGTTTGGGGTACTAATGATCCCATTAGGAGGCCCGGGGGCCAGAATTGAACACCTTGTAGGACTTCTGGGTCACCCTGATGGACATGGTGGAGGCAGGAGTGGAGGCAGGCAGGCTGAACCAGGCAGAGATTCGAGAAGGAACGGAGAAGCTACTTCTAGGTCCCGTAGTTAGTTTTTCAACCCTTGCCTCACTCCTGGCTTCTCCCCCAATGGTCTCCAGTATCTATTTTTGCCATATTTATGTCCGTGAGCACCCAATGTTTAGCTACCACTTATAAGTGAGAACATGCAGTATTTGGTTTTCTGTTCCTGCGTCAATTCACTTAGGAAAATGACCTCCAGTTTCACCTATGTCAACGCAAGGGACATGATTTTGTCTTTTTTGATGGCAGCATTATATTCCATGGTGTATTTGTATGACATTTTCTTTAATCTGCCATTGATCTGCACCTAGGTAGATTTAATGTCTTTGCTATGGACAAGTGGGACCTAGTTAAAGAAAACTAGGTTTGCTATGGTGAATAGTGCTGCAATGAAGACATGAGTGCATGTGTCTTTTTGGTAGAATGTTTTATTTTCTTTTGGATACATACCCAGTAAATGAGATTGCTGGATCAAATGGTAGTTCTGTTTAAAGTTCTTTGAGAAATCTCCAAACTGCTTTCCACAGTGGTTGAACTAATTTACATTCCCACCAACAGTATATAAGCATTCCCTTTTCTCTGCAGTCGTGCCAACATCTGCTGTTTTTTGACTTTTTAATAATAGCCATTCTGACTGGTATGAGTGGTATCTCATTGTGGTTTTGATTTGCATTTCTCTGATGATTAGTGATATTGAGCATCCTTTCATGTTTTTTGGCTGCTTGTATGTCTTCTTCTGAGAAATGTCTGTTAATATCTTTGCCCACTTTTTAATAGAGTTGTATGGATTTTTTTTTGCTTGTTCAATTGCTTAAGTTATAGATTCTGCATATTAGTCTTCTGTCAGATGCAGAGTTTTCAAATATCTTCTCCCATTCTGTAGGTTGTCTGTTTACTCTGTTGATAGTTTGTTTTGCTGTGCAGAAGCTCTTTAACTAGGTCCCACTTGTTCATCTTTCTTTTTGTTGCAATTGTTTTTGAGGGCTCAGTTATAAATTCTTTCCCAAGGTTGATGTCCAGAATGGTGTTTCCTAGGATGCTTATGGTTTGAAGTGTTAAATGTAAATCTTTAATCTATCTTGAGTTAATTTTTGTATGTGGTGAAAGGTAGGGGTCTAGTTTCTTTCTTCTGCTTATGGCTGGCCAGCTATACCAGCATCATTTATTGAACAGGGAGTCTTTTCCCCATTGCTTGTTTTTGTCAACTTTGTTAAAGATCAGATGGCTGTAGGTGTGTGGCTTTATTTCTGGATTCTCTATTCTGTTCCATTGATCTATGTGTGTGTTTTTGTACCAGTACCATGCTGTTTTGGTTACTGTAGTCTTATAGTATAGTTTGAAGTTGGGTAACTTTGTTCTTTTTGCTTAGGGTTGCTTGGCTATTTGGGCTCCTTTTTGGTTTCATATGAATTTTAGAATAGTTTTTTCTAATTCTGGGAAAAATGATGTTAGTAGTTTGATAGGAATAGCATTGAATCTATAGATTGCATTGGGCAGTTTGGCTATTACAGTGATATTGATCTTAATTTAGCCTTTTCTGGTCATGCTCCTCAAAATTTTTCCAGCCACTGCCTGTTGCCCAGTTTTGAAACCACTTCACATTTTATATTTGTTATAGTAGTACTTCACTTGTGGTGCCAAAATCTGTATTAGTTTTCAATTGCTGCCATAATAAATTACCACCACCTTAGTTTAAACAACACACATTTATTATCTTGCTACTGTAAGGGTTGGGGTAGACGTTTGACACAGGTCTCTCTGATCACCTGCTTAAATCAAAGTATTGGCAGGGCTACATTTCTTTCTGGAGACTTTAGAGAAGCATCTGGTTTCTTGCTTATTCAGACTTTAAGCAGAATTAAATGATTTACAGCTCTACGTCTGAGATCCCTGTTTCTTTGTTGGCTGTCAGCTGAGGACCCTGTCTTCATAGCGCCTTCCTCCATCTCCAAAGGCAGTAACAGTAGGGTGAATCCTTCTCACGCTTCAAATTTTTCCTCCATTTTTTTATATCTCAAATTTCCTAGCTCTTACCACAACAAGGAAATGTTCTCTGCATTGAAGGACTTGTGTGTTTAGATTGGGCCCACGCAGATAATTCCCCCATCTCAAGGTCTGTAATCTTAATCACATCTGCAAAGTTTCTTTTGTCATGTTCCCGGGATTAGGGTATGGACATCTTTGGGAGTGCTTAGTCTGCTTACCATACTGTCAACATCCAGAGTTGAAACCAGGTTGATCTGACTGCTTTTGGACTTTTCCCACCTGATTCTATAATCTCCTGTCATAACTGTGCTTCTGTCTCATACCTAGAGGCCCTGCTCTTCTTATGATCCTGTTCTTGCCACTGTATTTGTGTCAGGTAGCAATGTGTTGGGCTGTAAGTCATAAATAACAGCTAAGAGCTGCTTGAGTTGCTTGAATTATTGAGGTTAATTTTTGTCACATAACAAATCTAGAGGTGATTGCTGGTCTTGGTTCAGGGGTTCAATGATGTCAAAGCATTGGCTTCATAATTTGGTTGGTCTTTCCTTCATGGTTGCAGTATGGCTACCATAACTCTAGCTATCATATCCACATTCAAGACAAGAAGACATGGGGTAAAGAGTGGGCTCCAGTTTTATCTGCCCTTTTAATTAGGAAGTAGATGTTTTCCCAGAAGTCCCCATCATATTTTAACTTGCATCTCGTAGATCAGAACTGTATCAAATGCCCCTATTCCCTGCAGTTACAGGGAAGCCTGAGAAGGAGAGTATTTAGCTTTTCCTGGTGGGGGTGGGCAAAGGAAAAGAAAGTTGGAAATGAGGATTGGATTAGCCAATTCATAGTGTCAGAGTTTCAGCCTATCAGGACTCTATCTTTGCCTTTTTCTCTTGCCAGTCACAATTAGAGTGGAGATTCTGCTCCTGAATCAGCCACCTGATGATTGTACTTGGACCACTTTAACACCCACTTACTCCTTATAAAATCTTCCTGGCCCCAATTAACTACTTGGCCTGCCATCTGACATGGCCTGGATGCACTTTCTGTTGCTTCTAGCTGCTGGCCCCTGGAAGCACCTGACCACCTTTCAGAGCCTAGAGACTCCATCAGTCCCCTGGCTCTGCAGAGGTAAGCTTCTATTCTGACAGGGCCTGTTTTTACATGGGTCATTTATAAGCATTGTGTGTGTGTGTGTGTGTGTGTGTGTGTGTGTGTGTGTGTTTGCATGTACAAAAAAGGGGACAACTGGACCACATTGGCCAAGAACATTTTAATCCTATGCTAGGTTTAAATTTAATAAAGTAGAAGGTCTTCTAAAAATATTACCATGGCAGATAATATCTGTTTTTATCTTCTTCCCCCCAGTAACAGAACTGTGACTTTCTGTGCAGCAACCACGCACCCAGACAAAAGACTTTTTCATTCTCAGATGAAGAAGACTTTATCTTCTTTTACAGCTAGGTACAGCATGTGATTAAGTTCTGGCTAATGTGATATAAATTAAAACATTGTATGGGGTATCCAGAATGTTTCTTTAAAGAGAGAGGGCGTATCGTTCTTTGTCCTTTCATCCGTTTTGCTGCCTGGAGTGCAGATGAAATATCTGGAGCTCCATCAGCTATTTTGGGCTATGAGGAGAAGGACTATACTTTAGGGATGGCCAAGAGCTGACACTGCCTCTGGATTTCCCACCTCCAGAGTAATAAACTTTCTATTTAATCTATTATAATTTTTAATTTTTATCTTATTTTCAACTGAACATGACCCTAAGTAATTCATCTACTTTTCATCTTCATGCTAACTCTTTACATAGCCTTCCCAGGTACATTATTTTCTTTTCAACAGATAGGAAAATATCCGTTTTCCTGTTCATTTTTTTTTTAGCTGGTCCTAGTTCTAGGAGTGTGAGATCAACAGCAGCCATCAGAAAACTGTTGACCTACAGGGCTGGAGACTGTGAAAAAAACAGAAAACATTGGGTTCAGGAAGCAAAAGGTGATTATTTCTAGAGTTAATGACAACTTTGGGGGATATGATTTTTGTGAGGCTAGGCCCTTACTCTCAGAGATACAATTCTTCTTCACCATCTCATTTCCCCATCCTGAAAATGATATTTTGGTCTCTACCAAGAACTTTATATAAATATTTTCTTGTGGAATTTTTTCCCCAAAATAGAGCTTCAGCAATGTTTTCATTCCCAGCTGATGGGCTGTTAGACTCATTGTGGGTATTGCTCAGTGAAAATCCTTTGCTAGTAGGCCTGCTTTATGGTAGAAATTGTAGTGGAGGGATGAAGTAACAGTCCTTGTGCTATAACACTCAGATGCCACCTGCTCCACTTTGTTCCAAAGTAGCAATTGGCCTACAGCCCCCCAGAGTTATTATGTTTCTGCCTTGTTCTCTCTCCTCTTCCCCATATCCTCTAGCACAACCTTCCTCTACCCCGAATTCCATATTGGATTATCTTCAAAACTGGGCTGGCATTTTTGCCAGGTTCTCTTCTCTCCTCCTCCTGGACCTGGCTAATTGTAGCATGACCCAGCCTGACCCAGGTCTTCCTTGAAACTGCCTGTTCTACTCAAGAAGCTCAGCCAGCATAGGATGTCTCTTAAGAAGCTGACATGTTGTTTCCTAGCAGGTGCCTTTAGAGAGGGGATGTCTCAGAGTAAAGGAGGCATACTGCTGGGGTCTAAGCAGAACTCTGTTTTCCAAGGGCAATGATGAGGCATTCATGGTTCTTAGATGATTTAATGACAATAATGGTTTTTCTTATCTATTATTCATGTTGTTACTTGTGAGGTATTTAGGGTGAATTTTATAGGTATGCTTTCCAAGGAGGAGAAAGGAGCAAGAACTAACATTTATCGAGCATGCAGTAGGAGTTAGGTTCATATACACTGGATCATATCACAGTGGTTAAGGGCATAGTTTGGAGTGAGTCAGTGCTCGATTCTACACCACAACTACCACTTCCTGGTTATGTGACTTGGGCAAGTCAGTAAATGTCAGATAGCACCTGCTGCATAGGCTTGCTGGGGGGCTTAAATGTGAAACACTTAGTTCAGGACCTGATCTAGAGTTAGTGCTCAGCAGATGTTATTATTATTGTGCACATTTTACATATACAAAACCTAAGTCTCAGAGAGGTTAAATAACTTACTCAAAATCCCACAGCTGGTTCTGGAATTCCCAGATTAATGTTCATCCAATTACATTTTGCTGCTGAGTGCATACTGCTTGTAGGTAGTGGCCCAGTTACAAAGGTTTCCTGAGATATCTAGTCTAGTATTATCTTCTGATAAATGATCTTTGGGCTAAATACACTTTCCCTGGGGGTTTTGGAGGGGTAGATACAGGAAAACCATAGATAGGAAAATATTCTGCCAGCCCTGATCTCATTGATCTGTGAGGGCCAGCTCAGGGGTAGGCTTCCCAACAACCCTAGAACCTCCAAAAATCCCCAGCTCATCTTCCTGTCCAGTCATTTCTCAGAGCTTTAGGAAGCAGTAAGATGCCCTGTAGCCATCATAGGCCTGGAAACTAGACTTGAGCTCTCTGGTCCCCTGGGAGGCAGCAGAGTACAGTGGCTGCCAGCAGAGGCTTTGCAATCAGGCCCAGAGGGATCCCAAGATCATTGCTCAACAGCTGGAGCACCTTGAACAAGTCACTGCCCTTTCTCTCAGCCTCATTTTCATATCTGTAAGGCAGTGAGGAACATAATCCAAGCATCCACAATTTGTTATAATAATTGAACCAGAATGTAGGTAAACTGTCAGGTGTTCCACAAATAGTAGCTCTTATTAATATTATTTTAATCATGACTAATTGAAGAGGATGTTCTAATGCCCTGGAAAAAGCAAACCATCTGCTTTACCCACCCATCTACCTAGAATGAAAAGCAATTCAATCAACGAGCCTTCTCTTGGGCTGTTAGGACTGAGAGAGTGGTCCAGCTGGGCAGGCTCAGCCTAGAGGCTATTCCCCACTTCCAGTTGCAGATCTGGTCTCTTTCACCCTCGTAAAACGCTGTAGCAGAGCTACCCAGGACAGCCAAGGTCTCTAGGCTTTGGGAAGAGAAGGAGCCCACAATGGCCATGACTGCTTTCTTACCTTACTTAGTCCCACTTCGCAACCCCCAACCCTCCCAGGACTCGCACTTTCTGAGGCATGTAGGCTGGTCTGGGCTCCTGGAGTCTGGCCAGCATGGTGCCTACCTAGATGAGCTGGCTCCCCTGGACACCCCATCCTGCAGTCATGAGACCTCTGTAAGGATTCCTATCAGCCAGGCAGGCCCATGTCCTTTCCAGCCTTCTCCAGGCCCACCTGATTTAAAAAATTGTTTTCTTTGGACAATGTTGAGTTTCTTAGCTTCTCCCACTTTGTACTAATTTTTCTTTTTAGTTGCCTAGAATGATGTAAACTCTGCAGTGTGAGGGTTAAGAATATGAGCTTCAAGGGGAGGTAGCTCTGGTTCCAATGGCCATTTTTTCATACTGCCCACATGTACTTAGTGAGATGGGCACTGTATGGAGCATTGGGCCTCGTAAGCCCTCATAACAACCCCATTAGATGGCTGCTGCCAACATATGAGGACATTCAGGCACGGAGAGGTAAAGTAACTTTCTAAAGGGAGCATATAATGAGGTCATCATAGCATAACAGAAGCAACACAGGGACCCAGGGACCCAGGGGAAGGCAGGAAAAATGAGAGGAAGAAAGCAGATGAGGAATGAGGAGGAATGAGAGGTAAATATTCTTGCCCAGAGCCTGTCTCCTCAGCCCCAGGGATGTGGGGTCCAACTGATTTAGCTACTTCCCTCAGTTTTGCCAGGAGGAGATGTAGGGCAGGGAAAAGGAGGTCAACAAGGATTGAAGGGAAGATTTATGAAGATGCAGAAAGGCCTTTCCAGGGAAAGAAATGTCTGAACAGGCTTGGCAGACAGGATGTGATGGGTGCTTTATTTCCCTGGGGGACCAGGGAGCTTGGGAGGAGGATGCCGCTTTCACTGGTCACTCTCAACCATTTAATTCAGAACCTGTGTTTGGATCCCAAGGGAGCTCAGGCTCCCAAAGTCATGAATATACATAAGCCTAATCCAGCATTAGGGACAATAAGATAATGAAGGTGGCACCCTTAATTCCTTTGGTTGCCAGTTTGTCTTAATTTTTTAATTAATGAACAATTTCAGATGTCAAAGCCTTGAGACACGGAGTAATGCAATCTTTTCTGAGAGTTCTTTATCTCTTCCTATGTGTGATTTCCACCCCACCCCGACACCCCACACCCCCAGTGTTTCAGCAGTTTCCTCTTCTCCATTCCTGAAGAACCTGCATTTCCTTTTCCCAGCTCTGGTTTTGGCTTCCTGTGTGCTAAGCCTTTGCAGTTGTCATCATGTCTTCAGGATGCATTTGATAGGTACAGGAAGTCGCACCAGACGGAAGATGGAACCAACAATCAATAAAAAAAGAACTATGTTTCTAAGAAAAATGCATCATGGCTTCCCACAGGAGTTGTGAACCATATGTCCTAATATCCCTGTAACAATGGGTCTAATTTTTAGCTCTTCTGCTCTGCCCTCCCGGCCATCTCAACAAGAAAGAAAATAGATCTTTTAACCTGCTGCTCCCCGGCTAATGATCTGTAGTAAAGATTGCCTTTCCTTTTAACTCATTCATCAGATACCACAAAATAAAATACGTCCCTCCTCTCCCGCTAGCTTTATTTCTCTCGGCTACTAGTTTAGTATATTTATGGTGTATGAGTCATCAAGCTGCCTCCTGATTGGATAAAAACCAAGCACCTCTGAGACCGTCAGTCAATTACAGCTATTCTCAGCTTCATTCACAGATTTATTAGCTTGCACACACACAGAGAAATTCATTCGGCAAAGTTCATTCATAAAAATTTCAACACGCTGCGTATCATCCTGCACATCTCAGCTTTCGGCTGCAAATGGGCTTCTGAAAAAAGCTCCGAGAGGAATCCAGGAGGGAGGGAAGCTCTGAGCGAGGGTAGGCAGGCTGGGAGGGGATCTGAGGAACACGGACCCATCACAAGTCAGTGAAACAATGCGGAGCAGCGCCCGTCAGTAGTACTCCTGGCTGGTGGCCCAGAACGGGATGCAAGACAAGATCTTCCAAGAGAGGGCAGCCTTTGGAATCAACGAACCCAGGCAAAAGGGCCTTTGGTTCATAGATACATTTTTTTTTCCTTTTTAAATGAACAATCACTGGAACAAATAAAGGGTTAATAGGCCAGTCATTTGCCCCGCCCTGTGAGAGCCGAAGGGAGCAGGTTCGAAAGTTCCTGTGTGCAGAACAGAAGGCTGGGGTGAGGGTGGGAGTCGGGTGCTAAATATTTCTACTAGGCTCCTGCAAGGCTAGTGATGCAGCGGGCCCCCCGACCGGCGCTCGCCCGGGTTCTGCGCCTAAGAGTTGGCCGTGAGCGACCCGCGCCGCCGGGAGCCTGGGTCTAGGCTCTCCCGACAAGGATTCCAAGGCGAGAACACTGGTGCCTCTGCCTGGGCCAGGGAGAGACTGAAATCAGAGCAGGGGAGGCGTTTCCCCCATGGGCTGTCACCCTTAAGGGGCCGGGAGCCGAGGTGGGCGAGCTCGAGAGCAGAGTTGGAGAGGTGGCTGCTGTGAGTTGCATCGGGCGTTGAGGTATCTGATGTCTGCACCGTTTATCTACCAGACGACGAGGCGATTTATGCAACAGTATCCTGTTTCAGCACTGCCAAGGCTATGCGAGAACGCGGCCAGGACAGCCTGGCAGGACTCGTGCTGTATGTAGGACTCTTCGGGCACCCCGGGATGCTGCACAGGGCCAAGTACAGCCGCTTTCGGAACGAGTCGATCACGTCCTTGGACGAAGGTAGCTCCGGAGGCTCGGTCGGGAACAAGGGCTCGCCGCAGCCTCCCCACCCCGCCCTGGCACCTCACCTGCCGACTGAAGATGCCACCTTGCCGTCGCAGGAGAGCCCCACCCCACTGTGCACCTTGATCCCCCGCATGGCAAGCATGAAGCTGGCCAACCCGGCCACTTTGCTGAGTCTGAAAAACTTTTGCCTGGGTACCAAAGAGGTGCCTCGGCTGAAGCTCCAGGAAAGCCGGGACCCAGGTTCCAGCGGCCCCTCTTCCCCAGAAACCAGTTTAAGTAGGTCCGGGACTGCACCTCCACCGCAGCAGGACCTGGTGGGACACAGGGCAACCGCCCTAACCCCTGATTCGTGCCCGCTTCCTGGCCCTGGGGAGCCAACACTTAGGAGCAGGCAGGACAGGCACTTTCTACAGCACCTGTTGGGGATGGGCATGAACTACTGTGTGAGGGTAAGTCCATTTTCCTCTCTGCCCTCTAAGAACTTCCGTGGAAGGGGGCATCTTCTCTGCTTTCTGCAAGGGGTCTAATGTTACCTGCCTGGGTTCTGTGTTTGGACAGGACATGATTCAACTGGACCAAGGCGGAGGGGAGCTGGGTTTATATATGTCCCTACAACTATCTGACTTGTACTGGAGTCAGGCAGCCTTTGGTTCAAGGACATGAACCGGTGCTAACTTGTAGGACATGAACTTGTGGGTACTTGGCAGGTGTAGAGGCAAGTTCTGATAGAGGCAGCTGATGGCACCACTTTGTCCCCGCTGGACCTAGTATTCTGGCCAAAAAGAGTCAAGGACTTCAAATCTGATCAGTGATTGAGACCTGGTAGGTTATACTGGCCATTGTATTTTGGATGAATACAGTAAAGATTTCTGTGCTGTAGAAACACATGGTGTGTAAGGGGCTTGAATTATTCTTTAAAAATTTATTTCAGCATTTAACAAACACTTCTCAAAACACGTCCGAGTCTCTAACCTTGTGCCAGGAGCTAGTCTTAGCTCTCCGGTGCACATTTATTGCCTTTACTGCCTACGCTGCAGCAAGTAGGCCTTGTCCATGAGCTATGGGCAAAATCAAGGTCCTTACTGGCCTTGTATCTGTCCTTGCTCAGTCAAGATGTGGGCAAATGAAGATTTGGCCTGTGCCCTTTTGCAGCTCAGATTTCAATGAGATCAATGAATACATGCGAAATACTAAGATAATAATACTTAGCAATAGATAGCTAATATGAGAATGCTGAGGGAATTCAGAAAAAAGGAAAGATTATGTGATCTGGGATTCATTCACATGGGGAACCCTCAGGAGAAGATGAATCTTGGAAGAAATGTCAGATCTGGGTTGGCAGAAAGGAGGGGATTCCTGGTAGGCCAAGAATAGGAGCAAAGTCACTGTGGTGGCTGCAGGGGAGCATCACACAGGCTGGGCCTTATGGAGGAGGAAGGGGAATGCTGGAGAATAGTGGGTGACTGAGGGAGGGGGTGGCTTGTAGTACTCAAACAAGTATGAGTTGAATAAAGACAAATAGAGATCACGGGTAGCTTGGGAGACCGAAGTTGACTGAAGCTCTTAAATGCCAAATGAGGAGATTGTAAATACTGTGATTGATAAATGAGAATCCTCCTAGGTTTGTAGGGCATGACTTGCTGAAAGTAATTTTTAAAAGACCAGTTGGTTGATTTATTTGACATGGATTGAAGCAGGGAAAAATTAGAGACTTGGAGGACAGTAAGAAAGATACTCTGAGAGTTTAGGTATGAGGCAATGAGAACACTGATTAAGGTGGAGAGGAGAGAAAGGAGGTGAATGGTAAGGCATTCTGTGACAGAAGAATGAGAGAAGCCTCAACAACCCTGGGAGATTAAGCAGATCATTTCAAATCATAATATAACTAATAGAGTAGTGAACATTTATGGAGCAGTGGGTAGATTGATTATTTTGTTACCATTGTTGTTTATTGGGGTTGTGATTGATTATTGATGGAGGGTTGTAAAGGGTGAAAAAAAAACTTTCAAATTGAAGTCTCAGAATGACATCAGTGATGCCAATGACTGAAGCAGAGTAAATTAGGAAATGGACTCATTTTAAGTTTGTTTTTGACATATTAAATTTAATGTAATTATTTGTAAATAATGCTAATATGTAGGTAGACAGTCATATAAAACTAGCACTCAGGCGAGATGTCTGATCTGAAGGTATAGAGAGCTAGCCCAAGAACTGTATTACAGACAATTAGGATCTCAGTATTACAAACAGACAATTAGGATCTCAGGGAAGTTCAAATAATAAACACTGGAAGGGTTACAGAGAGAGCAGGCTTGGGCAGTCCTGGCAAATGGGTAACTAAAACCTCTAAAGCAGATAAATGTATGGGACATGCAGCTCTCGCCCTCACCCACAGTGACATGGCACATAATGGAAATATTTTCATGTTTCTACTCAAAGTTCATGGGCATATTCTCATTTATCAAGATTAGGTGTGTGCCAGGCCCTCATGGGAAAACGAGTGAGTCTCCAAACCTGGGCTCTCTGCACTTGCCTTACCATCACCTACACATCCTCTAGCCTCTGCCTCAGCTTTCCTTTCCTCTTGTACCTCCTGCAACCTCCCCATACCCACACACCTGTACAATTTTAAATGTGAAAAGAGTTGCTGTGTGATCTCCAGTTTCCCTAGGGAGTGCCTCCTCTGGCGTTTTAGATTTTTAATGGGGGCACCATCTGTCTTTTCATGGCAATAATCACTGACTCCAGAAAAAGTGCTGACCCCACGACCCAAATGAACCTCACAAGATTGCCGATATCCGTGATGTCCGATACAAGCTAATGACATCTCTTATGAAGTCAAAATACGTGAAAGAACTTACTTATTAAGTTTTATAGAATCCTAACTTTGAAAGACGGAAGACTCAGAAGTTATCAAGGTCAATTCCTTAATGGTGAAACCAAACCCCAGGTTTTTCAAAGGCCACACAGATGAGTTAAAGCAGAGTGAGATCTAGAGCCCAAATCTCCTGTGTGCCATTCTTATCTGTCTTCACCACAGGTTTCCATCCTGGTTGTTGTTCTGTTCCTCAGAATTCTTTTGAGATGTGAACCAATTTTGAAAAATGAAATGCTAAGCTATTAATTTACAGTAAAAATATCATACCAAATGAACCAAAGTTGTGAGCTCTGTATTCCCATCTGTAGGAAAAAGCACATAAAAAATTTTAAATCAAACCTTGCTTGGTAATAATGGATTCATAGGAGAGAACTGAGAGAAAGATGATCTTAATGGCTAGTTGACACAGGGCTGGTGGATTTAGGGGCAAAGTTTACAGGAAAAAAGCCACTTCATATTCTACCTTCTTATCCATATCATGTGACTGCTCCTCTCCCTGCCCCAACTTATTTGCTAATCCATTCATCCATTTATTTAACAAATATGTATTATGAATCAATTATGCAGCAGGAACTGTTCTAGGCACTGGGCATCCATGAACAAAATGAATCAGTTCTAAGCATCAGTAAACAAAAGAGACCAGGTCTGAATCATTGTGAAATATTTTAGTGAGCGGAGATAGGTTCAATTGAATAAATGAAAAAATATACTATTTCAGATGGCATTAAGTGCTATGGAGAGCAATAAAGTGGGGTAAGTGAAAAAGGCAGTAGCTTGGGTGGGAATGGAAGGCATATTACTCTTGGGTAAAAAGTGGGATTGTTATAGCTACTCTTTACTTTGTTTTCTTGCATATTTTCTCTTTATGATAGGGACTATATTTTTCATCTGCGCTAAGCTAGAGTTGACTTTGGGTTAAATATTCTTTTTAAAAAATGGTTCTTCATTTGGTCTTATGATGTAGAATAAATTATATAGCTGAAAACACTTTATGAATCCTGACCACCTGTTTTGAGTAACTTTAATTGAAGCTCAGACTTTGGACCACCTGAAGGTCTCTCAGGGAAGGGGGCCTAGCAAACCATTCTTTGAAAGATATTGAGCCAGAAATAGGACAGTGAGATCCCAGTCTGGGCAAAGTAGTGAGGTGGGCAAAGCCCATTAAATGGTGTCAAATGTGACTTCATTCTCCCCATAAGACTGAGTCTCCTTTCTTTAGAGGCCTTTCCAAGTCCATTCATCCATCAGCAGACATTCATTTAAAGGTCTCCCAGGTGCCCAACATAGTGGGGAATGTGGAAAATCTACAACGTGACAGTGTTCTCCTCTTTAAAATGAGAGAATTGGCTTGAAAGCCCCCTCGCAGCACCAGTATTTAATGAATGTAGGGTTCCTTTCTCACACGGGAGGTGTTGAAAATGTTAGTTTCCTTTCCAATTCTCAACTTGGCTCAAAGACTTAATAAAGCAGAGGCAAAGAAACCAACCTTGACGAGCTTTGGCAGGTAACTGCAGTGGCCCTCACCACAACCCCCTGAGGAAGGCCGTGTTCTCCAGGTGAGGACACTGAGAGCCCAGGTGTCTGTGATCCACAGGATACTTCACAACTAGTAAGTAGCAGACTGAGGATTCCTAACCAGGTGTGTCTCACTCCAATGTTCCTCCACTTCCCAACCTCTCACTTGCCTCCAAGCAAGACAGGCAGCCTCTGAAGTATGGGAATGGAGTAGCGTAGATGAGAGGCCACACTGTGCAGGATAGCCTCATCATAGGACCAGCCCATGGAACTTGCCTTGTGATATGCATTTGCATGATTTCAGTCTCTTCACTTCAGCCCAGCCCAGCCAACTGTTTCCCAGATCGCATTAGTTTCCTAGGGCTTCTGTAACAAGTCCCACAAACTGCGTGGCTTACTACTATAGAAATCGATTCTCTCACAGTTCTTGAGGCTGGACGTCTGAAATCAAGATATCAGCCAAGTCACGCTGTCTCTAAAAGCTCTAGGGGAGGAATCTTAGAGCTCTTCCTTGTCTCTTCTAGCTTTTGGCAGTTGCCTGCAATTCTTGGTGCTCCTTGGCTTGTAGATGCATCACTCCAATCTCTGCCTCTGTCTTCACATGCATTCTCTCTGTGTGTCCATGGCCAAATTTCCCTCTTTTTTATAAGAACATCAGTCATTGGATTAGGGCTCACTCTCATCTAATATAATCTCATCTTTATTTGATGACATTTGCAAAGACCCTATTTCCAAAGAAGGTCACACTCACAGGTTCTGAGGGTTAAGACTTGGGCATATCTTTTTTGGTGGACATAATTCAACCCAAAACAGTCCCCAAGAGCATTTATTGCAATGTGTTTGCTCACATGGGCCTTCTTGGGTATCAAGCTCATCAGCTTTGTGTGCAAATAGAAATTTGTGTTGAAAGATTTTCTTTACTTCCTTTATAAATCCCACAGTATACTCTTACCATCCGTCTTCTCCTGTCTAAGGTATCTTATCACTGACCCAGTAAACTAGTATTGTCAATCATCTGTTGTCTAGACTAGATGTAGTCCACAGTACCACAATGTTACATCTACCTCAAGTAGCTTTTCCATAGGAGAATACAGGTCTAGGAGTTTGGAGACGTGCATTGAAGTAACGGCTCTGACACTAAGCTGTGTGATCTTGGGTGGGTCACTTCACCTCTGTGGGCCTCATTTTCTCATATTTAAAAGAAGTTTCAGCCAGGCACAGTGGCTCATGCCTGTAACCCCAGCACTTAGGGAGGCTGAGGCACGCATATCACTTGAGGTCAGGAGTTCGAGACCAGCCAGGCCAACATGGTGAAACCTCATCTCTACTAGAAATACACAAATTAGCCGGGCATGTTTGCATGCACCTGTACTCCCAGCTACTTGGGAGGCTGAGGTGGGAGGATTGCTTGAACCTGGGAAGTGGAGATTGTAGTGAGCTGAGATCATGCCACTACACTGCAGCCTGGGCGACAGAGCAAGACTCTGTCTCAAAAAAAAAAAAAAAAAAAAAGAAAGAAAGAAAGAAAGAAAGAAAAAGAAAAAAAGAAGAAGAAGTTTGAACAAAATGCTGCTTAAAATCCTGAGACTCCAGGTCTTCTTTCCTACCTGTTTGAAACCCCTTATTATTAGGATCTCTTTTGGTTAGAAAGAGTTACCTTGAGGAAA
Source organism: Homo sapiens (assembly GCF_000001405.40). NCBI lineage: Eukaryota > Metazoa > Chordata > Mammalia > Primates > Hominidae > Homo > Homo sapiens. The sequence continues at coordinate 48,956,819 of NC_000015.10, read as the reverse complement.
TAATGTTTATCCACTTTATGTTAGCAGAGAAGAGAAAGAATGTCCTTCAGGGATGCATTCACTTCTATTTTAGCACCCTCTTACTAACACTGAGCTGGCTTCACCAGTAAGGCAGAAAGGAGGGTGTTATACTGGCATGGGTGGAGGCAGTAAGTTTTAGAGAGATGGAGGGTGGTAGAACAGCATCCAAGAGTAGAATTCCAGGGAGGGGTGAAGGGTGGGCTAGTTCGGGGGCAGGCCAGGGTTGGAAGAGGTGAGCGATAGTGGATGGGATTGTGGGAACATGGCATTCCTCATGTGTCTGGCCAGCTAGGTCTGACTGGACTTGGTGTCCAACAGGAGGACTGCAGAAGTGACAGAAATTAAGCCATCTCTATTTTCTCTGGACAAAAGAGCCAAGAGAAAAAGGCCTTGCCACACACATAGCCTGGTAACTCTAACCTTGAAAGAGGGAGATTTGTGACTCCAGGAGACTCCTGGAGAGACAGTCCCATGGTTTACACAATGAAGCCAGACCTGGGTCGCTCAGGTACCCACAGCAAAGAAACATGGCTTTCTGCCTTTGTAAATTTCCTTCTTTTCTAAGTTATTGGTGGTTGAGAGGGAGGTAGTATGGATGGGAGGAAATAATTCCAGCTAAAACTGATGACTTGGCATTGAGGGTATTATATTTTCCTTCCTATTTCTTTCTTGGAGTAGACGTGGAAGTAGATTCTGCTGGAACTTAGAGAAAGCCTGGCAGGTTTGACCCGTTCCCCTGTTCTTCTCTCTAGACCTTCACATATCCCTTGATTGGTCCAGTCCTTTCATGCCCCTGGACACTAGAGCCTTAACTGCAAGAGTCTTAGAGATCAGTGAGTCCACACACTTCATTTTGCAGTTGAGGAAACTAAGGCTCAGACATGTGAAGTGACTTGCCCCCAACCACACATCTACCAGTGGTGGAGCCCAGACAAGAGCTCCCAGTTCTGTGTACAGCACTCTATTTTCTACCTCCACCTTGCTTCATCTTCCCCCACTTCCTGAAATAAATATGCTACACCAAATGCCTCTACATGATTAAAATGCTGCGTGTGCTTTTTAGAAAGATAATTACAAAAACTTCTTTCTAATGGGAAAATTGTCTTAAAATAGCAGTGAGAAGAAAAGAGGGAGCATAGAAGGGTGGCAAGGAGACCAAAGAGCACTGGCTTGGCCAGTTTCAACCTTTTGATTAAGGAGGTCCCTGCGGATGGCAGTGTGTCCATGTTGGGCCAGGACTTGTTACCACATGCATGGACTGGCTCCCATTTCATTCATTGCTGCAACCCTAATGACCTTAGGGTCATTTCCCCAATATGGTTTCCTCTCATTTCCATGTTCATATTACTCTGAAGCCAATACGGTGTTATCATATGGAGGGACCGAACCAAGCCTGGACCCCAATATGACAGTTCCATCACCAGGAGAGTGATCTAAATGATGCACACAGGCTGCCCCACACCCCGCTCCTACCCAGCTTCACTCACTTACATCATCTGTCTGCACCTGAAGGTGGCTAGGTTTGCACACCCACCCGTGGTATTGGAATGTGAAGACATTTCTAGTCCCTTTGTCTTTCATTTTCCCCTTCAGAATATGTGGGAAAGAAGCTTAGAATGTCCTCTTCCTGGGTAAACATACTGGGATGTCTTTCTTTTACGCAAAGGGACAGAGTACTGGGGGCTGCAGGAAACCCAAGAGAGGGATCCTGCCTTCTCAACTCATGGAGCTTTTTCTCATTGTAACAATGTTGCAAAGAGTTTTTAAGGGTGGTAGAACTCTAGGATTAGTACAGGCTGTTCCCATTTCATGAAGAGATTGCGGGTGAAGAGTTAATTTGTACAGCAGTTCTTTGAGACTGAAATTTCTCAGAGAAATAAAACTAAAACTTGATAAGCCTTCTCATACAGTTAGGGACAGGATAAAATAACAAACTGTATGTACAAGGCTTAGCACAGAGCCTGTCTCACAGTAGGTCCCAAGTGGAGGGAAGAGAATGGATTTCAATAGCCTAGGGGGTGCCTCTGGGCCGAAAACTCAGGATAGACTAAACTTGGTTTTGGCATTTCCCCACATTCCTTTGGCATACTTTCTCCCGGCCAGCAGCGCCACCCTGGCAGAACTTTCTTCCCTAAGTCTTGCCTTGTGCTGCTCACCAGGGAGGGCCTGCCTGCCTTCTTCTCTAAAGCTGCCTAATGTTTATCCGCTAGTCCCCTGCTCCTCCAGTGCAGCAAAGCGAAAAGCATCTGCATTTTGGAAAGATGTTTATTTACTTCATTGACTCTTCATTGTAGTGTTTCCCAAAGTTTGCTGAGGACCACCTGTATCAGTTAAAAATGCTTGTTAAAATGCAGATTCCCAGTCTCTAGCTTGGACTTACTGGACCAGAATGTCTGAGGCTGGGGCCCAGAAACCTGCATTTTTGGCAAACTGCTTATGTGATTCTGCGGCAGAGAAGATTTGGGAACCTCTGCTGAGTCCAGTCAGAGCAATGGTTCTCAACGGGGGATTATTTTGCCACTCAAGGGACATTTGGTAATGTCTGGAGACATTTTTAATTGTCTTAGCTGGGAGGGGAGGTGAATGCTACTGGCCTTTAGTGGTTGGAGGGCAGGTTGCAGCTAAACAGCCTGCAAGGCCCAGGGCAGCTCCCACAACACAGAATTGTGAGGTCCAACACATCAGAAGTGCTGAGGCTGAGAAACCTTGAGCCAGTGGGATGAAGTGTATGAACCCGGGATGTAGATTAGGAGGCAATATTAAATGGAAAAATAAACAACTGCTCAGTGATTCCTGTAAATCGAATCTAAGCCACTTCTACATCTTCTCATTTTCTTCTTTCCCCTCTTTTAAATCTACAGATTCTCTAAAAATTATAGTTCACACCACTTTCCACCCAAACAATATTCCTGTGGCTTCCACATCATGATCTCAAGTCATGGGATGAGGGTGAGCCACATGAGCCATATGTTGCTATGAGCTACTCGTACATCAAGGATGTCCACATTAGGACAGATTCTACCTTAACCCAGGAGCACTCGGGCTAAATGACATTGACAGGCTAGCTTACTTTCTTTTTCTGTGGAGGGAAATGGAAATATGAGATTTTATTATAATTTATTTGGAAATATAGGAACATAACATCACATTCTCATTAACATAATAGCTATGATTTGTTGAGCTCTGTGTATGTTGCAGGAAGCTTGCATCAATTACCTCACAATGACCCTGTGGAGTGGGTAGATGGAGAGGAAACTGACACCAAGAGAGGCCCATTGTCTGGCCTTGATGCTTATAAGTAGCAAGCATCAGTATTGAAATGGGAGTCCAACATGTCAACTCCACTACTGTAGTTTGCTTTACACAGTGTTTGTTTTTTTTTAACTTTTATTTTAAGTTCAGGGGTACATGTTACATAGGTAAACTTGTGTCATGGGGGGTTGTTGTACAGATTATTTCATCACTCAGGTATTAAGCCTGGTACCCATTAGTTATTTTTCCTAATCCTCTCCCTCCTCTCATCCTCCACCCTCTGATAGGCCCCAATGTGTGTTGTTCCCCTCTATATGTCCATGCGTTCTCATCATTTAGTTCCCACTTTTAAGTGAGAACATGCAGTATTTGGTTTTCTGTTCATGCATTAGTTTGCTAAGGATAATGGCCTCCAGCTCCATCCATGTCCCTGCAAAGGACATGATCTCATTCGTTTTTATGGCTGCATAGTATTCCATGGTATATATGTACCACATTTTCTTTATCCAGTCTATCACTGATCTTCATTTAGGTTGATTCCATGTCTTTGCTATTGTGAATAGTGCTGCAGTGAACATACATGTGCATGTGTCTTTATAATAGAACGATTTATATTCCTTTGGGTATATACCCAGTAATGGGATTGCTGGGTCAAATGGTATTTCTGTCTTTAGATCTTTGAAGAATTACCACACTATCTTCCACAATGGTTGAACTATTTGCACTCCCACCAACAGTGTATGAGCATTCCCTTTTCTCCACAATCTCACCAGCATCTGTTATTTTTTGACATTTTAATAACCATTCTGACTGGTGTGAGATGGTATGTGGTTTTGATTTGCATTGTTCTAATGATCAGTGATGTTGAGCCTTTTTCATGTGATAGTTGGCCACATGGATGTCTTCTTTCGAGAAGTGTCTGTTCATGTCCTTTGCCCATTTTTCAATGGGTTTTTTTTCTTGTAAATTTGTTTAAGTTCCTTATAGATGGTGAGTACTAGACCTTTGTTGGGTGCATAGTTTGCAAAACTTTTCTCCCATTCTGTAGGTTGTCTGTTTACTCTGTTGATAGTTTCTTTTGCTGTGCAGATAGCTTTGTATCTTAATCATGGTATCCTACTCTTACTAGTAACTTCATTTTCACAGGGAAATGCATTAAGATTTTTAACAACTAATTTACAAGTAAATTTTAAGAGCAGAGCCTGTCTTGGGGTTGAAAACTTCCTCTAGTTAGAGGGGTTGACATTCCAGTTGAAAAACCCATGTGCTTTAGGGACAACCCCAGAAATTGGATTTTTACCCTTAATATCATCAGCAAATAATTTATTATATATGAATCATTTATTGGGAAGTGGTAAAATGCATAATTCAAACTTAATCTTTTTTAACCTAATGCCAATCCTGGCTCCTTGAAAGGCCATTGTGCCTCCCACATCCCTCTCAGCTTGGTTCCTTTAACCCTGGACTCAGAACTCATCTGATAGGTTAGACTACAAAGTTCTGTTTCATGGTGAGTTAAGCTCTCCAAGGTCACAGGGCTCATCGGCAGCAGCGCAAAGACTAAATTTCACATCTCCTTACTCCCAGGCCAGTGGTCTTTCCACTACATTATGTGAATGAGACATAATTCTTGCATGAGGAGGTGTGGTAGGAAAGTAAAGCAAAGATGTCCACACACATTACTGTAATAAATGTTAGGTTATAATAAATGAAACCAAAGTGATACCAATGAAGGATTATGGGAGTTCAGAGAAGAAAGGGCACACCTTCCATTTGAGATAATTAGAGAAAGTTTCTTGGAGGAAGAGGTATCTTACCTGAGTTTTAAGAAATAGGTAGAGTTTCCATAGGCTGAGATGGAGAGAGAACATCCTAGGCAAAGTGAAGGCATGGAGGTGGGAAAGTGGAGGATGTATTTGGGGAGCAGTAAGTGATTTGACTTGGTTAAACAGTGCAAGAGGCATATGTAGGAAATCAGAAGGAAAATAAGATGGACTGATACAACAAGGTTGTATAGTACCTGAAAAGCTGGGTTTTCACCAGAAAGCCACTGGATTTTTTTTTAAATGGGGGAATGACAAATGCAGAGATATGCTTTAGGAAGATTACATGGGCTGCAATGCTCAGAGAGGATGCAAGAGGAGGGAGCCTGGAGAAAGGCAACCAGAAGAAACAGAGTGGTAACAAAGGCAGTGGCACTGGGAAGAGAGGGGAAAGATGGGACACCTAAGGGAGGAAGAAGCCACCAGCTTCTCACCCCTTTGGAAATGGGTCACAGGCAGGAAAGTGAGGGGGTAGGAAGGATGTGGCTGGGGATGAGTCCCATTGTACACCTGCTGTGTTCAAGGTGACCCCGAAAGCATCCAGGTGGAAATCTCCAGCAAAAAATAGAATAGTTAGGACTGGGGAGAAATTATTTTTGTTGTTATTGTCATCAAGGCCCGTGGAATGGACAAGGCTGCCACAAGGAGAGGGTAGAGCAGGATTTAGGATTTAGGTGTTCTATGGAAAGGGGAGGAAGGGAATGGGCAGTATGAGGAGCAGGATGAAGAGAGGACAGGTCACCTAGGGAGAGGGTGGAGAGAGTTTCCAGGAGAGAGAGGTTGGTCAAAACCATGTCAAAATCCGTGGAGTGTTCAAGGAAGATGAGAACTGAGAAAGAACCGCAGGGCTTGGTCTTTTGTCTTCCTACTCCTACCCTCCTCCAGGATATTAACGCCAACCATCGCGACCCAAGCACACCAGTGGATATCCCACACCTCCACTGTCACCTCCGCCCACTCAGTGAATGGTGCCTCCCTGTTGTCCAAGTCAGAAGTCTGGGGGCATTCTAGACCACTCACTCTGTCTTGCTGCACGCAGCCTCCTCTTATCACAAACTGTCAATTCCACCTTTATGACATTTCTCACACACTCCCATTTCCCTCCATCCCCACTGCAGTTTCTAAGGTGGGCTCTAGTATGCACCATTTTAAAACTTATTAGATCATCTTCTCATGGAGCTAATATTCTGTGAAACACAGGTTGGGAAACTCTGCTACTATAGCTTTCATTTGAAACTAGGAGATCAATAATCATAATACAAGGTAGAAAATGATATATGCCTATAGACACAGTCATATACATCAGTGTGATAAAGTAGATATGTCTTCTATCTGGTGGAGATGTCTTCTAGCTGAGTAATCAAGGAAAGCTTCCTAAGGAGATGGCCTCTGAGATGGTCCCTAATGATCGGTTAGAAGTTTAACCATAGGGAATATATATATATGTAATTTTATATATTATCTAAAATATATATGAAATTTAATAATATATAAATTTTATATATAATAATATAAATACAATTATATAATATAAAATTATAAATATAATTATATAATATAAAATAATATATACAATTATATAATATAAAATAAACACATATTATTATATAATTATGTATTTACTATATTATAAAAATATATTTTATATGTTTATTGTATGTTAATAAATATATTTATTGTATTATATTTATATTATTTATTAATAATAAATATTTTAATAATATTAATATATTATTTTATATATTATTTCATATTTCATATGTTAAAATTATATATAATATATAATCTGCATATTAATATATTATATAAATTATATGTATAATTTATAACTTGTATACATACATTATAAAATTATTAATATACTAATTATAATATATAAATATTACATAATTTATATATATATTAATTTGTAATTATATATAATTATAAAATTATATTACTTTACATATATATAATTTTTTTAAGGTATTGTAGATGAGGGAATATAGATAAGGAATTATAGGTTATCCGCAAGGGAGGGCACCGATTTTAGTTGGGCCAGAGTAAAAGCTGCTGGAAAAGAATGGTGGGTAATAATGCTGAGATTCGATCCAGATTATAACAAGTCTTAAGCATCAGCCTAAGAAGTTTAGGTGTCTGAGCAGAGGCATGAGGATTTGCGCTGCCAAACAAAGTGCCTTGAGGTGGGGAAGCCCATTAAGAGGAGATTACAGCAATAGTCAAGGTGAGAAGTGTTTGTATCAAGGTCTTGATACAGGCAATGATGTAAAGAGATAGAGAGATCGTGGAAGAATAATTTGATGAAGAGGGTAGAATTCAGTCCAGCCTCCCTAAGGTTTTTTTTTTTTTTTTTGAGACGGAGTCTCACTCTGTCGCCCAGGCTGGAGTGCAGTGGCATGATCTAGGCTCACTGCAAGCTCTGCATCCTGGATTAATGCCAGTCTCCTGCCTCAGCCTCCCAAGTAGCTGGGACTACAGGCGCCCACCACCATGCCCAGCTAATTTTTTGTATTTTTAGTAGAGACGGAGTTTCACCGTGTTAGCCAGGATGGTCTCGATCTCCTGACCTCATGATCCACCCGCCTCAGCCTCCCAAAGTGCTGGGATTACAGGCGTGAGCCACCGCGCCTGGCCAGCCTGCCTAAGGTTTTGAGGTAAGTGGCCTAGGATGGGATGGGAGAGATGCCAGTGGAAGACACAGGACTACAGAAGGACAAGCAGTGTTGAGAGGGAACGGATGAGGTTCCATTCCCAACATGTTGAGTTTGAGGTGGCAGAGTCATCTAGATGAGAGGGAGGTGTGTGATTTTTCTTTTTTGAGACAAGGTCTCGCTCTGTCACCCAGGGTGGGATACAGTGGTGCAATCACGGCTCACTGCAGCCTCAACCTCCCAGGCTCAAGCCATCCTCCCACCTAAGCCTCCCAAGTAGCTGGGACTCCAGGCAAACACCAACAGGCTTGGCTAATTTTTAAAATTTCTGTAGAGACTGGGCCTTGCTATGTTGCCCAGGCTGGTCTCAAACTCCAGGGCTCAAGTAATTCTCCTGCCTCGGCCTTCCAAAGTGTTGGGATTACAGGCGTGAGCCACTTCGCCCAGCCCAGTGTGTTTACTATCTGCTTAAATTATGTGATTTCAATAGCAGTTACAATTGCAATATACAGGTGCCATATACAGCAATTACAATGGCACAAACATAGCAGAATTCTTGGTAAGCCCACAATTCAAATACTCACAGCCGAAAGTGTGGACATATTGGTAGCCTGTTGGCTTCATGCAGCAAGTTGTCAACTGGAGATCAGTCAGCAGAGTTTTATGGTATTGAAGTTTGTGTTAACAATTCAGCAACACGATTTGTTGGTATGTCTCACAATGCGTTTCCTATTTTTGTCATCACATGTAAATGCTTTGTTGTATAGCTTTAATCAATGAGCCCATTTTACATTCAATTGTTTTTCTACTAAACTTGACAACAACATCTTGCCCTTGAAGAGCAGAGAGCATTTAACGAATGCTGTTGTACTTACTCTCAAAATGGTTTCTGTTCAGGGAAAATGATATATAGAGAGTGTCCCAGGGCAACCTAGAAATAAAAAACACAGCTAGGAATACAACAGATATCTTGGCTGCCCATGCAGAATCCTATCCAAGACCCTGTGTATTCATGAGATGAAACTGAATCAGCAACGAGAAGGGTGTCTCTGGAGATGGAGGTTTAAATTTAGAAATTCATCTATGGCCTTTCCCTTTATAAAGAAAGCCAAAACATGTGAGTTTTGAGTTTCTCCCACTGTTGTCAACATTTTTATCAGCTGAAGACTGAGTGAAGATGCCTTGATTTTTGTTTTTATTGATAACAACATCAATCTTCTAGAGGGCCCTTTGCATCTCCATAGCATTCTGCAAACATTAAACAAATTATAATAAAGGGTGTTACAAAAGCAGGTGTAATTTTTTTCAATAGCTTTTGTTCGTCATTTGGAAAAAATACATATCTTTCTCAGGTGTGATGACGTTAACTATCAGAAATATGCTGGCAAAAACCAAGATACTTTATCCACAAAGTGGATATATTTTAGCTCTTATTTACCCAATGCTTCTAGGGACTCAAAGGCCTCCAGGATCCTGGTGAATGAGATTGTTCTCTCACTTGTATTTTTTAAATAGAGGAGTCAGGACAAGAAAAAAGGATGACAAGCAATGACTTTTTGAGGGGTAATTGCACTATTAACAGCTTCTTTTGTATTCTTTCAGACTTTTTTTCCTAAGTGTTGCATATTTGTGTATACACACAAATATAATTGTTGACACAGATGAAAATTATACTGTGCATGCTGGTCTGCAATGTGTGTGTTTTTTTCTCTCTTGTGGATTAGGGCACCCTTGCATGTCAGTACCTGTTGATCCATCAGTGGCAGGAGAGTGTCTTGGGGAAGGGGTCACACTTCTAGCCATTCCTTTATTGAAAGACAAGACCCAGAGGTGCTGGATGACCCTGGCCAGAGGCTGATCTGTTTTCATGCTGATTTTCTTTTGGCTTCTGAAATAATGTTAAAGATACTCATTTTGGCCAAATGAAGACATACTTAGAAATAGTTTTTGATTTGAAAAAATATGTATCTTGGAAATACTGACAGTTTGAAATAAAAGACTAAAACTTTTCAGAGTAGCTCTAACTGAAGCCTTATCCCCTAAACCCCCCTAGCATAAGCATTATATATAGCTCATAGGAGCTCACACAGCCTATTTACATAATACCGGACTCTCAGGACCTGTCTAAGTTATGTCAAGTGTCTCTTCTCAACCTTTTCAAATGCAGAGGTGAGTTTTAAAAAATGTTAATCCATCTGAAATAGATATCTGCTGTTCACTTAAAAACAAAGAAACTCTTATTCAACACCAAATCTTGAATTTTTTTATCTTTTATGACAAGCAGCAATAAGTTGCAAAGTTCTGTGAAATAAAGGCAAGTACCATATCATTGTGCCTAGTCCAGTGATAGGAATGTTCTGGGGAGAGAATGTTCCAAATGCGTTGCCCAGAGAGCAAGAAAGATAAGCAAGGAATGGGGAACAGCCATCCAGTGAAAAATCTCAACATGAAACAAGTGAAAGAGATTCTGGCCTGGGATGTGTGACAAATCTCCAAATTTCTCTTCAGAAAATGTAAGAATCCGATTTTACAACTAGGCTGTCACTTAAGAAAAGAAGGAGGAAGAGGAGAGGGAGAGGAAAGGGGGAGGAGAAAGAGAGGAGGGAGAAGGAAGAGGAAGGATGAGGAAGGACGTGGGCATTGCTGTGGGAGGCCCCTCGGCCCTGGCAAGGAGTGAGTATTGATTCTGGAGGCCTCCAGGAAGCATAATGTGCACAGTCATGGGTAATATATTTATTTATGATTTATACCCAGCTGACTTCCAAAAAGGTTTGAGGTGGCTCACCTGCTAGTGAGTTAATGCTTCCTACACACACTGAGCAACTCTAAGCAAGTGAAAGAGCAGAAACTCTGTGAGTCATCATCCAACTGTTTAAGTGATAAGAGGGAGAAGGGAGCTATTTCTTCTGAATAAGATGCCCACAGACATTGTCAACACTCACCAGTAAGAATCTCGACACAGTAAAGCTCATTTAGTTGACATCACTAGGCAATCATTGACTTTTTCAGATAATTGAAGCTTCTCCCTTTAGATGTCAGTCTTCTAAAAATGCAGTATTTTACATGGAAACCTCTGTATAATGAAGATTATATGCTTCCTTCTCTTCATAGACAGATGATACTGTTTGAAAAAAAATTTTGGGAGGTAAATGTCAGGTTTTTTTCTAGATCTATGGTTTATTTTTATAACAGTTTTATTGAGCTATAATTCACATACTGTAAAATTCACTTTAAGTGTACAATTCAATTGTTTTTCATATAGTCACGAAATTGTGCAACCATCACCATTGTCTAGTTTTAAAACATTTTTAGCACTCCAAAGAGAAACCCTGTAACCATTAGCCACTCCCTCTTCTTCCCCTCCAACCCCTGGCAGAGACTAATCTACTTCCTGTCTCTGTGGATTTGTGTTTTCTGGCTATTTCTTATAAATGGAATCATATAATATGTGGTCTTTTGTGTCTGGTTCCTGTCATTGAGCAAGTGTTTTCAAGATTCATCATGTTGTAGCATGTGTCAGTTCTTCCTTTCTTTTTATTCCAGTATAATAGTCCATTGTACGGCAATACCACATTTTGTTATCCATTCACCAGTTACTGGACCTTCGGGTTGTCTCTACTTTTGGGCTATTATGAATAGTGCTATAATGAACATTCATGGGTAAGTTTTTGTGCAGACATGTTTTCAACTTTCTTGGGTGTACACCCAGAAGTGGATACTGATTGGAATTCAATCTCCTTTTTTTTTTTTTCTGATGGAAATGGAGCCTTCATTCTAACAGTCATGGAATGCAATGGTTGGTTGCCCCTGAAGTCTGGATTCCCAAGTGGTTGAGCTTTTTGAACTTATCTGACTATATTTTTATACTTTATCAGATTTCTTTTGTTCAGTCAGCTATGACTTTTTGCTTTTCAGAGTGAGTCTGTCTCTGGGAGGACCCAACATTTCAATCTGGGCTCTTGAGCTCTGGAGAGGACAACCTGTTACCACTGTTATCGAAAGCAAGGGTAAATGGGCTCTGAATGAAAGACTGGGTTGCTCTCCTAAGAGAAAAACATAAGCATAAACATCAGTGTTGACTTAGTAGTATTTTTAGATGTTTTTGGGTGCATATTTTTGTATTCTTAGCCATGCTTAGGACATTTGAAGTTGTTAGGTATAATACTTTCAGTAAGGTGTTATTGTATAAAGACTCTACTTTCAGATAATGGGGATTAAAACGTTACTTTTGCTGACATATAGGAAAGCCTATTTAAGAGCTGCTGAACTGATTCGAGTAAGAAACCTTTTCACAGAGATCTTTTTTGGTAGGAAGGGGGCTGCAGAGGAACCCTGACTCCTCAGCTGCCATCTGAAAGCACAGTTTAAAAGATCCCCCTTATCACTTCAGATTATATCACTACAAAACTCAAATAACTGGAGTTTAAACAAGATAGAGGTTTCCCTTTTTGTTCATGTTAGGTAGGTTGGCCAGGGATTCAGTCATCAATAACCCAGGATCCTTCCAGCTTTCTGTTTGGCCATCCTTAACACATGGCTTCCATCTTTGGGCTCATTCAAGATTGCAACAAGGCTGCTAGAGCACCCAGCATCATACCCATTTTCCAAGCAGCAGGAAGAAGGAATGGCAAATACAAATGGTGTACCTCCTGGCTGAGTCAGCCCCCTTTTAAATAGTTTTCCTTGAAGTCCTACCCAATAACATCCTCTCACATCTCCTTGGGCTCCTGGCTTCCAGGGAAGCTGAGAAATGGCAGTTTGGGGATCTGTTAGTAAGGAAGAATGAGGGAAAGGAAAAGGAACAAAAGATGTAGGTAGGGCACCCAGAGTCTCTGCCCTGGCCACCTAGGCTCTCATGCTTTAAGATGGATGCAACAGAGGTGGACACCACATGGTGTTGCACACAGAGCTGGGCAGAGCTTTGCAAGAGCCCATCCCTTTACCACTTGAAAGTTTGTAGGCTTAGATTGTTGAAAACTAAATAGACCTTTTTCTGAAGAAGACATAAAAATGGCCAACAGCTATATAAAAAGGTGCTCGGCCAGGGCAGAGACTCTGGGTGTCCTACCTACACCTTATGTTCCTTTTCCGTTCCCTCTTTCTACCTTACTAACAGATCCCCAATGTACGCAGCTTAAAAACTGCCATTTCTCAGCTTCCCTGGAAGCCAGGGGCCCAAGGAGATGTGAGAGGATGTTATTGGGTAGGACTTCAAGGAAAACTATTACTGATCATCAGGGAAATGCAAATCAAAACTATATGGGATATCATCTCACACCTGTTAAGAGGGCTATTATCAAAAAGACAAGAGACAATAAGTGAAGGTGTGGAGAACAGGGAACTTTTGTGCACTCTTGGTGGGAATGTAAACTGGCACAATCATTATGGAAAACAATATGGAGGTTCTTCAAAAAATTCAAAGTAGAACTGTCATATGACCCAGCAATCCTATTGCTGGGTATATACCCAAAGGAAATGAAATCAGCATTTTGTAGAGCTTTCTGCACCCCCGTGTTCATTGTAGCATTATTCACAGTAGTCAAGATATGGAAACAACCAAAGTATCCACTGATGGATAAAGGGATAAAGAAATTGTGGTATATATACAATGAAATATTATTCAGCCTTAAAAAAGAAGGTAATCTTGTCATTTGTGACAACATGGATGAACCTAGAGAACATTATTCTAAGTGAAATAAGCCAGATATAGAAAGAAAACTACTGCATGATTTCACTTATATGTGGAATCTTGTAAAGGTGGAATATATAGAGGCAGAGAGTAGAACAGGGGTTACAAGGGCCAGGGAGCGGGAGAAAATGGTGAGGTATAGGTCAAGGGGTCCAAACTTGCAGTTACATGGGATGAATAGGTCTAGAGATCTAATGTGCAGCATGAGGACTATTGTTAGTAACATTGGATTGTAGATGGAAAATTTGCTAAGGGAGTAGATGTTGGGTGTTTTTACCCACATACATAAAGATTATTGAGAGGAATGTTTTTGGTAATGGTTGAATTGTCTATCTCAGTTCTTCAGTGAGACTTTCTGGAGGATATGGGATTTCAGAAGAATGTTAAAGGAAGTGATGCTATCAGCAGACCCTCTTTAGGTATTATGGGAATGGCTGGCTTAGAGCCAGCATGGTATCACCTACACTTGGTTTCCATTGATGTACTCATGAATGCCATTGGTCAGGGGAATTCAGGGCAATGGTTGAAGGTTTGGTGTGTAGTCAGTGACTGGGCAAGAAAAGAAGCTGCCTAACTTCTATGTAAATCTCAAGCCTGAACTACACTTCTTATTAGCTATAACCAACTGACCTCTCCCTGCTCCTAGACTCTTACTTCAGCATTCCTAACTTTTTGATTACTTACATCAATCTATGTATCCTTCTAGAAAGTCAATACTTAATGTAATAACCAATGATAATAATTGATTATCATGAGACCTTCAAGCAATGTAAAAAATAATTGGATAATAATAACCAATAATTAATAATAATCCACTCATGCTAGCAGACTTTAAAGGAAAATAGAGATCTCCCTGTGCCCTTTTTTTCTCCTTAGCTAAAAATGCTGAGTTTTTTTTTTTAAAGAATACAAGCTATAAAATAAGCAACTTGAATCTAGGATCCTATTTACATTGCATCTTGAAGGTGTTGGTTATTTAAGTTATAACAGCGTTATTTGAGTTTGATTCAAAAATCTATGTTCGATTTTAATGGGAACCTGATGTTTGTGATCGAATAGCTTAGCAAATTTCTATGCTTGCTTAGAGCTTTGTACTGCGGGGTGATCTTGTTCAAGTCACTTAAATGCTTTGGAAATAAAGGGGTTGGGACAAATAGTGTCGTCCATCACAAAGTTTTTATGAATCTAGGGTTTTTGTTTTTTTAAAAAAATACTGACTAACAGGTCACCTCGTTCTAGCTCTGATCATGATGACCCTGTGATGTAATCCTGAAGCAACCCTACAGTTACTGAAGTCACAGGATCCTGCTGCTGTCCATCTTCATAGCATTGCCATTTACGTAAAATTAGGCTCAATCCTGATTATTTATAAGAATATGACTCAAATACTGCATGTTCTCATTTATAAATGAGAATGAAATAATATGTACACGTGGGCATAGAGTTGAAATTGATAGACATTGGAGACTCAGAAGAGTGGGAGGGTGTGAAGGAGGTGAAGGATGAAAAATTACTTAATGAATACAATGTGAACTATTTGAGTGATAGTTACAGCAAATGCCCAGACTTCACCACTACCCGGTATATCCATGAAACAAAACTGCACTTGTACCCCTTAAATTAACACCAAAAGAAGATTCCCAGAAAGGTATCCAGACATGTGAAAAGGGCAACTGTATCTTCAACTTTCAAAGTTACTTGATTTGAATGCTTGAGAGAATCTGATTCATAATTAAAATAATTTATTTGAATCAGGTCTTTCACATTTCATGGGTAGTCTTCACTCCTGCCTCCCCAGGGACTGTGATCTCGCCATTATTTCTCTTTTCTCCTGTTACTGTCAAACTTTCTATCAATAAACATGCTCAAATCTGTTCTACTCTTAAAATAACACCCTCCCCTAAGCTTATCTTGCCCCTCTTGTTAAAATATCAATTTCTCAAAACAAAAACAAAAGTACTATGCTTACCGGTTCACTGCCTCATCTCCATATCAAATTTTAAATCTCTTGCTACCTGGCTTCTACGTTGACTACTCCACTGATAATGTTCCACAAAAGCCAACAGTTGCCAAACTCCTATGAACATTTTCCAGTTCCTTAGCCTATTGACCCTCTCCACTGCCCTGAATTCAGTCAACAACTTCTTCCTCCATGGAGCTCTGTGTACACTTGACTGCTGCTGTCTTATACTCTTCTGATTCGCTTTGTACATCTCTGACTTTTGTGTCTTTAGTAGACTGTTCTCTGCCTTCCCTTTAAATGCTGAGTGACATCAGATAAGCCATTTAATTTTTTATCCACAAAAAGTAGAGGAGTTGGAATGGATCATCTCTAAGGTCCCTTCGAGCCCTGGTGTGCTTTTAGTCATATTATCAGGAGTCAGAATTCACTGCTCCAGGTACAGACAACTCTTGTGTTTCATGTAAAAAGAAGTATAATGAGAAATGATTAACATTTGAGCTGCATTTCCGCAAAGCCGTATTGTTGACTGCTGCTTTTTCAAAGAAGTCATAAAAGCTGAAAACTAATACAGCATAATTCAGCAGTTTATCACCATGTGGGAGAATGACTAATGTGAGTCATGGTTTCAGTATAACGAACACTGACCATTCATTTAGGACTTCAGTGCTGTGACATAGAGGGAGAATGACGTCAATGAGGTTCTTTGCCCACATGGTCTCCAGACATGACCACACATTGAACATGCAAAGTCCTAGAGCGCTGGGGAGATTGAAACCACCATCATACTGATGCTGCTACTAGGGACATCAACTTTGACCAGACATGGTAACTGACGACAAAAATTTTGGCCTTTGACACTGCTGAGTCAAACGGAAAATGGAGTAGAAGAAAGTTTGATGGAGCTGCTGTTTGTCTACCTTGTGGCAGTATTTGCAGATGCTCTCATTTGTGAATACACAGAGTTCCTCCAGTAAATATTTAATTAAACTGAAACTCGACATCCTAGGTACTGAAAGCTGAGTCAGATTTGTGTGATTTTAGGGTGTAGGATATAATTATTTAATTTTGTTGAGGAGCTGATAATTGAGAATGAAGGTCAAAATATCCCAAAAATGTTCAATTGTAAGTGGATTATGTGTTGGCAGGAGAGACCATAAACACAGTGTCACTATTAGGTTAGATCATATTCTCAACTTAACTAGACAAGAATACAAAATATAATTGGTAGGTCATTCACTAAACCATCCTGCAAGGGCATTGCCTTGGCTACAGCAGTAACCATAACCAACTTGATGGTGGATATGTTGGGCCACTGAGAAAATCGACAGGGCCCTGTGCTTAAGGTGTTCTTAGCAGACACCTAGAGCAACCTTGTCAGCATCTGTGTCTGGGCCCATCCTTCCGCTGCCCCATGATGGGTTGCACAGAGCTGCCGCCTCTTGGCATCTCTGCCTAGGAGCCTTGGAATACCAGATGGGCTTCCAATGGCAGGCCTAGTCTTTAGATTAGCTTTGTCTGCACAGCTATGATCCTGGCTTTTTGCCTAACCTTTCAGAGCAGAGGACATCCAGCAAGACTCTCCTGGGAAGCAGATTAACTTCTGTGAGTCACTGCTCTTCCATCTCATTTATGATTCATGACCTGAGCTGTATTTTTAGCTTTTATTTATTTGGGTCTGAGAAGTGGGCTGGGTGGAAGTGTAGTTGGGAAACTCATGAAAGAATAAGAAGAAATTGGCGTCACATCTAAGCGAGGGTGGCCTGAAACTTGGTTACAGTCCTCAGACATTCAGCATAGTGTATTGAGAGCCTACTGTGTGTCACATATTGTGCTGGACTCCAAGAACAAAAGGGAAAATGAGAACCAGCTTCTGCCCTCTAAGAGCTCATTGAATTGTGTGGGCAGATGGTTAATTGGATGATTAATGAAATGTAGCCCCTGCTGATATCTCAGCCATATCCCTGGACATTAGTCATATTGAAGTATTTGGTATTTTTGGACCACCCCTTATTTTTGCCCTTACCTCTTGCACATGCTGTGCCCATTGTCTGGAAATTCCTCCACCATCACCTCTCATTGCCTGCCCTTCATAACTCGCCCCAGCGTCCTTCCTCTGACCCTTCTTCCCTGATTCCCTGAGGCTGGTCTGGAGCCTCTCTGACACACTCCCATAGCCCCTTGCATCCCAGTGCTCATCACACTCCTATGGAGCGCCATTGATTAAGGTCCCTGCACAGTAATTGAGGCTTGTTTATCAGCTCCCCATACTGAGGCAGGTAGAACTGAAGACAATCAGGAACAGCAGTATAGTCATCCCACTGTAATGATGAACATATGCTGAGACCTTTGTATGTGCCAGTCACTGTGCTTAGCACCACACATGCATTACCTGATTGGATCCTCACAATAACCCTATGAAACACATAAACTATTGTTCTTGTTTTATGGATGAGGAAACTGAGGCTTTGAGAATTAAAGTTATTTGTCCAAGGTTTCACAGCCAGTACGTGTAAAGCTGAGATTCAAACCCAGGCCCTTCTGATTCTCAAAGCCCATGCTCCTAGACTGTATGCCATATTCCTTCTCCCCTCTCATGGTTATTGTATCAGTCAGGATAGGGCAGGTCATTCTATGTTAACAAGTAATGCCAACATCTCAGTGGCTTAGACAAAAAGGTTTACTTCTTGCTCATGTCATGGTCCGAGCACATTGGCTGGGGCATCTGCTGTATGTTATTCTCACTCAGCAAAAAGGCTGAAGGTGGCTTTCTATCTGTGCCTCCCCAATTGCAAGAGAAAGGACATGTGACAAATCACTCCCACAGTGATATCATTGGCCGAATCAGGTGCTGTACCCAACTTCAAAGGGGCAGGAGAAGTGCAATGCTGCTGTGTGCTGGGAAGATGAAGAATTGGAAATATTTGTGGAACGGTACTAATGACTCCCACAATACAAAAGAAAGGAGTGAGGGAAATAGAGAAATGAAAATAATAGAGGATAAAGTGTTCAGAGGAATAAGGGCCTTCCAGGGAATAGGAGAAAGCTTGCCTTTTTAAACCATAGGTCTCCAGTTAAACGGCTGCTGGGATCAATTATTCAGTTGTTCTTCCTGTAAGTTGCATTGTTAAGGCTTCTTCTCTTCTGAATGTATTAATACTTTGACACAACCTGGGATTTTGCTGGATCTATCAGGAGAGAGTAGTCAATTGCTATTACAAAACATCTTAATCTGAGTAGGGTCAGCTTTTGCAAGCCAGTATTCCAATTCTCATTTTCATTTCGGAGAACCAGTCCCACCAGGTTAAAGACTTTCTCCAACAACAGAGAGTAGCATTCCTGGTTTCCTAGGATTAGGCCTACATGGTGATAAAGATCTTAAAAGTCTCTTAGGAGGCTTGGCTACAGTGCCAACACTTGCTCCTCCCCGCAAAAGACTTGGGTTAAAGCTATTGGTTGCAACTTTTAGATCTCAATAACAACATTAAAATTGAATATAAAATACAAGGCCTCAAGGAATTTCTGCAAAGATATATTGGGAATATTTTGGTCAAGGAGAATTCACCGTTGTACAAAGCAATTCCTGTTTTCAGAGAACACAGAATGGCTGACACAGTATAAAACTGAGCACAATACTTACTGTCTTAGGTATTGGATGCAGCAATCTTTTGTCAAGTCACTATAAGTTATTGGATAGTGTAAAACATTTGCTACATACAGGGGTTGTCTGGCCTTACCACTCCTCTTTCTCTTCATGATATGGATAGATAGATCTATATGTGTATTATTTATATCTCTATCTATCTATCTATCTATCTATCTATCTATCTATCTATCTATGTGTCTGTGTGATAGAGTACTATCTTCTATATATAATATATGCAAGGCATGAGTCTCCCCTAGATGGTAAACTTCTTTAGGTCAGGATCGGAAAGATGACATGGAACAGCAGCTTTAAACATCAAAAGATCTGGGTTATTCTCCATTAATCAGCCCTGTGACTCTTGAGCACAGCATTGAACCTCTGAGAATCAGTTTTTCCATCTGTAAAAAGGCATCAGGGCCAGGCGTGGTGGCTCAGACCTGTAATCCCAGGTTTTTGGGAGGCCAAGGTGAGAGAATTCACTTGAAGTGAGGAGTTTGAGATCACCTGGGCAACATAATGAGACCCCATCTCTACAAAAATAAAAATAAAAAAGGAGATCACCTACCTATTCAGGTCTCATCACAGTTTCATTATGAGGCTCAAATGATATAATACTTTTGCGACTAAACAGAATATACATCTCTATTTGTGCAAAGGCACATGATGAATCACATAGCACAACTTTTCTGGCCATGCCCAGCAGCAGAAAGAGCCATTTGTGGCTCCCAACACATTGGTGTAAAGTTATTCCTAGGAGAAGTCATAGCTCTCCAAATGCTATCAGTATAGTTTTTGCCACAGGGATGACCTCCAGCTGGGTGACTTTGTCTGTGCTCAAGTCTGTAGGCAGAGATGAAACCTCTCTTAGTTCAAACAAATTCCCCTGTGTAAGGGATTTTCAATGGGAGTAGGACTGTTGGAATGAGACAGTACATAGCTGCCTCACGGGATGCAGATGGTTGTCATACTTTCCTTGCCCACAGATGACCAGTACTTTTTTCAGAGAAATTGAAAGATTTCTTTGGACAATTGTAGGCAGCTCATTTCCCAGTGTATTAGTCTGTTCTCACATTGTTATAAAGAACTACCCAAGACTGGGTCATTAATAAAGAAAAGAGGTTTAATTGACTCACAGTTCTGCAGGCTGTACAGGAGCCATGGCTGGGGAGGTCTCAGGAAACTTACAATCATGGTGGAAGGCAAAGGGGAAGCAGGCACAAGCTTGGTTCAGCTTACTTTAAGCGGACTGGGAATAGAATCTTGGGGATGGAGACAATGGAGACTCTCTCCATCTGCTGGGGTGGAGTCCACTTAGCAGGGAAAGACATCGAAGGAGATGGATTGGGCCAAGTGAAAGGCTTTGCTCACTTCACAACCCTGCCTTTTGACTTGGGCAGGAACCCTGGAGAAAGGAGATCTGCCTTTTGTAAGAGCAAACAGAACACACAACTTACTATTAGAAGGTTCCATCGTTATAATGACTAATGACTTACAGGGTTGAAATTTCCTGGTTGTTGAGTCTCCAATGTGAATGACTGAACAAATCCAGATTTTCAGGCTTTTAAACCTGGAGCAGAAGGAGGAGTTTTCAGCAAAAATAGATGTTTCTATTTTAAAAATATATATTCAAATTCAATCAACCAAAATATATTTGGAGGGTCTACTATGTTCTAGGTGTTGGGGATACAACACTCCCTGTTCTCTGCTACTAATCTTCTAGTAGGGGAGACAGATAGCCAACAAATACATAATAATTTCAGCAGTAAGTGCTCTGTAGAAAAGCAAATAAAAGAGGACACAGAATAGTGAAGAAATGGAAAGTGTTAGCACCTTTATGCTCCTTGATGCTATAGATTATAATATACATATTATTATATAATGCTATTATTATAGCATTCAAAGGTGCTATAAGATTATTCCTAAGAAAAGTCCGTTTTTGCCAAGACCACTTGCACCTCCTCCTTAAAGTTGTGTTCCAAGCAGCTCATCTCTCTGTCCATCTCACTGAGCTCTCTCTAAACTTGCTTCCCTATTCCAGGGCAGGAGATGCCCTACTCCCGCTTCTTCAAAACCCTGCCCAGGTTTTCATTTGATTGGTGTTACACTAAAAGGGGAAGGATTTTCCATTCCCTTCTTACACGACCCACATTCCAGCTCAAACCTGGCACAAGGAGGGCTTTGGCCAGCTTAACTTCAGGATTATTTTAATTGACAATATACCCCTTTAAGAAGGAACACATTACAAATGGTCCAGTTAGGATGCAGGTTATTTTGAGACTTCCTGAACATCATTTCTTGGCTAGTTCATTCAAATAAATCATTTAATTGCACTGTAAGAGGTGCTGGGCATAATGATGACTAAGACTCACTCCCTGCCCTTGAGAAGCCCATAGTCCAGCAGGAGGCATAGACATTGGAACAGATAAATTGCAGCACCACAGGGTGACTGCAACCTAGGGGTGTGACAAAGGTGTTCTGGGATCCCAAAGGAAGAGCAATGAACTCCACCTCAAGGCTACAGAATATTTCAAAAAACTGTAGTCACTGCTGATGCCTCATTCATTTATCCATTATTCATCCATTCATACATATTTCCTGAATAGTTTATATCAAGGATCACACACTGCCTGCAGATATTGCTTGTTTGGATTCCTTTTGTTGTTGTTGCTTCTTGGTAATTGATTTATTGAGATGTAATTCACATACCATATAATTCACCCATTTAAAGTATACAATTCAATGGTTTTTTAATATATTCACAGAGTTGTGCAACTATCACCAATTACAGAACATTTTTATCAACCCCCAAAGAAACCTTGTACCTGTTAGAGGTCACACTCCATTCCCCAAAAACCACATAGCCCTACTTTCTAGCTCTACAAATTTGTCTATTCTGGACATTTCACATAAATAAAATAAAATCAGTCTTTTATGATTGTCTTTTTTCACTTAGAATTAATATTTTCAAAGTTCATTCATGCTGCAGCATGTATCAATACTTGATCGCTTTTTATTGCCAAATACTATTCCATTGCATGACATACTACCTTTTATTTGTCCATTCATCAGTTGATGGATATTTGGGTTATTTCTACCTTTTGGCTATTATAAATAATGCTGCTATGAACATTTAGGTGCAAGTTTTTGTGTGGACATATGCTTTCAATTTTATTGGGTATATTTCTAGGAGTGGAATTGCTGGGTCATATGGGTAATTCTATGTTTAACTGTTTGAGAAACTGCCAAGCTGTTTCCCCTAGTGGTGTTACCATGTTGTATTCCCACCAGCAATGTATGATGGTTCCAGTTTCTCCACATCTTCACCAACATTTATTTTCAGTTTGCTGGTTTGTATTTTAAATTATAGCCATTCCAGAGGGTGTGAAGTTGTACCTCACTGTGGCTTTGATTTGCATTTCCCAATGGTAAATTATATTGAACATCTTTTCATGTGCTTATTGTCTATTTGTATATATTTCTTGGAGAAATGTCTGTTCAGTTCTTTTGTCCATTTTTAAATTGGGTTATTTGTCTTTTTATCATTGGGTTGTAAGAGTTTTTTAATGTATTTTAGATGCAAGTTTCTTAGCAGATATGTCATTTGCAAATATTTTCTCCCATTCTCTGAGTGGTTTTTTCACTTTCTTCTTAGTGTCATTTGAAGCACAAAAGAATTTAATTTTTATGAAGTCCAACCTATATATTTATTTCCTTTGGTTGCTGGTGCTTTCGGTGTCATATCTAAGAAACCATTGCCTATTCTGAGGTCCTGTGATTATGACTGTTTTCTTTAAGGAGTTTTACAGTTTTAGCTCTTATATTTAGGTCTTGTAACCATTCTGAGTTTATGTTTTGCTTATGGTATGAGATAGAGGTCCAACTTTTATATACAATTGCTCTGGTGCCATCGGTTGAAAACAATGTCATTTTTCCATTGAATTCTTTTGTCACCTTTGTCAAAATTCAATTGACAGTAAATGCAGGGGTTTACTTTTGGACTCAGTTCTATTCTACTAATCTATATGTCTATCATTATGCTAGTACCACATTATCTTGATTGTGTAGCTGAGCAGTAAGTTTTGAAATTGGGACATGCGGATTCTCTAACTTTGTTCTTTTTCAAGATTGTGCTGGTTATTTTGAAATTACAGATGAATGTCAGGAAATTACACATGAATTTGAAGTTAGACATGAATTTTAGGATCAGTTTGTCAATTTGTACAAAGAAGCCATCTGAGATTTTGATAGGGATTCTGCTGAAGTTTTAGATCAGCTTTTGGGAGTATTACTATCTTAACATTATTAAGTTTTCTGATCCATGAACATGGGATGTTTTTTCCATTTATTTCACTTTTCTTAAATTTCCTTCAACAATGTTTTTCAGTTTTCAAAGTGTAAGCTTATCCTATCAGATTTATTCATAAGTATTTTATTCTTTTTGATCACATATTGCAAATGAAATTATTTTCTTAATTTTGTTTTGGATTGTTCATTGTGACTTGCTGGAATTAAAAATCAGGAAAACTTACAAATAAAGTCTGATTTCTGACCTCTTTTGAAAAATCACAGGGTCTGGTTTCCCAGATGGTAACGAGGGACTGGAATGATTGGTTTGGGCCTTGTTCTTTTTGTAGGCCATATGGTTCCAAGTTTGTCCTAATCTAGCTACTTTCTTATATCTAGTTTACTTTGCTCATTAATATCTTTATTATTAAGCACTGAGTTTTTGGCCTTTATGATTATTCTTTTGGGAAATTTAAGTTAGATGAGATTCAATTTGAAAGAGCAGTTAATATTATTTAAGTCCTTAATGTGATTTTTTTTATATGCATATCCCATTCTTTCTTAAAAGTTACCTCAAGCCATATCTTACTTGCTCATCTCAAGAATATTGTTGATCCAGGCTTTACACAGAGGATACAAAGAAGAAACAGACACCATTCTTGCTATAAAAGAGATACGGACACATTGACCAAGAAGTAGTTCCATATTAGCAAAGGAAGTTTTATTAAAGGTCTGCTAGAAGTTCATACAGAGTATAGAAGAGGGCCCAAAGAAGATCAAGGCTGCAGGTAGGGATGGGGAGGAAGAGGAGAGATCTCATAAAAGAAGTGACTTTGCATTTCCTTGTGAATGATGAGTAGGTGTTAATAAGATGGACATGGATAAGAAGGACATTTCAAGAGGGAGGAGCAAAGGAAGGGGTTGTTCTGAATTTTGAAGCATGGTGAGTTCAGGCAAATGACCAGAGTGCAAAATGAGAGGGCAAAAGCGGGGAGGAAAAGGCTAAAGAGTTCAGCAAGAGCCAAATCATGAGAGGCCCTGTACATCATTCTAAGAAAGCTGGATCTTTTCCTGAAGACTGGTGTTTTCTCCAAAGTGTGATTCCTGGACAACCTGTAGTAGAAGGACCTGATTGCTTATTAAAATGCAGTTTCACAGTCTTACTGAAGAAGAATTTCTCAGAGCCTGGGAATTTTATTTTTAAAATCTGATTTGTAAGTTTCCCTGGTGATTCTTAAGTTCTCTAAAGTTTGGGAAGCTCTGCTTTAAGGATGGGGGTCTTGGGAGTGTTTTAAGTGAGAATGATTGGGGGATCGGACGGAATGATAACATGCCATATATGTGTTTTAGTAATGTGCTGGCTGCACTGGGAAAGGCAGATTCAAAAGGTGGGACACCAGAAACCCCATCTTAGGGAGGGCCATATTCTAAAGTCAACAGTAGAATAAAACTCAGAATAAAGAATACACTGGATCATCCTTGAAATCTCCAACTCCCACGCATCTGGATGATCAATTGTCAGAATCAATGTCTTGTGTTTCTGTTTGCATTTATGGAGAGATACTCTTTCTCTGGGGCAGAGTATGTCTCCAAAAATGCAAACAGAAACACAAGACATTTATTATTGCAAACAGAAACACAAGATATTATTTAACTCTCCATAAATTCAGATACTCTTTCTCTGGGGCAGATAGTTACCCTACTCTCTGGCAAGTAGGGTTGAAAGACTGAGGAGATAACAAAGGGGCTAATCTCTCGCTTTCTGCCTGCCAAATGGATGCAGTTGAATTCATATGCTTTGCCCATGAATATGATGAGACCCCAGTATTGCAATTGAGAGAAAGAATGTGCCTAAACTTGGATAGTAAATGCTGGGGGTAGTGTGCAGAGTTCAGGGAAGAAGACAGGGAAGTTATGACGATGATAGGGAGATTGAAAGGATGCGGCTTACCTCTTGATTGGTTGATGGATTTGAAAAAAAAGTAAGAGTTGACTTTTCTGGTTTATGTAATTAGGTAGATAGTGATACTATTGGTTTAGATCAGAAATGTAAGTAGAGGAATAATTTGAATGTATTGAATTTGAGATGCAATTAGAATATTCATGTGCCAATACACATCTGAAGGTGGGAGAAAACCTGGGCTAAAAATGTGTGTGGCATGAGCATGAGGCAGTAATTGAAAGCAAAGGAGTGTACATGCTAGAGACTGATTTTATTAGACTAGAGTAGAACCTAGGAATCAGAATTTTTAATACTTCCCAAGTGATTCTAATATGCAGTCAGGGTTGAGAATCACTGGTATAGGGAGAGAAGGAACCATTGTTTTTAAAAAATAAGAAACTAGCAAAGGAGACTGAGAACGAATAGTCAGAGAAGATGAGGAATTGGAGAAAATGTTCTCAGGAAAGCTAAAGAAGAGAGTTCAGAGGAAAATGAAGGGATTGAGTAAAGGTCGACAGCGGTAGGTGACCCCAATAGGTGAGTAGGAAAACAAAAATCGTTCACTAAAGGAACTTTGAGGAAGTAGTTGGTTTGCTCAGGCAGTTTCACTAGAGTGATGAGGCCAGAAACTTTACTATTGTGAGTTGAGGCATGAGTGAAAGGAAGAAAGTGAGACAGTGTTTCAAGGTTATGAAGGGAATGTCCCTGTTTCTTACTCTCCCATTTTTTTTAAATGGGAAAGACTAAAAATTATTTAAAGGTGGCAGAAATATCCTGCTGTGTTTTCCTGCCATTTTGGTGGCCTCTACCATTGTTGAACATTTATTGCATGAAGGTCAGACCCTCCTTATATCATAGTTGATTATATACTGTTCTTCAGTGTTTGTTTTTAATTCATTATTTATTTTTTATTTACAGACAGGGTCTCGCTCTGTCCCCCAGGCTGGAGTGCAATGGCACGATTGTAGCTGACTGCAGCCTTAAACTCCTGGGCTCAAGTGATCCTCCTGCCTCAGCCTCCCAAGTAGCTGGGAAGTGATTTTCTTCCTTGTCTTAGCACTCTTATTATAAACTTACCAAGTGCAGGGCCTGTGCCTTAAACTTCTCTTGAAAAATATTCTCCCATACTCCTAGCCAAGATGCAGGTATATTCTGAGAAAGGGAATAAGCCATGTATAAAAAGAGATTTCACCCTACTCAATAAAACTGTGGTTCTTATAGATGAAGTAGTGAGCTTTGCTCATTTTATTTTTCAAATCTAAACTAATACTACTACTTATTTTTAAAAATAAATATGTTTACACTTATTTGTATAAACAGTACAAAAGTATAAAGTAAAAAGTAAAAACCTGCCTCTCTCCCACTTCCAAAAGCAACCACTGTTAGTTTCTTATTATCCTGCAGACCTTCTTTCTAAGAGTATAAGAATATGTATCTTTTTTTTCTTTAGGTAGCGTGCTTGTAGTCATCATTCTGTAAGAGAGTTAGGATGAGACTTCCCATAAGTAACTATCATTCCTTTCCTCTGAAAATCCCAGTAATTTCTTCTCTGGAGAGCAAAGCCCAAGATACACATGGCCATAAATAGGCTGTTCACCTCTCCCTGGGAGCAAGTGGTTGAAGCTCAGACAGTACAAAAATATTATGACTGCCTTGGGGCATAAAGGGAGGAAGCGAGTTGGGAGTTAGGTAAACCTATGCTGGGGGCTGAATGGGCAGGTTGTCTGAGCAACGCTGAGCTCCGCTGCTTTCCCACTGTTCCTGTAAGGCTCCAAATAAAGGTCTTCAGTGTCCTCTCCTCACCACAGGGTGGGGAATTAGGGAGTGTCCTCTGTCTCACCTCCTGCAGTTCCCAGAGCAGTTTGGACTCACATCTGCTGTTACCATTGTGGTCCCCCGTCTCGACACTGTTCACCGTGTTCCTGGGTAGACCAAAGGGAGGGTAGTGGCAGCCAGCAGGATAACTCCTCTTTTCACTTTTTCTGTTATACAGGGTCCTAGCAATGGACTGCAGACTCTAGAATAAACCCTGATTCAGTACCAGTGAATAAATGAAACTGAGCCAGGCACTTCTCTTTAATAGGCTTCAATTTCCTCATCTCTTAAATAAAGTTAGCAACAATGACTAATCTCATAAAAAGAAAAGATAGGTCATCTCTTTTCATGGTTGTCCTATCTGAATGGGGCCAGGTTTCTTAAGAACAGAGCCCATGTCTTATGCAGATCCGCATTTAATACGTGAATGAGAAGTATTGTCATCTCCAGTTTATAGCTAACAAACTAAACTTCTCCTCTCTCGGGCCTTGATATTCAGCCACTATCTGCTTATGCAGTCATCAAACACCTAAAGAAAGAAGTGGACAGAGTATTTTTATGCACCGCCCCCTCCCCGCTTCCTCACCACGGTGTTTTTTAAGTGAAATGGATTGTGTGAGTCAATGGGAAGACTCACTCCATTCTTGTCTTTGGGGTAATTGTGGCAAAAATCAGTTGTGATTTTCTCAACACATGCCCACAGTGGAAGGGGACTTGTCCTCATTGTCAATCATCTCAGGCCATGACTCATGTTTTTCCAGAAACTTCTGTTCAAATGACACACCTCAGAGGCCCCCTCCTGCCACCCTTCATCTCAGCCCCAATTCATCACTGATTGATTATTGATTTACTTGTTAATTTGCTTGTCTAGTACCTCTTTTTATTCCCTTGGCTATAACCACCGTAAGAGTAAAGATCACAGTCACTGCCATATTCCCTGCAACAGGGAGTCACCTGTGCCATAGCTGACAGACAAGTGTATGAATCAAAACAGAGGTTCACATGAAGGGAAGGGGATCCCGAAGCAATGCTTGGGCTTGCCTTAGTCCGAAGCAGATAAGGTGGTTATAACCATGAAGTGTGATTAAGAACGACACCGTGGAGGAATTCCTCTCACCCCCAAGACACTAAAAATTCCTCTCCTCATTGATAACCAAAATGAATGGCAACTTATTTAATAACTGGGCTGAGAATAGCCTTCACTTTGACACTCTCCTCACGTGGGTCTCAAACTTGATCAGCCTTGGGTGTCCTTGTTCCAGCTGTTTCCGTTTGTCCCTTTGTCCCCCTCCTGTTCAGACATTTCTGTCTGAACATAAATGTCTGTTTCTGTTCTGTACTCTCCTTTCCTTTTAAAGTTCCCACTGTCAACTCTATCATCCAGGGCTGTTCCCACCCACAGCTTATAGCCCGCCTGAGAAGTAGGGCACATTCTTGCCAGCTTCCCACTTCACTACAAAACCTCCTCGGTCTAGGTTGTGTGTTGCCACTCCAAAATGAAGAACAACAAAAATAACAAACATGAAGTACATTGCTGAGAAATCTAGAAACCTTGCAAAGACGTTGTTCTGGCCTGTAGCACCTGAGGCTGAGTCCTGGGTGCTCTTGTACTCCTGGGTGGAGAGACCAGCCAAGCCTTCACCTCCCTCCGTCCCTCGGCTCGCCCTAGCCCCCACTCATTGTAAAGGTACAATAGAATTGAACAAAAGATGCTTCATTCATTCTTTCAACAAGTGTTTATCGAGTGCCCACCAGATCCTAGGCACTGTTGCAGGGAATATGGCAGTGATTGTGATCTTTAATCTTATGGTGGTTATAGCCAAGGGAATAGAAAGAGGTACTAGACAAGCAAATTAACAAGTAAACCAATAATCAATCAGTGATGAATAGGGGCTGAGATGAAGGGTGGCAGGAGGGGGCCTCTGAGGTGTGTCATTTGAACTGAAACCTGAAAGATGAGAAGGGGTTTGTCCTGCAGAACTGTGTAGGAGAGCCAGGCGGACAGAATGTCAAGTGCAGGGAAGAGCTGGGGTGTATTTGAGGAGTAGAAAGGAGGCCAATGTGGCAGCAAAGTGTGTAAGGGGACAGTGACACAGATGAAGCTGAAGGGGTGAGCTGGGGCCAGGAACCCCAGGGTCTAGGGGTTTATAGTAACGAGATTGTTTTGATCATAGATGCCAGGGGTTTCATGTGGTGGAGGAACACGATCTGATATAAAGTTTTGAAGAACCACCACAGCGGAGTGTGAAAAATGTAGGTGCTTGGTCACCTTTTCAAAAAGTGTGCACGGATGGGCCAGTTGATATCACCTTGTCTTCAATCGGTGATTTACAGCTAAAGGGAAAGATGATACCCACCTCCTCACCAACAAGACCTCCTGGGGGTATTGGAGGGGATCCAGGCCTGCTCTCCAGCCTGTGTGGGGAGTCCACTCTTTCCAGAGCCAGGACTGCAGGATATAGGGACGCAAGACCTAGGCTCTGGGGTGGAAGAGGGCGCTGGAAGGTACCAAAAGCCAGAGAAGTCAGTGAAGACATATGGACAATCTTTTCATGCCACCTGGACGTGGAGCTTGGATGCTTGGAATTTCCTTTCTTGACAATTCTGAGATGGGCTTTCTAACCTACTTCCTATATCTAGCTTTCTTCTCCTAATAACACTTACAGTTGAAGAGAAATCTCTAGACACAACTTCCTTAAGGTACCCAAGGCTTGGGAAGTTACGTGTGATGGGGACAGAGTAAAATATCCAAAATGTTTCTTACTAGTGTGATGGGGACAGAGTAAAATATCCAAAATGTTTCAGTACTAGAGATCCCAAGAGGAGTGTAACTGAGTGTGACTAACAGGAGTCTGGATGAGACTGGCAGGGTGATTGTCCCGGCCAGCATGCTCTTCCCAGCACCAGGCTCCAGGCAGCACTCGGTGCATCAAGGAGTTCTACCTGCACAATCTGCTCAGAAATACTATTATACAGCAGGATGCGGTGGCTCATGCCTGTAATCCCAGCACTTTGGGAGGCCAAAGTGGGCAGATCGCTTAAGGTCAGGAGTTTAAGACCAGCCTGGCCAACATGGTGAAACCCTGTCTCTACTAAAAATACAAAAATTAGCCAGGTGCAGTGGCATGCGCCTGTAATCCCAGCTACTCAAAAGGCTGAGGCAGGAGAATTGCTTGAATTTGGGAGGCAGCGGTTGCAGTGAGCCAAGATCGTGCCACTGCACACCAGCCTGGGTGACAGAGTGAGACTCCATCTCAAAAGAAAAAAAAAAAAAAGAAATACTATTATACAAGAAGTGTTTGGGTAGGTGCCCCTCCCCACCAGCTCCTGACATCTTTTGACAGTGTTTTTGCCATTCCCAAGCATAGAGAGGCTGGAAAGCCTCCAAAGGAAAGCTAAACAGGGAGCATATCATTTCCGAGGAGACAACAGATCACTTTCAATTGGACCTCTTAGCTCTAGTAACATTTCTAAGGCAATTCTCAAAGAAGCACTCTCCCTCCTCAACCAAAGCTCTTCTGGGAGGATTGACTCTCACAGCCTCACCTGGCAAAGCTACACAGAAGACTACTAAGTCCACGTCCCTAGGCTGAATCCTCTCAGGTCTCCAGAATCCAATTTTCAGCTGCCAGCCTGTTATTTCCTGGATACCCCACCGGTGCCTTAAGTCAACAGCTCCCAAACCAATTCATCATCTTCCCTTCTCCTGGCTTTCCTGTTTCTGTTGATGGCATCACTGTTCCCTCTGCTACCCTGGCTGGAAACATCTGAGTGAGTCATCCTTGACTCATCCTTCTCTCTTGTTCTCCGTATCAAATCAACTGCCGAATTCTGTAGTATCTGTTTCCATGATGTCACTTGAATCTGTCCCGTCCTTCCTATTGACACCATCCCTCTTCAGTGTGGGCTGTCGTTACTTCCCTCTCCACAGGGTCATCCTAACTTATTCCCTCACCATTAACCCACCTTCATACTGCCGCTGACTTAAGCCTCCTCCAACACAGATCTAATCGCATCACGCCTGCCATGGATCCTCACTGCTGCCACACTAAATATAAACCATCTTTCAGCTTTATAAGTCACAATTCCCTTTGCAATACATGGTGTTCGAGCTAACCATACTAATCACTGATGCAGCACATGACTTTTGTCCTGTCAAGAACCCCCTTAATATTTAAATCAGCTGCAAAGGATGATAAGATCTTATATTACTAAGTTTGGTATTCTATGCATTTATATGCTTGTTCTATCCACTTAGAAGATTTGACATTCCTGTATTCTCTATCTCACATTTATTTTTGCTTCCTCTACTATTTAGGCCTTTGTATGTACCAGGCGTTGTTCTAAAAGCTTTATTTATATGTAGGAAATAATTTCACTCTCCTAACAATTCCTATTGTATCCCCATTTTACCAATGACAAAACTGTGAGGCACAGAAGTTAACTTGCTGAGGTTCAGGTTCCATAACTAAGAAGTAGCAGAGCCAGGATGCAAATTCACATGATCTGGCCCCAGAGCCCATGATCTTAACCACTGAACCCACATTTGTCTTTGTTACTTGCATTATCTATATTATGGTTTGGATTTAACTGGTGTTTTGTAACTGAATTGAACCTTTAGGCATGTGTCCATTAACAGTCAGAAATAACAGTTGTAGGCAGAGGGTGCAAATGTAACTTGATAGCAGAAGCTGATTTTAGGTGCTTCCCAGGAAGTTGCCGTGAAGCTAAGAGACAGCTTCTTGGAATTTTTGTCCTACTTCTTCTTTTTTTTCTTCTTATTGTAGTACATGGGCTGTGTTGAAGTGCTGCAATCAATGAGATCACTGGATTTTGGAATGAGAACCCAAGTTACAAGGTAAGAAGCCAAAAATGGGAGGGGCTTTGAGGAGTATGGTTTAAAGTCACAATAATTTCTCCCACAGGAATTTTATGCAAACCTTCCAATTCATTATGCACTTTTATTCACGCGACTGGAGTGTAGAAGGCTCGCCCAGTGACCTTCAATGAGTGGCTTGATCTCATCGTGTGAAAGATTTCTCAACTGTGTGGCAGTGCATCTGTGTTTCATGTGAGGATGAATAAGATGATACAGTCTACAGAAATAGCTGGTTTCCCAGGTACCAAAAGTATTTAAAATTATGCCTGGCAGGAAGCCATTACAGAATCAGACCTGTCAAGGAAGTAGCAGAAAATAAGACCAAGTAAGACTTTCAACATGAGAAAGCCCAAGCTTTCCCCAAGCTCTTCCTGACGTGAGAAACTGCTTACTCCTTGTCTGGGTCTCCCTCCTCTATGTACAGTGAGCTAGATGGAACAGTGGAATCAGGGAAGTTTTACCCAGGGTGACCCCAGGGAGCTTAGGGGAAGAAATCAGAATCCCTGTTACGTGGAGCTCAAGTCAGAAGCAGAAATACAAGGCATGGTTCATTAAAGCTAAGCCCAAAGCAAGGACGGAAAGAAGGAGTGAGTGCAGACTGGCAGCTGGAAAAATTGTGAAGTGAGGGAGATGAGGTGAGAGGACTGGGTCGATATGAGTGGTTCAGAATGAAGACTTGGGCATCCATTGGATGTGGTGCCAAGGTGTGTCTCAGGGGCATGCCACAGTAGATCTGTGCTTGCAGGCCTCCTGTTCTGAAGGTGAATATTGTCATGTAGAGAATAACTCTCCCTAATGCTCATCCCATGAAATTCTAGGCCTAGAAAAAGAAGTATCCTGTGGTCAAAAAATGTAGCGAAAGGAGCCACATCACTCTTTAGGAGACTACAGTATACAATAGTATATTGAAGACTCTGAGCCTGGTGCAGTGGCTCACGCTTGTAATCCCAGCAACTCAGAAGGCTGAGGTTGGAGGATTGCTTGAGGCCAAGAGTTTGAGACCAGCCAGGGCAACATAGTGAGACTCCATCTCTACAAAAGTAAAAAGAACATAGCCAGGCACGGTAGCACATGCCAGTAGCCCCAGCTACTCAGGAGGCTGAGGCTGGAGGATCACTTGAGCCCAGGAGTTCAAGGCTTCAGTGAGAGATGATTGTGCCAATACACTCCTGTGTGGGTGACAGCAAGACCCTGACTCATAAAAAAAAAAAAAAAAAAAAAAGACTGAGTAGTCCTGTGCTGCTATAGTTGAAAAAACTCTACCCCTCAAAATTTTCTTTTTCTTTTTTCTTTTTTGTTTTTTTTTTTTTTTTGAGACAGAGTCTCACTCTGTCTCCCAGGCTGGAGTGGTGCAATCTTGGCTCACTGCAACCTCCACCTCACATGTTCAAGCAATTCTCCTGCCTCCGCCTCCTGAGTAGCCGGGACTACAGGTGCCCGCCACCACACCCGGCTAATTTCATATTTTTAGTAGAGATGGGGTTTCACTATGTTGGCCAGGCTGGTCTTGAACTCCTGACCTCAGGTCATCCACCTGCCTTGGACTCCCAAAGTTCTGGGATTGAGGCGTGAGCCACTACACCCAGCCTTACCTTAAGATTTTCTAAACTTTATTGGGCCTTGGATCCTTTTCTCGTATAACAGAAATGTACATCCTAGGGTTCCATGAAATGTGCCTTAGGAAATGCTGATTGAGACTCTCTGCCTTATGATGCATTCAAATCTGCCTTTCCAAACCTCTCTCAGTCTATCCTTGGTATTTCCTCTGGAATCAAACATATTATATAATCCTGTTTTTTGTACTCTTGGTACCTACGTCAGTCACTGGCACATGGCAGAGGCTCACTGGATATTTACTGAATAAATTCATGGTTCCACCTGACTACACTTCCAGTATTTGCAAGCAGCTACATTTCTTCTCCCCTTTAAATCTTCTCTTACACATTCTCAGTGCCTTCAATTACTCTTCAAGTGACATGGTATCTACTACTTTCCAAACTGTTAGCCCTACTTTGATGGACATATTTCAGGGTTTACTCCATTTTGAAGATTCTTAATCTTGAGACATTTTTTCTTCCAATCCTGAGCAGGCTACAGATGAGAGAAAGAGGGCTGATACCCCAGGTTGGCACAGGACAAAGGAATCCCCACTGTCCTAACCTGAGAGCTATGGTCTGAATATGTCCCCTCAACATTTATGTATTGAAACTTAATTCCCAGTGTGAAAGTATCAAGAGGCAGGGCCTTTAGGAGGGGATTAATTCATTGGCCAGAGCCCTCACGAGTGGGATTAGTGATCTTATAAAAGGTGCAAGGGAGCATGTGAGGATGCAGCAAGAAGAACCTGGCTGAGGAGCAGCGTGAGCCTTCATCACACACCAGATCTACTGGTGCCTTGATCTTGGACTTCTCAGCCTCAAGAAGTCTAAGAAATACATTTCTATTATTTATTCATTACCCAGTCTGGGGTATTTTGTTATAGCAGCAGGAATGGACTAAGACACTGAGGATGACTAATCTTCTGTTCATTCACCCATTCATTCATTGATTCTTTCTTTTTCACTCGAATGTTTATGGAGTATCCATAAAGTTCCTGAAACTGTTCAAGTGAATAAGACAAAGCCTCTACCCTCATGGAATTTACACTGTTGCTGGGGAAACAGACTATAGGCAAGGAAACAGGTAAATAAGCAATCTACTTTCAGATAGGAAGAAGTGCTTATTTACTGCATCAAAAAAGCAGGGAATGAGGATAGAGATTTAGGTGGCGGGTTTTTAAATTTTATTTTATTTTCTAGTTATAAAATATTGCATGTTTACTTAGAAGATTTGGAAAGTACAGAAAAGTATGAAAGAGAAAATTACTCAGAATCTTACCTAGAGAGGGTGTCTATTAACAGTCTGTGTTTTAAATCCATTTCCAGTATTTTTTCTATACATGAGCTTACAAAGAATTTTACACAAAATCTGAACAATATTATATACTAAGTCTCCCATACTGAGCAATTTCCTGTTGCTAAAGATTCTAAAGCATGTTTTATCATGGTAAAATACACATAACAAGATTTACTATTTTAATCATTTATAAGTGTATAGTTCAGTGGCATTAAGCACATTCACATTGTTGCGCAACTATCGTCACCATCCATCTGCAGAACTTTTTCATCTTCCCGAAGATGAAAAACTGTACGCATTAAACTCTGTACTCATTAAACAGTAACTTCTGGCCAGGCGTGGTGGCTCACGCCTGTAATCCCAGCACTGGGAGGCTGAGGCAGATGGATCACTTGAGGTCAGGGATTTGAGATCACCTGATCAACATGGTGAAACCCTGTTTCTACTAAAAAAATACAAAATTAGCCAGGCATTGTGGCACACACCTGTAATCCCAGCTACTTGGGAGGCTGAGGCAGGAGAATTGCTTGAACCCGGGAGGCGGAGGTTGCAGTGAGCCGAGATTGCACCATTGCACTCCAGACTGGGCAACAAGAGCAAAACTCCATCTCAAAGGAAAAAAAAAAAAAAACGATAACTTCCCATTTCCTCTTCCTCCCCAGCCCCTGGCAACCACTGTTCTACTTTTTGTGTCTATGGATTTGACTGGTCTAGGTACCTCATAAAAGTGGAAACATACAGTATTTGTCCTTTTCTGTCTGGCTTATTTCCTTTAGCACAATGTATTCAAGATTAATTCATCTTGTAGCATGTGTCAGAATTTCATTCGTTTTTAAGGCTCAATACTACTCTCTATTGTACGTCTATACTACATTTTGTCTATTCATCCATCAGTCAATAGATAAATGGGTTGTTTTTCTAAAATTTTAATGACTGCATAACATTCTCTTCTCTTCCTCTGCCTCTTCCTCCTCCTCCTCCTCCTTCTCCTTCTTCTTCACCTTCTTCTCCTTCTCCTTCTCCTCCTTCTTCTTCTTCATATATAGAGACAAGAGTCTCGATATGTTGGCCAAGCTGATCTTAACTTCTGGGCTCATGGGATCCTCCCACCTCAGACTTCCAAAGTGCTGGGATTACAGGCATGATCCACCATGCCTGGCCTCTTCTATTTTTCATCATTATAAGTAATGCTGTGATTAACATCATATATATATCTTGATTATATTTCCAAAGGACAAATTCTAGAATTAGGATCACTAGGTCAAACAATATAAATGTTTTAAAGGCTTTTGATATGTATTGCTGGATGGCTCTGCAGTCTATTTGTACTAATTGGTACCCCCTTTTCCCAGCCATTTATCTATTTTTATCTACTTAAAAAAATCTCTGGCCGGGCGCGGTGGCTCATGCCTGTAATCCCAGCATTTTGGGAGGCTGAGGCAGGCAGAATAATTTGTAGATTTTTATTTTTACATACAACTAGAAACCTACCAAGTAAGATATAGGAAGTTACTAATGTTAAGAATTTGTAAATTAAAATGAGTGCATTATTCGGGTTTATCAAGAATGATCATTCATCACTCAGATGTGCAATATTACAAAGCTCCTGCTCATGCACAGTTGAAGGTAATTGGAATTCCCATGCCAGGCGCAGTGGCTCACGCCTGTAATCCCAGCACTTTGGGAGGCCGAGGCGGGCAGATCATGAGGTCAG
Organism: Homo sapiens; assembly: GCF_000001405.40. Classification (NCBI taxonomy): domain Eukaryota; kingdom Metazoa; phylum Chordata; class Mammalia; order Primates; family Hominidae; genus Homo; species Homo sapiens. The sequence goes on along the minus strand of NC_000015.10, from coordinate 48,920,248 downwards.
GAGATCGAGACCATCCTGGCTAACACAGTGAAACCCCATCTCTACTAAAAATACAAAAAAAAAAAAATTAGCCAGGCGTGGTGGCAGGTGCCTGTAGTCCCAGCTACTCAGGAGGCTGAGGCAAGAGAATGGCGTGAACCCGGGAGGCGGAGCTTGCAGTGAGCCAAGATCGTGCCACTGCACTCCAGCCTGGGTGACAGAGCAAGACTCCGTCTCAGAAAAAAAAAAAAAAACAAACTCCGTGAACTTGTAGGCCTATATTTCCCTATTATTTTGTAAATAGTAAAAGGTGAACTGTTTTTTTTTTCCCCTCTCCTTTGAGGATTCAGTTATGTCTAACATACACACCAAGGGGAAGATATCTGGTATGGTATCTGGATATTGTTTCTTGTAGATGTGTCTATACATGATTCAGGCATGGCTGATTGTGTTCTAAGCAGTTATGGAAGCTCGAGTGTGATGGTCTTTTACTTTTAGATCTGGTGGTCAGGAAGTCCTATCTAAGGAGAGGACATTTGAGCTAGGGCCTGAATAAAGTAAGGGATCCAGCCATGAAAGTATCTGAAAGAAGAGAGCTGAAGGCAGAGGGAAGATGACCATGGACATCATGGGTCCATGGTGGCAACATTTGGGCAGGGAGTTTGATAAAAATGTGAGAGAGGTCAGGCATGGTGGCTCACACCTGTAGTCCCAGCACTTTGGGAGGCCAAGGTGAGAGAATCATTTGAGTCTTGGAGTTTGAGACCAGCCTGAGCAACAGAGTGAAATCCCATCTCTACCAAAAATAAAGCATGGTAGTGCAAGCCTGTAGTCCCAGATATGCTATAGGCCAAGGTGGGAGGATCACCTGAGCCTGGAAGGTCAAAGCTGCAGTGAATTGTGACCACACCACTGCACTCCAGCCCAGGTGACAGAGCAAGACCCCATCTCTACAAAAAAAAAAAAAAAAAAAATTAAAATAAATTTTTAAGAGTGTGAGAGGGTGTGCATCTTCTCCCAAGAGTGGATGCAAAAACATTCAACCGTCAACTCAGGAGAGGGAAACGCTGACTGGAGGGGAGGATCAAATTTTAAAATGTCCTATGGTGTCAAGTGGTCCTACTTGAAGTCTGGAGATTCCAGCCACCAGTAGACTAGGGACCTTATCCAGGGAGGTCTTGAAAGCAGTGAGGCTGATTTCCAAGTGCCAGGGCCAGACATCAGTCCCTTGCTTCAAAATCCTGTCCCCATCCCAGCTTCTTGAACTATTTCCCTGGGGCTTGTTGAATTTGAAATGCTGTGACTTGCAGCTACTTGGGTGTGACAGCAGACCTGGGAAGCCCTGACCCAGAAGGGAGAAGGAAAAACCCCATCAAAGAAGGGTAAATTTAAAAAAAGAGAGAAGATATAAAATAGATTATCTCTCACTTTAAAGAATTAGCAAAAAATCAAAATTTGCTGAACAGAAAAATTATATTGCAGAATTCACCTCTGACTTCCTTTTAATGGTGAATTCCTTGGTGTTTCAAATAACGTTTTGTATGGAAATAAATTACTTTCACATTTTTTTCTCAGGAGCTCAAATATTGCTGAAAGAGAGGGTGATCTTTGAAACTCTTCTTTCAAACTCTAGGTCTTGAACTAAATAGGACTATGAGCTAAATGAAAAGACTTTATAAACATAAAAAAATTTAAAGAAAAAATGGAAACGATTCAATAGTAATGTTTAATAAGAACATCTAAGACAATCGGTAACAAAACAACCTGAATAGTGGTTGAACATCAAAAATACATTGCAGTTGAAAGAAGAGAGAATGACAAAAAAGGAAAAATTAGAAGGAAGAACAGTATTTGGGAGGTTGGGTGGGAAATAGAGGTTGTTGAGAAAGTGGTCCATATGGCCTTGAGAAACACACATTGTTGAATGAGCCAGTTTAAAGTCAAGGTGAGAGAATGTCCTATGGACACCACACTCAAATCAAATATTTCCATCCAGTTAACACCACACTCAAATCAAATATTTCCATCCAGTTAACATATGGGGGAGTTGGGTGGGAGGGTGGTGGACGGGATCTTTTGTTGTGTTTTTTCAAAAAAAATTTCCATGGGCCAAGTTAGGATTTCACAAGAAAAAACTGTATTTTGTGTGATCATAGCTATCTCTAGACATTGACATACCACCAAACATAGAATAATTCAGGTGTGAATGCTGACAAACTGGTGTAAGTAATTACCGCTACAGATACAAACAACTGGAGGCTGATGTCTCACTCACTGTAAATATTTCACCATCTTTAGATTCCAAATATCAGGGAGACAGCAACATGAAATTCCTGGTAATAAAGGAGGAGCCATGATTAAGAGTCAGCCTTTGAAACAAAGGAGAAAGATGGAGCAGAATTCTTTTCTTTAGAGGGACCTTTCTGCCAACCATTTGAGGGCTGAATCCACAGACTTAGAACACAGAAAGTACTCAGATAGAGCAGAGGAAAATAAAAGGACAAGAGGCCATTGACTTTCTCAGCCATTCCCTGGATGTCACCCCTTTCAAAGCTCTCATCTTGCTTCCCTACCTTGACTCTAGATTTAGTCCCTGGGGGAGCCACTTGAATGGCTTTTACTGTTGTTCCTCCACTAACTCTCACCCAGGCATTCATCCCCTTGGCTGATTCTGGACCAGATCTCCATTTTTAATAATAGAATATTCATGCAAAAGGGCAAAAGAGGAGGTTTTTACTGATAGTAAAGAGAAACAAGATCATTAGGAAAACAAAGTTTCCTAGCCGCAGTTGTCTTTAAAATGTCCGGAACTGTATCCAAAGGAAACAAGGGAAGAGAGAAAATGAAGATCATGCTAAGAATGACATTGTTACTTAAACTTTCCTATAAAAATGTATTCCTTATGTTTTTAAAAACACAGTTAAAGAAAATAAAACAATAACAACAACAAAAACACCTGACCTAAATCAGGAATCTGACACACACACACACACACACACACACACACACACACACACACACACACAAGAAATCAGGTCACTAAAACTTAAAGCTCAGCTTCCTTCCCTTAAGTAAGCATCCACATCAAGTAAAGAAGAAAAAAAATCTTCCTTCTCCTCTAAGGATGGCTACCTCTTTGTGTCTAGGTGGGAACCTGCATCAAACGCTGAAGGAGGAATAGACACATCAGGGTAAACCCAGTAAGTGGAGCTGGTGAGAAAGGGCTTGACTTTCAACCCTGAAGAACAGAATACATTTTGATACCCAAGGAAATTGCAAAGGGAACATTTATTTCATCACCACAGTACATAATTCACCCCGAGGGGCGGAGCACACCATTGGCAGAAGGGACCTCCAGATCACTGTCTTACCACTCTGTACTTTTCTGATATTTAGTGCCTTACACATGTAACTTGTATTCAGTAATAAAATCAGCCAGGCTCCCAGCACAGGATCTGCCCAAGCCAGGCTTACTGGGCAACTAAGAAGCAGTGGCTTGGAGTGGGTTTTCCTCCTTTGTGTGATTGCCACCCTGGGGGTCTATGAAGGAAAATGGGGAACTGTTAAAGAATGGGTGGTGAGTGCTCCGTTTTGAGGTCCTGGCTTCGGATTCATTTTCTCTAGCTGATCTCTACCTGTGCCTCGTGGTGTATCTGTCCCATTCCATTCTGTGTAGGAAGAAACCCTGAGTAGTGTTTTTTTTTTTTTTTGAACTGATGCTATAGACAGTAAGGAGGTTCTCTGGGTGATTTGGTACTAGCTAAAGCAACAAGGAAACAGAGATCATCATTCAGAAGTTATTGTAATTGGATTAATTTCCTGTGTATGTTATTGCTCCTGAGCAGTGATTCTGCAAATTTCATTCACTATGTTGAAAATTTTTATTATTGGGCTTCAACAGGACATTAAAGGCAGTGACAAATGCCTTTAATGACAAATGCATACTTCTGGGTGTGTGTGTGTGTGTGTGTGTGTGTGTGTGTGTGTGTGTGTGTGAGCAACCATCAGCTGCAAAGCAGATTCAAGATGCAGCTGAACAATTACATAAAGTCCTGTACATGTGGTTTTCAATAAACGTCAACTCTAGAAGGAAAAGCATTCTGGAGAGGTCAAATATCTGTATATTAGGTAGCTAAATTAAGATATGTTTGAAAACAGTCTGGCGTTTGTCTAAATTTTCTGAGGATTGCAGAACAGGATTAGTTACGGCAATGCATGGATAAGTGAGAGTATCTCTGCTAAGCCTTGGAGTAGTTGAACAGCATATGGTATGTGGATTCTGTGTTGACTTGTTGCAGTTAGGAATAGGATTGCAGCCACTTGTCATGTGAAATAAAGATCACCAGAGAGGGGGATAAAAGGCCAAGTCTATTAATTTAGCAGACAAGGGAACATTCCCCAGTGAAAAAATTTACTGAGAAGAGTGCTAAGGAGAAAAAAATCAGGAGTTTTAAAGTTCTAATTTATAGTGATTATACTAAGGATTGAAAACAAGCACTGTAGCTAAGGCAGAATGCCCACGGTTGATTAAAACAGGTTGCATTGTTCATTGGTCAGGAAAGGGTGTTAAGGCCCCTGCAATGGTCTGCTGTCCAAGGGTCAAGGTTCATGGCCATTATCAGCTGATTAGAACAATAAACCATGCAATAAAACATAGCATCCAAAGTTGATCTCCCCTCAGCGAGCACTGGTGTCAGTGGAAGGATGATTTCCTTTCACACACGTGCAGATGTCAGGAAGCCTTTGCTGGAAGTCTGATGTTGTGTATGTGAGTGTGTGCACAGTGACCACCTCTTTTAGTTTCAGGTTTCACTGCTCTCCAGTTTTGCCCAATATAAGATCTCACTTTTCAGATACTTGAGATAATTGAAATAGCCAACTAAATTCCTTTTAGAAGCCTTCAAAGATCTAGTCATTTAAAAAAAAATTCCAATCAATTGGGAATGGTTCTGATAGCATGACAAAGTCAAATGCAGACAGAGAGGGTATGAAAGCCAATTGTACCTTTTTGCTCTGTCATTAGCACAATGTCTTTCACACAGCAGGCACATAGTTACTATTTGTTTGAATAAACAGGTGTAAAGTCAAGAAATATAGCTGCTAAGGCAACCGACGGAATGGGAAAAATATTTGAAAATCATATATCTGATAAGGGATTAATATCCATAATATGTAAAGAACTCCTATTACTCAACAAAAAATAAAGAACCCTATTGAAACAATGGGCAGAGGACTTGAACAGATGTTTCTCTGAAGAAGATATACAATCATACGCATAATTCCTCTTATATGGGGTACCTACAGTAGTCAAATCCAAAGACAGGAAGTAGAATGGTAGCTGTCAGGCAGTAGGGGGAGTTACTGTTTAATGCTTATAGAGTTTCAGTTGGGGAAGATAGAAAAAGTTCTGTTCTGGAGATGGATGGCGGTGATAGTTGCACAACAATGTGAATCTGCTTAATGCCACTGAGCTGTATGCTTAAAAATTATTAAAATGGTAAATTTTGTATTACGTATATTTATTATATATATTTAAAACAGCAGTTACCAGATGACTTATATTTTTGGAGTACTGAAGTATTCAATATTGTATACATTTTATTCTTTAAAAAGGGTGAAAAGCAAATAAGAAAAGGATAATCGAGGCTTCGGGGCTTAAGTTTCTAGCATGTCATACAGCAAAGAGAATTTGGTAAGGAGTGTGTAGTGGCCTCTTCTAATTTCTTGACAGCAAATTCCAACCAAAAGCCACACTGGCAGAGAGGAGCTGTGGCAGAATAAGACGATGAAAGAGTAGCTAATAATAGCTAATGTTTGTTAACACTGCACAGAGCTTCTGCAACCGCAAAATCACCTCGAAAGGAGTAATTTCCCCTTTTAAAGAAGGGAAAGTTGAGGCTCAGAGAGGTAAGTGGCCATTCTAAGACCACACAGCTGTTTTGCAGGGACTCAAACCCATGTACTCACACTCCAAATCCCTACCACACTTAATGTTTCCTAGTGAGATTGCTTTGGATTGAAACTAAGAAACAGTTCTTGTGGGCTGTGAATGAACTAATGTGGGAGACAATCAAGCGAAAGGCTCAAGTCTTTAAAACGCACAATGTCGCGCCGGGCGCGGTGGCTCATGTCTGTAATCCCAATACTTTGGGAGGCCAAGGCAGACAGCTCCCTTGAGCCCAGGAGTGTGAGACCAGCCTGGGCAACATGGTGAAACCCTGTCTCTACCAAAACTACAAGAATTGAAAACCAGCAATCCCGAGAGGACCCACAGACCCTCTGAAGGAAGCAGATTGCTCCTGCAGGACCCAGGAGAACCCCCAAAACTGTGAGTGCCCCAGATGCGGAAGTGGGAAAGGGAGACCCTCCTCTCCTGAACAAACACACCCACTGGGGAAGCTGAAGATCTGTTTGCGGGAGAAGTTTCCAACTTTACCTGGAGCTGAGTCAATTTGGAGAGCTGAACGAAATCCAAGGGTAGAGGAAGCAGTAGAAAGGCCCTGGGAGCTCGCTGGGCCCCCTAGCAGGTCATTCCTGCCTGGAACCACAGGGATCCATCGGGAGGGTGACCAGAGGAGCAGGGGTTAAAACTCCACAGGGAGAAGGAATTCTCTAGTAGAACTTTGTGACAATTTGAAGGGGGTGAGAAGCCTCCTGGCCAGAACTTGGGGGAGGGCACAAATCCTGTGCTCAGACTCCACATGTAGGGAAAGAACCAAGACCTTTACTTTTGCAGCTGGGAGGCAGGTAGCCTGGAGCTGGGGCAGGTTTTCAAGCCCCTGTCGCTCTCCATCTAGAAATGGACTGGGGGCTATTGGGGAGAGCACGGTGGGAGTTAAACCGGACCTTCGGTTTGCATGGGAGCTGGATGAGGCCTGTGACTGCCAGCTTTCCCTGACTTCCCTGACAACCAACATGACTCAGCAGAGGAAGCCATAATCCTTCTAGGTACACAGCTCCAGTGACCTGGGAACCCCACCCACATCCCCCACAGCAGCCACATCAAGACCTGCCCAAGGAGAGTCAGAGCTCAGACATGCCTAGCCCCACCCCCACCTGATGGTCCTTCCCTACCCACCCTGGTAGCAGAAGACAAAGGGCATATAATCTTGGGAGTTCTAGGACCCCACACACTAAGGGCTCCTCTCTATACTACTATAGCTGATGCTCTCTGGAAAGTGCCACCTCCTGGCAGGAGGCCAACCAGCCCAATAGAGCATCAAACCACCAAAGCTAAGGACCCCCATGGAGTCCACTGCACCCGCCCCTGCACCCCACCCCCTCCACTGGAACAGGCACTGGTATCCACAGCTGAGAGACCCATAGACAGTTCACATCGCAGGACTCTGTGCAGACGACCCCCAGAACCAGCCCAGAGCCAGGTAGACTCACTGGGTGGCTAGACCAAGAAGAGACAACAATCACTGCAGTTCGGCTCACAGGAAGCCACATCCATAGGAAAAGGGGGAGAGAACTACATCAAGGGAACACCCTGTGGGACAAAAGAATCTGAACAACAGCCTTCGGCCCTAGACCTTCCCTCTGACGGAGCCTACCCAAATAAGAAGGAACCAGAAAACCAACCCGGGTAATATGACAAAACAAGGCTCTTCAACACCACCCAAAAATCACACTAGTTCACCAGCAATGGATCCAAACGAAGAAGAAATCCATGATTTACCTGAAAAAGAATTCAGGATGTTAGTTATTAAGCTAATCAGGGAGGGACCAGAGAAGGGTGAAGCCCAATACAAGGAAATCCAGAAAATGACACAAGAAGTGAAGAGAGAAATATTCAAGGAAGTAGATAGCTTAAAGAAAAAGAAGCAATAAAAAATTCAGGAAACTGTGGACACACTTTTAGAAATGTGAAATGCTCTGGAAAGTCTCAACAATAGAATTGAACAAGTAGAAGAAAGAAATTCAGAGCTCGAAGACAAGGTCTTCTAATTAACCCAATCCAACCAAGACACTGAAAAAAGAATAAGAAAATATGAGTGAAGCCTCCAAGAAGTCTGGGATTATGTTAAATGACCAAACCTAAGAATAATTGGTGTTCCTGAGGAAGAAGAGAATTCCAAAACTTGGAAGACATATTTGGGGGAATAATCAAGGAAAACTTCCCTGGTCTTGCTAGAGACCTAGACATCCAAATATAAGAAGCACAAAGAACACCTGGGAAATTAATCACAAAAACATCTTTGCCTAGGCACATTGTCAAAGTTAAGACGAAGGAAAGAATCTTAAGAGCTGTGAGACAGAAGCACCAGGTAACCTATAAAGGAAAACCTATTAGATTAACAGAAGATTTCTCAGCAGAAACCCTACAAGCTAGAAGGGATTGGGGCCCTATCTTCAGCCTCCTCAAACAAAACAATTATCAGCCAATAATTTTGTATCCTGTGAAACTAAGCATCATACATGAAGGAAAGATACAGTCTTTTTCAGACGAACAAATGCTGAGAGAATTCACCATTACCACATCACCACTACAAGGACTGCTAAAAAGAGCTCTAAATCTTGAAACAAATCCTGGAAACACATCAAAACAGAACTTCTTTAAAGCATAAATCACACAGGACCTATAAAACAAAAATACAAGTTAAAAAGCAAAAACAACAACAACAAAAAAAACCAAAGTACACAGGCAACAAAGAGCACGATGAATGCTCTTCAATCTAAACCTCACATTTCAATACTAACATTGAATGTAAATGGCCTAAATGCTCCACTTAAAAGACACACAACTGCAGAATGGATAAGAACTCACCAACCAAATATCTGCTGCCTTTAGGAGACTCACCTAACATGTAAGGACTCACATAAAGTAACGAGTAGGGTAGGAAAAAACCATTTCATGCAAATGGATGCCAAAAGCGAGCAGGGGTAGCTATTCTTATATCAGACAAAATAAACCTTAAAGCAACATCAGTAAAAGAGACAATGAGGGACATTATATAATGGTAAAAGGCATTGTCCAACAGGAAAATAGCACAATCCTAAACATATATGAACCTAACACTGGAGCTCCCAAATTTATAAAACAATTACTAATAGACCTAAGAAATGAGATAAACAGCAACACAATAATAGTGGGAGACTTCAATACTCCACTGACAGCACTAGACAGGTCATCAAGACAGAGCGTCAACAAATAAACAATGGATAAACTATATCTTGGAACAAGTGGACTGAACAGATATATACAGAACATTTCATGCAGCAACTGCAGAATACACATTCTATTCAACAGCACATGGAATTTTCTCCAAGATAGACCATGAGATAGACCATAAAACAAGCCTCAAAAAATTTAAGAAAGTTGAAATTATATCAAGCACTCTCTCAGACCACAGTGGAATAAAACTGGAAATCAACTCCAAAAGGAACCTTCAAAACCCTGCAAATACATGGAAATTAAATAACCTGCTCTTGCATGAGCATTTGGGTCAAAAACGAAATCAAGATGGAAATTTAAAAATTCTTTGAACTGAACAACAATAATGACACAATCTATCAAAACCTCTGGGATACAGCTAAGGCGGTGCTAAGAGGGAAGTTCATAGCCATAAATGTCTACATCAAAAAGACTGAAAGAGCACAAACAGACAATCTAAAGTCACACCTCAAGGAACTAGAGAAACAAGAACAAACCAAACCCAAACCCAGCAGAAGAAAGGAAATAACCAAGATCAGAGCAGAACTAAATGAAATTGAGACAAAGAAACAAAAAAACCAATACAAAAGATAAATGAACAAAAAGATGGTTCTTTGAAAAGATAAATAAAATTGATAGACCATTAGCAAGATTAACCAAGAAAAGAAGAGAGAAAATCCAACTCACTAGCAAACAAAACAGGAGATATTACAGCTGACACCACTGAAATACAAAAGATCATTCAAGGCTACTATGAGCACCTTTACGCACATAAACTAGAAAACCTAGAAGAGATAGATACATTCCTGGAAAAATACAACCCTCCTAGCTTAAATCAGGAAGAATTAGATACCCCGAACAGACCAATAACAAGCAGCGAGATTGAAATGGTAACTTAAAAATTACCAACAACAAAAAAAAACCTCCAGGACCAGATGGATTCACAGCAGAATTCTACCAGACATTTGAAGAAGAGTTGGTACCAATCCTTTTGACATTATTACACAATATAGAGAAAGAAGCATACCTTGTTAATTCATTCTATGAAGCCAGCATCACCCTAATACCAAAACCAGAAAAGGACATAACCAAAAAAGAAAACTACAGACCAATATCCTTGATGAACATAGATGCTGAACTCCTTAACAAAATACTAGCTAACCAAATCCAACAACATATCAAAAAAGATAATCCACCATGATCAAGTGGGTTTCATACCAGGGATGCGGGATAGTTTAACATACACAAGTCAATAAATGTGATACACCACACAAATAAAATTAAAAATAAAAATCACACGATCATTTCAATAGATGCAGAAAAGACATTTGTCAAAATCCAGCAACGCTTTATCATTAAAACTCTCAGCAAAATTGGCATACAAAGGACACACCTTAATTTAATAAAAGCCATCTATGACAAACCCACAGCCAACATAATACTGAATAGGGAAACTTTGAAAACATTCCCTCTGAGAACTGGAACAAGACAAACATGCCCACTCTCACCATTCCTCTTCAACATAGTAGTGGAAGTCCTAGCCGGAGCAATCAGACAAGAGAAAGAAATAAACAGCATCCAAATCAGTAAAGAGGAAGTCAAACTGTCACTGCTTGCTGACGATATGAGATATGATCATTTACCTTGAAAACCTTAAAGACTCCTCCAGAAAGCTCCTAGAACTGATTAAAGAATTCAGCAAAGTTTCTGGATACAAGATTAATGTATTCACAGATCAGTAGGTCTTCTATATATCAACAGTGACCAAGCAGAGAATTAAATCAAGAACTCAACCCCTTTTACAATAGTGCAAAAAAAAAAAATCCTAGGAATATACCTAACAAAAGAGTCAAAAGACCTCTACAAGGAAGACTACAAAACAATGCTGAAAGAAATCATAGATGACACAAACAAATGGAAACACATCCCATGCTCATGGATGGGCAGAATCAGTATTGTGAAAATGACCATACTGCCAAAAGCAATCTACAAATTCAATGCAGTTCTCATCAAAATACCACCATCATTCTTCACAGAATTAGAAAAAACAATTCTAAAATTCCTATGCAATGAAAAAAGAGCCAGCAGAGCAAAAGCAAGACTAAACAAAAAGAACAAATCTGGAGGCATCACATTACTTGATTTCAAACGATACTATAGTGCCATAGTCACCAAAACAGTGTGGTACTGGTATAAAAATAGGCACATACACCAACGGAACAGAATAAACCCAGAAATAAATCCAAATACTTACAGCCAACTGATCTTCAACAAAGCAAACAAAAACATAAAGTGGGGAAAGGACACCCTTTTCAACAAATGGTGCTGGGATAACTGGCTAGCCACATGTAGGAGAATGAAACTGGATCCTCATCACTCACCTTATACAAAAATCAACTCAAGATGGATTAAGGATTTAAACCTAAGACCTGAAACTATAAAAATTCTAGAAGATAACATTGGAAAAACTCTTCTAAACTTTGGCTTAGGCAAGGATTTCATGACCAAGAACCCAAAAGCAAACGCAATAAAAACAAAGATAAATAGCTGGGACCTAATTAAACTAAAGAGCTTTCGCATGGCAAAAGGAACAGTCAGCAGAGTAAACAGACAACCCACAGAGTAGGAGAAAATCTTCACAATCTATACATCTGACAAAGGACTAATATCCAGAATCTACAATGAACTCAAACAAATTAGTAAGAAAGAAAACAAACAATCCCATCAAAAAGTGGGCTAAGGACATGAATAGACACTCCTCAAAAGAAGATATACAAATGGCCAACAAACATATGAAAAAATGCTCAACATCACTAATGATCAGGGAAATGCAAATCAAAGCCACAATGCAATACCACCTCACTCCTGCAAGAATGGCCATAATCAAAAAATCAAAAAACAGATGTTGGCGTGGATGTGGTGAAGAGGGAACACGTCTACACTGCTGGTGGGAATGTAAACTAGTACAGCCACTATGGAAAACAGTGTGGAGATTCCTTAAAGAACTAAAAGTAGAACTACCATTTGATCCAGCAATCCCACTACTGGGTATCTACTGGTGGTCTTAGAATGGCCACTTACCTCTCTGAGCCTCAACTTTCCCTTCTATCTACCCAGAGGAAAATAAGTCATTATTCGAAAAAGATACTTGCATATACAGGTTTATAGCAGCACAACTGCAAAATCATGGAACCAACCCAAATGCCCATCAATCAACAAGTGGATAAAGAAACTGTGGTATATATACATACATATACATATATATATATATACACACACACACACACACACACACACATATTCATTCATTCCTTTTTATGACCGTGTATATATATATATATGATGGAATACTACACAGTCATAAAAAGGAATGAATTAACAGCATTTGCAGTGACCTGGATGAGACTGGAGACTATTATTCTAAGTGAAGTAACTCAGGAATGGAAAACCAGACATCGTATGTTCTCACTGATAAGTGGGAGCTAAGTTATGAGGACACAAAGGCATGAGAATGATGCAATGGACTTTGGGGAATCGGGGGGAAGGGAGGGAGGGGATGAGAGATAGAAGACTATAAGTATGGTGCAGTGTATACTGCTCGGGTGATGAGTGCATTGAAATCTCACAAACCACCACTAAAGACCTTACTCGTGTAACCAAATACCACCTGTACCCCAATAACTTATGGAAAAAAAAACACAGACTTCAAAAAAAATACAAAAATTAGCTGGGCATGATGGTGCATGCCTGTAATCTCAGCTACTGGGAAGGCTGAGGGGAGAATCGCTTGAACCCAGGAGGCAGCGGTTGCAGTGAGCCGAGCTAGCGCCACTGCACTCTAGCCTGGGAGACAGAGCACAACTCTGTCTCGAAAAAAAAAGGAAAAGAAAAAAAAAAAAGAAAGAAATCACACATCACCATGACCGTTATCATTGGTAAGGTCAATCCTCTGGGCCATATCTAATTCTTAATTTTTTTTTGCATTCCTTTTCTGATTATGAAAAGTAAATCTGGCTTATTGTAGAAATTGGTAAGTAAAATAAACTTTTAAAAAAGGCAAATCACTGGAGATAACCCGTAGTAACAGTTTGATATATGGTTTTTCTAATCGCATGTTTAAAAACTAAAGTGAGATCCTGTGGTGCATATTAATTTGTAACATGCTTTTGCCACTTGTTGGGCACATTTTGTAGGTCATTGAGTCTGAGCAGTAATTGCTTTGATTTGAGCCTTAAGATAGAGGGAATAATTTTCAGTTCATCTGCTTGCCCTAGGCATATTTACTTCTGGGTTTTAAGTAACAGAAAATGATTGCCTAGCTTAAGCAAAAAAGGGAATTCCTTGAAAGGATATTGGGGCAGCTCATGGAACCTGAGGAGCAGTAAACAATCAAACTAATAAAGGACAGGGGCCAGGTCTTCTGAGGCCTTGGCAGCAGGAGTGCAGGGACACCCCCATCTCTGGTTCTCTTAGTTCCAAATACTAATTTCCAGTAAATATGGCGATTGAGGCTTTACCCTGGACCAGACATCTTTAACCAGGACAGCACTGTATTGTGGCAATATGGTAGTTCCATGGTAATCCTGTATTGAGAAGGGGAGTGGGTAGGGAAAAGGGGATGAGATGGGGGAGTAGGAGAAGGGAAGAGTAGGGGGAAATGGGGGAAGGACAAGGACAAGAAAAATCAGGTGGAAAAAGAAGCTTGTAAAATGAAGGTAGTAGATACAGTAAAAAATAGATTTCCACCTCAAAAGGAAAAGAAGACATTAGATCAATTTCTTTGGACTATTTAAATTATCCCTAAATATGCTCTACTAAAATCTAATATTTGCAAAATTGTTAATCAAATGTTTGATGTTATTATAGCAGTGAGTTAATTGTAGAACATAGTTCAATTGAGCTGTATTTTTATGTGGTTGTTGAACATTTCTAAACTTTGAGACTCCATGTATAGGTACTGTATATATTTGGGCCCCTTTTATAGGACTTAGGGCATTGTTTTAGAGTTTTAGATATTTATAGAGGTATATAAAATAGTCATAGTTTTCGTTCCATGACAAGCTGTTGGCAGTTTCTATATTTCATTTGCTGAGGAGTCCTTGGTCAGGAATGAAACTCCCAATTATAGCATCTTTTCCATGGAAAATATGATCTACATTATGAAGTGGTTTCTAAAAATATGTTGTGGCTAAAAGCAGGGCCTGCTAATTTATCCATATAAATCTATAGAAACATACAGATGTGCAGATATTATTACACAAACACAGCTCCTCAATCAGGCAATACATACACATTCACTAGCCTAAGCAAGAATAGTTATATATCTGTCCATGTTGAAATATAGATGGTAATAGATGGCTTCAAGTGTTTGAAGAGAAACAAATTAATTCAGAGATTAAAACACATGAATGTGAAAGCCTATGCATGTGTATTTTTAGCTCTGATTGCTGAATGAAATAGCTTTCTCCAGTGATTTCTTCCCAGGCCTTCTTCATCATGCAGAGTCAGATGAAAATACATTCTAGTATCTCTCTTTGGTGGCCCCTTTTTGCTTTCCTTAAGCCTGGATTTCTAATTTTGATTTTGATAGATACAGTGGCCAGCCTCTAGTCTTAATCATTTTACAATGCAAGTAAGAATAGGCCTTTTGAACCATTGTTCTGGGAAGCACAGAAGCTGCAGTTGAATGGCAGCCTCCTGAGAAAGCTCAGAGTGTGCCCTGGGGGATGTCTGGCCTGGAAGGGATTGGTTTCCCTAAGGTCTTTTTTCAGTGGAGCAACCACAAGGGCTCCATCATCCATCATTTTTGGGCTTGAAGGTTTTCCTCAGAAGCCCAGTCCCTGGAGCTGGAAGGATTCAGAGCCACAGTTTCTAGAACATAGTTGGGTTGATAATAATTTATCGAATAACGGAGAGGTTTCTAGGCTTCTCAGGCCTGGATCACAGATCTTGAGATGATCCTGGAGGTCTTGAACTTTCCATGGTCACTGCTGGTTAGAGAAAAGCAGAAAAGACCTAGAGAATCTAAAACATAGGATTTGACGTGCTAAACCTGGCCAAATTCCAAAACAAGAAGCTCTTGGACAATTAGGTCAGGTCCCTGGCTCAACAGGAGAGTGTTTGGCTTATGGGTGCCATCCGTGTGTGTGTGTGTGTGTGTGTGTGTGTGTGTTGTGTCTGTGTGTGTGTGTGTGTGCGTGTGTGTCGTGTTTAGAGACAGGATCTCATACTGTAACCCAGATGCTGTAACCCAGGCTGGAGTGCAGTGGCATGATCAAAGCTCCTTGCAGTCTCAAACTCCTGGGCTCAAGTGATCCTCCTGCCTCAGCCTCCCAAGGAGCTAGGACCACAGTCATACAGCACCACATTTGGCTAATTACATTTTTTTGTGTGTGTGTGTGGAGATGAGGTCTTGCTATATTGCCCAGGCTGGTCTCAAACTCTAGGCCTCAAGCAGTCCTCCCACCTTAGCCTCCCAAAGTGCTGGGATTACAGGTGTGAGCCACTGTGCCCAGCCAGGTATATTTTTGAACAAAGGAATAAAAATAAATTTCATGAAGATACTCATTTGGTTCAGACAGCCTTGGGGTCCACAAGTTGATTCAGATGAAGGGAAGGATTTCTCAATCATGTGGAACTGGATGAGCTTTAACCTCTTTCTAGTTGAAGAGATCAAACATGGTTTCATCTATTAGCAGGCTGTTGAAATAGCAGTTTATTATTAATTTATAGCGACTTATCAACTTTGTCATCACAAAATTTAACATTTATAAAATAGATATTACTATTAACCCTGTTTTGTCCATAAGAATATTGAGACTTAGAGAAATTAAAAAATTTACCAAGGTCATCTAGCAAGTCAATAGGTGGTAGAACTGGAAATCAGATCTGCCCTGCCTCTTGTGCATTATGGGTCAACCAAAGTGGAATAATTTTAAGGAACAAATCTTGGGGAAGTGCTGAAAGCCAGAAGGGTCAGAATAAGGAAATGTTTAATCCTGGGTTTAAGATGCCAGATTCCTTTTTTGTGAATTCTCTCTGGAAGGTCTTCATAAAGATACTCATAAATCTGTAGGAAAAGATACTTTAATGTCCTTTTGTGATTTCTAAGGAGAAAAAAAATGTGTGAGATAGTAGTTCTCAAACTTTAGTATGCAAAGGCTTCTTAAAACAGAGAATGTTAGCTGGGGGTGGTGGCATGCACCTGTAGTCCCCACTACTTGGGAGGCTTAGATGGGAGGATCACTTGAGCTCAGGAGTTTGAGGCTGTAGCGTGTGATAATCACATACTTGTGAATAGCCACTCCACTCCAGCCTGGGCAACATAGTGAGCCCTTGTCTCTGAAACAAACAAACAAACAAACACGTAATATTGGACCCCAGCCCCAGAGTTTTTTGATTCAATAATTTGCATATCTAATGAGTTCCAGGCGATGCTAATGCTGCTGGTCCGAGGACTGCACTTTGAGGCCTGCATGTGCAAGGGAAGCCTATCCAGTGATTTTAAAATGAGGTCTCCACGTAATTTGGACCACAGATTACATGGAGGCTCCTTATTTTTGAGCAGGTGGTTCCCCAGAAAGTCCCCCAAAGCATCTGCAAGTTTTAATTGTTTTGTTTTTGCTTTTAAGAAAGGAAAATGGGAATATCAGGGAATGTGAGAACAGTGAGTTTTAACTATGCTACATCCTAAATAGCTAGAAAAAAAATGATATAATTCCTTTTGGGAAGAGTGAGCTAGACGGGAGGCACCCAAAACTCATCAAAAACTAATCTCATCCAGAGATAGTCTTTTCATTGGTAAAAGGAGAGCTTTGTGGCCAAAGTAAATGCAGGACAGTTGGTGCATCTCTCTACCTGCCAGGCAGATTTATTCCATTTCCTGCTGGTGTTCTCAGTAGGGAAGCTGAGAAATGCCTTGTAGAGTAAGTGCACAGCTCTGGTCCCTTTAATTATATGTGATTGAGTTGCAGTTTTTGAGAGCTGCACTTACTTTAGGAAATGTGTACTGTAGTGTATGTTTGAACAATTAAAAAATGGGTGTTTTTGATCCAGATCATCTGTGTCTCTTATGAGAAATTCTCTGAAAATGATTTTTTTCACTGTTGTCTGTGACAAAATAGGTTCTTGAAAGACATCATCTAGTTAAGTGTATGCAAGTTTAAGGGGGCATAACTCTGGCAGCAGCTTGTTAGCACGTCTCAGGCTGGATATTGAAACATGTTCTGAGATGGAGAGTTGAATGCAAAAGGTTTACTAGGAGGGCTCTTGAAATCAACTGTCAAGGGAGTAAGGGAAGCAGGGCCTGGCAGAGGGAGAGGCTGAAAAGCAATGAAGTCACAGCAGACTCCATGGGCAGTTCTGGAGCTAGGATGGCACTTCAGAGTCACCCCATATTGAGGTACGGGGACCAGGCCTTGGAACCCCATATTGACCAGTCAGGTCGTTGGATGCCTGCTGCTGCTGGGGAGGGGTCATAACATGGGCAGGGCAACTTCCCCTAGAGAGCACAATTTCTGTGTAAGGAACTCAGCTGTGATCCATGAGAAGTGAGCATCCCAGCAACTGGAGGAATGAGTACCTCTGTCCTGAAGGGGGATTGGATTTATATAGGGAGACAAGGGTTACACTTTGTTTTGATGACATAGCACTACCTAACATTTGTATGTTGAATACATTGTATTTCCAAGGCAGCCTACTAGGTACCATGCAATATCTGAAGAAAGCCAGACATGTATTCTGCCTTTATAGAAACTTATACCATCCGTTACTATACACATGATAGACATAATTTGACCTACTATATAACATATTAACTATAGCATTCCAGTTATAACACAGAGAATACTTTGCTGGGTAATAGGTGTTGTACAAATTAGGTTAGACCCAGTTCTTTTTTTTTTTTTTTTTGAGACACAGTCTCACTTCCTGGCCCAGGCTGGAGTGCAGTGGCACAATCTCAGTTAATTGCAGCCTTAACCTCCCGGGCTCAAGCAATCCTCCCACCTCAGCCTCCCCAAGTAGCTGGGACTACAGGTGCAAGCAAACACACCTGGCTAACTTTTGTATTTTTTGTAGAGACAGGGTTTTGCCATGTTGCACAGTCTGCTCTCAAACTCCTGAGCTCAGGCAATCTGCCTGTCTCGGCCTCCCAAAGTGCTGGGATTACAGGCATGAGCCACTGCACCCGGCCTAGACCCAGTTCTTAAAGTAGATAGCCATTATAAGGATAAAGCAA